>NC_000006.12:81398261-82023261 GCF_000001405.40 Homo sapiens
GCTCACTGCAAGCTCCTCCTCCTGGGTTCATGCCATTCTTGTGCCTCAGCCTCCCGAGTAAATTGGGACTACAGGAACCCGCCACGACGCCCGTTTAATTTTTTGTATTTTTAGTAGAGACGGGGTTTCACCGTGTTAGCCAGGATGGTGTCGATCTCCTGAACTCGTGATCCACCTGCCTTCGCCTCCCAAAGTGCCGGGATTACAGGCGTGAGGCACTGCACCCGGCCTAGATTTTTTTCTACTGAAAAAACTGTTTAAAAGAGAGACACGACTATACACGAGTTTGAATTTGGGATTAAGTTTGCTCATAATGAAGTAAATAGAAAACAAATAAACCGAAAACGTCACATAACATTCAAATAAAAATAGAATGAGAGTATGTATTTGGGTATTTACCTTCCTTTATCTCAGATTAATATGGAATCTCATTTGACAGTTCTTTGATTATAATCAGTAAAACGTCCCCAAATCATTACCATCAATTTATACCACTTTCTCACGTAAAGCCTAAGAAGGTGGTACTTAATAAAAAGAACAGAGAGAGAGGGAAAAAAAAAGACTTTCTAAAAGTAGCTGATATATAAGAAAATCTATAAGGGAATGTAGCATGGTATCCAGCAAACACTTTGAGAACACAAATACTTTATTTATTTATATATCCTTATTTTTATTTAGTTTTATTAATTTAAAAAATATTTACTTGGTATAAAATGTGACTTAGAGGATTGAACTTATCTATATTCATTATAGTAACACAAACCCATTTTGTCCATTTTTTCTAGTCATATAATTAGATTTAGCATGAACACACACATTTAGACAGAAACCAGTAGCTACAGAAAATGCTTATACTGAGAAGAATTTCACTCAAGACTCCTGTTTTCTTTTTAAAAGTACAAAATGTCACAGAAATTATTGAGTGTTTCAAATGTCGCTACTGACACACAGCGGTTCAATTATTAATCTCTTGAAGAAAATACAAAGGACTAGGCCTTTTATCTTCTGAAATTATGAAATGCCATCTCCACCTTTCCCTGGTGTTCTATGCCCTGGCCTTTAATCTTATTGCCTGAAGAGATTGGTATACCTCAAGTAATGGATCACTTCAGCATAGAGGAAAAACAAAAGCTACCAGTAGCTATCCAAACCAGAAGCCCTGGAGACAAATTATAAAAGTGCAATTGTTAATTATCAAAGAACAACTTCTACCATTATGCCAAAATATGGTAAATGTTTCCTTTGCTTTATGTCTCTTTTTTAATTTATTATTTATTTATCTATTTATTTATTTATTTATTTATTTATTTGTCCATGGTAGCCAAATTCCCTAATTGGGTTGTCGCTTGGAAAGAGTTAAAAGTCTGATGTGTTTATATCTGCCTTAATTCTGCTTCCATGCTCATGGATAGGAAGAATCAATATCATGAAAATGGCCATACTGCCCAAGGTAATTTATAGATTCAATGTCATCCCCATCAAGCTACCAACAATTTTCTTCACAGAATTGGGAAAAACTACTTTAAAGTTCATATGGAACAAAAAAGAGCCCACATTGCCAAGACAATCCTAAGCCAAAAGAACAAAACTGGAGGAATCATGCTACCTGACTTCAAACTATACTACAAGGCTACAGTAAACAAAACAGCATGGTGCTGGTACCAAAACAGAAATATAGACCAATGGAACAGAACAGAGCCCTCAGAAATAATATCACACATCTACAACCATCTGATCTTTGACAAACCTGACAAAGACAAGATATGGGAAATGATACCCTATTTAGTAAATGGTGCTGGGAAAACTGGCTAGTCATATGCAGAAAGCTGAAACTGGATCCCTTCCTTACACCTTATATAAAAATTAATTCAAGATGCATTAAAGACTTACATGCTAGACCTAAAACCATAAAAACCCTAGAAGAAAACCTAGGCAATACCATTCAGGACATAGGCACGGGCAAGGACTTCATGACTAAAACACCAAAAGCAATGGCAACAAAAACCAAAATTGACAAATGGGATCTAATTAAACTAAAGAGCTTCTGCACAGTCAAAGAAACTACCATCAGAGTGAACAGGCAACCTACAGAATGGGATAAAATTTTTACAATCTACCCATCTGACAAAGGGCTAATATCCAGAATCTACAAAGAACTTAAACAAATTTACAAGAAAAAAATCAAACAACCACATCCAAAAGTTGGTGAAGGATATGAACAGACACTTCTCAAAAGAAGACATTTATGCAGCCAAAAGGCACATGAAAAATGCTCATCATCACTGGCCATCAGAGAAATGCAAATCAAAACCACAATGAGATACCATCTCACACCAGTTAGAATGGCAATCATTAAAAAGTCAGGAAACCACAGGTGCTGGAGAGGATGTGGAGAAATAGGAGCACTTTTACACCAACCATTGTGGAAGACAGTGTGGGATTCCTCAAGGATCTAGAACTAGAAATACCATTTGACCCAGCCATCTCATTACTGGGTATATACCCAAAGGATTATAAATCATGCTGCTGTAAAGACACATGCACACGTATGTTTATTGTGGTACTATTCACAATAGCAAAGACTTGGAACCAACCCAAATGTCCAACAATGATAGACTGGATTAAGAAAATGTGGCACATATACACCATGGAATACTATGCAGCCATAAAAAATGATGAGTTCATGTCCTTTGTAGGGACATGGATGAAATTGGAAACCATCATTCTCAGTAAACTATCGCAAGAACAAAAAAACCAAACACTGCATATTCTCACTCATAGGTGGGAATTGAACAATGAGATCACATGGACACAGGAAGGGGAATATCACACTCTGGGGACTGTGGTGGGGTGGGGGGAGGGGGGAGGGATAGCATTGGGAGATATACCTAATGCTAGATGACACGTTAGTGGGTGCAGCGCACCAGCATGGCACATGTATACATATGTAACTAACTTGCACAATGTGCACATGTACCCTAAAACTTAGAGTATAATAAAAAAAAAAAAAAATTAAAACTTGAAAAAAAAAAAAAAAGAAAATGTGGCACATACACACCATGGAATACTATGTAGCCATAAAAAAGGACGAGTTCATGTCCTTTTTAGGGACATGGATGAAGCTGGAAACCATCATTCTCAGCAAACTATCACAAGGACAGAAAACCAAACACCGCATGTTCTCACTCATAGGTGGGAATTGAACAATGAGAACACTTGGACACAGGATGGGGAACATTACACACCCGGGCCTGTTGCGGGGTGGGGGGAGTGGGGAGGGATAGCATTAGGAAAGATACCTAATGTAAATGACGAGTTAATGGGTGCAGCACACCACAAACCTGCATGTTGTGCACTTGTACCCTAGAACTTAAAGTATAAAAAAAAAAACTTGCTTAGCTTCACAATTAAAAGTAAAACTGGTAAACACAAAGATAATGAAATACTTGTTACATTGATGAATTGCATTGATTTCAAATGTTGCCAAAGGGGCCAGAAACAAGAGAGCAAGTGAAAGCATCCAGATCAAGCTGATAGGATAGATGAACCTGCTTCTGGGACTGGGTTGCATACTCAGGACTTATTTGTGCTGAGACCAGGTGTTTTGCCTCAGTTCTGTTATGGAAGAGCTAAGATAGCTAGGATTGCTTCAGCTGGAGCCTACACACTCCAATGCTGTGACCACAAACCCCTATACCAATTTTGAACAGTGGCAAATTAGCAGGTTTCAGACTAGGCTAAGGACTAAGTTATCACACCAGCTCATTCAAGACTTACATCGGAACTCAAACTTTATAAAAATCAGATTTAACCTCTTCCAAAAGAACCTTTAGTATGTAATAATAGCTGCCTCTAAAGACTGAAAAATAAAGTGTCTGGACACAGCTTCTGAAGTAGCTGATGAGCATCAGTGTTGCTACGCGTGAAAGCCCAGCAACTTGAATTTGGCAAATAATTTTGTTGAGAAAATAAGCATTGCCAAAAAGGGATTTTGGCTGCTGATTGAATTTTTTCCCTTTGCACTTGATACACTTTGAAAATAGACATAGAAAGCCCTTTGTTGAACCCAATAAAATCTGTATATATCAGATTATTGGTCTGATGTGTGATTTCTGGGTATATTTTTGAGGATAGCATCCACCTTAAGGCATTTTTAAATTAGGGCTTTTTCATGAATGTGGTAAAAATGGAATTTATAACAAGGTCACTAATAGATTGTACTTGCATGACTCACTTATCCTTTTATAGGACATGCATGGCCAGACACAAGGGTGTTATCTACAGTGTTTCTAAAATTACCTCTCTGGAACTTTCTTCCAGCCCTAAGAAACTTCAAAGTAAGAGTAAAAGAGACATATTTCTCTTGGGTAAATTTAAAAACAATTAAATGATTTTTAAATGAAAGAAAGAGAATCTCTTGGGTGCTGTGTGCATGAATCCGCACTTTAACAAGCACTTGAAGTGGCAATAACAGAAAAATTGTGGAAAAATCAAATTCAAATGGAAATGTTAAAATTTTAAGGATACAAAACAGTTTTTATGTATTAAAGAATATAAGACAATGTTCCTTAAATATTGTATGTTCTTATGATAACTATAAACTGAAAACAAGACAAAAATAAAATAAAAACTTTGCTTTGATTTTAAGGAAGAAGCAATTTGAGTTAGCAATGGCTCTATAATGGAGCAATTTCTCCCCCTCCCAGATACTGAGTGATAAGAAAAACCTTGGGCCAAACAGGTAAACTTTCTGCAGGCTACTTGAACATTTTTAAATGTCTTATTTATTTATTTATTTATTTATTTAAAGACTGAGTCTCACTCTGTCACCCATGCTAGAGTGCAGTGGCACGACCTCAGCTCACTGCAACCTCCGCCTCCCAGGTTCAAGTGATTCTCCTGCCTCAGCCTCCCAAGTAGCTGGAACTACAGGCACCCGCCACCATGCCTGGCTAATTTTTTGTATTTTTAGTAGACACAGGGTTTCACCATGTTAGCCAGGATGGTCTCAATCTCCTGACCTCGTGATCTGCCCGCCTCGGCCTCCCAAAGTGCTGGGATTACAGACGTAAGCCACCATAATTTTACAACTCTATATATAAAAAAATAAGATAGCCAGCCTATGGCATTGGTGCATTAACACTTCAGGTGTAATACTATTCTTTCTCTGCCTGTCTTTATAAGTTTTAATTATTATGGTATCAGAGCTAAAAAAAAAAAGGAATAAATAACTCATGGAGATAGAGATTAGAATAATGGTTACTAGAGGCTAGAAAGGGTAGTTGGAATGGGGGATAAAAAGGGAATAGTTAATGGGTAAAAGTATACAGTCAGAGAGGAGGAATAAGATCTAGAGTTTCGTACTACAATAGGGTGACCATAGTTAGGAATAATTTATTGCATATTTAAAAATAACTAAAAAGTGGAATTAGAATGTTCCGTTTGCATTTTGAAATTTCATTTGTAGTTGGGCATTCAGTCATCACCAACACTGGTACTACCTATTATCAATCAAATGGAGAGAATTAATTCATTGAACAAATTATGGAAGAGCCCATGCAAGCTGCTTATTTTCTTCATCAAATTAGGAATTATATTTTATTTCCTTCCAAGTATGAAATTTCTGCTGGTTTCTGGTTATTTGAAGCTTGAGGTAGGAAGCCACACAGAAAATTTTTTAAAGTGAAGTTGACTGTCAAGCTCAAGGGCAGCTTTACTTCAAAATGAGTTGGGCATGAGCCTCGGGCTCTGAGATATCTGAGAAGCCTCTGATATGGAACACCGGTCATCCCAGTTCCTCAGACTCCTTGAGCAGTTCCCATAGTTCTGAGCAACCTTCACAGGCTGAGGTCACAGGGAAAGAAGGAGCTGTATTTAGCCTCATCTCCACAGCCTTGAAGAAAAA
This sequence comes from Homo sapiens, assembly GCF_000001405.40. Taxonomy (NCBI): domain Eukaryota; kingdom Metazoa; phylum Chordata; class Mammalia; order Primates; family Hominidae; genus Homo; species Homo sapiens. The sequence continues at coordinate 81,404,167 of NC_000006.12, forward strand.
CCAAGACCCTGGAGAATGTTTCTTTCCAAAAATAAATGAACATAGAAAAATTAGAATGACAGTAGATAATCCTACAAAATGCAGGTGGCAAAAGGCAGGGCTGTGCACCATCTGCAGGTCCTCCTTCCTCCTTCTGTGTAGGTCCAAAGTCAATCTCCAAATCTTTATAATATCAAATTCGCCATCTGCAGTTCTAGGATCTAAGGCCTACAGCACATCCGTTTATCCATAACAGAGAATTTTGGTATACCTGTCCCGGGAAGTCAGTTCAGACATAGTCTGCTATTCAGACTTTGCCTGAAACTTGGTTGAAATATTTGATATTTGAAAGAGTTGGTATAAAGGATAGGTTAAATATCCATTTCTCCAGCTTTATCTCTGTTTTAAGTTATATCATAAGAAAGTCATGTTGCTACATTATATTATCTTAGCTCCTTGAGGAAATGCCTTCTAAAGGTCAAGATTTAATGTTATGCCCTCAGCTTTTATAAAGGTGCAATCAAAACCTTGGACGTTTAACTGGCTACTCATTGTCCTATTTGTAAGAATCCCCATAATAAATTCATTCTAAAATTCATCAGGGAAAGTTTTTTCTTCAGATGGATTTTAATGCTACTTTTTATTGGTCAGAGAGAAACTGAATAAATCATTTTTTTCTTTTTAAATTGCCTGCCAAATCCACGGTGAAGCGACAATAACTAAGCCATCTTAATTTCCCATTGTAATGAGCTAGCTCACTCTCCCTCTCCATATCCAATCAGTGTTACTTATACTTGAGATCTGTAAATTACTTATTTCAAAATCACCTAGAAGGTCTTTGAAAAATACAGATCCCTGAGCCACAACCCAGAGATTCTGATACAGTCCCTTGAAAGGGGCGGAGGAACATACACTTTATTCAAGCAAGCTTCATACTTAATAGGCACCCTTGAATTTGAAACTAGTCTAAGTGGTTCCAAATGGTCTTTTAGTGGTGTTAAGGGATTCACATTTTATTTGCTTTAATTGAATACTATGGCTGATATAAAATATTCACACACATACGCATGCTCTCTTTTGGTCAAAGAAGTAAGACGATAAAGTAACACATGACCAGAGAGAAAGAATAAACAAGAAGACCTTATACTGTTGACATGGTTAAAACTCACACATAGGTATGTTGCTCACCATTAAGATCATATTAAGAAAAAGAAAGTGCAGGAAGAAACCAAGAAATTCTGCAAGGAAACCTAGCAAGTATTTTTGCAGAAAGGGATAAAACTTCAGAGTTCTAGTTTCCAGGTACTTAAGCACAGGATCTCACATTATTTGTAGGGTTTTTTTCTTTCAAGCCTTTTAATGCAAAAGGTTTTGTTTGGGTTGTAAACTAATTGCAGGAGTTTGATTACTAGATATTTTTTTAAATCACCTCTGCAAATGGGTTTTACAAACATTAAAACCAGGGTATAGCCACTTTACAATGAATGTAATTGGTAGAAATCTTAGACCTTTATAAAACAGCATTTTTTTCTAGCACAATTGTTGATTCTGTCCAGTGTAGACACAAGCTAAAGGTATAGAAAGTTAGCATATAATTCAGTTTACCCAAGCAAAATAAAAATAAGTTATACAAAGCATTGTTTTCAATAAATCATGGGTACTTTATAGCATACTCAAAATTAAACAATAGGTAATATAGACTAAATTTATTTTTAAAACTGTGTGAATGCAATCTGATATATTCTTTATCAAATGAATCTTTCCTTTTTGTAGAGTTCACATAGTGAAGTATCTTACTCATTTCCATGAAGAATTATATAAAAACAAATGTCACTCACTGGTGGTCACAACCTGTCAAGTTAGTTTGAAAATTCATACAAAATAAAAAGGTGGTAGTTAATGGTTTTAAAATCTCTATTTAGTCTTTTGAAAAATATGGCAGGATGAGCACAAATATCTGACCTCCTTTGGTTATAACTAACAGAAATAACCAAAATAGTACAAACATAGTAATAACTATTTTTTTAAAAAAGTTCCAATGGCACCGAAAACTAGGTAAGCTGACACCCATAGGGCATAAAGCTCAAGCAATGTCTGCTTTGTATAGTACAAGTGGAATCAGGAAGAAAGGAGATATTTGGAGGCAACTCAAAACTTCTTTTCCTAAGAAAGCCATACAGCTTCACAGAAAAACAGTAGACATATTAGGAGAAGCTCATTTATATTTCCTATTTTTAAGAAGCAAAGGTTAGAGAGCCCTGAAATAGGGAAGAATTCCTAGCACTGCTATAAAACAGAATCAGCTGAGGAAGAAACAGCTCAACCACGTCCAGCTATGCCTAAAGGAAAGCCAGCTACTTGCTGGTTTGGTCAATGAATTTTATAGTTGGATGAGGCCATTATCTAAAACAGAGCTAAAACCTATAATCAGAGAATATTTAGAAAATAACAATAATAAAAAATACTTCACATAAAAATGTTGAGATGCAGCCAAAACTACTCTCCAAAAAGACATATTAACTTTTACTATTTTAGTGGTTGAACAGGAAGAAATAAAAATAAATTAACTAAATATTCAACTCAATAAATTACAACTAGAACAAGAAAATAAACCAGGATCGGCAGGAGAAATAAATAAAGGCTAATATTTGAGTTTTTACTTTTCTACTTTTTTGCATGAAGAATTTCACTTAATCCTCCCTACTACTCAACAAAACAGATACAATTGATAATACGATTTTATAGATGAGGAAACTGAGATGCACAGAGTTCAGTTTAAAAATGAAAAAGTGGAACAATTGATAATACTTAGCAAAAATTAAAAACAGAAGAAGATTTTAAACATGTTATTAGGAATGCAAAAGATGATATGACTACAGATATAAAGATATTCACAAAGTTAAAAAGTATATTATATTTGGTTCTCTTATGGAACATTGGAAATATCAAAAGAATTGATGAACTCTCCTGCAGCCATAAAAAATGATGAGTTCATGTCCTTTGTAGGGACATGGATGAAGCTGGAAACCATCATTCTCAGCAAACTATCGCAAGGACAAAAAACCAAACACCGCATGTTCTCACTCATAGGTGGGAATTGAACAATGAGAACACTTGGACACAGGAAGGGAAACATCACACACCGGGGCCTGTTGTGGGGTGGGGGGACGGGGGAGGGATAGCATTAGGAGATACACCTAATGTTAAATGACAAGTTAATGGGTGTAGCACACCAACATGGCACATGTATATATATGTAACAAACCTGCACGTTGTGCACATGTACCCTAAAACTTAAAGTATAATAATAAAAAAAAAGAATTGATGAACTCTCGAGTAAAATGTAAACTAACTTTGGCTCAAGAAAAGATAAAAACCTCTGCACATCAAAGAACTAAAAATATTGTCAATACTTTCCTCAAAATAATGGCAGAGCCCTGTATAGTTTTAAGAATGGGTGGGTAAAAAAATCAGTTCTACATACTTAAAATTTCTTTTTTTTCTTTTGTCTCCAGAAGTCTTTATTTTTTAAATTGGTAATAATTATATGTGTTTATTAATTTATTTAAATTTCATTTTTTAAAAAAAACTTTTAGGTTCGGAGGTACATGTGAAGGTTTGTTACATAGGTAGACTCATGATACGGGGATTTGATGTACAGATTATTTCATCACCCAGGCATTAAGCCCAGTGCCCAATAGTTATCTTCTCTGATCCTCTCCCTCTTCCCACCTTCCACCCTCAAGTAGATCCCAGTGTCTGTTTTTTCCTTCCAAATTTCACTTAGCCTCCCTATAAATCATCTCACTTCTCATTACTACACTCTATTGCTTCCAAATGTCTTTCAAATTTTAGAGAACAAATTGTTCCTAGGCTATAATTGTTCCATTTCCAAGTCATGATATAAAACTGAACATATATGTTAACTTATTCTTTATTCAGAGACTAAATTAAATGGTAATAAAGGAATGCAGAAAGTGTATACTTAAAACTACACATCAAATTAGAGGGAGACTAAAAGTAGACAGCTTTTAGTCTAGAACATTTCTAGAACCCATCTCTAAAAGGCAGAAGGTAAATTGTGTGTTGGCAGTGATACAATGTTGGTAAACTGGTAGCTGGTGCAAGAGATAAAGTCAGGCCACCTGGAAGAACTCAATGGGTACAACCTCATCTATGGCAAGGGCAGAGGAAGTGGGGCTATTTATAATACGACTAATTGAAATTCAAAATATGTACCGGTTGATTCCTCTACCCACCCATCCTTCTTCCATTTCCATCATCTGTATGAAATAGAAAAGCTGGGAGCCAGGAATTAAACTAAAAGGAAAGTTTTGTGAAGGAAAGAATGAGAATAGACAAAGGGAAAGAAGGAGGGAGGGAGGGTGAGAGAAAGGGAAGGAGGGTGGGAGAAAAGGAGGGAGAGAGAGACAGAGAGAAAGAACAGATAACTGTCTGGGGAGAAATCAGGCAGGTAGGATAGATCTTCATGTTCTAAAGCCTTCTTTGTTCTAGCACTTGGGAAACATCCAGTTTAATGAAGCAAGTGCTGCTGCCCACACTGAAGCAGTTGCTGTCAGCTGACAACCCACCCAGATACACTAGCTTCCCAGTCAGCCTCTCTGTTGTTTTATTCCTAAAATTTTAATGAGTAATCCACAATGACCAGATATTTGAAGAAAGCCAGCAACATGAAAAGGAAAGACTGATCCTAAGCCAAAAGAACAAAGCTGGAGGCATCACGCTACCTGACTTCAAACTATACTACAAGGCTACAGTCACCAAAACAGCATGGTACTGGTACCAAAACAGTGATGTAGATCAATGGAACAGAACAGAGTCCTCAGAAATAATGCCGCATATCTACAACTATCTGATCTTTGACAAACCTGAGAAAAACAAGCAATGGGGAAAGGATTCTCTATTTAATTAATGGTGCTGGGAAAACTGGCTAGCCATATGTAGAAAGCTGAAACTGGATCCCTTCCTTACACCTTATACAAAATTTAATTCAAAATGGATTAAAGACTTACATGTTAGACCTAAAATCATAAAAACCCTAGAGGAAAACCTAGGCAATACCATTCAGGACATAGGCATGGGAAAGGACTTCATGTCTAAAACACCAAAAGCAATGGCAACAAAAGCCACAATTGACAAATGGGATCTAATTAAACTAAAGAGCTTCTGCACAGCAAAAGAAACCACCATCAGAGTGAACAGGCAACCTACAGAATCGGAGAAAATTTTCGCAACCTACTCCTCTGTCAAAGGTCTAATATCCAGAATCTACAATGAACTCAAACAAATTCACAAGAAAAAAACAAACAACCCCATCAAAAAGTGGGTGAAGGATATGAACAGACACTTCTCAAAAGAAGACATTTATGCAGCCAAAAAACACATGAAAAAATGCTCATCATCACTGGCCATCAGAGAAATGCAAATCAAAACCACAATGAGATACCATCTCACACCAGTTAGAATGGCAATCATTAAAAAGTCAGGAAACAACAGATGCTGGAGAGGATGTGGAGAAATAGGAACACTTTTACACTGCTGGTGGGACTGTAAACTAGTTCAACCATTGTGGAAGTCAGTGTGGCAATTCCTTAGGGATCTAGAACTAGAAATACCATTTGACCCAGCCATCCCATTACTGGGTATATAGCCAAAGGATTATAAATCATGCTGCTATAAAGACACATGCACACATATGTTTATTGCGGCACTATTCACAATAGCAAAGACTTGGAACCAACCCAAATGTCCAACAATGATAGACTGGATTAAGAAAATGTGGCACATATACACCATGGAATACTATGCAGCCATAAAAAATGATGAGTTCATGTCCTTTGTGGGACATGGATGAAGCTGGAAACCATCATTCTCAGCAAACCATCACAAGGACAAAAAACCAAACACCGCATGTTCTCACTCATAGATGGGAATTGAACAATGAGAACACATGGACACAGGAAGGGGAACATCACACACCGGGGACTGTTGTGGGGTGGGGGGAGGGGGGAGGGATAGCATTAGGAGATATACCTAATGCTAAATGACGAGTTAATGGGTGCAGCACACCAACATGGCACACATATACATATGTAAAAAACCTGCATGTTGTGCACATGTACCCTAAAACTTAAAGTATAATAATAATAAAAAAAAGAAACTGCCAAAAAAAAAAAGTATAGCGGAGGAAAGGGCAGTAGTTTGGAGAAAAGTCGAAAAAAAAAATAAACTATTCTCAAAATCAGTTTCTCTCAGATTACCTATACAGGATGGGAGAAATGCTAACATTTGATAAAATTGGAATGCGGATGGTAGATTCAACAAATGCTTTGTATCAATGATAGATTTACTGAAGTTGATAGCTGTACTGCAAGAATATATAATTCTTAAGACACATATGCTGAAATATTTAGGGGCAAAGAGCTACACTACAGCTGTGTGTGTGTGTATACACACACACAGCCTTCTGTATGTGTTGGTTCTGCATCCATGAATTTAACCAGCCATTGATCAAAAATATAAAAAACTATGCTTACATTAATACTGAACACGCACCTACTATTTTTCTTATTATTTCCTAAAAAATACAGTACTACAACTATTTTCATTCCATTTACATTGTATTGGGTGTTATGTTACCTAGAGATGATTTAAAGTATACAAGAGGATATGTATAGGTTATATGCAGATACCATACCATTTTATATAAGGATCTTGGGCTTCATTGATTTGGTTATCTGTGTGAGATTCAGGAACCATTTCCTCATGGATATCAGGGAACAGCTGTACACACAAATACACACACACACACACACACACACACACACACAGAGAACAACAAATCAAAATAGTAATGGTAATAATAGATAATTCTGGATAGAGAGTATAAAAATATTCTTTGTACTTTTCTTGCCCTTGAAATTTTTCTGTAACTTTGAATTATTTGGTTGTACACAGAAGGTTTGAAATTTAAAAAAATGTACCTCCCATGCAAATTTCTCAGGAAGGTATTGGCGTATGTGCTCCCCAAAATTAAGAAAGTAAACTAAGGAAAATGAAGATATGAATACAAAAGACTGGATCTGTGTTAAATGAGAGTGGCAGAGAAAATGATCAGATCTAGAGAAAGAAGATTACAGATTAAAGGAAGACAAAATCTCAGAAAAGAATTATTTTAAGAAATTAAAACTCATGGAATGTTTTACACATCTGAATCTATTGAGAGAAAATTTAGAAAACATATGGATAATTTGGAGTCTAACTAATAAGTATGTATATTTAGAAAACTAAGTAAACAAAAAAAGTCCACATGATTAATAACCACAGAGAAACAGTGTTTTGTAAAGGATATGTAATGTTAATTTCTGCATGGCTTTGTAGTGAAAAGTGTTTATATAGAAAAATAAAGTAAATGAATATTAATCTTACAATATTGAGAAGATAAAGGGCTCATGTTATATGATGGGTGAGCAGGAGGATGAAAAGAAGCTCACTCTGTTTTGTCATTTTTGGAAAGTAAAATTGGAAAAACATCATGAAGCAGCAAGATGAAGATGTTATTCAGAGATTCTTTACGTAAATATCAAAAGAATTAGACAAGAGAGTTAAAAGCCGCAGCTTACAAAATGTGAGATTAAAATGGAGGTAAGCAGTGAACTACTAATTTGCATAAAGAACATCATAAAACTACTTGACTTTAAACTTTGTGCATACATAACCTGAACAAAAATAAAATTAATGGAAAGACAGCTAGAGACTGGTATGTAGGGAAAATGGAGAGAGGAAATGAGAATGATATAAGTGCTAATGTCTGTTGTATAAGAGTGGCGACTTGCAGATCCTATACACAGCTGATGGAAAAAGAAACAGAGATGTGAGTTCATGGTTTAAAATACATAGGTTCTCTAGAACAAAACATGGGCTACAGCTATTGAGAATATGGGGTGCTGGTAGGTAGAAGGCAGTGAATATGGCAAAGTCCTCAGCAAGTCAATAGATAATATCTAAGTTAATAAATGAAGAAACAGTATTAATAAACATGAGGGAAACTTCCAGAAAGTATAGAACAGCCATAGGTAAAAGGGAATACCTCTGGAGAACAAGACTCAGAGTTAGGAATGGTGGATAAGGACATGGTTAGATTTTATTAAAAGCCCTTTCTTAAAATTTAAATTTGTGTCTGTGCACTTGTATACTTTAATTCAAGTGAAAATTTTAAAAACCTATTTTAAAAGCATTAAACATGATAGAAAGCCCTGTAATACATTTTGCAGCTAGAATAACCCTGATATCAATAAAGAATAATATTTAAATTACAAACAAATATGCTTTTGAATATAAATGAGAAAATTCTAAGTAAAATATATTACTGGTAAATTTGGCTCAAAATGGTATTTTCAAAGTTAACATAGTGTGACTGTCTTAGTTCATTTTCTGTTGTTATAACAAGATGCCATAGACTGGGTAATATACAAATTTATTTCTTACGGTGCTGGAGACTGGGAAGTCCTAGCCCTGATGCTGGCACCTGGTAAGGACCTCATTGCTGTATCATAACATGGCAGCCAAGGGCCTCATGTGGCAAGAGGTCAAAACCATGATTGTCAGCTCAGATTTCTCTTCCTCTTCTTATAAAGCCACCAGTCCCACAATGGGGGTCCCACCATGATTACCTTATCTAATCTTAATTACCTTCCAAAGGCCCTACCTCCAATCAACAAATAAATTTGACAATTAAGTTTATAACACAAGACATTTGGAGAACACATTCTAACCATAGGAGTTACCATGCATAACTTTTTCTAAAAATTCATTCCTAATTTAACATTTGAGAACATACTAACACAATTTATCCTATAAAGACATCAAAAGAATAAGCCAGCAAGTCATTGTGCAAGATTACAAAATAGCATTTGCTAACACTGAATAGCCTTCTTATTAAGCAAAAAGATGTTTTAGAATAACAGAACAACTGTAGCACCCTCTAGATCAGGTTAATCATGTGCATCTACATTTGTCTATTCAGCCAATATAACTAAGTATAATACCATGCTATGGTGCTAGATATTTAGCAATGAACAAGAAAATGTCCTTGAACTTTTTGAACTTGCCTTCTCATGAGAAAGTTGGCAAATAAACAAAAAGTAACATAATATCTAGTTTTACTAAGTTATAAATAAATTAAATAGAATAAGGGATAGAAAGCAATGAGATTCCTATTTTAGAGGAATTGCTGAGTGTCTGATTTGCTGAAGCAGTGACATCTAAGGAGAGAGTGTACCACGGGATTATCCAGGAACAAGCAATTCAGACAAAGGAACAGCATGAGCTCTTGGGGAATGAGTGAGAAGAATGGTAGTAAATATATTTGTGACATAGAGCCAGATGCCAGATGATGTGTAGTCTTGCAGGCCACAGTCAGGACTTGCTGAACGAATTGTTCCACGTGCCAAATGGCAGCATCTCGGTCCAGCTCCTCTCTTAGGTCTTTCAAAACACAATGAAAGTTTATCTTTTAAAAAATAAATACATAATATTTTGTCTATGCTTCTGCCTTATTCTATTCCATATGTGTCCTTCACATGTGTCTTTCTAACTGTGCCTGTCACCTTTTCACTGCTTCAAAGCCATCTGTGATGTTTCTCCCACTCCTTCTTCTGCTCCCATTGCCAGACTGCTCAGTCTGAACACAGCGGTGCTGACACCTCTTCATGGGCATGGCATCACTGTTATCAGCTGTGGTCCTATTCTCAAGAGGCTGCATAAAGGTTGTTGCCTTCCCTCATTAACTTCCTTGACTTATAATATTTGCACATAATACTTTCACTACATGGAAAGCCTAAGAAAATCAACCAAAAACTATTAGGATTCTCTAGAAAGTAGCAACAAAGATGATCTCAAAACTTCACATTCAAAATCAATGTTTTCTTATGATAGTAACTCACCATTCAAAAAATTCCATTGCCATAAACACTATAAATGATTTACAAATGAATTCAACAATAAATATACATTTTACTAAGACCAAATAGAAGATGAGGAGAGAAGGCATGCATTTTCCTGCATAGAGAAAGCAAAAGTTCAAAAGTCTTTTTGAACTTAAGTGAATTTAAATTTTCTTTGAAGGAAAATAAAGTTTTTCTTCAGTAAAAATGTTTTCTGTGTTGTTCCTATGGGCAATATAGGAAAATATTCATAAAGAAGCTTGCAGAGACCAGACTCTCTCACAGCTATATATAGATGTGTGTGTGTGTGTGTGTCTGGGTGTGGGTGTAGACATACACACAAATACATTCATATACATGTATATAAGTATGCATTTATTATGTTAATTTAGTAATTACTTAGTATTTTAAACTGTGTAACTGGCAAAAGAATACATCAAAAGATCAGTGCTGTAGAATACACAACCCAAGAGGAAAACTGATAATATAAAACTTGTTAGGAGTTATTTCTAAGTGGAAATAATTTGTAAACCAGAGTGTTGATTGATTGGATTTTCTGGGAAATAGACATTGTGATAGATTTAGGAGCACAAAGTTTATTGAACAGTAACCCTTTGGAAGGAAAAAGTAGGAAGTAGGATTTGGCAGGAGAAGTTGTCAGGCCATGATAGAGACATAACTGGTTTCTGCCAGCCCAAAGGGGAGAGCGATGGAGCACAGACTGCTCATTAGAAGAGTCTCTATTGAGTGGAAAAAGCCAGGCACTTACACAGCTGCCCTGCTCCTCATTGGCCAAGAGCCGTACCAAGAAGAGTGTGACCTTGGCTTAAAAGCTGAGGTGGATATAACAGGGTAAGTGCCAAATAAAAGGTAGCTAATACCTAATATTGTAATTTTTGGGGGGTATATGTATGTATCAAATTGGAGAACTCTGGGCTTGCTTAGGCTGTTACTTTTTCAATTTATTAATTATTCTCCTTTTTGGCAAACTTTTGAGCATTTAGGCTACTAGTACTGCTGACATACTCAAATTATTGCTACTGTGCTGCAGAAATTTTACCCAGGATGAGGAAGTCTGTCCCAAATCTGGCCAAAAATCCATAAAATGTTTTTTCCTTTAGTTATATGTCCTAGAAAATTAAAAGTGCTACCTGCATACCTCAGAGATAGTGTGGCTTCATTTCTAGTCCAACACAATAAAATAATTCACACAATTTTTTTTGTTTCCCCATAAATAAAAAAGTTATGTTTACACTCTACTATTGTCTATTAAGTGTGCAATAGCGTTATCTAAAAACAATGTACATACCTTAATTAAAAATACTTTATTGCTAAAATATGCTAGTGATCTTCTGAACCTTCACTCAGTCCTAGTCTTTTTGCTGGTGGAGGGTCTTGCCTTTAAATTGAGGCTGCTGACTGATAAGGGTGGTGAGTGGTGTATATTGGGTTGGCTGTGGCAATTTCATAAACTAAGGCAACAGTGAAGTTTGCTGTATCAACACTAAACATTGCACACATGTTCCTTAATCCTTATAAAAATCACACAATGTTATTTTTCCTGCTTTACACATAAGATAACTGAACATGAAATAAACCAAATATCATACAAGACCAAATATCATACAAGTGGCAATGTAGGAATTCTAATAAAAATTCCTTCTAACAGGCTTATTGGATTTTGATAGTTATGTTTGTAATCCCCATAAGTTAACTACCAATTGGTAGTGATTGGGTAAGCTCCCCTAGGGTTCTTTCAGAAATGACATAGAGTAGAGCACAATTTTACTGATAAATATAACAAATTCAGGAAGATGGCCTCTTCAATAAAGAAAAAATAAACATTTTTTTGAAAAAAATTAGCAAATGTAATAGCTTTTCTTCCTTCAATTACCTAAAAATATGTTTGCATATATTTTGACGTGTCTCAAAACATTGTATTACAGTAATCATGTGTGTTTTCTTTGTGACTCTTTATTCCTTATTTCCCTTCCCTTAGTTGCTTAGGTAAGCCAAGACTGTTGAAAGGCTGGAAGAATAAATTTGATGGCCTTGGAAAAAAAAAAAAAAAAAAAAAAAAGCTGAGGTGAACTCTGGAGGAGCTAACTGCTGGAGGCTGTCAGCTAACCACACTCCTCCCAGCTGAGCAGTGAATCCTCTCTGTAAGACGGATACTAACAGTGCATATCTGTGCCTGTCGAAACCAGTGTAAAAAAAAAAAAAAAGTTATATTTCTACCACACTCCATAGGCTAAAATCAATTCCAAATGGATGAAAAGGTAAAATGCAAAACAATGAAAGAAATAAATAACTGTTTTTCAAGACTTGTAAAATATTCAGCTGGGCAAAGGCATAACATGAAAAGTAGAAGTAGAAAGGGAAAATAATAAATAAATTACATAAAAATCACAAACCCCATATATCTTAAAACAACATAAACCAAATTTGAAGGCAAATGATAAGTTTGAATTAAATAACTAAAGCAAATATTAAAGATAATGGTCATTTATTTTGAATAAGGTCTTGTTGCAACTCAGTGAGAAAAAGATAAATATTCCAACAAACATGGCTAAAGATGTGAATATGTTGTTGTTAAAGAAGAAAACCAAAAGTAATAAACATGAAAAAATATAATCACTATCATAATAATACAAATTTAAGAAAGACACATTTTCCTACCAGATTGGCACAATATATCCAGAGTTGGCAAAGACAGCAAAATGAAGACTTGCATATATCACCTTAGAACTTTTTTTTTAACAATAAAATATCTAAATTAAAATTCCGCTTTTTGGTCATAACAAAATATGTTCATGAAGACAGAATCATGTTAATTGTTTTCTGAGAGCTAATGATATATCATTGACTAAAATATATTAAAAATATAAAATAATTATACAAAGTTAATATAATAAATAATACATAGTTTAAAAATGAATAATCCTCAAGTTTAGATTATGCTTGTAGACAATGAGGATTGTGACCTAGTGACCTAAAATAACTGATCCTAACAGGCTTTGAGAAGGCAGCAATAGATAAAGCAATAGCAAGGAGAATCGATGTTCCTCCTTGTAACCTCAGAAAGGCGAAAGAGGGTCCATAGGAATTAGCTGAGAAAAAAAAAAATACATGATTCTTCAATAGGAAGAACTGATGCTGATGTAAATGGAAAAGTAATAAGGAGGCAGTGTGGTGCAGTGTAAAAAACACTATGGTTGGAGTCTGGCCTCCATTCTAGGACTAGGAGGCATATTTCCTGGAGTGAATTGCTGGAGTCCTCCTGTTTCCTCAGTTATTGCCACCTAATGTCCTGATGTCCCTTCTTTTATTCTTGTCTTCCCACCAATTATTCTTCATATCACTTCTAAAAGAATCTCCTCTGATTTCTCCAAAGAAGAAACTTCCTGAGGATCTTGCATCTTTGTATCACTCCGGCTGCATGCTCTTGCCATAAAGAACTACTTACAGTTTCATTAATGTATTAGAGGCTCTCACTCTTTCTTGATTTTGCTCATGCTATTTGCTCCCTGGGATTTCTTTTCTTTACGTTAGTAAACTATTACATTTTGCTTATCCTTAAAATGCAGATCAAGTATCACATCTGCCTCAGAACCTTCCGAGACGTTTCCTTTATGAGTTTTTAGTAACATCTTGTGCATGCTTTGGGGATCAATTATACACTTAATTAACCTGTGGAAATCCAGTTATATGCAGGCAATCAAGAGAAGGAAAGAATTTAAATAGTGCAAGTAAGTGAGCCACCTATCATTCTATTCTGCAAGTGTCAGCCACAGAGTGACAATAACATGGAAAACCTGAATCTGTTCTTCTTCAGTGGGTCTCAGAACCTACATATTGCTTACAGGTTGGACAGCCTGCATTGCTGAATGTGGTGCTATTTTTAAATGGGCATATTTCATAAAATCTGGCAATGGATACAAATTAACTTCATCTGATGCGCAACTGAAAAAAAAAAAACAACTATCCGTTCTAAATGCTTGAGGAAAAACGAGCTGGTTGTTTAAATTCATTGCAAAAAGATATGTAAGTCACCAACCTAACACCTTCTGTCGCATTTTTAAGGACAATTTTGTTTACATAAACTTTTTTGACTTACGTGTTAACTTTACATTCTAAGCCCACTGAAGATGTGACTTTTCTTTACCAATTTTATAGTTTTTTTCCATCATACTGAATTTTTTATTTATATGGTTATGAGCTCATTGAGGAATCTGTCCAGAATACACCAGGTGTTCAATAAATGTTTGTAAAGTGAATGAGCAAATTGTGTGGCTTATGATCTCAAGGACTGGCCCTCTGCTAGAAAACAGCTATGTAATCTGACAAGTATATATGTCAAGACGTGAAATAATGCCAAATAGTGCTCTTTAGGAATCTCGCAGATAACAGAAGCTTTCAAAAGTCATGTCCCTCAAATTTTCATCATGTCAAATTATTGTGTCATGGCAAAAATATTCAGAATAAGTGAAGGTCCGAGCCCTCTTTAATTCAAACAGAACAAATATTCACTTATTTTTCCCGGTCTTAGACCAAGCTATGCAAGCTGTTCATAAATAATAACACTGATCTTTCAAAGCATTTAACTTATCATTTAATAAAAAGTTTATTTGCAACTCTACTGACAGCTCTGTATGAATGGAAGTATGAGTGTTTTAGAATTTTTCAAATGAGTTGAAAATTTTATTTATTTTATACTTATTTTATGTATGTAACAGTAAATCCACCCAGGACTGCATAGATGTATAATATGATGAATTATCTTTAAAATATATAGATGTATTACATATGGAGGAATTTTTTAATACTAGAAAAAGAAAAGGATCATAGCATTAAGTTGAAAAGTAATTATCCAATTCACCAAGAAATGTAAAATAAATAATTTCTGCACATCAGGTCATACTTACCTCCCAGGGTTATTGTGAGGGTTTAGTTAATATTTGTGTGTATTATAACATCTATAAATGCTTAGAACATATTGTTATGGACATTATTAGCATTGTAACAAACAATTATCTGCTTTATAAATATAGAAAGGTCTAGAGTTTGGTTTTTTCTTTTCTTTTTAAACTCCTGTCAATAAAATAGTCATCTGTTCTGCATGAAAAGATTTAGGGTTTTTTACATTTGAGACTCTAACTGCCAAACTACAGGGTAGACTTTATGATATGTTTCTTTAACCACAGAAGAAAGAGGTTATGTCTTCCAAAAGTCCTGTTTATTTGTTCTATTTAAACTTCATTAAAACACTTCTTTCTCACTATGGCATTGTTCCATCAAAATTGTTACAGATAATATTATGCATACTAGTTTGAAGGAAAGCTAGCAATTTTTATGCAGTTTTCTAGAATATTAAATATGTATTATAAAAAGGAAAGAGAAGAGTCAGTCACAAAAGATTATTTTGAAATATGAGAAAGGCATATTTAACAATAAAGAAAATTGAACTGAAAGTAAGGTCTGAGGGTCACTCTTGTTGAGATACCTTGTAGTCCTTACTGAAAGATTCACATGCTGAACAATCACGAGAGTGACTACTATGCCCAGAATGTAAAATTTGATGTTCCTCACATCAAATTTTACTTTGATACGGCTTGCTTTGCCCCTCTACAAACTGACCTGCTCATTAACTCCCCTGTGATTGCAGCTGTAAAAAATATTATTTGTAAATTGCTTCTAAAGATATTCCTTATACTTGAAACAATTAAGAAAGTGTCTAGTTGCCCTATTCTTGTGTATTTAAAGGATATCACTTTTGTGAACTTTCCTAGAATAAGACAAGTCTTCTTTTTCAGTCCAGAGGCACCTGCTAACTTATTTTATGGAAAAAAAGGAAATCACTAATTTAATCTCTAGAAGGGCATCCCATTCTACATTTATGTGGCATAAGTTCAGAGATTTGTAGACGGCCTTGGCCCTTGTACTGTTGGAACAAGGATGGTATAACAAAAATAATGATGGTAGTGGGAGGATGGTCAATTTGATGGGGATGGTAGGGATTGGTCCCCACAGCTGTAGAGGGCACTCACAGGTTTTTTTTTTCTATTTTTCAAATGTTCTCCCTAGGGGAAGAAAATGCTATTTTTATTTAGTTGCCAAACAAACTGAGCCAACAAATTGTGCTAGCTATACATATATTTATATGTACAGCTATATTTCTTGTGTTGTGGGAATTGCTACACACCTTCTAAAATATCATGATGTGATGTCACAAGAAGATTAGGACAAGTTGTAGGGTGTGTATTTGTGTGTAGGAGGGAGGTCATTATAGTGAAGGGGAAGGAAGGAAACATGTTTCCCATTACACCTAAAACTATGCATTTAGTGACAATGCTATTTCTTTCTTTTACATAATGGCCCAATATGTAAATGATATTATAATATTAGGTTGGTACAAATGTAATTGTGGTTCTTGCCATTAAAAGTAATGGCCATTAAACTTAATTAAAACTTTAATGACTTTAAAACTAATAGCAAAAAATGGCAATTATGTTTACACCAACTCAATACATACAAGATATTAACTAAGGAAAGAAAATATTTAGTTTTTTTCTCTATAATACCTGGTCCTAATTGCTATTCACCACAAAAATTATTTTGTGTCTTCTTTTGCTTACACACAAATAAAATGTAATTCTATAACGATCTCCCCTCCTTTCGAAGTCTAGAAGTTCTTTGAGGTCAAGGACTAGCTTATTTATACAAATTGAATCATAGAACTACATTGTAAACTCAGTAAATGTTTACAAAAACTAGATGAAATTTAAAAACAACAATTTAAAGGTAATAGAAAGTATCCAAAAGCACACAAAATTAGAAGAAAGGTTTACTCTTAAGAACCTGTTATGTGAGAGTCAAGAACTGTGAATTTGTGGCTTTTTTTCCCTCAAAAATGTTCCCCATAGAAAATTGCAAACTTACTAGCTCAAGGTGGCAGGTAACAGAGTTCATTTAGGCTAAGACTTCACACATAATACAAAGAAAGCATGAGCTCTAAAAGAAATATTTGACAAACTGGACTTCATTGGCAAATGAAAACATGTGCAACATTCATCAGGGGAATGTAAGTTAAAACACAGTGAGATACCACTAGACACCCACTAGAATGTCAAATAAAAAGCACAAAACCAACTTTTGCTAAGGATTTGGAGCAACTGGAACCCTCATAAACTTTTATTGAGACTGAAAAATGGTATTGATATTTTGGAAGGCAATTTGAGAGTTGGTATATTTAAATGTAAAATAACCATGTGACCCTGCAATTTCACTCCTATGTATTTACTGAAAAGAAATGTACGTTTATATAAGACTTGAAATAGAATGTTCATAGCAGCTTTCTTTATAATATTCAAAAACTAGAAAGAAGCATCCATCCAGAAGTCAAGAGATAAACATCTGTATGATTAGATACTCTTCAGCAACATCAAGAACAAATTACTGATTAACATAACATGAATGGTGATATGGTTTGGCTTTGTGTCCCCATTCAGATCTCATTTTGAATTGTAATGCCACAATCCCCACATGTCCTTGGAGGGACCTGGTGGGAGGTGATTGAATCATGGGTGCAGTTTCTCCAATGCTGTTCTCATGATAGTAAGTTCTCATGAGATCTGATGGTTTTATAAGCATATGGAATTTCCCCTGATGGCACTCATCGTCTCTCCTGCCACCAAGTTTGCTTCCTCTCCTGCCAAAATTGTAAGTTTCCTGAGGCCTCCCCAGCCCTGCAGAACTGTGAGTTAATTAAACCTATTTTCTTCAGAAATTACCCACTCTTGGGCAGTTCTTTATAGCAGCATGAGAATAAACTAATATAGTAAATAGTTACCGATAGAGTGGGGTGCTGCCATAAGGATACCTGAAAATGTGGAAACAACTTTGGAACTGGGTAATAGGCAGAGGCTGGAACAGTTTGGAGGGCTCAGAAGAAGACCAGAAAATATGGGAAAGTTTGAAACTTCCTAGAGACTTGGAGGGCTCAGAAGACAGGAAGATGTGGGAAAGTTTGGAACTTCCTAGACAGTTGTTGAATGGCTTTGACCAAAATGATGATAGTGATATGAGCAACGAAGTCAGGCTGAGGTTGTCTCAGATGGAGATGAGGAACTTGTTGAGAACAGGAATAAATGTGATTCTTGCTTTGCTTCAGCAACGAGACTGTTGGCATTTTCCCCCTGCCCTAGAGATCTGTGGAACTTTGAACTTGAGAGAGATGATTTAGAGCATCTGGTGGAAGAAATTTCTAAGCAGCAAAGGATTCAAGAGGCACAGAAGATAAAAGTTTGGAAAATTTAAAATTTGCAGCCATTTTCTGGGGAGAAATTCTAGCTCAATGCAGAAATTTGCATAATTAACAAGGAACCAAATGTTAACCACCAAGAAAATGGAGAAAATGTCTCCAGGGCATGTCAGAGATCTTCATTGCAGCCCATCCCATCACAGACCCAGAGTCCTAGCAGGGAAAAGTGTTTTCCTGAGCAGGGCCCAGGATGTCCCTGCTCTGTACAGCCTTGGGACATGGTGCCCTGCATCCCAGCTGCTTCAGCTCCAGCCGTGAAGGGGCCAAGGTACAGCTTGGTCCATTGCTTCAACGGATGAAAACTCCAAGCCTTGGTAACTTCTACCTAGTGTTGAGCCTGCAGGTGCACAGAAGTCAAGAATTGAGGTTTGGGAACGTCAGCCTAGATTTCAGAGGATGTAAGACAATGTCTGGATGTCCAGGCAGAAGTTTGTTGCAGGGGCAGAGCCCTCAGGAAGAATCTCTGCTAGGGCAGCGCAGAAGGGAAATGTGGGATCAGAGCTGCCACACAGAGTCTCCACTGGGGCACTGCCTAGTGCATCTGTGAGAAAAGGCCACCATCCTCCAGATCCCAGAATAATAGATCCACCAACAGCTTGCACTGTGCACCTAGAAAAGCTGCAGGCACTCAATGCCAGCCTGTGAAAGCAGCCAGGAGGGGTGCTGTATCCTGCAAAGCCACAGGGGTGCCCAAGGTTGTGGGAGCCTACCTCCTGCATCAGCATGACCTGGATGTCAGACATGAAGTCAAGGGAGATCATTTTGAAACTTTAAGGTTTAGTGACTCCCCTATTGGATTTTAAACTTGCATGGGGACTGTAGCCCCTTTGTTTTGGCCAATTTCTCCCATTTGAAGTGGGTGTATTTACCCAATGCCTGTACCTCCATTGTATCTAGGAAGTAGCTAACTTCCTTTTAATTTTGTATGCTCAGAGGCAGGAGGAACTTGCCTTGTCTCAGGTGAGACTTTGGACTTGGACTTTTGGGTTAATGTTAGAATTAGTTAAAATTTGGGGGGACTGTTGGAAGGGCATGATTGTCTTTTGAAACGTGAGGATATGAGATTTATGATGGGCCAGAGGTAGAATAATGGTTAAGCTTTGTTCCCCCACCCAAATTTCATCTTGAATTGTAATCCCATAATCCCCACTTGTCGTGGGAGGGACCTGATGGGAGGTAATTGAATCATGAGGGAAGTTTCCCCCATGCTTTTCTCGTGATGGTGAGTGAGTTTTCACAAGATCTGATGGTTTTACAAGCGTCTGTCATTTCCCTTGCTGGCACTCATTCTCTCTCCTGCTGCAATGTGAAGAAAGATGCATTTGCTACTACTTTCACCATGATTGTAAGTTTCCTGAGGACTCCCCAGCCCTGAGGAACTGTGAGTCAATTAAACCTTTTTCCTTTATAAATTACTCAATCTCAATAAGAGCATGAGAATGGACTAATTCAAATGGATTTATACCTGAGTAAAATAAACCACATGCAAAAGAGTACATACTGGCCCTTTGCATGAAGTTCTAGAAAATGCAAAGTAAATCTTAATGAGAGAATGTAGATCACCATAGATTACTGGAACCCTAGAGTACAGGGGGTGAAGTTGGAGTAACCAGGTGTGTGGGGAGGTGTTGGGGGGGTGGAGAACTATCAATTCCCAGGTATACTGGAGAGCTTTTATGCTGATGAAAATCTACACTTGATTGTGATGATGTTTACGTGATTACCTTTGTCCAAACTCATTTTACTGTATACTTAAAGTGTGTGCAGTTTATTGTATATAAACTATACATCAGCCTATTTTTTTTTTTTTTGAGACAAGGTCTCACTCTGTCACCCAGGCTGGAGTGCAGTAGCATACCTTCCAATGGATATTAAATAGAATGCCAAGAGCTGGAATTCCAGGGCCCTGGGTATAACCTTTACAACCAAGCCCATAAACCTACCTCTATCTCTTATCCTGCTTAAGGGATAGTTGGCAAAATCAGGTGACAATTCTGTCTGCTGCTGGCCAGGAAAATTGTTGTTGTTGTTTGTTTGTTGTTTTTCAGTTTTTTCTCGCAAATACGGAAGACTTAGACACAAGGTCAAGGAAAGACATCCAGATTTTGGCCTCAGACCTAAGCTAATTTCCCCAGTCTAGCTTTACCAGTTAAAAAAATAAACAAATAAGGCAGATGCTTAACTGAAGCCTGAGTCTATCTGAACTGTTTAAAAGTCATGAGGAGTCATGGGGTGTGATATGTGCCAACTTTACTGGGTCATGGGGTGCCCAGGTATTTGGTTAAACATTATTCTGGCATGTCTGTGGGGAATTTGATGATATTAACATTTGAATCCATAGACTAAGTAAGGCAGATTGCCCTCCCCAATGTGATAGTTAGCATATAATCCATGAAAGGCCTAAATGGAACAAAAGATTGAGTAAGGGAGAATATGGTCTCTCTGCCTGACTGTCTTTGAGCTGGGACATTGGTTTTTCTCCTGCCTTTGGACTCAGAGCAAGACTGGAATTTATACCATCAGTTCTCCTGCATCACCAGCTTGCAGACTGCATATCTTAGGACTTCTCAGCCTCCATGAGTGTGTGTGTGTGTGTGTGTGTGTGTGTGTGTATGTTTGCCTATAAACAGTATTGTTCTGTTTGTCTGGAGAATTCAGACTAATACGTGGAATAAAGTAGTATAAACACCTGCCGTGCCCGCCCCTCCCCACCACACCACTAAGGCCTGGAAACCCTATTCACATCTAACTCATACACAAATTGAAAATCAGTGGCTGGGGTAAAGTGCACTGAGGTCTCCAACCACAAGAATTATTCATATTCTGCATTTGATACTCTTTCATATAGATACTGAGCAAATAGTACTTTCAATAATATGAACAGAAAGTCATTTGGAGTCCTAAAACCAAAAGAAATATCTGCCTTCATGTTGGGCTTATTCCATTCCTCAGGAATAAGTCATATTTAGAATAATTTTAAATTCAGGAATACAGGTATTTCAGACAGTCAAGATTTGCTCTAACCAAAGTGCCATTTACAAAAAGAGAATGTCATAGTCGCAATTTTAAGCTCTTCAACACTGTGTAGTAAACTGATTGATCTTTCTATTTTCTGCTCCCCCACCAACCTACTTCACATATACTATGTGAGGTAAAATTACCAACTTCAAATTATTTTCGATATAGTTCCCATTTTTTCTTTCTGTGTGCCCTTATCCTTTAACACACTGCAAAAAAAAAAAAAAAAAAAAAAAAAGGAGTGACAGTCAAAACAAAAAGCATCATGAATTAGTCTATCTAAAAGAATTAACACGAGTTTTGAGGCATATGTATATTTTGCTCAAAATGTGTAAAATAAATGAGGAAGCCTTTATGTTGGTCTAATCCATTCTAAAAGCATTACCATGCCATAAAAATATATAACTACGTTATATATTTTGATTATTTAACTATCCTAGGGAGTATATCTTATATAATACTTAAATCAAGTTTAAAGTTTAGTAAGAATTGTAAGAAATGTCTCTGTTATTCAATATTCCTTTTCTAAAAGGCGTTGATGCAATAGTCTGTCTGATGATTGACAGCCAATTGCAAAGGGGCCATACGTGTTGAGATGTTGGGCCTTTGAAGGACCCTCTTAGGCTCTACATCTCTTCTGTTAACATTTCACGAAACTGGATAATAGCTCCTTCTAACATCCCTTCTTGGTGGCCAAGGGGACTGTTTTTATTGGTAAATTCAGAAATAGTAATAAAATAGAAGATTTGAAAATCCTCAAAGAGAACCAGAGTGAACAGTCTCCCTGATTCAACCACTGTTTGCAAATATTTATTTTTCATCTCTAAACCTCAGAGTGTGTTTGATTTGAAGCACTAAAACAGAAATTGCTCTGACCCACAGAAAATTTTTATGCTGAATAAACCACCTCATAAGCTGAAGCTTAAACATTTACTGTGGATGCCTTCACACAGTGTTTCCCCTGTGAAGCATCTGGAATTCTGGCTTTCAATTGACTTAATTGTCATGTCACTTTGGAAAACTTCCAAAGACCTTAAGGAATTTAGGCTTTACATTATTGTAACAAAATTTTCCTAATTTTTATTTATTAAAAACACAATAACTCCCTTATCATCAAATTCACATGCTAAAGCTGGAAGAGACCTTGGAGATCATCTCATTTCATCTTTTTATTTGATATGCGTTTTTTGTAGGAAGAGATCTGGGTATGTTTTAGTAACATACTTAGCTTGACTCGGTGAAGGAAACTCACCTCTAAATGAGAGGCTCCACGTATTTCAGAGTATAGGCAAGTAATGGATCAAAGTTTTTGAATGAATATCATAAATTCTTCCATCCACATCCTAGTTCTCTCCCTACTCCTTGACAGAATCATAGTGTCACCACCCTAAAGAATTTTAACTCAGTTTTATCCCCCAAAGGCTGTACTGTGAAGATGTTTATTTTATTTCTCTTTTCTTTTTTAAAATTATTTTATATTGACACATAATAATTGTACATATTTATGAGGTACATGTGGCATTTCGATACATGTGGCATTTCGATACATGCATACAATGTATAATGAAGAAATCGGGGTATTCAGGATCATCTATCATCTCAAACATTTATCATTTCTTTGTGTTGAGAATATTTCACAAATTCTAACCATTTTGAAATACAACTATAAATTATTATTATTATTATTATTATTATTATTATTATTATTATTATTATTATTTTGAGACGGAGTCTCGCTGTCGCCCAGGCTGGAGTGCAGTGGCGCCATTTCAGCTCACTGCAAGCTCCGCCCCTTGGGGTTCACGCCATTTTCCTGCCTCAGCCTCCCGCGTAGCTGGGACTACAGGCGCCCACCACCTCGCCTGGCTAATTTTTTGTATTTTTAGTAGAGACGGGGTTTCACTGTGTTAGCCAGGATGGTCTTGATCTCCTGACCTCGTGATCTGCCCGCCTCGGCCTCCCAAAGTGCTGGTATAAATTATTTTTAACTATAGTGACTCTACTGTGCTATTGAACACTGGAACTTCTATCTAACTATCTGTTTTTACCAATTAACTGATCTATTTTCATCTCACCCTCCTCACTCTTTCCAGCACCTGGTAATCAACATTCTACTATTCTACTCTCTACCTCCATAAGATCATCATTATTTCTGTCTGTCTGTTTTAATTTAGAAACTAGGTCTTGTTGTGTTGCCCAGATTGGCCTCAAATGCCTGGGCTCAAGAAATCCTCCTGCCTCAGCCACATGAGTAGCTGGGACTATAGGTGCATGCCACCACATCTGACAAAAAGAATGTTTTTGGCTCCCACATATGGCTGAAAATATGTGATATTTGTCTTTCTGTGCCTGGCCTTTTTCACTTAACATAATGACCTCAAGTCCCATTCATGTTGCTGCAAATGACATTTCATTCCTTTTTGTAGTCAAATAGTATTCCATTGCATATATGGCACATTTTCTTTATCCATTCATCCACTGATGGACATTTAGGTTGATTTTATCTCTTTGCTATTGTGAATAGTGCTGCAGTAAACATGTGAATGCAAATACACGTTTAAGGTACTAACTTCTTTTCCTCTGGATAAATATCCTGTAATGGGATTGTCGTATCATATGGTAGTGTGATTTTCAGATTTTTGAGACATCTCCATACTGTTTTCTGTAGAGACTGTATTAATTTACATTCCCACCAACAATGCATGTGTTCCTTTTTCTCCACATCTCAGCTAATTCATCAGTGATGTACAGAAACACTACTGATTTTTGTCTCTTTCTATCAGTCATTTTACCTGGAGTAAGATGATATGTCCTTGTGGTTTTGATTTCAATTTCCATGATGATTTGTGATATTGAGCATTTTTGTATGTTTTCTTTTGAGAAATGTCTACTCAAATCCTTTGGCCATTTTTTTAGTGGGATTATTAATTTTTTTTACTGTTTAATATCTTGCATATTCTGCCTATTAGTCCCTTTTCAAATGATTAGTTTTTCAAATATTTTCCCCCATTCAACGGGTTGTTTCTTTACTCTCTTTTCTTGCTATGCAGAAGCCTTTGTAGTTAATATGGTCCAATTTATCTATTTTAGTTTTTGTTGTCTGTGTTTTTGAGGTCTTAGCCATAAAATCTTTGCCAAGACCAATATCTTGAAGTGCTTCTACAATGTTTTCTTCTAGTAGTTTTATAGTTTCAGTTCTTAGGTTTAAGTCTTTAATCCATCTTAAGTTGATTTTTGTATACGGTCAGAGTTAGGGGTCCAGTTTTATTCTTCTGCATTCTGCAATTTTCCCGGCACCATTTACTGAAGAGGGTGTCCTTACTCCGGTGGATGTTCTTGGAGCCTTTGTTGCAAATTAGTTCTCTGTAAACACATGGATTTGTTTCTGGCTTCTCTATTCTGTTCAATTTGTAAGTGTGTCTGTTTTTATACCAATAATATTCTATTTTGGTTACTAAATCCTTGTAATATATTTTGAGGTAAGGAAGTGTGTTTCTTTGTTCTTTTTGCTCTAGATTGCTTTGGCTACCTGGGCTCTGTATTGGTTCTATGCACATTTTAAAATAGCTTTTTCTTTTTCTGTGAAACATGGTGTTGGTATTTTGACAGAGATTGCATTGACTCTTCAGATTTTTTTGAGTAGTCATTTTAAAGATATTAATTTCTCTGATTTATGAGCGTGGGGTGTCTTTCCATTTTTTGTGTCCTCTTCATTTACTATGATCAGAGTTTCATAATTTTGCTTGTAGAAATCTTTCACCTCCTTGGTTAAATTTATTCCTAGGTTTTTTTTAATTTTGGGGGCTATTTTAAATGAAATTTCCTTTTGAATTTTCTCTCAGCTAATTCATCAGTGATGTATAGAGACACTACTGATTTTTGTATGTTGATTTGATATTCTGCAACTGTACTGGATTTATCAGATCTAATAGTTTTTTGGTAGAGTCTTTAGATTTTTATAGAAATAAAATTATATCATTGGCAAAAAGATACATTTGATTTCCTCTTTCCAATGCAGATATATTTTTTTCTTCGTCTGATTTCTGTTACAAGGACTTTCAGTATTATGATGAATAAGAGTGGTGAAAGAGGGCATCCTTGTGTTGTCCTAGCTCTTAGAGAAAGTTCTTTCACCTTTTCCTCATTCAGTAGGATGTTACTTGTGGGTTTGTCATATATGGCCTTTATTATGTTGAGGCATTATTCTTCTATGCCTAATTCGTTGAGAGTTTTTATCATAAGAAGATGTTGAATTTTATAGGATGTGATTTCTGCATCTACTGAGATAAATATATGGCCTTTGTACATCATTATTTTCATGTAATGTATCACATTTATTCATTTGTGTATGTTGAACCATCCTAGTATCCCTGGAATAAGTCCCACTTAATCATGGTGTATTTTTTTTTGATGTGCTGTTGAAATTGGTTTCCTACAATTTGTTCAATTATTTTGCATTTATATTCATCAGGAATATTGGCATCTAGTGCTTTTTCTTTCTTTCTCTTTTTTTTTGTCATTCTTGTCTCATTTTAGTGTCAGGGTAATGTTGGCATTGTGCAATTAGGTAGTGAGACTTCCCTCCTATTCAATTGTTAGGAATAGTTTGAGGAAAATGATGTTAGTTATTCTTTGAAAATTTGGTAGAATTTAGTGATGAAGCCATCTGGTCCTGCACTTTTCTTTCTTAGGAGACTTATTATTATTGACTCAATTTTATTACTCATTATTGGCCTGTTCAGGTTGTCTGTTTCTTCCTGATTGCATATTGGTGGGTTGTATGTGTCCAGAAATGTGTCCATTTCCTTTAGGTTTTCTAGTTTGTTAGTGTATAGTGGTTCATAATACTATTTTATTATCTTTTTATTTCAGTGATATCAGTTGTAATGTTTCCTTTTTCATTTCTAATTTGTATATTTAGATCTTCTTTCTATTTTCTTGGTTAGCCTAGCAAGTAGTTTATCAATTTGTTTACCTTTGAAAATAACCAATGTTTGTTTGATTGATCTCCCGTATTTATTTAGCTTTGCTCTGATCTTATTATTTATTTTACTAATTTTGAGTCTGGTTTGTTTTTGTGTATCTAGCTTATAGAGTTGCATTGTTAGATTGTTTATTTGAAATCTTACTATTTTTTCCATGTAGGCATTTATTGCTGGAAATTTTCCTTCTTTTCCACATCCCGTATGTTTTTGGTATGTTGTGTTTCAATTTTCATTTGTTGCAAGAATTTTTTTGATTTTCTCCTTAATTTTGTCCTTAACCTAATGATCATTCAAGAGCATGTTGCTTAGTTTCTATGTATTTATAGTTTCTCAAGTTCTCTTGTTATTGACTTTGACCTTTACTGCACTGTTGTCTGAGAAAATACTTTATATTTTTATTTTTATTTTTTTATTTTATTATTATTATACTTTAAGTTTTAGGGTACATGTGCACAATGTGCAGGTTTGTTACATATGTATACATGTGTCATGTTGGTGTGCTGCACCCATTAACTCATCATTTAGCATTAGATATATCTCCTAATACTATCCCTCCCCCATCCCCCCACCCCACAACAGTCCCCAGAGTGTGATGTTCCCCTTCCTGTGTCCATGTGTTCTCATTGTTCAATTCCCACCTATGAGTGAGAACATGCGGTGTTTGGTTTTTTGTCCTTGTGATAGTTTACTGAGAATGATGATTTCCAATTTCATCCATGTCCCTACAAAGGACATGAACTCATGACTTTTTATGGCTGCATAGTATTCTGTGGTGTATATATGTGCCACATTTTCTTAATCCAGTCAATCATTGTTGGACATTTGGGTTGGTTCCAAGTCTTTGCTATTGTGAATAGTGCCACAATAAACATACGTGTCCATACGTCTTTATAGCAGCATGATTTATAGTCCTTTGAGTATATACCTAAAGTAATGGGATGGCTGGGTCAAATGGTATTTCTAGTTCTAGATCCCTGAGGAATCGCCACACTGACTTCCGCAATGGTTGAATGAGTTTACAGTCCCACCAACAGTGTAAAAGTGTTCCTATTTCTCCACATCCTCTCCAGCACCTCTTGTTTCCTGATTTTTTAATGATTGCCTTT
Organism: Homo sapiens; assembly: GCF_000001405.40. Classification (NCBI taxonomy): domain Eukaryota; kingdom Metazoa; phylum Chordata; class Mammalia; order Primates; family Hominidae; genus Homo; species Homo sapiens. The sequence continues at coordinate 81,431,540 of NC_000006.12, forward strand.
CTAAGTGGTGTGAGATGGTATCTCATTGTGGTTTTGATTTGCATTTCTCTGATTGCCAGTGATAATGAGCATTTTTTAGGTGTTTTTTGGCTGCATAAATATCTCCTTTTGAGAAGTGTCTGTTCATGTCCTTCGCCCACTTTTTGTTGGGGTGGTTTGTTTTTTTCTTATACATTTGTTTGAGTTCACTGTAGATTCTGGATATTAACCCTTTGACAGATGAGTAGGTTGCGAAAATTTTCTCCCATTTTGTAGGTTGCCTGTTCACTCTGATGGTAGTTTCTTTTGCTGTGCAGAAGCTCTTTAGTTTAATTAGATCCCATTTGCCAATTTTGTCTTTTGTTGCCATTGCTTTTGGTGTTTTAGACATGAAGTCCTTGCCCATGCTTATGTCCTGAATGGTAATGCCTAGGTTTTCTTCTAGAGTTTTTATGGTTTTAGGTCTAAAGTTTAAGTCTTTAATCCATCTTGATTTAATTTTTGTATAAGGTGTAAGGGAGGGATCCAGTTTCAGCTTTCTATATATGGCTAGCCAGTTTTCCCAGCACCATTTATTAAATAGGGTATCCTTTCCCCCATTGTTTGTTTTTTGCAGGTTTGTCAAAGATCAGATAGTTGTAGATATGCAGCATTATTTCTGAGGGCTCTGTTCTGTTCCATTGATCTATATCTCTGTTTTGGTACCAGTACCATGCTGCTTTGGTTACTGTAGCCTTGTAATATAGTTTGAAGTCAGGTAGCATGATGCCTCCAGCTTTGTTCTTTTGGCTTAGGATTGATTTGGCGATGCGGGCTCTTTTTTGGTTCCATAGGAACTTTAAAGCAGTTTTTTCCAATTCTGTGAGGAAAGTCATTGGTAGCTTGATGGGGATGGCATTCAATCTATAAATTACCTTGGACAGTATGGCCATTTTCACGATATTGATTCTTCCTACCCATGAGCATGGAATGTTCTTCCATTTGTTTGTATCCTCTTTTATTTCATTGAGCAGTGGTTTGTAGTTCTCCTTGAAGAGGTCCTTCACATCCCTTGTAAGTTGGATTCCTAGGTATTTTATTCTCTTTGAAGCAATTGTGTGTGGTAGTTCACTCATGATTTGGCTCTCTGTTTGTCTGTTATTGGAGTATAAGAATGCTTGTGATTTTTGTACATTGATTTTGTATCCTGAGACTTTGCTGAAGTTGCTTATCAGCTTAAGGAGATTTTGGGGTGAGACAGTGGGGTTTTCTAAATATACAATCATGTCATGTGCAAACAGGGACAATTTGACTTCCTCTTTTCCTAATTGAATACCCTTTATTTCCTTCTCCTGCCTGATTGCCCTGGCCAGAACTTCCAACTCTATGTTGAATAGGAGTGGTGAGAGAGGGCATCTCTGTCTTGTGCCAGTTTTCAAAGGGAATACTTCCAGTTTTTGCCCATTCAGTATGATATTGGCTGTGGGTTTGTCATAGATAGCTCTTATTATTTTGAGATACATCCCATCAATACCTAATTTATTGAGAATTTTTAGCATGAAGCCTTGTTGAATTTTGTCAAAGGCCTTTTCTGCATCTATTGAGATAATCATGTGGTTTTTGTCTTTGGTTCTGTTTATATGCTGGATTACATTTATTGATTTGCGTATATTGAACCAGCCTTGCACCCCAGAGATGAAGCCCACTTGATCACGGTGGATAAGCTTTTTCATGTGCTGCTGGATTCGGTTTGCCAGTATTTTATTGAGGATTTTTGCATCAATGTTCATCAAGGATATTGGTCTAAAGTTATCTTTTCTGGTTGTGTCTCTGCCCGGCTTTGGTATCAGGATGATGGCCACCAAGATGGCCAAATAGGAACAGCTCCAGTCTACAGCTCCCAGCGTGAGCAACACAGAAGATGGGTGATTTCTGCATTTCCATCTGAGGTACCGGGTTCATCTCACTAGGGAGTGCCAGACAGTGGGCGCAGGACAGTCAGTGTAGCGCACCATGCGTGAGCCGAAGCAGGGCGAGGCATTGCCTCACTTGGGAAGTGCAAGGGGTCAGGGAGTTCCCTTTCCTAGTCAAAGAAAGGGGTGACAGAGGGCACCTGGAAAATCGGGTCACTCCCACCCTAATACTGCGCTTTTCCGATGGGCTTAAAAAACGGTGCACCAGGAGATTATATCCTGCACCTGGCTCGGAGGGTCCTATGCCCATGGAGTCTTGCTGATTGCTAGCACAGCACTCTGAGATCAAACTGCAAGGCGGCAACGAGGCTGGGGGAGGGGTGCCCGCCATTGCCCAGGCTTGCTTAAGTAAACAAAGCAGCCAGGAAGCTCGAACTGGATGGAGCCCACCACAGCTCAAGGAGGCCTGCCTGCCTCTGTAGGCTCCACCTCTGAGGGCAGGGCACAGACAAACAAAAAGACAGCAGTAACCTCTGCAGACTTAAGTGTCCCTGTCTGACAGCTTTGAAGAGAGCAGTGGTTCTCCCAGCATGCAGCTGGAGATCTGAGAACGGGCAGACTGCCTCCTCAAGTGGGTCCCTGACCCCTGACCCCCAAGCAGCCTAACTGGGAGGCATCCCCCAGTAGGGGCAGACTGACACCTCACACGCCCTGGCACTCCTCTGAGACAAAACTTCCAGAGGAACGATCAGACAGCAGCATTCACGGTTCACAAAAATCTGCTGTTCTGCAGCCACTGCGGCTGATACCCAGGCAAAAAGGGTCTGGAGTGGACCTCTTGCAAACTCCAACAGACCTGCAGCTAAGGGTCCTGTCTGTTAGAAGGAAAACTAACAAACAGAAAGGACATCCACACCAAAAACCCATCTGTACATCACCATCATCAAAGACCAAAAGTAGATAAAACCACAAAGATGGGGAAAAAACAGCAGAAAAACTGGCAACTCTAAAAAAGCAGAGTTCCTCTCCTGCTCCAAAGGAATGCTGTTCCTCACCAGCAATGGAACAAAGCTGGACGGAGAATGACTTTGACAAGTTGAGAGAAGAAGGCTTCAGACGATCAAACTACTCTGAGCTCCAGGAGGAAATTTAAACCAAGGCAAAGAAGTTAAAAACTTTGAAAAAAAATTTAAATGAATGTATAACTAGAATAATCAATACAGAGAAGTGCTTAAAGGAGCTGATGGAGCTGAAAGCCAAGGCTCGAGAACTACATGAAGAATGCAGAAGCCTCAGGAGCCAATGCAATCAACTGGAAGAAAGGGTACCAGTGATGGAAGATGAAATGAATGAAATGAAGTGAGAAGGGAAGTTTAGAGCAAAAAGAATAAAAAGAAATGAACAAAGCCTCCAAGAAATATGGGACTATGTGAAAAGACCAAATCTATGTCGGATTGTTGTACCTGAAAGTGACGGGGAGAATGGAACCAAGTTGGAAAACACTCTGCAGGATATTATCCAGGAGAACTTCCCCAATCTAGCAAGGCAGGCCAACATTCAGATTCAGGAAATACAGAGAACGCCACAAAGATACTCCTCGAGAAGAGCAACTCCAAGACACATAATTGTCAGATTCACCAAAGTTGAAATGAAGGAAAAAATGTTAAGGGCAGCCAGAGAGAAAGGTCGGGTTACCCACAAAGGGAAGCCCATCACACTAACAAGCAGGACTCTCGGCAGAAACTCTAAAAGCCAGAAGAGAGTGGGGGCCAATATTCAACATTCTTAAAGAAAAGAATTTTCAACCCAGAATTTCATATCCAGCCAAACTAAGCTTCATAAGTGAAGGAGAAATAAAATACTTTACACATAAGCAAATGCTGAGAGATTTTGTCACCACCAGGCCTGCCCTAAAAGAGCTCCTGAAGGAAGCACTAAACATGGAAAGGAACAACCAGTACCAGCCACTGCAAAATCATGCCAAACTGTAAAGACCACAGAGGCTAGGAAGAAACTGCATCAACTAACAAGCAAAATAACCAGTTAACATTATAATGACATGATAAAATTCACACATAACAATATTAACTTTAAATGTAAATGGACTAAATGCTCCAATTAAAAGACACAGACTGGCAAATTGGATAAAGAGTCAAGACCCATCAGTGTGCTGTATTCAGGAAACCCATCTCACGTGCAGAGACACACATAGGCTCAAAATAAAAGGATGGAGGAAGATCTACCAAGCAAATGGAAAACAAAAAAAGGCAGGGGTTGCAATCCTAGTCTCTGATAAAACAGACTTTAAACCAACAAAGATCAAAAGAAACAAAGAAGGCCATTACATAATGGTAAAGTGATCAATTCAACAAGAAGAGCTAACTATCCTAAATATATATGCACCCAATACAGGAGCACCCAGATTCATAAAGCAAGTCCTGAGTGACCTACAAAGAGACTTAGACTCCCACACAATAACAATGGGAGACTTTAACACCCCACAGTCAATATTAGACAGATCAACGAGACAGAAAGTTAACAAGGATACCCAGGAATTGAACTCAGCTCTGCACCAAGCGGACCTAATAGACATCTACAGAACTCTCCACCCCAAATCAACAGAATATACATTTTTTTTCAGCACCACACCACACCTATTCCAAAATTGACCACATAGTTGGAAGTAAAGCTCTCCTCAGCAAATGTAAAAGAACAGAAATTATAACAAACTGTCTCTCAGACCACAGTGCAATCAAACTAGAACTCAGGATTAAGAAACTCACTCAAAACTGCTCAACTACATGGAAACTGAACAACCTGCTCCTGAATGACTACTGGGTACATAACGAAATGAAGGCAGAAATAAAGATGTTCTTTGAAACCAACGAGACCAAAGACACAACATACCAGAGTCTCTGGGACACATTCAAAGCAGTGTGTAGAGGGAAATTTATAGCACTAAATGCCCACAAGAGAAAGCAGGAAAGATAAAAAATTGACACCCTAACATCACAATTAAAAGAACTAGAAAAGCAAGAGCAAACACATTCAAAAGCTGCTAGAAGGCAAGAAATAACTAAAATCAGAGCAGAACTGAAGGAAATAGAGACACAAAAAACCCTTCAAAAAATTAATGAATCCAGGAGCTGGTTTTTTGAAAGGATCACCAAAATTGATAGACTGCTAGCAAGACTAATCAAGAAGAAAAGAGAGAAGAATCAAATAGACGAAATAGAAAATGATAAAGGGGATATCACCACCGATCCCACAGAAATACAAACTACCATCAGAGAATACTACAAACACCTCTATGCAAATAAACTAGAAAATCTAGAAGAAATGGATAAATTCCTCGACACATACACCCTCCCAAGACTAAGCCAGGAAGAAGTTGAATCTCTGAATAGACCAATAACAGGCTCTGAAATTGTGGCAATAATCAATAGCTTACCAACCAAAAAGAGTCCAGGACCAGATGGATTCACAGCCGAATTCTACCAGAGGTACAAGGAGGAACTGGTACCATTGCTTTTGAAACTATTCCAATCAATAGAAAAAGAGGGAATCCTCCCTAACTCATTTTATGAGAAAATACTTTATAAATTGACTTAAAATTTGTTGAGATACTTTTTTTGTGTCCTAATATATGGTCTATCCTACAGAATCCCATGTGCTGATGAGGAAAAAATGTGTATTCTGTAGCTGTTGAATTAAATCTCCTGTAAATGTCTGTTATCTCCAACGGTCTAACATGCAGCTTATTTATTTATTTATTTATTTATTTATTTATTTATTTATGTATTTGTATAAATTTAAGGGGTACTAGTACAATGTGGTTACATGGATATATTGCACACTGGTGAAGTCTGGGTTCTTAGTGTGTCTATTATCTGAATAATGTACATTGTACCCATAAAGTAATTTATTATCACCAACCCCTCCCACCATTCCATCCCTCCTTGTCTCCAGTGTTTATTATTCTACACCCTATCTCCACTTGTACACATTATTTAGCTCCCAGTTACAGTTGAGAACATGTTGTATTTGACTTTTTGTTTTGAGTTCTTTCACTTAAGGTAATGGCTTCCAGTTATATACATGTTGCTGCAAAAGACATTTTCCCTTTATTATGGCTGAATATTATCCCATTGTGTATATATACCATATTTTCTTTAGCCAACCACCCATTAATCAACACTTATCTTTTCTATTGTAAGTGATTCCCTATCTTTTCTATTGTAAATAGTGCTGTGATAAACATACAAGTGAAGATATATTTTTGATATAATGATTTGTTTTCCTTTGGGTAGATACTCAATAATAGGATTGCTGGGTTGAATGGTAGTTCTGTCTGTAGTCCTTTGAGAAATCTCCATACTGTTTCCATACTGTTGTACAAAGTCACATTCCCCTAGTGTGTAAGTATTCCCTTTTCTCTGCATCCTTGCCAGCATATGTTAATTTTAACTTTTTAATAATAGTCATTCTGACTGGTATAAGATGGTATCTCTTTATGGTCTTAATTTGCATTTCTCTGATGATTAGTGATGTTGAGTGTTTTTTCATATGTTCACTGATGATTTGCATGTCTTCTCTTTAGAAAGTTTTATTCATATTATTTGACTTCCTTTTATTATTTGTTGGGGGTTATTTGCTGTTTTTTTGTGGTTGAGTTGTTTGAGTTCCTCATAAATTCTGGATATTAGTTTCTTGTCAGCTTTATAGTTCGAATATAATCTCTTCCATTCTGCAGTTTGTCTGTTCACTCTATTGATTATTTCTTTTGCCATGCAGAAGATTTTTAGTTTAAGTAACTCTATTTTTAGTTTGTATATTTTGGGGTTTTTTGCATGTGCTTTTGAAGTCTTAATTATGAATTCTTTGCTTAGGCCAATGTCCAGAAGAGTCTTCCCTAGATTTTCTTCTAGTATGTTTGTAATTTCAGATCTTACATTTAAGTCTTTTATCTATCTTGAATCGATTTATGTTTATAGTGACAGATAGGGGTTCTCTTTCATTCTTCTGCATATGGCATTCCAATTTTCCCAGCACTATATATTGAAAGGTATACCATTTTCCCAATGTATGTTTTTGTCATTTTTGTTAAAGATTAGTTGGAAGCAGATATGTCACTTTATTTCTGGATTCTCTATTCTGTTCCATTTGTCTAGGTGTCTATTTTTATACTTGTACCATGCTGTTTTGCCTGCTCCAGCCTTGTATTATAATTTGAAATCAGATAATGTTATGCCTCCAGCTCTGTTCTATTTGCTTAGGATTACTTCATTATCTGGACTTATTTGAGGTTCCATATGAATTTTAGAATTATTTTTTCTTCTGTGAAAAATGACACTGAGATACTGATAAGGATTGCATTGAATAAATTCAATGTTTCTTTATTAATTTTGTATCCAACTGATCTGTCTAATGCTGACAGTGTTAAAGTCCACAGCTATGATTGTATTGAAGTGTATCTCTCCTGTCACATTAATAATATTTTATTTATATATCTAGATGCTCTGGTGTCAGGTATATTTAGAACTGTTATATCCTCTTGCTGAAGTGATCACTTTATCATTATATATCATTATACATAAACGTTTTTGTCTCTTTTGCTGTTTTTGATTTAAAAGTCTCTTTTATCTGATATAAATATAGCTACTCCTGCTTTTTTCTTGTTCCATTTACATGGAATATCTGTTTCCATCCCTTTACTTTCAGTTTGTGTCTTTACGGATAAGATGAGCTTCTTATTCATACACAGTGTATAATTGGGTCATTTTTTAATCCTTTCTGTCAATCTATATTCTTTACATGGAAAATTTAATCAATTTATATTCAAGGTAATTATTGATGTGTGAGGGTTTATTTCTGTCATTTTATTAGTTAGCTTCTGGTTGTTTTGTATATTATTTGTTCCTTTCTTTCTTTTTGTTTTCCATTGTGAGTTGGTTGTTTCCTGTAGTGGTAATCTTTGAGTCTTTTATCTTTCTTTATGTGTTCATTCTACCAGTGGTTTTTATTTTTGTGTGTTTTAATGATGATAGACACTGTCCTTTCACTTTCAGGTATAGGATTGGCACATATTTTTAGGACTGGTTCAGTGATAATGAATTCCCTCAGCTGCTGCTTATCGGAAAAAGACTTTATTTATCTTTCATTTATGAAGGATAACGTTTCTGGGTATAGTATTCTTGGCTGACAGTTTTTTTTTTTCTTTCAGCATTTTGAAAATATAATTCCATTCTCTCTTGGTCTGTAAGGTTCTGCCTAGAAATCCACTGTTAGTCTGATAGGGGTTCCCTTATAAGTGACTAGATGCTTTTCTCTTGCTGTTTTTAGAATTTTTTTCCCTGTTTGTGACTTTTGATAGTTTTACTATAATGTGCCATGCAGAAGACCTTTTTATATTGCATTTATTTGGGAATCTATGAGCCTCCTGTATCTGGATGTCTAACTCTCTTGCTAGATTCAGGAAGTTTTTATCTATTATTTTGTTAAATAGAATTTCTAACTCTTTCATTTCTCATTGCCTTCTGGGACACTGCAAATGTGAATATTTGATAACTTTCTGGTTTCCTGTATGTCATCTAGGTTTTGCTCACTCTTTTTTAATCTTTATGTTCATCTGATTTAGTTATTTCAAAAGTCCTGTTGTCAAGTTCTGATATTCTTTTGTCTGCTTGATGTAGTCTATTGTTGAATCTTTTGAATGTATTTTGTATTTTATTCAATGAATACTTCAGTTCCAGAATTTCTGTTAGCTTCTCTTTATGATGTCTTTCTCTTTGGTAGTTTCTTATTTTTATCGTGAATTGTTTTTCTAATTTATTATATTATTAGTATTCTCTTCTATCTCACTGAGCTTCTTAAATATCAGTAATTTTTTTTTTCTGGATTTCAAACATTTCTTTTTAACTGGGCTCTGTGGCTGAAGATTATTGTATTTTTTTGTTAAGTGTCATATTTCCTTTCTTTTTCATCTTTCCTTTGCCCTTACATTAATATCTCCTTATCTGGGTTTAACAGTTGCTTCTTCTAATTTGTTGAATTTGCTTTCATAGGGAAAACATTTTCATGAAGATGTATCTAAGGTGTTGGTTGAGTAGGGCACTTTGGCTTTTATTCTGAGTACATGCAGTAGTATAGTCTGTATGATTTCTTCAGTTGTAAATAGTATCATTGGTGTCTTTGATTTCCTTGGTGGTTTAACATGATTGTTAGTGAAGGCTATGGTCAAACTTTGCTGAGGATTGTGACATCAGGTATGCTATTCTTTGGGTCTCATTGGTGGTAGTGGTCGGCTGAGTGAGCATTTCCTTAAGCCCCAGTGTAGGCAGACGCCCTGAAACTATTGCTACAGAATAAAAGATGAAATGCTCCTGATTATTGTAAATATAAAGTTGCATACCGGATTGTTTAAAGATAATGCCAGGTTGGACTGCCAGAATGAGCCAACAGCACGTGATGTGCTTCCCCCTGCAGAGAGCCTATGAATGGATGTGCAGTCAGGGAAGTTTCACATCACCAAGATTCCTATCCCAGAAAAGCAGATATTTATAGCTCTGGGAGTGGAATGCAACCTTTGTGGAGAGCCTATAAACGGACACATGGGGGGCGCCTGTCCATATGGATAAGATAGGGCTATAAACGTCCTCATCTTGTCACGGCTCTTCTAGACCTCTTTAGGGTTAAGGCATACTCCCTTCTGAGAATTTCTGGTCTAACCGGTTGTCTAGCTTCATGTCTTGTTTCTATGGATTGTTTGTAACCAGCTTTTGCTGCAACTGTTACTGCTGATTAATATCTTGCTAATTGTAGGTTATGGAAAGACTGTGTTTCTATTTTAAGGCTCTGTTAGAAATTACTGATGCCCACACTATATTGTAAATTCTTATCCCTGTATACTGTACTTCTGCATACAGATGTTATGTTAAAGAATTACTTCATCCCCTTGTGAGCATCTCACCTCATAATCAAATGACCCTAAATCCCTCACTAACCTACCCCCGCCCTCACTAAACTTAATAATAAATGCTGGTATATCCAGTGCATGGTTGGCACCATGGGACCAGAAGGCAGTGACCTCCCTGGACCCAGTTTTCACTATCTTGTGTGTGTCTATTATTTCTCGACTTGATGATCCACCTGAGAACAAAGAGAGAGCCCCGTTGCATTGCGGGCTGCTGGCCAGATCCCGCAATACCCCAGGGCAGCGTATACTTGTACCAGTGTTGGTGGGTCTAGGCAGAAAAATTATTAGGTCTCCAGGTGGCTTGCTCAGACATCAGGAATGGCAGTGGTGGGCCAGTGGGTAGGTAAATTCTTGAGCCCCTGGGCAGTAGGTGTGGCATGGTCACTAGCAGTAGTGTGGCAGGCCAGGTCTCACTAACTCAGGCCTCCATTACAACTGTCCCAGCACTTACTAAGTAGCTAGGTTAAACATTAAAAGCTGATTGAACCAGTGTCTTTATATAAAGGCTGGAATGTAACAAAAGACCATAGAAAGTTGTGCCTAGGCATTTCCTGGGCCTTAAAGCATGACAAAATAACAAAGGAGTTCTTAACAGGACTCATTTAGGATTAAACAAGTTTTATTAGGGGTCTGAAGAAACTCCCCAGGCCCCCACAAACAAGTTTATTGGAGATCTGAAGGAACTCCCCAAACCTCCATGATTTAGCAGGAGTCAAGATAAGGGTAATCACCCCAGCACCTGGATGCATTTAAATTAAGTAAACTTACTGAGGATCCAGAAGAAGGTCTTCAGGGCTCTGGCCTTAGTTATAGATTAAAAGAAGTTAATCACTTATGTCTTTAGACAAATGCACACTTACACATAGATGTATAACTTAGAAGGTATATGAGCTCTGGAGAACTTTGTAATTTTGAGTTGGTCTGGTGATAATTTCCAGGCCTTTTCCCTGTAACTGGTTACAGAAATAAAAACTGTCTTCCTTCCCAGTTCATCTGCATCTCATTATTGGGCCATAAGAAATAGCAGCCCGACCCTCAGTTTGGTCCGGGAACAGTAGCAGTGGTAGGATAATCCTCTGAGGCCCAAGCAGTCTGCTGTGGTGTTGTCAGTGGCTGCGATAGGCTGTGTGGGCCAGTCCCAATTCTGTGGGTGGCATGTGTGTGTGGGTGTCAGCTGTGGATACACACAGGTTGCATGAATCTGATTTCAGATCTTGGGATGAGTTCTCAGGTGCCAATCGTAGTGGACTTGGCTGGGCCATCCTCAGGGCCCTGGATAGCATGTTCTGCTATTGGGGGGTGCAGAGCCAGGCCAGGTAGACCTGCCTTCAGGATTCCAGGTGGTACCTGCAGTCAGGCACTAGCTGTGATAGGCAGGAGTGAAGTGATCCTCAGGCTTCTGGTGGAAGCAGCAGTGCCTGTGCTGTGGCCCTGCTGCTAGTGCTACTAGGGAGGGCAGGGTTTTCTTAAGTGGGAGCAGCCATGGGCAGGCAGCTATAGGGCCTGCACTTCACTTGCACCTCAGCCCCACAGAATCTTGAATTTTTTCCTCAGGGCATGTAAAAATACATGACTGTCCCTCTGTTGAGCGGGGTGGGGTCACTGCCAATGGCTCCTGCCTCAGCCCCGTTGCAGTAGCTGTGGGTGGAGAATGTTCATGGGGATCCAGGGATGTGGAGATTCAGGACAGGTTGGGACCCAGGGTAGGAGGCAGTTTGATGAAAGCTGGGCTCTTACAATGGTGCTGCGCTGCAGCTGCTCAAGACTCTGGGATTTGTGGGACTCAACCTGAGCTCCCTCTCTGGAGCAATGCCATTGCACTATCTTCAGGCAGCTGCCTATGATAGTCTTAGGGCCTACAAGGGTTGGGGGGATCTCCCCTGGCTAAAATCATGGGAATCTGCAGTGAGAATGTAGATCACTACCCTCTTCTTACATTAGGGATCCTTTCCAGGCTCTCAGCTGATCCTGGTCCAACAAGTTGCCTTACTTCCCTCTCCTTCCTTGTAGGCCTTATATCTTTAAGGTGCAGTTTCTTATGAAACAAAGAGTATTATGAGATTTCTCTAGGATAAAACATGAAGTGTTTGCTCTTTGCTGAGTTAATTGTAAAGGGGAATGCAGAATGCTGGTACCTACTGGATATACCATGTCTCTTTATGTATAAAAGATAAGGGAACAGCTGGACTAGTCTCTCTACCTCAATTTACTTCACAAAAATATGGTTTTCAGCTTTTGAGAAAGCCTATTTTCCTTTAGTACACATTGTCCTGTACAAATTTAAGAATAAGAAGATATTGCCATTTGTACCTTAGAATCAGTTATATCTACACACTGGCTTTAATATATTGAAAAATGTATTTTTTATATTGTGAGCATTCACAGTAAACAGCTGAAGTAAAGAGCTATGGTGACTTCAGAACATGTCGCCTTCTTAAACTTTGTGATTTGATCTTATGCCATCTTGGCAATATTTTCTGCATTATGTTGTTAATTTTTGTGACAATAGGCATATTTCACATTAACATATTTCACGTAAACTGGAATTGGATTAAATGATTAAAACACCATTAACACTGTCATCTACTGACTAGCCAGTTAGCAAGTTACCAGCAACACATTCAGAAGATTAGGTCTAGGAAATCAAATAGCTATTACTAGGCATAACAGAACCAAAGGCAAACATTCACATTTCTTTATATAACCAGGTCATAGGTTGTTTCTGTCAACTGAAATGTTTTTCCTGCTAAGCCCATGGCTATTGTCTTTGCTTCCAGGTCTCATCTTTGTTACCTCCCCTGTAGCACCTTCCTCAACCATACTAGCTAAGTTAGCCTCACATCCCTGTTATTCTCAATCATGGCACCTTTATTGCTTGTTTCTTTTATATTAGTATCACAAGTAGTAATACTAAATATATGTTTGTTTAGTTTTTGTTCATCTGTGTTTCCAACTTGCAAACTTTGTTAATGGAAAAACACTTTCAATTAACAGAGTAGATATCTAGCATGGTAGTATCTGCTTCATAATAGACAAACAATAAATATTTAATAAGTGAGTGGACAAATACATGTGTATATGTTCTTCAAAAAACCTGTAAGAATAGACAATAATCTCTATTTGTGGAGTTTTAATTCATTTTCATTTTTATCTTTATGGATTTCTGCATTTTTTTAGATTTTCTATATAAAAATATATTTATCATAATAAAATTTTCAGGCTTTAAAAATAGGAAAAGCAGATAAATAAAAATGAATACAATTAATAAATTAAAAATAAAATAAAATCAATAAAATATATAAATAAAATAAAAAATACATAAATAAAATTAATCTCCAAAAGAAAAAACAAAATTTAAAGAAATTATAGTATTTTGAAAGCAATTATTATATAGCAGTGATCATAAATTATATATTTCCTGACTAAAAGATTAAATCCATTATTAAGCTGAACCAAGTTTCATAGTAGAGTGATCCCTCTCTGTACATTTTCTGTATTGCCTTTTTTTGGCTCCTAGAAATAAGATAATTCTTCCCAAATAGTCCTTGATATCACTGAAAATTTGACAATTTATTATTAAAGCACAAAAGCTAATACTCTGCTGATGTTGTGTCAAGAAAATCAACACAATGAATAATTCCAGCTCTAAAATGGTATTATATCCTGCTAGTATGTGATAAGGCTAAAGACCTAGAAGAATCTAGGACAAATTGCAACTAAATCCCCACCCAACCACTTTCCTCCACCCATTTCCCATAAAACCTGCCCCAGGAACACTTGTCCATTTTTCTTCAAATCATTTGTCAGATTCCCCCAGTGAACTCCTGAGTATTTGAATACTCAAACATGAGAAAGATTAAGCAAATGTGGTTTTAATATTGGCTTGGCAAATCACATATGAAGAAAAATAGAAAGGGTCATTCTGAAAATTAATCACAGATTATTGGGTAGCAAACAGTACAATGCCACACTTAACTTTAGTTGAGCCAGACAGAGCACAAATATTTGACTTTTTAAATCGACAGTGATACAGAGTCTAGAGACATATGGAAGAAAAATTGCTCAGTTTTCGGTCCTCTTTTTTTTGCCTACTATTGCTGTCAGGGTAGACACTGGTGATTTATTTTAAGCTGAATTTCACTCAATCAGCAAGAAGCCATAAATTAATGTTAAGATAATACACATTATGCTGAGCAAATTACTTTCAAATCAATGAGATCAATGAGTATGTTGTAACTGATATGTCTTAATTATCAATATTTCTGTTCATGTCACTTTCAGTTTTCCATTACATACCACATATCCTATTTCAAACCAAATGCATCTTAAATCAAGCTAAAAATATTTAAACATTTTAGGATAGATGTTCTCCACTGACTTTTATTAATAAGTTACAGGCACTGAAAACCAAAAGAAGCAAGTCCATGTGTACTATGTCTACATGTTTGATATAGTTTATGGCAAAAACTAAATATTTTCTGATTAGGCCATTTTTTTTTATTTTCAAGTTTCTTTATATCCTAAGCCAGCTCTTCCAAGATGTGGAATATTTCCAAAGTTACTATAGGCATGCTCTTCTGTGAAAGTATTTCTTTCCTATAAAATGAGCCAATAGTGATTCTTCAGTCTTTCATGATGAAAGCAGCACTGAGAACCATTCTTTACAACCTGTCTCCTACAAGAGAAGAGAGAAAAGATAAGAGACAAAACTATTAGAGTCCTGTAAACCAAATATTCTTTTATGATGTGTTCTATTCAGCATCAGTTAAGCGAAACTCACACTGAAGACTACCAAGGGGAAAAGAAAGCATTCTTCTTGCCTGGAAATTAAGCTATCTTATGCCAGATATATGAGGAATGTATTCTCTACCAGGAGAAGAACAAACTCAGAAATTCACAAGTCATTATTGTTACCTAACTTTACAATGGATTTCAATTCTTCCTAAGAAGGATGTGTTCTTTGTATCCTCACATATTCAGTCAGATTTATTCCCACTGGGTCTGTAGTAGCCAAATCTTGCCTTTTGAACTTCTAAAATAGTTTCTTATAAGTATTTTTCAACTTCCTTAACTGCAGAATTTCCTTTTCAAATGCTAGAATGTTCCCATTTTAGGATTGCGTGCTACTCTATCTTCACTGATAGTAGTTCAAAATAAAAACTTGTTATTTGTCTAAAGTCTTTGACTAAAGAAGAAGAAATATCGAGAAAAGAGTATTTGCATCTGACATCACCAAATTACTAAAGGCCAACATTTGTATCTGTTAGATAACTCATTTATCTTTCACTTACATATTACTGTAAGCAAAATATATCAACACATGTTTGATCAGGAGATTGAGAAATATTTACTTTACTGGGATAAGTCAGGGTAAATACTCTTTGACTAAAATATTGGCTCAAAAACATGTATCTTGGAATAGTTCCAGATTTTGGAGAAAATTAATTTATCAGAGAATATCCATGCTTTCTCAGGTACAGATTTTCATTAGGAGGAATTTAATATATTCCAAGAGCTTTTGTCCCCTATTAAGAGTTACATGTTAGCATCAGGTTTCATGGGCCCTCCTCAACATACACAAAAAGGCAGTTAGTATCACTTAGTAGTTACCCAATGAGGTTAGAGCTGATTATTCTCTTCCTCAAAGAGGAGATTAAACTCTTTCATAGATAAAAAGCCACAATGACAAAAAAAAATCTATATATGAGCAATGTTACACAGTCTTAGAGCTCTTTACAACAGTAAGCTTTAATGCCAATCCCCTTCAAAAAAAAGGGAGTGGGTTAGATTTCTTACCTGCTCAGTTCACTTTGTTTAATGCTAAATTCCCACCATTTAATCCAAAATAATATAGTTGCAGTCCTTTTTATTTAGTGAAAAACCTTAAATGGTTCCCATTAGAAATTTATATATGTGTATGTATTAACACCTAAACTACAATTTTCCTGTATTGTTTCCAAACTACTTCCTTACTTGTGACATAATTCCTCCTGCTTCCTTTTGGTATGAATAAGAAGACACTGGTAGCAAGGCCCTAGGCCAGTGCCTCATGTTTCTGAATGGACTCAGCCCTGAGCATTGTGGGAGACATAATCTGACAGGGTACCAAATACCTTGGGAAAAGTTGTTAACTATGGACAGGGAACAAGGACTACTTAGGTTTCACACAGGCATCCAGTAAATCATTATTAAAACCCGCTGGTACAAAGAACTTAAAATTTTTAATTTATGTCCTAGTTTGACCTTATTAGTTTATAAATATTGGCATGTCACCTGTCTCCATTCTTCTGTTTTTTCATTTTTCAATTACAAAGACATGTGTTCTGCCTGCGCCCCGTAGACATTCGGCACACCTGGGCCCCTGTTGCAACCTCTGGGCTGTTGTTAACATATAAGGAGATCATGTTCCCAAAAGTATTAGGAAAATAATTAAGTGCTATACCAGTGCAAGTGGGATTTTTTCCCACAAGTCACTGTGCTAGGTGCTATGATAGATACAAGGAATTCACAACCTAGCAAGGAAGATAATGCAGGTATTGAGGGGGTGATACAAAATAATTAGCAGTACATGGGAACCAACCAGTCATAGAGTGCCAGGGAATACCACCTAAATATCAGTCCTAAATGTCATATCAAAACAATGTATTATAAAGCACAAAGAGAAAGATCTTGATTCTTATTATGTTCATACTGTTTGTGATCTACTCTTTCATAAGTTATATATTGTCACTTCTATATTATAATGGCTGAATTCAAGCTTGCAGACAAAGGGTAAAGAACTAGTCTTTCTAGCTAACACCTGCTAGTCAATGGTCCAATTCAGCAGTATTCCATCTCTGTTTGTATAGCAATGTCTATTTGTGTAGTTAATAAAATATTCAACTGCATTTTGACTTACTGTTTTATACAAGTGGTAAAATATATAAAAAGAAACTAAAATTAGGAAGCATTGGGCCAGGCATGGTGGCTCACGCCTGTAATCCCAGCACTTTGGGAGGCCGAAGCGGAAAGATCACGAGGTCAGGAGATTGAGACCATCCTGGCTAACATGGTGAAATCCCGTCTCTACTACAAATACAAAAAAATTAGTTGGGTGTGGTGGTGGGCACCTGTAGTCCCAGCTACTCAGGAGGCTGAGGCAGGAGAATGGTGTGAACCCCAGAGGCAGAGCTTTCAGTGAGCCGAGATCGCGCCACTGCACTCCAGCCTGGGTGACAGAGCGAGACTCCGTCTCAAAATAAATAAATAAATAAATAAAAATAAAAGAAGTATTGGTCTCACATTCAATAAAATTTATGAAAATACATTATCACATGTGCAAAAATTTTAAATTATAGTTTAGACATCTATAAAATAAACTGTCTTAGAAAATTAAGACAATAAACCAGATACTCAACTGTTAAATAAGAGAATAACATGCTTGGAAAATATTATCAAGATCATCATGTACTAATTAACTATATTATAAATTTTATTTATAATATACTTATAATAACCATATAGTTATTATAATATGAAACTATATTATAAATAGTAAAATTTATAATATAGTTGGCACATTGGGAATGAAACATTTAATCCTGTTTTTTGACTTCTAGTACCATTGATTTTTTAACATGTTTTCAATAATGCATTGTGTGTAAAAGTAGGAGAAAACTGATAGAAAAGTGTTGTGACAATTGGCAACAGAAATACATTTATAGATGGGAGGATAAAAGCTAAGTCTCAGAAAAGAACTAGAATTCGAACTTATGAAAATGAGGAGGACATTCTGGGTGGAGAGAGCTACTTAATCAAAAGTTTTAAGGTGGAAAAATACAGGGCATATATGAGGAACAGTCAGTCCCTGTTCCTGACAAGAGAAGGTGATGCTTTCTGGAACAAATCAAAAATAGAAAATTATAGTTAAGAAGTTAGAAATAGCTGCAAAATAGCAAATAAGATTTCAAAAACTCATCCTATCTTTTGTAACCATTCTTTTCGTTCCTGCCTACATATGTATCTTTTCCTGCAGCAAAAGACATTGACCGTCAAAACACATGCTCAGATGTTCACTTTCAGCTTAGAAATATGATACTTAATTTGAGCAGGAGAAATTTAGGGGACTCAAGTCCAAAACACTGGGACCAGCATCAAGTTACTCTGGGTATTAATGCATAAACACTTGCCATTTGTAAAATAAGTAAATTGTGAATCTTAATTTTGGCCTTCTGAACTGGCTCCTGCAAGTTGGGTCTCAATGGTAACATGAACCTGTCTTATTCCATGGTCAGAGTCACTTTTTTGATTACTTTCCTACTATAACCTGACTAGTGCTCCAAACCACTGGAACAGAGTTAGAATAGAGTTGTGTTTTTCCCTTTGTGCAGCTCAGCAATTTAGATCCTGTTACATGAATCACGGTTTTTATAGTACCAACTGCCTTTCTGTACCCAAGGATCTCTGACTATCACAGACTCTTAGATTCCCATAGCTTTTCTTTGCAAATTTGTTGACCCCCAGTTGTTCTCACTTGCTTGGTCATTGTGACCATTGCCTGGTCCTGAATCTACCATATTCTTTCTGTTCTGGCCTTTTTTCTGGGGACGATCACCGTTAATTCAGTCCAGTACTATGTCTTACTGCCCTAAACTGCTACAATTAATAGGGGTCATTTTCAGCCATGAACTAACAGATGATATATGTCTTCCTCCCTTTTTCTAACTTTTTGTATTTTAAAAAAATATAGTGAACACATTGTACCTTTTTTTTGAAGTTTCCTTGATAAACTACTAACCTCTTGCTATTTTTAGGAAAGACACTAAAATTACACTTACCCTTTAAAAAAAGGTTGTTGAGATGTGAACAAATGTATATCATTCAAACAAATGTATATCAATAAAAGAATCAGAAGCTGGGTTTTCAGATCACTGCCACTGGATGGCACATTGCTCTGTCAGTGACAGGACAGTTTCTGCACTTGTGTTTCCGGGGACAGTCCTTACTCAGAGTGCAGAGGTGGACATAATTGATTGCATGTGTTTTACAAGTACATGATCATACTGCAGGGAGGGAGGGTGAGTCAGTTGCTTGACCAAATTACTGAACCTACTCTAGCTGAAGGACAGAGAGTAGGCACTAAGAGCGCAGCAAAGAGAGTAAGACATACTGCCTCCTTCCACAAACATTCAAGAGTTGTGACTGGCAATCCTGGCTGAGGATCAAGGTTAGCTTGGAAGCTTTTAAAAGCAACAGATGCCCAGGCTATAACCCGAGAGTCTTGGAGTAAGGGTAGAAATTGTGACAATAAGTCAGAGTTGAGATTCATTGCTTTATGGTCAAATTGGGGAGTAAGCAAAGATTTATGTAATCAACATTCAAAGACAGGTTAATATGCACACCAGCCTGCAATGTTTGGTTTGAACAAAAACAAAACATGTGGGAGTTTAGGGAATTCTACTGTATAGATTGCCATTTGTTGTTCTTCATATCAGTTCAGAATTATCCAAACATTGTATAAATTAATAAATTCCAAAAAAATAAAATAAAATTTTAAAAACCTCAATTTTTTAAAATTACACATTTCAGAGCCCTACCATGGCCCCACTGCACCACAGTTTTCAAGAAAAGACCCTGGGAAACTGAATTTTCACAAGTGTCCCGAGGATTCTTATCATCAAGGAAGACTGGAAAACACTGATCTGGATACTGAAGATGCGGGACTTTGAATGGTCTGTTATATGGGGCTTGTGTGCAGGTGACAAGCACATCATGACCCATAAAATCGTGAGTGGCATACCTGAGCATGAAGTTCTTCCATCACTTGTACTGCAGTCACTCAGACCCCTCACACTCCGTCGACTATTCCAATCCCATTCCTACTTCAGGGACTTTGCACTTGCTCTTGCCTAGTCAGCAAACTCTTTTCCTAACTCTTCAAGTGATTAAATTCTATTCATCTTTTGCTACATTCTCAAAATAGTCTTCCCAGCTCTGCTCAGTTAAACCAGGTTTCCTGTTAAAGTCTCCTTGCGCTTTTTACTTTTCTTTATAATAATCATTGCTTTCGTGGTTATCATAATCTTGTGATAATGTTTTGGTATCTGTCTCCTGCACTAAACAGTAAGTTCCTTTGTGGTAGGGCATTATTCAGATGTTCACAACAGTATCCCCAGTTTATTGCCACAGCCAGTCTCATTAAAGACCTTATAAGAATGTGTTGAGTATATGAATAAACAAATGCGTACATCAACAAATGAATACATGAATGAATAAAAGTACTCAGTGGACGCATGTAAAGATAGAGCAAGGTAGCAGGGTGAGATTTACTGAAATGATGGAGACGAATATGTGCAGAGGTGAAAAGCCACTCATGGAGTGACAAAGATTGTGCTGGGCCCCAAAGCAAACAGCAAGGAGACTGGCACAGCAGAGAGGAGCAGAAACATGCCAGGTGGGCAGCAGTCTCTGCAGATACCCTGGAGAAGTGAGACAGAATATGTGTGCCTGAACAAGGAGCCAGCCAGCTTGAATTAAGCAGAGAGAACAATCAGGCTATGATGAAAGTGGAGGACACTTAGATAACGAGTGACTCATATCAGTTTTGATTTGACGTAAGCAGAAACTCAGAGATCCTGCAGGGTTCAGAGAGGGAGAGAGATGATCAAAACAGTGCTTACAGAGGATGACTCATACCCTTTGTGTAGAACTGAATGAAGGGACAGGACTAAGATATGTGAAACCAGCTAAGTGGCTATAGCCATCAAGTTGCAGTGCAATTGGGAATCAAAATGTGTGCTCTGTTTTATTTGGATACATCCTGCCTAGTGTCATGAGTTTGACGCACCGGGTAGAAACATGATAATAGTTGTAGACTAGAGGAAGAGCAGGGGTCTAATGAAAGAATCAGTTAGATTTGGACTGACTTTCATAGAGGAAGAGGGAAGTGAATTAATGAAGATATTAATTTGTACACCCAAAAGTCTGCATGTTGCGGAACTACATGAAGAATTACAAACTCAGAGAAGTCTGAGAGTGGGAGAAAATAATGAATTTTGTTCTTAGCATGAAGTCACAGTATGACATTTAAGGAAGCTTATCCTCTGTTCCATGAGAATTACAGGACATTAAAAGGGCTGAGAATAAGAAAACTTCAGTTACCCAATGACTACAACCTCTGAAACGTGAAGAGATACCCACAGCTATGGGGTGCCAGAGGGGATAGGAATGAATCTCCTAACTGGTCTCCCTACTCCTAATCTCCTGCCTTTCCATTTCATATTCATCTAGCAGGCAAAGTGCTCTTTTGTCATTCAGATATTAACTATGTCTGTCTCATGCCTAAAATCTTTAAGCAATTCCTTACAACATTTTGGATGAAGGGCCGGTAGATTCACTAGTACAAAAGGTCTTTGAGAATGTATCTCCTGTACTTCTCTTCTTCGTCTCTCTCGATGGGCAACTTGTACTTTTCACTCCAGTCACACCAGTAATTTTTTTATTTCCCTGAATGAGACATGTTCTTTTATGCCCTTCTACCTTTGTAAGTGGTGTTCCTTCTAGCTGTCCTATCTTTATCTGCCTTTTGTTGCCTGGTGACTTTTATACTGTCTTCAAAACTTCAATCATCATCCCCTCTACAAAGTCTTCCCTGGATTCCCTCTGCATCTGCCTTATGTGATCCAACAGCTTACTCTAGCCTGTCCCCAGCAGAGAACCCAAATTTGTGTGCTTGATTTTTTTTTCATTCTAACTAAAATATTATCTTCTTGTAGGCAAGGGTGGAATCTGGCACACTTCTATTTTCTATGCTTAGTACAATGCCTGACACATTGTGGAAACTGATATACTCTTTGAAGAAGGAAAGAAGGAAGGGAAAGAGAAAGGAACGGAAAGTAAAGAAGTTGAAAGGAAGAGAGCAAGAGATGAAGGAATGAAACAAGGTAGAGAGAATGGAAGGGATAGCTTCCTCTCCCTCCAAAAAACAGTTCTTCCAAAATACTGGGAAAAACGAAGGAGAGAGATAACAAACCCAAGCCAACTGGTATAACCCAAATTGAAGAAGATTTAGTGAATTAAATCAGTTGGGCATCTCACAAACAGCATAAAATATTTTTTGTAATTCCTCATCATTTCAATAATTACGTGTGGAGCCCTGCATTGATGCCAGGTATTGTGCTGGTGAAGGGAGGTGGTACAAAAAAGGACACATTGAGACACATTGAGACACATCGAGGACACATTGAGACAAACATTGCATCAATGCCTGACCAAGACACAATGCATTACAGAGGAGAGAGCAGCCAAACATACATTAGGAGTGCAGTTTATGGAAGTTTCCTAAAGGATGTGACTCAAAAATGAGTAGGAATGTGCTAGGTGTGAAAAGAGGGATAGATCATTCCAGAGAAAGAACCAAGTATCTTTGGGCAATAGCAGACAGTTTTGAATGACTGAACTCAACCAAATACTTTTTATTGTTATTTTTCATGGTTTGGCAGTAGAAAGAGATTAACAGATTAAGATTAATTTTACCTCCTTCCTCACATATCCTCAGACATGTCAGTTCTGCCACCTTCTCCACCTTTTGCAATGACACCTGCTGCCCTACTCTATGTTTTCCCCACATTGTGGTCATCCATTGGGTTGAGCAATTCTACCTCTTAATTATTCCTGATTCTCCTCACTGCAGTAAAGGCCTTGCACTTAATTATTCTTCTACCTCTTGAAGACAGTTCATAACTACTATGAACTTAATTACTTAATTACTCTGCTACCTCTAGAAGACAGTTCAATCTACTCCTATTGGAACATGTATGAGAAATGTGGCAGTAGTCTCACTATTCTTTAAACCAAGCTTGTCCAACCCACAGCCAGTGGGCTGCATGTGGCCCAGAATGCCTTTGAATGTGACCCAACACAAATTTGTAAACATTCTTCATTTTTTTCCCACAATGTCTTTTTGCAATCTTTTTTTTTTTTTTTTTTTTTTTGGCTTATCAGCTATCGTTAGTGTTAGTGTATTTTATGTGTGGCCCAAGACAATTGTTCTTCCAATGTGGGTGAGGGAAGCCAAAAGATTGGACACCACTGCTTTAAACCCTTCTTGTACACTGAACCTGAGGAGCATTCTGGTAAATGTTTTTTTCTGTTATGTTGTTACATAATTCATCATAATTTCTCATCGGTACTAAAGGACTCTTCTGATCATTCTAAAAAGAAAAATGCATGCCAATTTAACTGCTGGGACAACCTGGTCAGATGCTATTAATATTTTTCTACCTTTTACCATCTAAATGGGATGTTTGGAAAGGGAGAAAATAATGCTGTGGCACATCCCTAGAAATGTTACCTCTTATGACCCTGAGCTTCTCTTGGGCACACTGAGTCTTGGGCAGGTCAATGGTCAGAAACAGCCTCTGGCTGCTCATGTTGGAAGGCCCTAGAGACCATTTTGTGGGGGACTGCATGGACCTAACATTGGCTGAGCAACTAAAATGCACCAAGCTCTGTGCCCAATATCCTTATTATTATACTTATTCCCGTAGCAGATACAAACGGTTTTATCTCTTTAGAAAAGTGGCCCTCCAACTAGTCACATATTCTTACACCGTTCACATTTTTCATCTTGTCTCTCTCAGATTAGTCATATAATTATGAGCTGCTTATGTGGCAACACAAAATTGCCAATTGTTACTCCTACCTTAAAGTAGCATTTTAGTCTCTTCTTTTCAGAAGCCATTTATTCAGACATACTAACTTTGTGCTTGAGAATAATTGCTTTAGCAATCTAACTACTCCTGTTTACTTCTTTGCCCTTTTCTTTTATTATGGAAGATGTGTATGAAGAAAAAAAAGAAGTGGTAGATTACAACATTTCTATTTACTAGAGTGATTTTTTTCATCTGACAATTCCAGAAGCCTTTCTTTAATAACAATGAGGGTTTGACACACATGGTGCTGCAAGTTAAATGCTCACACATGGACATGCTTATTTCATTCTCATAACAACCTTGTAAGTTTGGTGCTGTTAATACCTTCATAACACAGATGAGAAAATCCAAGCTTCATATAGGCAAAGTGATTTGTCCCCAAATCACAAAATTAACCAATGAATGGTGTCAAGATTTGAACCTGGAAAGTCTGTCTCCAATCTTTGTAAGTAGCACATTGTACTGTCTTCCTCTCGTTACCATATATTTCCTATTCTGTTTCTCACTAAAACACTTACTACCTAGCACACAATGTGGCCACAAACAGCACAGGAGACTGCTACTAGGACAGAAAGACTTGAATTATTAAGTCATTCAGAGTCACTTGAAGTCACAGCCCAGCTATACAGCCTCCCTATTACCCACTGTGTAGAGATCATGCTCTGTAGCCAAAGCATAAGTAAATCTGCCTCATGGGGCCCTTTTGGTCCTTTGGCAACCAAATCCCCTTCTAGGTCCAAGAAAGGCAGGATGTACACATATCTCTGTCCCTCTTAGATTTGATGCTCTCTTTTCATTGCACACTCTGGACTAGCCCTGTTCATGACTGGGTTTTTAGGTGCTTTTTCCTGGCTTGATTAAAGCGTGCTTCTGGCTTAATTCCAGGGCTGCATTCTGAGATTCTGCTTTGCCCTCATATTTTACACTAGATCTGTAGCTTTTCTCATAGCAGCCATTGCAGCAGGGATTGTTCTGAATAACACTTCCAGATTAGGTCTGTAGCTCATTTGTCTGTAAGATTGGTTCCATTTCTAAACATCTGTAAGACCATAACAGACAATAATCTAAGCTGATATGGTTATATTTTGATATCATAGTGGAGCTAACCAAGAATTTTTATTATCCTACACTAATGCTATTTTATCCTTAATAATTTTTCAATATTAAAAGTTAAAAATAACATTTTAACACCTCAACTTCAGACAAATATGAGAATAGGTTCAAAAATATTAGATTGTAATAATACATGGTTTAGATTGCAGTAATACAAATTATAATTAGGGTAAAATTGGCTACTATTGGTACAACAAGCAACAAGATAATTTATTATGTATATGTAATATTAATAACCCAAATTCAAAATATTAGTTTTTCTGATCTGTACATTTGTCTAGTTTTTAACACCAAAACTTCCACATTCCACTCTCTAGGCAGTGAATTACAGGGTCGAATAGTTATTCCATCTCTACGAAAAATCCCCTAAACCTTAGGAAACTCAAAATTCCTAGCATGTTTCATTTGTTGGAGGAAGTTTTCATTCATAGATTGCTTTACTGTGGCAAGGCTCCATGAAGGAAAATACACTGTATTTCATAATTGGGAATGCAAGTTAACTCCATCCTCTCTAAGTGTTCACTGTATGAGTGTGGCCTTGTCTGCTCCCAGTGATTTAGGCTCCCATCCAGCCATCTATAGACAATGGATTCTAAATGAACTCCATTAATAACCAACCCTTAATAGTAGCTACCATCCTAATTATCAGTTAACACCTTAAAGGAATACCATAGGAGAACTCCTGTAAAGCTTGTTTACAACTCCTATGACTCCAAAAGAAGGAGCTGCCATTATCAAAAGCAGCAGAAAATCAAAGACTAATTCACCTACTTTATAAACTTGCCTGTGGCTTCCCTATCTGTGGAGCTCCATGTCATCTCCAGCATGAATGACTTACATTTCCAACCACCTGACTTTACATAAAGAAGCAGAGAATGGCATCAGACTTATGCCATCTGGTATTATTGTTCCTTTTTTTGTGAAGACTAAGAATAAAATTAAAATGTAGGGAGGAAAACAATAAAAATCGTAGTTGGGGGAAAATGAAAAACACATTTTGATGTTTATTCCACTGGTCTCACGAGGCTAACTTTGTAACAAACAAAGGGATGCAGTAGATTAAACACTAGCATTAAAATAAAGAAATAGAGAAAGGAATCAAGTATTTAGACATGGAAATATACAGATCTTCAACTTTAGTTTGTACAGCTGTTTGCTTTTAAAGCATAGAACTGTTCACTAAAATAAAGTTATGAACCAAAATTGCCTTAGAAACCCATGAAATTCTTCTTTTAAAATGGCTCCGTTTTCTTAGTCAAGGCTAAAATTATTCTGATCACAACTGTTTGTCTTGGATAATATTGGTTCAGTTGGATTATCTAATTATTTTTGCCATCTCACAGAATTTATTTTGTAATTTTATCACAATTTAGAAGAATTTTTTAATGCCCATAGTATTGCTTATAAAGATAAAGGTCAAGAACATTTTTACAATTGCTCAAAACAAAGATTATCTTTTCTTGGAAAGAGCTATGGATTCTAATCCTGGCAAATCTACAGAAAATTTCTGGTAATCCAAGAGGATCCTTTGACCTTTCCCTATCTTCCTAAAATGTTGTTAATAAACAAAGAAGACAGGTTGGCACTTGACCTTCCTATGGTCTGAATGTGTGTGTTCCCTCAAAATTCATATGTTGAAATCCTAATTCCCAAGGTGATGGAATTAGAAGGTGGGGCCTTTGGGGGTGATTAAATCATGAGGGCAGAGCCCTCAAGAGTGGGATTACTGCCCTTATAAAAGAGGCTCGAAGGAGCTTGTTCTCCTCTTTGGTCATGTGAGGATACAATGATAAGATGTCTTGTTTGAAGCAGAAAGTGAAGTCTCACCAAACACCAATTTTGCCTGTGCCTTGATCTTGGACTTCCCAGGCTCCAGAGCTATAAAAAATAAATGTCTGTTGTTTATAAGCCACCAAGTTTATGGTATTTTGTTATAACAGCTGAAATGGACTAAAACCTATGAAAGAACAAATAACACATTTAAAAGAATAAAACCTGAACAACACAGTACTCAATTAAGTTCCATGGGGTTTTGTAGAACCTGATAGAAATTTAAAGAGAGGGCTTCAGAAAGAAGGTAAAAATGACATTTCTCTGCACACTTCTAAACAATTATTTGTTTACTTATCATTTATTTATAATGAAGAAGAAGGATAATACCTTCTTCTCAACAGTTTTAGAGAACAAAATAAAACACCTTGTGAGGCTGGGTTGACAAAGTCTCAGATTAGGGCAAAAAAAAACAGTGTCAAAGTAGTTAATTGCATTCCTTGCTGATTTTAAAGAGAATCAGAGTGGTTTATGAAGGCCCTTTAGGAAGTGAAAGTAAAACTCTTCATTTGATTTAACACTGGTGTATATATATATGTGTGTGTGTGTACATATATATATATATAAAACTTTTGCAAAGATTGGCCCAAATCAAAAAGTTATTTGAAAACAAGGACTTAAAAAAAAAAAAGTGGAGGCCAGGCGTGGTGGCTCACGCCTGTAATCCTGGCACTTTGGGAGGCTGAGGCGGGAAGATCATGAGGTCAGGAGATCGAGACCATCCTGGCTAACACAGTGAAACCCCGTCTCTACTAAAAATACAAAAAATTAGCTGGGCGTGGTGGCGGGTGCCTGTAGTCCCAGCTACTCGGGAGGCTGAGGCAGGAGAATGGTGTGAACCCCGGAGGCGGAGCTTGCAGTAAGCAGAGATCACGCCACTGCACTCCAGCCTGGGAGACAGAGCGAGACTCCGTCTCAAAAAAAAAAAAAAAAGTGGAAAATATTATTGTTGTTTTTATCATTGACCACAGACCTCTGGGGGGTGGAACAGAAGAATATTCTGCATTAAAATCTTATTAGTGATTTATAAGGCTCATCCTTGTGAAGAAAGTACATACATCCAATCTACATTAGGGGCTCTTTAATTAGTAATAATTTTTGAATTTCCTTGCAAGTTTTTAAAAGGTTCAATTAGTTACTTGAAAAAAGACTAAATATAGCATTTCATGGATCTAGAACCTAAAATAAAGGGAGGTGGAAGGTAAGATACTCATTTTTATGATAATCCAAGAAGAAATGTATACTATCAACATAGTTTGTTAATAAAGATATCCTAAATGTATGAAACTATGGAAAAGAGGAAGGTCACAGGTTGAATATATATTTTGTTATTTGAAAAAAAAAAGTCAACAAATGCTATTCAAGCATGAGATTAGTTTGTGGATTACAGTTTGCAATTGAGTAATTAAGTAAATAAAATAAGGTATTGATAATTGTGAGTAAAATTAAACGATATCATATTGATAATAGTATTGAGATTAATACATTAAATTCTTCTCAATCTTGCTATAGCTAAAAAGCAAACATATTTTTCTATTAAAAGGAACATGACAACACTTTAAGTATTTTGCACAGCCTTAATGTGAGCAGAGGCCAAAGAAAACATAAATTGAGGGAATTGCCAACACCGAAGTTTCAAATCCTATTAAAAAGAAAACAATGGTGTTGAAAATTTCATGGCTTGAGACACAATGATGCATCCAATTGCTTTATTTCATAATGTGTAATTAAATTGGAATTACCAAGATATATTTTGGCTTCCAAATAATCTGATAAATACTAAAGACCTTGAAATGTCAATCATTTCAAGTAAAATTAGTTATGTAGAAGTTATTTCCAGAAAAAAGACAACATTCATGCGATTGTATTTCTTACACTCAACCTACTTCGGAAAAGCTGCCTTAAATGGCAACAGTCCCTTCAACCTGATTGCCTTTCACTTATAAAACAAAGCACATATGCAATCATTTGATTGTTTGGGCTTTTAAACTAGGCCTTGAGTCCTTTGGAATATGATAGCTTTATGGGAAATTCAGTTAAAGTAATTCCTTCAATCTCCAAACACTCACCAGATAAACCACATTCCCTCCCTTCACTTCCTTTCTGTGCAGCTCCACAAATTTTGTTCTGATGGCATTGAATGTTACAGATTTTAGCAGCTTGACAAGAAAGAATCATTTGTCATCTATTTTCTTCACTTTGTTCATCTACAACAATGATTATCAACCTTGGCTGATCATTAGAATCACCTGGGGAGCTTTTTAAAAAGTTTCCCTTTCTCAAAAGATTGTGATTTAAAAGGTCTGAATGTGAGCCCAAACCTCAGTGTGTTTTTTTTTTTAACTTTCCAGGTAATTTTAATGTATAAACAAAATTGAGAAATACTTGTTTACAAAGAGCTAGAATGTAAAGCTGAAGTAGGACTAGAAGTGTGGCTGGGAGTGGCTTCCTGACAACTAATCAGGAAACTGAGAGTCCCCTTGGCGAGCCAATCATGCTTGCCTGAACGTAATAGATTGTAAGATGGATCTCCAACTTGAATATGCACAGGAATCACTGGGCCATCTTATTAAAATATAGATTCTGATTCAGTGGGTCTGCACTGGGCCTGAGATTCTTTATCACAAACTATTTCTAAAATTTCATTTCAAAAGTTTTTGGGGAACAGGTGGTTTTTGGTTACATAGATAAGTTCATTAGTGGTGATATCTGAGATTTAGGTGCACATGTCACCTGAGCAGTGTACACTGTAACCAATGTGTACCCTTTTATCTCTCATCCCCTCATTCCACCCTGCCCTGCAAGTCCCCAAAGTCCATTATATCATTCTTATGATTTGCATCCTCATTAACTGAGCTCCCATTTATAAGTAAGAGTATACAGTATTTGGTTTTTAATTCCTAAGTTACTTCACTTAGAATAATAGTCTTCAACTCCATGCACGGTGTTGCAAATGCTGTGATTTCATTCCTTTTTATGGTTGAGTAGTATTCCATGGTATACATATATTATATATATATCACAAATTCCTTATTCACTCATCGGTTGATAGGCATTTAGGTTGATTCTATAATTTTTTAATTGTGAACTGTGCTGCTACAAACATGAGTGTGCAAGTGTCTTTCTTGTATAACTTTTTTTCCTTTAGGTAGTTACCCAGTAGTGGGATTGCTGATCAAATGGTAGTTCTTTTAGTT
Organism: Homo sapiens; assembly: GCF_000001405.40. NCBI lineage: Eukaryota > Metazoa > Chordata > Mammalia > Primates > Hominidae > Homo > Homo sapiens. Next base: position 81,461,217 of record NC_000006.12, read on the forward strand.
CTTTAAGGAATCTCCACACTGTTATCCATAGTGGTTATACTAGTTTACATTCCCACCAGCTGTATAAAAGTGTTTCCGTTTCACTACATCCATGCCAATATCTTTTTTAAAAGAATTTTTTAATTGTGGCCATTCTTGTAGGAATAAGCTGGTATTGCATTGTGGCTTTAATTTGCATTTCCCTGATAATTAGTGATGTTAGGCATTTTTTTTCATACGTTTGTTGGCCATTTGTACATCTTTTAAGAGCTGTCTATTCACATCCTTTGCCCACTTTTTGATGGAATTATTTGTTTTCTTTTTTGCTGATTTGTTTGAGTTCCTTGTAGATTCTGGATATTAGTCCTTTTTCAGATGCATACTTTGTGAATATTTACTCCCAATCTGTGGGTTGTCTGTTTACTTTGATGATTATTTCTTTTGCTGTGCTTAAGCTTTTTAGTTTCATTAGGTCCATCTCTTCATCATTGTTTTTGTTGCATTTGCTTCTAGTTTCTTGGTTACGAATTATTTGCCTAAGATAATGATTAGAAGAGGTTTTCCAATGTTATCTTCTACAGTTTGGATGGTTTCAGGTCATAGATTTAAGTCTTTGATCCACCTTGAGTTGATTTTTGTACAAGGTGAGAGATGCAAATCCAGTTTCATTCTTCTACATGTAGCTTGTCAATTATTAAAACACCATTTGTTGAATAGGGTGTCCTTTCCTCACTTTATATTTTTGTATGCTTTGTGAAAGATCAGTTGGCTATAAGTATTTGGCTCTATATATGGTTTCTCTATTCTGTTCCATTGGATTACATGCTTATTTTTATTTCAGTACCATGCTGTTTTGGTAACTATAGCCTTGTAGTATAGTTTGAAGTCATGTAATGTGATGCCTCCATATTTGTTCTTTTTGCTTAGTATTGCTTTGGCTATGTAGGCTCTATTTTGGTTCTGTATGAATTTTTTTATTTTTTTTCTGTTTTTGCGAAGAATGATGATGGTATTTTGGTGAGGACTGCATTGAATCTGTATATTGCTTTTGGCAGTATGGTCATTTTCACAATATTGATTCTACCCATCCATGAACATGGGATGGGATACAGCAAAAGTGGTGCTAAGAGGAAAGTTCATAGCTTTAAATGCCTACATCAAAAAGTCTGAAAGAGCACAAATAGACATCTTAGGTCACACCTCAAGGAACTGGAGAAACAAGAACAAACCAAACCCAAACCCAGCAGAAAAGAAGAAATAACAAAGATCAGAGCAGAACTAAATGAAATGGAAACAAACAAAAAAAAAGATAAATGAAACAAAAAGTGCGTTGTTTGAAAAGATAAAGAAGATTGATAGACCATTAGTGAGATTAACCAAGAAAAGAAGAGAGAAGATCCAAATAAACTCAATTAAAAATGAAACAAGAGATATTATAACCAATACCACAGAAATACAAAAGATCATTCAAGGCTACTATGAACATCTTTATACACACAAACTAGAAAATCTAGAGGAGTTGGATAAATTTTTGGTAATATATAACCTTATAGATTAAATCAGGAAAAATTGGAAACTCTTTACTGGCTAATAACAAGTAGCAAGATTGAAATAATAATAAAAAAATTGCCAACAAAAAAAGTCCAGGACCAGATGGATTCACAGCTGAATTCTATCAGACATTTAAAGAAGAATTGGTATACTTCCTACTGAAATTATTCCAAAAGATAGAGAAAGGAAATCCTCTCTAAATCATTCTATGAAGCCAGTATCACCCTAATACCAAAACCAGGAAAGGACATAACAAAAAAAGAAAACTACAGACCAATATCCCTGATGACCATAGATACAAAAATCCTCAACAAAGTACTAGCTAACCAAATCCAACAGCATATCCAAAAGATAATACATCATTATCAAGTGAGTTTCATACCAGGAATATAGGGATGGTTTAACATACACAAATTAATAAATGTGATACATCATATAAACAGAATTAAAAACAAAAATTGCATGATCATCTCAACAGATGCAGAAAAAGCATTTCATAAAATCCAGCACCCATTTACGATAACCCTCAGAAAAATTGGCATAGAAGGGACATACCTCAAAGTAATAAAAGCCATCTAAGACAAACCCAGAGCCAACATCAAACTGAACTGGAAAAAGGTGAAAGCATTCCCCCTGATAATTGGAACAAGCCAAGGATGTCCACTTTCACCACTTCTATTCAACACAGTACTAGAAGTCCTAGCCAGAGCAATCAGAGAGAAGCAAAAAATACAGGGCATGCAAATCAGAAAGGAGAAAGTTAAACTGTTGCTTCTAGCCAATATGATCATATACCTAGAAAACCCTAAAGACTCATCCAGGAAGCTCCCAGATCTGATAAATGAATTCAGTAAAGTTTCAGCATACAAAATAGTGTACACAAATTAGTAGCACTGTTATATACCAACAATGACCGAGCTGAGAATCAAATTAAGAATTCAATCCCTTTTACAAAAGCTACAAAAAAATAAAATAAAATACTTAGGAATATATTTAGCCAAGGAGGTGAAAAATCTCTGCAAGTAAAACTATAAAACACTGGTGAAAGAAATCATAGAGTCCATATTCCTTACTGGCTTCCAAGGAATGCTGTAGCTATTTTCTACAGACCATACTTTCAGTAGCAAATACATAAATATGGTCTCATGATTAAAATGTGGTCAGGTTTCTTTCAAAAGTTATATAAAAGGTAATACTGATATAGAGGTATTCAACACACAGTCATTTATAATAGTGAAAACCTAGAAATATTCTAAATGCCTAACAACAGAGCTAATTTGAAGGGATAATATTTGATATAACAGTATATTTTCAGAGTTTTAAATTTCATGGAAAAATCACTAAAATATACAAAGAAAAACTATGTTATGAAATTATACACAAACTATACAGGAATACCCCAATTACATTAAGATGGATAAAAATAGACTAAATGTGATGCAGAATGTTTACTGTGATTATGACAGATTTTGTGATTTTGAGCAAATTTAATTTCTTTATAGATTTTTGTATTTTTTATTTTATATATTTAATACTTTTGCCTTTATAATAAGATAAAATTTACTAAGCAAAATAATGTGTTGTATCTGATCACATATGCCTTTCTAATATTTGTGTCAGGGCACACTACAAGATTTAATCCCCATTAGTTTAAACTTGAAATTCCTTAGTTTATCAAAAAAAATTTTAATAAAGATTTATATGTGTATTTCCCACATCTTATGATGAATTTCATGTCCTCATTGCTCCTTATGTATATGCAGAGTAGTACCTTCTTTAATTTGTCCAAAAAGCAACATAGCTCTGTCTCTCTCTCTATATATATATATATATGTATACATATGTATATATAAAATACATATCACACACATATGTATATATAAAATCATGTATAATGATGAAGCTGTACTTATCCTAGAGATGCAGGTTGGTTTAGTATTTTTAAAAACATAATAAAATGATGTGATTCTCCATGAGATAGGGTCTAACAAGTCAAATTCCCTAACACCATGACAAATTACTTGTAATTTTTAAGTAAAAGCCTTCACTCCTCCCCTCCACTAATCCGTGTTAAAATCGCCTCAAAATCCTTCTCCTTATCCACTAAGGATTCATTCAATAAAATAGAACACATGTTCCCTAGGAAATTAAACTTATAGAGAATAAACTGACAACGTCCACTTTGAGTCTTAAATCCATGTGAAAGTTGTACGCAAAAATATGTGAATGGATGAGTTGTCAGCTGGCTCATTAGAAAACGGATCTTTCTAAAGACATTTGGAATGGAACGAAGGATTTATCCTCTCAAGAGTGTGCTACCAGGTGTGGTAAAGATCTATCCAAGGCAAAGAACAACTTTAATTAAGATAAATCCTTTCTAGAGCAGAAAACACTAGGGATCTCCCTGTTGGGATACCAAAAACTTCAACCAAACTTGTTTTTTTGTGTGTATTTGTCTGGAGAACTGCTTAGCTCAATCATACTCAGTCTTTTGACACCACCAAAGAATTTTAGTCTGATGCTTTTACTCTGATGCCCACAAGTACTCCATCCAATGCTGTGACAAACTAATACTCAATCCTGACTACGTATAAAAATTACCTGCTGAACTTTAAAAAAATATTTGATGTTTGGCACTATTTAGAAAAACTGAATTAAGTCTCTGAACATGGATTCAGGACATAGTCATTTTTATAAATAGTGGCCAGAGAATTCAAACCTGTAGCGAGGGTTGAATTTCACTGTAATAACCCACCAACTTGGCTCACCATTGCCTTGAACAAATTCGAGCACCTTAAGGTACTGACATTTTAATAATGATCAAAAATTTAAGCCAAGTTAATAGGATTTCAGGCACCAGTTATAGCCCAAAGAGAAAGAAGGGGAATAGAAGGAAGGGTAAAACATAATTTTGAAAAAAGTAGTAACTCCTGCCTATAAACATAGGCAAAATACATGGTCCTCTTCTTATCTATTTATAATGGTGATTCTCTCTTATTTTAGAGTTCTAGAACTGTAAAATCCATTTGGTCCAAACTCAATAAGTATATGACTTTCTATTCTATCTGAATTTTTCAGACAGACTGGGACTATGCTATGCTGACCAGAAAGTCTAAGACTACAGTTAGAGGGGTATATGTTTGTGACATACATTGTCCCAAATTTCCAAGAAAAAGTATCAAGTTGACAGCATAAGCATTTTAATCCTGTCAGGTATTTTCCCCTGTTCTGTCAAATCTAACCCAGATGCCCTACAACCTTCAATTTTCCACCCACAGACAATCATCTTTTTAGCTTGCCCTCTGGTGGCCACTATTTCCTTCCCAAAGCTACACTTTTTTTTCCCCTCCATTCAACTTCATTTCACTAGAGGATTTACCAATAAAATTCAAGATTTCCAGTTAAATTTGATTTTCAGATAAAGAACAAATAATTTTGGACATACTTTCATTTAAACATTATTTATTGCTTATCTGATATTCAAATTTAATATGGGCATCTTGTTTTGTTTTTGTTTTTGTTTTGTGTTGTGCTGCTGAATCTGGCAATCATATAGCAAATATATGCTGAAATGCAGTGAAACATTTGAAAAATTTGCTTGGCATTGGAACTATGGCAGTATTATCAGACCTCAAATTAAATTTACAATCAAACCAAGAAAAGAAGACTCCCAATTTTTAAATTTTTAATTATGAGGGAAAAATGGATAATCAAGCAATCTTGATGAAAATCTCTCTTAGCATTTAGAAGATCAATTAAAGAAAAAAATGGATTTGCAAACATTATTATCAATATGACTTTTTTATTCAATGTTCTTGTAAATTACTTTTTCGTTCAGTAAAAATTTTGTGGATTAAATGCAAAAGTTACAGGTTAATCAGTGATATTTACTTTTAAAGTTAAAATACAGGGAAAAGAAGACTATAAAAATGACATTTTATTTTACATCACCTTGTTGTCTACATGGACATAGAATTTTCAGAAGTTTTATCTGTAGTCATTTTGAGCCCACAGGTTTTAATTATTTTATTAAATAACTTACCTAATAATTAGGAGTTTAGGCCGTTAGCTTTTTTCAGTTTTACTATTTTTTTCTATAATTTCAGGTCTGTCTTTTAGTGAGAGATAGGAATTCCTAATAAGATGTTAAGTTACATGATGGTGTAAAGTTGTCATTCACTTCCTCCATCTCCAGCCCCCATAGTACTGGAAACCTCCTGCCTACCCAAGAAGTACTATAGTGGATTGCATAGAAGGTGTGGGACTTTTAAAAATGGTAAAGAGAAATTTCAACATTTCTTTATAATTAGATAAAAAGTGAGAGACATCATGCTAAGATTAGTCAGTCTTGGGCACCCAGTGAGCTAGGCAAAGACACACTTGTCATCTAAAACCAAAACCCCTAGAAGACAAGCATGTATAGTAAGATAGTTGTACAAAAATATTTATAGCAATGCTGTAACTGGAGAATAAACAGAACAAACCAAAACTGCAAATGCTAATAATCATTATCAGTATGATATATAAATAATTGTCATATAGTCATATACTGAAATACTATAAAACAATTAAAATGTACCACTGTGGCAAAGAGTGATAAGCAAGGAGGATATGCATGTGTAGTGGAAAGCAGTATATGAAAAATATCTGTACCTTCCTCAACTTTGCCATAAATCTAAAACTGCTCTAAATCATAAAGTGTATTAAACAGAAATAAATAGTAATAAATGAATGTTTATACACATAATAACACAGGCATAATATTGACTAAAGATAAGCAAGACACATAGCATAAGATATTGTTCACCTTCACAAATAATTTAGTAAAACTACATGGAGACAAGGAATGAAAAATACAAAATCCAGATGGCAACTACTTCTTAGGAAAAAAAAACAAACAACAAGACGTAACTGTAGAAGGAAACACATCAAGTTTTAATTTAGTGGTAATAGTCTCTTTATTAATGTGGGTATTGGTGGTCACTCTATCATGATTTTTCATACCATCCATATACTTTAAAAATACTTTTATTATCACATCAATGTACATTTTAAAAAAGAATAAGCAAACTTCCTCATCTCAGATTATTTTTTGCTATTTGAACATATATATATAAAACATATATAATATATATATGTTATATATAACATAACATATATTATATATAACATATATTATATTTAATATATATATTATATATGTTATATTATATATGTTATATTATATATGTTATATTATATATGTTCTATATATTATGTATGTTCTATATATTATATATGTTATATATATAACATATTATAATTTATTATATATGTTCTATATATGATATATCATATATAATATATATGATATATAATATATAATATATGATATATAATATATGATATATAATATATAATATATGATATATAATATATATAATATATATGATATATAATATATATGATATATAATATATCATATATGCTATATAAATATATATAACATAACATATATGTTACATATAATATAACATATCATATATGTTACATATAATATAACATATCATATATGTTACATATAATATAACATATCATATATGTTACATATAATATAACATATCATATATGTTACATATAATATATATCATATATGTTACATATAATATATATCATATATGTTACATATAATATATATCATATATGTTACATATAATATAACATATCATATATGTTACATATAATATAACATATCATGTGTTACATGTAATATATATCATATATGTTACATATAATATATATCATATATGTTACATATAATATATATCATATATGTTACATATAATATATATCATATATGTTACATATACTATATATCATATATGTTACATATAATATATATCATATATGTTACATATAATATATATCATATATGTTACATATAATATATATCATATATATAAAATTTCAAGTTGGGTTATTTAAGTTTATTTTAGGAAATATGTTTAAATCACAGATTCTATAGCTCTATTTAGACTGTTTTCAATCACAACTTGAAAAATCCCAAAAATATATATTAAAATGTCAAGGATAAGTTAAAATTGTGTGAAAGACTGAAAAATAAATCTGCGGTTCTGCAGACACTGCTGCTGATACACAGACAAACAGGGTCTGGAGTGGACCTCTAGCAAATTCCAACAGACCTGCAGCTAAGGGTCCTGTCTGTTAGAAGAAAAACTAACAAACAGAAAGGACATCCACACCAAAAACCCATCTGTACATCACCATCATCAAAGACCAAAAGTAGATAAAACCACAAAGATGGGGAAAAATCAGAGCAGAAAAACTGGCAACTCTAAAAAGCAGAGTGCCTCTCCACCTCCAAAGGAAAGCAGTTCCTCACCAGCAATGGAACAAAGCTGGACAGAGAATGACTTTGACGAGTTGAGAGAAGAAGGCTTCAGATGATCTAACTACTCCGAGCTACAGGAGGAAATTCAAACCAAAGGCAAAGAAGTTGAAAACTGAAAAAAATTTAGACGAATGTATAACTAGAATAACGAATACAGAGAAGTGCTTAAAGGAGCTGATGGAGCTGAAAGCCAAGGCTTGAGAACCACGTGAAGAATGCAGAAGCCTCAGGAGCCGATGCGATCAACTGGAAGAAAGGGTAAAAGTGATGGAAGATGAAATGAATGAAATGAAGCGAGAAGGGAAGTTTAGAGAAAAAAGAATAAAAAGAAACGAACAAAGCCTCCAAGAAATATGGCACTATGTGAAAAGACCAAATCTGCCTCTGATTGGTGTACCTGAAAGTGATGGGGAGAATGGAACCAAGTTGCAAAACACTCTGTACGATATTATCCAGGAGAACTTTCCCAATCTAGCAAGGCAGGCCAACATTCAGATTCAGGAAATACAGAGAATGCCACAAAGATACTCCTCGAGAAGAGCAACTCCAAGCCACATAATTGTCAGATTCACCAAAGCTGAAATGAAGGAAAAAATGTTAAGGGCAGCCAGAGAGAAAGGTCGGGTTACCCACAAAGGGAAGCCCATCAGACTAACAGCGGATCCCTCGGCAGAAACTCTACAGGCAAGAAGAGAGTGGGGGCCAATATTCAACATTCTTGAAGTAAAGAATTTTCAACCCAGAATTTCATATCCAGCCAAACTAAGCTTCATAAGTGAAGGAGAAATAAAATACTTTACAGACAAGCAAATGCTGAGAGATTTTGTCACCACCAGGCCTGTCCTAAAAGACCTCCTGAAGGAAGCACTAAACATGGAAAGGCACAACCAGTACCAGCTGCTGCAAAATCATGCCAAAATGTAAAGACCATCGAGATTACGAAGAAACTGCATCAACTAATGAGCAAAATAACCAGCTAACATCATAATGACAGGATCAAATTCACACATAACAATATTAACTTTAAATGTAAATGGACTAAAGGCTCCAATCAAAACACACAGACTGGCAAATTGGATAAAGAGTCAAGACCCATCAGTGTGCTGTATTCAGGAAACCCACCTCACGTGCAGTGACACACATAGGCTCAAAATAAAGGGATGGAGGAAGATCTACCAAGCAAATGGAAAACAAAAAAAGGCAGGGGTTGCAATCCTAGTCTCTGATAAAACAGACTTTAAACCAACAAAGATCAAAAGAGACTAAGAAGGCCATTACATAATGGTAAAGGGATCAATTCAACAAGAAGAGCTAACTATCCTAAATATATATGCACCCAATACAGGAGCACTCAGATTCATAAAGCAAATCCTGAGTGACCTAAAAGAGACTTAGACTCCTACGCAATAATAATGGGAGACTTTAACACCCCACTGTCAACATTAGACAGATCCACGAGACAGAAAGTTAACAAGGATACCCAGGAATTGAACTCAGCTCTGCACCAAGTGGACCTAATAGACATCTACAGAACTCTCCACCCCAAATCAACAGAATATACATTTTTTTCAGCACCACACCACACCTATTCCAAAATTGACCACATAGTTGGAAGTAAAGCTCTCCTCAGCAAATGTAAAAGAACAGAAATTAGAACAAACTGTCTGTCAGACCACAGTGCAATCAAACTAGAACTCAGGATTAAGAAACTCACTCAAAACTGCTCAACTACATGGAAACTGAACAACCTGCTCCTGAGTGACCACTGGCTACATAACGAAATGAAGGCAGAAATAAAGATGTTCTTTGAAACCAACGAGAACAAAGACACCACATACCGGAATCTCTGGGACACATTCAAAGCACTGTGTAGAGGGAAATTTATAGCACTAAATGCCCACAAGAGAAAGCAGGAAAGATAAAAAATTGACACCCTAACATCACAATTAAAAGAACTAGAAAAGCAAGAGCAAACACATTCAAAAGCTAGCAGAAGGCAAGAAATAACTAAAATCAGAGCAGAACTGAAGGAAATAGAGACACAAAAAACCCTTCAAAAAATTAATGAATCCAGGAGCTGGTTTTTTGAAAGGATCAACAAAATTGATAGACTGCTAGCAAGACTAATCAAGAAGAAAAGAGAGAAGAATCAAATAGACGAAATAGAAAATGATAAAGGGGATATCACCACTGATCCCACAGAAATACAAACTACCATCAGAGAATACTACAAACACCTCTACACAAATAAACTAGAAAATCTAGAAGAAATGGATAAATTCCTCGACACATACACTCTCCCAAGACTAAACCAGGAAGAAGTTGAATCTCTGAATAGACCAATAACAGGAGCTGAAATTGTGGCAATAATCAATAGCTTACCAACCAAAAAGAGTCCAGGACCAGATGGATTCATAGCCGAATTCTACCAGAGGTACAAGGAGGAGCTGGTACCATTCCTTCTGAAACTTTTCCAATCAATAGAAAAAGAGGGAATCCTCCCTAACTCATTTTATGAGGCCAGCATCATCCTGATACCAAAGCCGGGCAGAGACACAACCAAAAAAGAGAATTTTAGACCAATATCCTTGATGAACATTGATGCAAAAATCCTCAATAAAATACTGGCAAACCGAATCCAGCAGCACATCAAAAAGCTTATCCACCATGATCAAGTGGGCTTCATCCCTGGGATGCAAGGCTGGTTCAATACACGAAAATCAATAAACGTAATCGAGCATATAAACAGAAACAAAGACAAAAACCACAGGATTATCTCAACAGATGCAGAAAAGTCCTTTGACAAAATTCAACAACCCTTCATGCTAAAAACTCTCAATAAATTAGGTATTGATGGGATGTATCTCAAAATAATAAGAGCTATCTATGACAAACCCACAGCCAATATCATACTGAATGGGCAAAAACTGGAAGCATTCCCTTTGAAAACTGGCACAAGACAGGGATGCCCGCTCTCACCACTCCTATTCAACATAGTGTTGGAAGTTCTGGCCAGGGCAATTAGGCAGGAGAAGGAAATAAAGGGTATTCAATTAGGAAAAGAGGAAGTCAAATTGTCCCTGTTTGCAGATGACATGATTGTATATCTAGAAAACCTAGATATACAATTGTCTCAGCCTAAAATCTCCTTAAGCTGATAAGCAACTTCAGCAAAGTCTCAGGATACAAAATCAATGTACAAAAATCACAAGCATTCTTATACTCCAATAACAGACAAACAGAGAGCCAAATCATGAGTGAACTCCCATTCACAATTGCTTCACAGAGAATAAAATACCTAGGAATCCTACTTACAAGGGACGTGAAAGACCTCTTCAAGGAGAACTACAAACCACTGCTCAAGGAAATAAAAGAGGATACAAACAAATGGAAGAACATTCCATGCTCATGGGTAGGAAGAATCAATATCGTGAAAATGGCCATACTGCCCAAGGTAATTTCTAGATTCAATGCCATCCCCATCAAGCTACCAATGACTTTCTTCACAGAATTGGAAAAAACTATAAAGTTCATATGGAACCAAAAAAGAGCCTGCATCACCAAGTCAATCCTAAGCCAAAAGAACAAAGCTGGAGGCATCATGCTACCTGACTTCAAACTATTACTACAAGGCTACAGTAACCAAAACAGCATGGTACTGGTACCAAAACAGAGATATAGATCAATGGAACAGAACACAGCCCTCAGAAATAATGCCGCATGTCTACAACTATCTGATCTTTGACAAACCTGAGAAAAACAAGCAATGAGGAAAGGATTCCCTATTTAATACATGGTGCTGGGAAAACTGGCTAGCCATATGTAGAAAGCTGTAACTGGATCCCTTCCTTACACCTTATACAAAAATTAATTCAAGATGGATTAAAGACTTAAACTTTAGACCTAAAACCATAAAAACCCTAGAAGAAAACCTAGGCATTACCATTCAGGACATAGGCATGGGCAAGGACTTCATGTCTAAAACACCAAAAGCAATGGCAACAAAAGCCAAAATTGACAAATGGGATCTAATTAAACTAAAGAGCTTCTTCACAGCAAAAGAAACTACCATCAGAGTGAACAGACAACCTACAAAATGGGAGAAAATTTTCGCAACCTACTCATCTGACAAAAGGCTAATATCCACAATCTAGAATGAACTCAAACAAATTTTCAAGAGAAAAACAAACAACCCCATCAAAAAGTTGGCAAAGTATATGAACAGACATTTCTCAAAAGAAGACATTTATGCAGCCAAAAGACATGAAAAAATGCTCATCATCACTGGCCATCAGAGAAATGCAAATCAAAACCACAATGAGATACCATCTCACACCAGTTAGAATGGCAATCATTAAAAAGTCAGGAAACAACAGGTGCTGGAGAGGATGTGGAGAAATAGGAACACTTTTACACTGTTGGTGGGACTGTAAACTAGTTCAACCATTGTGGAAGTCAGTGTGGCGATTCCTCAGGGATCTAGAACTAGAAATACCATTTGACCCAGCCATCCCATTACTGGGTATATACCCAAAGGATTATAAATCATGCTGCTATAAAGACACATGCACACATGTTTATTGCGGCACTATTCACAATAGCAAAGACTTGGAACCAACCCAAATGTCCAACAATGATAGACTGGATTAAGTAAATGTGGCACATATACACCATGGAATACTATGCAGCCATAAAAAATGATGAGTTCATGTCCTTTGTAGGGAAATGGATGAAATTGGAAATCATCATTCTCAGCAAACTATCGCGAGGACAAAAAACCAAACACCGCACGTTCTCACTCATAGATGGGAATTGAACAATGAGAACACATGGACACAGGAAGGGGACCATCACACTCTGGGGACTGTTGTGGGGTGGGGGGTTGGGGGAGGGATAGTATTAGGAGATATACTTAATGCTACATGACGAGTTAATGGGTGCAGCACACTAACATGGCACATGTATACATATGTAACTAACCGGTACATTGTGCACATGTACCCTAAAACTTAAAGTACAATAATACTTAAAAAAAAAAAAAAGAATGATTGGATGGTAGCTAGAAGAGCCATAGGGTTTAAGGGGGAATTTTTTTCTTAACCTATGAGAGAAACTTGATCATTTTCCCAGGCTGAGCATAAGTAAGCAGTTAGAAGAGAGGCGTTGAGTTGAAGAAGGGATGGCTGATAAAGTCTCTAAAAGATAATGAATTAGTCTAGAACAAACTATAAAAAGGAGGGGATGGTAGGGATAGGTTTGTAGAAAGTGAGGTAGGAAGCTTAGAGGGAGAGTAGCAAGCAAGGTGGACCACTGAAAATAAAAGTTGAGAATTGTAAAGCTTTGCCAGAGTTGATGAAAGAAATAATAAAGAGATATGCCAAATAAAAATAGAAAGATTAAGAAGTGATTTTGATGACCCAAGTTATTATAATGAATTACAATAACACCATTCTCAAAATTGTAGTATTTTTGCCCAGAAGTTTAGTAAAAGAGAGGAAAAAATTTTAGCAATGGTCCAGGGTTATATAATGATGAGAATATCTATGAGGGAAGGTATCTGAAGGTCAGATTATCAATCATTTTATATATATATAAAATATATATAACTGCACTATACTATAACTGTACTGTACTGTATATATACAGTATATATACCACATACAGTACTGTACTGTATATATATACACATATATACAGCATATATACACACATAAACTGTATATATATATACAGTATACATATATACAATACAGTATTCAGGAAAAAAGTCATTAAGAAAGTCTTTAAGAAAGGAAAAAAAGAGTTTCATTGAATAAAAAAATTTAAGGATATATATGAAGTCAAAGACCAGGCATAGTGGAGTAAGCTACTGAAAGAATAATATGGCATCAGACATCATGCTCAGAGAATAAGACATTTTTGCATTCAGTGATAGAACAACTTGAGCTTATTACAAAGTTTGTAGAGTGGCCTGTGGAGTGGATGGCTGAAGTCAATTGGCAGGTAAATTCACTGGCATTAATGAAGGCAAAGAATTGTGAAGCAAATGTTACTCACTGATAGTTGGAGTAGTTCTTTAGGGTTCTCCCAAATGGAGACAAGAGAGCAGGACATTGTGCCCCGCATTAACTAGTCATTAGATATGGGCCACCCACAGAGAGGTAACATAACCTCATGAAAGCAGATCTTATAGCCAAAGAAAATTCCTAGAAGTTCATTAATCTGGGAGCAATCAGCTTAGCAAATGAATGCTTTAGTGTGAAACTAGGGTATACCAGTGCACTCAGTACATCACGCCCCTTAAGCCACTCAGATTCACTTCCTTCATATACTTAGATGACCACACCTGAGGGCAGCCTCTCCAAGCTTCTTCCTGGTTTGTGTTTCTGGAGGAATTTAAAAGAGGATGGTTAGTGGAATGCACCATAAATCTTGTCACTGCAGGTAGACTCTGGCTATAGCTGATACTCATTATCTTCTTCTTTTACTACCCATTCCAGATAACCCTCACACTTGGCTAGCATTTTTGTGAGTCCAGGCATCTTACCTGGTAGGGTAAACCAGACCCTCATCTCTAAAAAATCTATGTCCTCATATCATCATGCTGTTCTTAGGCTGCCCATTTACCATAAAAGTTGGCCAGGAAGAGATTTGGTAGTGAATCACTGGTCATGATGGGTACATCTGATTATCCGGGCCAGGGCCAGTTACCCTTGCCAAAGAGATGACTACTCTTCTAGCCTGCTTGTCTTTTAAAGCCTGAAGTATTGAGGTCATAACCATAGCTATAAATTTAATGGGACTCTTACTTTATCCTTTGGTTGGAGCATTACTCTATGAGAATCAAGACATCTAGATCACAGAAGTACAAGTTTCCTAAAGGGATCATTAGAAATTGTGGAAAGCGGGGCTTGGTTCCCGGTTTCTTACACTCATGTATTTTACCAACTGGGCACATAGCACCATGACTAATAATGGCCATGACATAGGATGTATACTGCTTCCTGGAGAAGAGTACCTTATGATCTCAAGGTATTATCTTTACATTGTCACAGAAGTTACGCCTTTAAAAAAACTGTTTCATCTTTCCAGCATGCCAACAGCTTTTAGAAAATGTGACATGTGATAAGACCAGATGAACCTATGGTCATGCACTCACTTTCACACCTTCTTTGCTGTAAAGCAAGTCTGTCTGAGGTGATATTATAAATATACCTAGTTGGTAGTTCAAACACTACATAAGCCCTTATATAGTGGTGCTGACTGAGTTCCCAAAAACAGGAAAGGAAAATCCATACCTATCACGTGTTGATTCCAGATAAACTAAATTTCTTCCCCTTCCAGAATGATTTCATCAAGGGATAGTAGCACAACCGGGGACTCAGCATTGGTCTGTATTTCTAGCAGTTTGGATGTTCGGCATCATGGTAGCTAAATCAGTCTTGGTTGATGTTATGGATTGAATGTATACTCTCCAAAATTTATCTTGAAACTTAATCCCCAATGCCACAGTATTAAGAGGTGGGGCTTTTGAAGGTAATTGAGCCATGAGGGCTTTGCCTTCATGAATAAAATTTGTAACCTTATAAAAAGGCAAGATGTAGCTAGCTAGTCACTTTTTGCCTTCTGCCTCCACCAGGTGGTTACACAGCATTCAAGGTGGCCATCTTTAGAAGCAGACAACAAGCCCTTACCAGACATTAAACCTGACAGGACCTTGACTTTGAACTTCCCACTACTAAAACTATGAAGAATAAATTCATATTCTTTATAAATTACCCAGTCAGAGGTATTTTAGTATAGCAGCACAGACAAAAACAGATGAATTGGACATAATTGGGCATATGAACAGCCCCTATGCCTGCCACCACAGCTAATGTGTCCAAGAGCTCATGGAGTCAGCACTGAGTTGAACAAAGATTATTTTGGCTGGGCATCATCAGATAGCTGAGTCATTCTGTCTCCTTGGTTGCTTCATGCCTCTTTTTTTTCAGGGAATGCTCTCTTCTTGGCATGTGATACAAAGATAGTCATACTTCATGCAGGTCCCCATAACTCCATCCTGTTTGTCTTAGTGATTTTGGACTATTATAACAAAATACTATAAACTAGGTGGCTTATAAACAATGTATTTCTCAAAGTTCTGAAGGCTGAGACATTCAAGATGAAGGATTCAGAAGATTTGGTGTATGGTGAGGACATGCTTCTTGGTCCATAGGCAGCAACCTTCTTGCTATATAATCACCTGGTGGAGGAGTTAGGGAGTTCTCAAGGGTCTCTTTTATATGGGCACTAACCCCATTCATGAGGGCTCCATCTTTATGACATAATCACCCACCAAAGGCACTATCTCCTAATACCATTAGATTGGGGGAA
The DNA here is from genome assembly GCF_000001405.40 of Homo sapiens. Lineage (NCBI taxonomy): Eukaryota > Metazoa > Chordata > Mammalia > Primates > Hominidae > Homo > Homo sapiens. The sequence continues at coordinate 81,477,514 of NC_000006.12, forward strand.
AGGATTTCAGCATTTGAATTTGTGGGGGATACAAACAGTCTATAGCACTATTTTAAACTATAACTTTATTGTTATTCAGATATGGTGAGACCAACATATCAATGAATGATTACCACTGAAAACATGTTGTATTCACAAATTTCAACAGAAGGGGCCATGCCATGCCATGGGAGGCTACAAAAGGAAGTACTGGGGTTAGTCAGGTGGTAGAAGGAGGAGAGAAACTGGCAAGAGCTTTTATTGTGCTTTCCTTGTGAAGGAACATGTGAGACAGTATAAGCAGGTATAGAATAGTCTGTTTTGAATAATTTCAGTGGGCTCAGGGATGTAGGAGCTGTCCCTTTTTGTTTGATAGATGGCCCTGGAATAATTAGGGCAAAGGAATAGTGGCCCAGAGTGTAGGAGTATAAGATCTTGATAAAAGAGCTGACTGAATTATGGATTCTGAATTAGTTGATTTTCATTTGAAAGGTGCACTCTCAGGTGAGTTTTTGCTATCTCTTGGAATTAGCTAAGCGTAAGAGGGGCAGTCCCTCCTGGGTCAGCATGCCCCCAAGATGTTGAAACATCTTGTCAAAACAAAATGTGAGTCTTTGTCAAAACATCTTCATCAAAATAAAAAATATGAATAATAAAACATGATAAATACACATCCATATGCCTCTTCCCCATACCTCCTGGTCCATGATTTTCCAAACTTTATCCTTCCAGGACCCTAGAAAAAACAGCCAAGCTATTTACCACTGCCAATGAATGGACATATATTTTTACTTCAAGCCACTTCTCTCCACAGAGAGTGGATGACCAGGTCAAAACACAGGGCGTAAATTCTCATAGGGTTCTCTTTGTTAAGATTCATACTTGCCGCCACTTGCTCTTCTGATTAACTTGATGCCATCAATATAATGAATATCTGTGAAATGTCCAGACGACTCAGACCTTTTCCAACTATCTCATGACAAAGAGTAGGAGAGTTAACATCTCCCTGGAGCAAAAGCATAAATGCACATTCTTATCTGTCCTACATTAATTCAAATGGCTTCTGTTCTTTTTTCTTGCTGTGAAAAGAATAGATTCACTAGATCAATCTACCTAAGGCTGTACTGATCTACTTTAGAAGACATATCACATCTAATACAGCAGCTGCAATGAAATTTAAAATTTGCCTGTGTGTAGCCCATGTCCATGTCACTGATATTTACCAGGATCTATCTATTTCTTAAGGACCAGACTAATGAATTAAATAAACATATGGAGACAGCATCCCTGAATCTATTGACATTCTTAAGGGTGGTACTCTTCTCTGAACTTTGTTTTAATGTATTATCTTGGCTGGGGTAGGAAAAGGAGGTGGAAAGTGGGAGTGGAGTCAGTTGCAGAGCTTCCATTTGGCTTTCCTACTATCTTAGTTCTCACCACTCAGAAAAACAGTGCAGATGTTCTGCCAACTACTAAATGTGCTCATTCTAATTGTATAATGAGGGGCTCAGGAAATAACTACCAGATAGATTTGTGGACCCAGCGAGCTGAACCTGGGCCAGGATTCTAATTTTTAACCTAATACACATGTGTCTTCTTCTCTAACAGAGGTGTTTGGCGGTTATTTTGGATCCCAGGTTATCAACCTTAACCTAAGCCCTGTGTCCAACAGTCTTCAAAATATCTGCATCTTCCTCTTACTTGTGTGAATGGCCATAGGTTTCTGAAGGGGGGATTATTACATATACCTGCCATGGTATTACAAGATACCTACTCACGAGGATACAGCCTTTCCTCAATCAGCAATTCAGAATGTAAAAATATTGTGAGATCTGTAAGTTAAACAAGGGATCACAATGCTTTAATGAGGGGACCTTCCAATAAATCTGTGAGTTTTTTTTTTTGTTGTATGAATCTTATGAATTGAGCAGAACTCATTGGCTGTCCATTTATCTTGCTCCTAGGAATACCATGTTTTATATATCCATAGCTCTCTGTAGGCCAGTTCCCCTGGGCTTCCCTTTTGACTTTGCTACCAGTTATAATCACTGCATCTCTATTACTTTTGATGCTTAAATTTCCTGTCACCTGACCTTTCTTATTCTGGAGCCCATCATCCCCACTGCTATCAGAAACCTCCTTAGTGTAACATCATCCCCTATGTTACTCCTGTCCTATAAAAAAACATGCATTGCTGAGTTACTCAGACATACTGATGCCCCCTCATTAGAGCATCTCTTAACAGTTTACAGGTAGTTTATTCCAGATTCCCCAACAGTGTGCAGGGGTTTTCAAGCCTTACATGGTGCACCTCCACCAGCATGCTCACCTCTCTCAACCTCTTGATTCCTTCTTTTACTGCCTGCTATAGATAAGTTCCAGTGGCTCCAGTTTATTTATTGAGGACTGTCATTTTGTTCAAGCTTCCAAGAATGGTGCCATGTTATCACTGCTTCCTAAGGTCTTCAATAGGGTAATAAATCTTGTATTATGAGATAGTGCTCCCATATTGATAAACTCTCTCTTATCTAATATTATGCTCCACCTTCCCACCTTGATTCAGCACCCTCAGAATCAAATCACTCCCTGGTGCATGTTGGCTGGTCCTACATCTCTTCCATTTAGTCTCAGCATTTCTTGGGCAGGGCAGTGTTGTGACTTTATACTAGTTATTTTTCTGATGGCCATAAGGGGAAGTGGGGATAGATCTTGAAAGCCTGTGCATTATCTTGTGAGGTAGAAGCCTCTGCATTGCCTTAGAGCAGTGGAGGAATACTAAGCTATAACAGAAAAGAGTAGGCTGTTTCTACTGGCCTGTGTCCAAGGGAATCTGGAGATTCAAGATTTTCAAGTACATTGACTCAGATGTCTCATCACACATCTGAAGCTAAAATACCTTTGCAATCTAGACCCTGAGCATAGTAGTTTTGCCAGGGTTAAGGACCCAACATTCTTTGGAGCTTTTCTGCCTTTATAAGTAGGTCATGTGCCTAATCCCCAGCTATTCTTTGCCCTGTACCTGCTAGAAATAAAACTTTCTTTATATGCTTCCTAAGAGACCCTCCACTTTCTCCTATCACCTTAAATTAGTGATTAATCAACTTCGGCCTTTCATTGCTTTTTTTCCCCCCAGTAGTACCCAGCAAGGACCAGGAGATTACCTACTCCTTATACTATTACTTTATTCAAACTTCTTCAAATTTTCTAATTTCAAAAAAATACTCTTTTATAATATGTATTTAAATAGATACTTAACTTCGACAATAATATTAAAACTAATGTGGTTTTCACTCTTCCTCCTTATAAATAACTCTGATGAGCTCAATTGCACATCTTCCTTTTTTCCCATCTACTTATTTGAGTTAAACTCAAAGAGAAATTCTGTGGCACAGTGGTTTATCAGTCTTGAAAGCATTTGGTATATATTGTCAAATATGTTCCAGAAATGTTAGACCAGTTTACACTCCCACTAGCAATGAATAAGAGCAACTGTGTCCCTAGATATTTCAACTTTAGTAATATTCATTGTAAGTTTTGCTAATATGGTAAGACAAAAAGATATTTTCTATTTTATTTTAAATATTTTGAGTTGAGTTTTAAATATATTAACTAACAGCTTTTTTTTGCAATTTGCCCATCTAGATAAATTTTTTGAAAAGGTCAACAATAATGTTCAGAAGAACAAGTAAAGACCTCTGGTGCAGTGTTTCGCAAACTGTTCTCTGAATATTCCTATGCTTTGATACTGAGAAAATTAGGAGTTGGAGGAAGGGAGTCATTTTGGGGAAGCAGCCATGCTGTGGAGAATGGAAAGATAGCTAGCACTATTGGCGCGTGCACACACACACACACACACACACACATTTGAAACACCTTGTTTCAAAAAGAGTATATTTATTTCTGCTTTACATAGCTGTGTTCTCCTTGAGATTTTATTTGAAGTAAAGGGTCAAATAAAGCAACTTCGAAAACCATTAATTACTGTCCAACCCTACAATGTTTTAGATGAGGAGGAAACTGAATCTCAGAAAAGCTCAGGGTCTCAGGCAGCCAAGTGAAGATCAGCACCCAGGCTGGTACCATCAAAGGAGGTGCTCATCTCCACTCTGCTGTTTCAAGACATCTTTTTTTTTTTTTTTGAGTACTCAGCCAGAAAATAGTTCAAGTTTATTCCAGTGTGAAAAGTTCAAGAAACTTCCCCTTAACACCAATTACTTCCCTTGAGGGAGGGATACAACTCCTTCAATAAACCCCTGGCCATCTCCAGCAGTTGGCATTCATGTTCTGAGCTCTCCAGATGCAAAGCAGTTTATCATACAGATTTCTATATAAACACACTATTTTAAATAGAAGATCAAAGGTTAAATGTACTGTTTCAGCTTTCTAGGTATTTTATACTGAGATTCACATTTTCCCTAGCTCTCCCATGTATTAGATTGATAATGTTTTCTAAACAGTGGTTAGTACATATTTACCAAATCATAATTTATTGATTCACCGTGAATTTGAAAAACATCGTCTTAGTTGTTCAGTCCCTGGACATTACCAAGAATGAAAATACATTTCTGTTTCAAGTTTTACATATTATAGCAATTGTTTTCAGTTCATTTACTTTTGCCCTAGAGCAGTTTTGGGAGAGTACAGTTTTAAACATCAAAAACAGAGTAACTAGAAATACTTAACCTGAAATTTAAACTTTAGGACAACCAAAAAGGTTTGCACTCTAAAAATAACCTTAATTATTTCTAGTTTTTCAACTTCTTCTATTATTAACTATTTATCTTCTTAGTCAATATTTTATATTCTATAATTTATACCTACCATTTATTGTGTAGCTTCTGTGTGCTAAGAAACTTATCTTCATCACTTTATTTAATTCTCACAGTAACAAATATTTAGGTAGGTTAGTGACTGTTATTACTTCCATTTAACTGATAAAGAAATGGAGCTTTTAAGAGGTTAAGTTTCAAATTAGGCTTTAAATCACAGTTTATCTGTTTCTAGAGTTCAAGATTTTATCCAGTATATTTATGCTTACCATAATATAAAACAAAATTTTACTGTCATTTGGATAGTTCTTTGGTTGAGCATTAATTTCTAAGTCCTGTCCAAGAACTCTAAGTTAAAATTTAAGACATTTAAATTTAAAATTTAAATATATAAATTACATAAATTTTATTAGATAGTAAGATATGCTTTCAACTCATGGCTGAATCTTTCAAGTCTCAGAATACTGAATACATTATATTACAGATTCAAGTAGTCATTTGTCACAAGTCTCTTCAATAATCAGGAATTTCCTTGTGCATTTAAGTAAAAATGAAGAATCATAATAGTTTCATTTATAAAATTCTAAGCTTCTTGAAGGCAGAACTTTATCTAGCCAATATTATACATATTTATTTCTAAAATGTGGGCCTTCATCTTTGAATTCAGAAAGATCAAGGACAAGTTTGCTAGATTTGTCTCTTTTCAGAAACTATATTCTAACTTTGCTCATTTATAGATCTGGAATTAATCTAGTAAATCTTTATTAGTATATGCATTATATTAGTGCTAAAAATAATTCTGAATAATTATTATGTGATGAAGATTCATTTGGGCCCAATATGTTTTGGGCCCAATATGTTTTGATTATATTTTAGGCTTAACAAGGGGAAGTGAAGGGTGTTGACAAGATTGCTACCATCACTCGTAGAGAATAGCATTTATCTAGACTTTAGTTTCACATGTTATATCTGATAACACTAGGACATAAAATAGTGAAGTATTCTATTTGCACTACATTTTCACATGATTGGGAAAGAATTTGAACTCATCTTCCAATATATCCTACTAACAAAATTTTTTTGAGATGATGAATAGATTTGTTCTTATAACCAGTGTGGAAAGTTAACTCTATGGGGCTAAACAAATTCTCTTAACGTCAACACACAACACAGGACAGGAGACAAAAAGTAATGTGAGATTATATTTTAGTATGCCATTAAAAATTTTGTTAGCCCCACTGTTGTGTTAAATACTCTTTTCAGTATTGGTTTGCATCTGCTTGTTTCTATCCAGCTATTGACTAGCATGGTTTATGCTGAACTGATGCATTAGTTTAAATGTTTTGAGAGATGGATCTAATTGACACAGCTCACTTTTTGATGCCACGGTTATAACTCTCCACCAAGCGTGACTTGTGCTGACATCATAGCAAGTGGGCAAAAGAGTTACTGACAGTTCCATGAAGAATGGAGGCCCATGAACTTCTCCTGTGGCTACCAGAACAGTCCTGAATCCAGCTATCTTACGGCTTAGTGTCTGCTTCTTTTTAGACGTTTTTCAGATTTCACTTTAAATTTACAGTAAATCTCAGATTTTATTATTTGAGCTAGTTTGAGTAGCTTCTGTTCTTCATAAACAAAGAGCATGTTCCAGAACAGGGTGTAACACTCTTGTCAGAAATTTTGACTTCCACTTTTTTAATCTTAAAATATGTAGTGTAACTAATAGACATTTTTATAGCCTTAAAAAATTATTGTTTTGGAGAAAGTTAGAAATTAAAATATGGCCCACTTTCATGAAAACAGGCAGTAACATCAGCATACAGAAAATGAACAAATGAGCGTACCAATTAGAATTAGGAAATAGAAAAAAAAGAAGAAGAAAGAGAATAAAGGAGAACAACTTTTGCCTTTGTTTTGTTTTCCCAGAGATTTAAGTGTTTGGCAGGAAAGTTGCTTTAAATTTAAATATGATAGTAGGTCGTCGCAAAAGTAATTGTGGTTTTTATTGCCATTCAAAGTTAATGCTGTTAACTTTTTTGCCATTACTTTTAATGGCAAAAAAATGCAATTACTTTTGCACCAACATAATACTATATGGTAGCTGAGTATCTTTGTAGCTAGACTGTTGTGATTTAAATTATAGCTTGCTAAATTTAGCTGGATGACTTAGGAACAACTGTTTGGAAAAACCCAGGAACAACTGTACCTCTCTGTGACTTAATTTCTTATCCCTTAAATCAGTAGACTAATAAAGTTTTAACTAATAATCTTAGGTTCTATAAAAATAGATTAAAATCCTTTTGTGTATTCCTAGTAATTAGACAAATATTTGACATTTATTATATCCTTCTATTGGACAAAGAGAGGATGATAAACCTAAATAACTTTGTGATCTGGCTAGGATATTGGAGGACAAGAAGACTGAAGCTTCTTGCTCAGTTGCCCAAGACAGTATGGATGCTTCACATCAGACTGTGGGAAACACAGTAGTCCCAGACTATAACACAGGTGTTATTCTTCCATCAGAAAAATCTTACAGTGTGAAACTCTTTATCTCTTTATTATCTTTCCAACGAGGAACAGCTACTAAAGTGTTCAATACGCTCTGGGATTGAATAGCACCTTGGCAAAAAGTATGTGCAATGATTCATGATAGGTAGTAATTTGATCTTGGTACCAAGATCTCCTTATGGTTGGTGCTACAAATCTATAATCAAAAATTGTCTACTCCCTTACCCTGGCTTGATGGCTTATAGGGTTCTAAGCTCTGAATCCTTGCCTGTGGAACTACCTCACCATCTTTATGGGTAAATAAGTGACTCATGGTTCTTTCTTCGCTGCCTAGTTTCAATCTTATTACTTTGATAATGTAAGGGAGGTACGTGGTGTACTCCAAATCAAGACTGGTTTGAAACATCCTGAGTTTGCTGTCTATATTTCAGCTATTCCTCTGTCAGATTAGCTTTGTTGCCTAACCTTTTGGTAAGATTTGGTCCTGGGCTCTTGGATCCTGCCACCCAGAGTCTTGGCATTATTGTACCCAACACTTGCCTCTTTGAGAACAGCAGAATAGGTGGATATCATGACAGGAATAAAAACTACTATATGCAGAGTGAATACAATGTTTCAGAAGTATACTAGACACTTCAAATGTGTGTGTGTGTGTGTGTGTGTGTGTGTGTTTAATCCTTATGAAAAACTAGATTAGGATTATTAGCCCATCTTACAAATAAAAAACCTGAGACTCAGAAATTACATATAACTTACCAGAAACAAAACCACATAATCAGCACACAGTGAAATTTCTGGCCCCTCCTCATTACTGAACAGAGCAGAATCACATCTGTGACAGCATGGTTAGTAATTAGATGCTGCCTTCATCTTTGGCTTGCTTTCTTTCACTTCTTTGTGGGGAGAACTGCTTATGTGATTTATTTGTTTGTTGTTGTTTCTAAATACATCTCAGCTATTAAAATTAATCAGAGTTTCCTGGAATCAGCCACTCACTGTGACCCATGTTATACACAGACACACACACACACACACACACACACACAGATATATTATATATTAATAATTATATATTTATATATATATATATTAATTTCTTGACTTTCAGTTTAACCTGGAGATGAACAGTATAATGGTCAATACACAGTTTTTGCAGCTGGGCAAAAGTAGATTTAAGTTCTGGCACCAGCACCAACTGGTGTGTAACTTGGGTCTAATTACTTAATGTCTGATATGGTTAGTCTTTGTGTTCCCTAAAATCTCATCTTGAATTATAATCCTCATAATCCCCAGGTGTCAAGGGAGAGACCAGGTGGAGTTAATTGAATCATAGGGCCGGTCCCCAGCTCCCCATGCTGTTCTGGTGATAGTGAGTTCTTATGAGATCTGATGGTTTTACAAGGGGCTCTTCCCCCTTCGCTCTGCATTTCTCCTTTCTGCCACCTGTGAAGAAGTTGTCTTATTTCCCCTTCACCTTCTGCCATGATCATAAGTTTCCTGAGGCCTCCCCCCAGCCGTGGTAAACTGTGAGTCAATTAAAGCTCCTTCCTTTATAAGTTACCCAGTCTTGGGCAATTCTTTATAGCAGTGTGAAAACAGACTAATACAATATCTCAATCTGAGACTGTAAATGGAAAGCTCTTAACAGGACTTGTGAATCAATGAAGAGTAAGTGTTCAGTAAACACTTAGTTGTGTTACTATTTCATAATGATCCATTATTATCATGTTCTTCAAATACACCTGCCCAATTCTGTGTTCTGAAATGGGGTCAAGCAGAATGTAGGGCAAATAAAAGTTAAGTAAGTAACATAAAAACCCAAGACTTGAAACAACAGTTCTTTCTTTTCTTTCTGGTCCTAAGAATCCTGTTCTTAACTGCCTTTCAAGAGAAGAAAATACATAGGAATGAAAGGTTTAAAGCTTGAAAAGGTGGGAAACATGGTTGCACTCTAACTCTTCCATGAAAATTCAATTGATCTATTATAGCAAGTAGTCACTTTGTAACTAGGGAAGAGATCATGGTTAATGGGCTTTTAATACAGAGGTTATATGAAACCAGATTAATGAACGACGGGTGACCCAGAATTTACCAATAAAATGCAGAAACTTCTGTCCTGAATCACTGATTCAGGCCTGGCTATATTGTCATAATATTTCATACCATAATAATTTTAACCGTAGTACTGTGGACACTTCGTACATATAATTTTCAGGCAAACATCGGTCCTAAAAATTCTTTTTAAATATTGAGTGTATATTTTCTCAATGGCTAACTGCCAAACTCAGAATAAGCTTCTCAAATTGCTTTAGCCTTATATTTGGTAATCTATAAAATGAATCCCTTTCTTATATTGACTTCCTATAGCTCTACCAGTGAGCATTGCATATAAAAAATGATTAACAATTTTAAGTGTCAATCAGTTGACCTGTGTTCCCATTGTCCTAGTGTTCTATCAGCTGAAGCAGATAGTGTGGTGTCTCTGGCTTCCATTTTTTCATCCAAAAAACAAAAATCTTAATGATATCTGTTGTATGGTTTTACAGTTAACAAACAGCTCTCCCATACATTGCATCATTTCATATAACAGCCTCTTTCTCACCTACCTCCTTTGGTTGCTGTGGATATAATAATAGTTAATCGGTATGAAAAGCTTTTGAAATGTTAAAGAGACAAGTCAAATGCATGTAATAATAGTGGTTTCACAACATAATTAGAAAATACTACAGAGAGAATCCATGTTATCAGTGTTTAATCAGACAATGTTCTTAAACCATTAACACAAACCTCCACTGGAAATTTTAGCTAGGGAGAAATTAATTTGTACTGCTGAATTCATCAGCAAGCAAGCCAGCCAGCTTTCTGTAAGCCAAAGGCAGAGCAGCCAATGGTGGAAAGCCTTGTCAGCTCCATGCCCAGTGCAGCCTCTGATTGGCTTATTCTGAACAAGGACAGTTTGTAGCTGTTACGCCAAGGAACACACACAATGCAGAAATGCTTTTCCTTTTACACTTCCCACTGGTGTAGTAAATAGTAACTTTTGCCAACCATTCATAAAACTCTTTGCCACACACATCTAACATGTTTATTTTGAGATATACTAAAAAATATGTAATCTTTACAACGGTTCAATGTTTTTCAAATCTCGTTTTTCTCTCTAAGCTTATGATTTAAAGGCATTTACATAGTTAAAAAGACATTTGAAAAGCAAAAAATTATGAGCAGTTTCTTTAAAATATGGCATAAAAATAAAATTTGAAAAGTCCTTGACTCAGGAAAGCAGCAATCTATTTTTGCTTTAACTTGAAAACCTGTAAATCTAAAAAAAAAAAATTAAAAAAAAACCACGGTGAAACAGTCTTAAGTTGTCAATGCCATTTTTGACAGGGATTTAATGAGTTACTGGCATACTTTCTATTTATTGTCCGTTTTAATATCTTTTTAAATTAATAAATGCAAATCATTATAATGAAGAAATCTATAGACAAGAATATGAACTAATTTTTCTCTATTTTGAAAATGTATGACTATACAATTAAAATTTAATAATATATGATATAATAATTTTTAAAATATAATTTAGCATTTTACCTAATTAGACAACAGAATCGCACTGTTGAAAACTTAAAAACTATGTCGTCAACTCATAAGAACTCTCAATAGAACGCCTCAGTTGGTGAAAAGGAATTTGTTGAAAAATTTTTAAATGTTTGTTAAAGTCCCTTTGGGACTTTTAATGTAAATGTAATATACAGCTATAGCAGTAAAAATGTGTGAGAAAAGTATTCTCTGTAGATCAAAGCAGGTAAATCCAGCCCTCTGTTTTGCCTCCCCTTCTCCAGCAGGACCAGGCAACATAGGTTTCCATTTCTGAAAGCTTACATATAATGAATGCTAACAGCAGTCAGTTATCTTCATGTGTAGAGACACAGGATCTATTCTACATTTGTAGGAGAAACAGATACATTTAATTCTCAGCATTATGCTAACCTGTATAAAATAAGGGTGCTCTTACAAATGTATAACAGATTTAAGCATTATAAAACTCTTCATTTATTTATTTGTGGCCGAAAATGTTTTGTATTTTTTCTTTCTTAATTTTCAACAGATAAAATAAGAGACTGTTTAAAAGTCTAACAACACAGGTGGGTATAAACGATTGATTTTCTGTTACAGGGAGAATAGTGTGTTTGGAAATGTACTAAGATGAACTCATAGAAAGTAATAAAAGCTGATTTTAACTGCTTAATTGCTATATTCCAAAATGGGGAAGACACAAAGAACATGGATCTTTATTTATAAATTCATGATTCCTTAGGAAAACTTAAACGTTCTCCTCTTATTTCATACACATTTTTCAAGTATTTCAACCAGTACTATAACTTCAACCAACATCTTGCACTCCATTCAAACTATTTTACTCATTTCAAGACTTATCAAACTCTTCCTGTTAGATGTCTCATGATATCTAAAACTCATTATCAATCCATTAAAATCCTCTCACCTCCATAAATGCAACCTCCTCTTACCCAAACCAGAAATCTTGGAGTTAATCCAAACTTTTATCTTTCCATTTCTTGGTATGACCAGTAAAGCCATGTTGATTTAGTATGGTGGTTCCTCAAACAACTAAAAATAGAATTACCACATTATCTAACAATGCCAACTTCTGGGTATACCTTGAAAGAAACTGAAGTCAGTATGTTGAAAAGATATCTGCACTCTGATGTTTATTGCAGCATTATTCACAATAGCCAAGATATGGAAATAAACTAAGTGTCCATCAATAGATAAATGGATTTCTTGAATGTGGTATATATACACAATGAAATACTATTCGTCTTTACAATGAATGCAATTCTATTATTACAAACAACATAGATGAGTCTAGAGGACATAATGCTGCGTGAAATGAACCAGGCACAGAAAGACAAATATCACATAATATCATGTATGTGGAATCTAACACAGCCAAACTCATAGAAGTAGAGAGTAGAATGGTGATTACCAGAGGCTGGGAAAGTGGGGTGGTGTGAGCAGGGAAAGGGGAAATGTTTGCAAAAGGGTACAAAATTTCAGTTAGGAGAAATAAGTTCTGGTGATCTTTAGCACAGCTAGGTAAATATAGTTAATAATCATGTATTGTATATTTCCAAATTGCTAAAAGGGTGGATTTTAAATGTTCTCACCCCCAAGTGATGATAAGTAGGTGAGATGATGAATATGTTAATTAGAACTGATTTGCTCATTCCACAATTTTTATGTGTAGTAAAACATCATGTTGTATCCCATAAATATATACAATTATTTTAAAATATTTGTCAGTATTAAATTAAAATCAAAATTTAAAAAAAGCTTATCGATTTTAGAGATTTAAAACTCAGAAAAAAATGCTTGGCTTTAGACAGAAAGGGGTCATCTCTCTAAAACAGGAGGAGAAAAGGAAGAAATGCAGAGCATAGATTCAGGATAAAAACGAGAAGCTGAAGAAATATCTATCAGATGGCTTCGCTATTCCTTGTGAAATCTTGTGCTCAGTGTGGGGATTGAGGTAAGGGAAGAGAGAGTTTGAAGAAAAGTTTGAAGCTGCTGCTGCGGGAATGGGAGAGGAAGCTGAGCAGGGAATATTAGAAATTTTGCCTCTTGTTACTGTTACCTCATTGAGACTGAGACCATGAATTTTAAAGAGCCAATCTGGGACATTATGTAATTCTAGTAGTACTTTTCAAGGTTAGATTTGGGCAAGAGGAAGATACTCGAGTTTATCTAGAATTGTGATTTTTCCAGGTAGGTGTCACAAAAGGTAAGTGGGGCAAGAATGCTGAAATTAATAATAATAGGAATAGAATAGAGTTTCAGCCCTCAAGGAAGGCACTGGGATGTTGTTGTTGTTGTTGTTGTTGTTTGAGGGAATAAATGAGAAATGGCACAGATGGGGCTTTGAGAGTTAGCATACTAGCTACTGTCCAGTCTTCAACATACATTATTTCATCCATGAGCCACAACAAACCTATATTGTAGACACTAAAATTATTTCTACTTTACAAATTAAAAGTGGAAGACCTCAGAGAAGAGGAGTTATGTATCTATCGTCATACAACTAGGACTCAGTGGATTTAAGACTCAACCAAGATCAAAAGTAAGGTCTAACAGACCCAAAGCCCATTTACTAAACTTATGCTTCAATGAAAGTAATGAGTAACAAGATCCTTCCCCTTTAAAATTCTATCTTCAGAAAATGTACAATTAACTTGAAGATACAAAGCAGAATTAGAATTACTAAAATTCATAGATCAAGATTGAGGACATTATTAATTCCAAATGGGATTCTGTCAAACAATAATATTTGGAAGCTGTGTAAAACTTTAGAGGATCCAAAGAACTTTCATAAATTTTATCTCAATAATCAAAACAATTGTATGAACTAGATATTTTGTCATTTCTATTTTATGGGTTCCAAGAGTTAAGGGATTTATATAACTTACTAACCAGAGTTTTGCCTTTTGGTTTTTGTTTGTAGAAGCCCCTAGAAAACTCAAAATGATAATAAATATGTTCTTAGCTAACTTTTGCTTCATACATGAGTTTAATACAGTGAAAAGGTAGAGTAAACCTTAATACTTTTTTTTACTGTTTTGTTTTTGAGACTGTCATGAGAACATATTTAGCATTAGAATTAATTTATTTTGAACTCTTGGAGAGAAAGTCTGCTTACTTCATATAAATCAGATGGGGTTTACACTGCAAAATAGTCCAAAATCTCTCATGTGGAGATTTGGCTACTTTTCATTCTTTTCTCTGTAGAGGTCACAACTTAAAATTCTTGCAGATTGTCTTCATTCTGAAAGCATGTGACAGAAGCTTGCCCAGTCCCCTCAGACTTTGGACTCTTCTGTTGTCTTTTGCCTGAGCAAATAGAAAAATACATAAGTAAGTAAATAGTGAAAAATAAATTTAAAAGTGCTGGTCTATGCAAAAAAAAGTATAGAGCATAAAATAGACTATGAAAGAAAGATCTAGAAAGAAAAACAAGAGAGCTGCCCAAGTGACCAGCATGTTTGACTTTCTTCTATATACTTTGGCTTAATTTACTACCTCTTTTCTTCCTTTCCCCTAGAAGGTCTTCTCTTGTCCTACTCTGTACCTCCTAGAGGAACATATCTGGCTTCACTAAACCAATAGGCCTAGGCAGATTATTGTAATTCTCTGTACCATTCCTTAGTAGTGACACTTGTGATTTATGTTACTCTCTCAGTGCCACTGAAATGGTTTAAACAGGTATCTAAAAGAGGTCTGATTTTTATAATTCAATTTATAAGACCAATACTATCTAAGAAAACCCCAATAATAGTATGTTATTCTGAAATAGAAATGTGTTGAGCTTTGGAAAAAAGCAAAGATAAAACATCTGAAAAAAATTGTGATAAATAGTTCATTTCTTTGTGTTGTTACCCAAAAGAGAAACAGAAATTATGTCAAATGAGAAAAATAGGAGCTTGACAAATAATAAAGACAAAAATCTACAGTGTTAAAAATCTATTATTAAGCATGCTGACTCCTGGATTGCATCTACATAATTTGAGGGTAAAAGTGTGGTATTTATTTAAATAATAAAGGCTGTTTGTTTCTACATATTCTATGACTTTATTTAATAGTGTTTGATGAGAAGGACAAGAAGAAAATTAGCAGTAGTAGTAACAGTAGGAGTAAGAGGGAAAGGAGACAATGGAAAGAAGCAGGGGAAAAGCATTACATAATTTTCATTTTTCTCAGTGATTTGTTTATTCGTTTACAGTCATGTGCCACTTAACAATGGGGATACATTATGAAAAATGTGTCATTAGGTGATTTCATCATTATACAAACATCAGGGTATACTTACACAAACCTAGATGATATAGCCTACTACACACCTAGACTATATGGTATAGCCTATTGCTCTTGTGGAACATGTTACTGTACTGAACACTGTAGGCAGTTTTAACACAATAGTAGGTATTCGTGCATCTAAACATATCCAGCCATATAAAATGTACAGTAAAAGTATAGTATTATTTTATGGGACCGCCATCTTTTATGCAGTCCATTGTTGCCTGAAATGTCATCATGAAGTGCATGACTGTATTTAATTAATTATATATTTATTTATTTTTTTTTGAATGGGGGTATTGATTCCCAGAGGGAGGAAAACACATTCTGACTTACATACACATGGTTGGAAAAAAAGAGTTAAATGACATCACTACAATGTATATCTGTCAACCGGCAATCGAAATCATCTCCATGATTGAAGGTACATTTTTAGTGACCACATAATCACATGTAGGCTATCTATCCAACGGTAGCTCTCAGTGGTTTTGATAATGCAAACAGGCTGTGTTTTCTGCTAAAGATAAGTGTGTTTTTCTTTTACAGACAGATGTTAAAATCTGTATCATTAAAGTTTATTTCTATTTCGATGAAAGATTCTTCATAACAAAGCTATTTTTATCTCACTATAGAAATTGGTGCTCTGGTGATCAACTTACAGAAGATACTCTGAGGGACAAATCAATACAATCAAGTATTTAGAATATCTAAATTCATGTATTTTGTTCCTAAGTGACTGGCCTTTGTACTATGCAAGTTCAAGGAAGAAGACAAGAAGAACGAATACTTGCTGTTTCATAGTTTAGAAATTGATTTGAAATTGATTTTCAAAATCCCTTTCCATTTAAACCATCCCAATTGACTCTGACAAAAATCCCACTAAAATTATCACTTGTTCTTCAAAGGGCATAATGTTTATCTACCAGCTCAATGATCCAGGAACCCTTCAAGGAGCAAAGGAATAGGAAATGAATATTGAGTCAGAATACCGCTTTTTCTTCTACTTTATTCAAACAACTAAATTTTTGAAACAAGTTCTTCCAGGACACGTGAGGATCCTTTAATCAATAATTATATATTATATCAGTCTCAGTACTAGACAAATAAAAAAAATTCTACACTTAAGAAACTCTTGTTTTGGTAGAACATGAGCAGATTTATTAGTATAACCAAAGAATAGAACAGGAAGGCAGAGAAAATAACAGAAAACCCCTGAGGGATGTAGGCTTTGAGCTAAGTCTTAATAGTAACTTTTCACTGGGATATAATAGCGGATAAATAAAGTCATTCAAATCACAGAGATGAGAGCAGAGAAAAATCTTTTAAAAGACGTTTAGCAGTCTAGTAATTTTATTGGGTCAGAGTACAAATTGTTGAAAGGCGACTGTGAAAGATCATCTGGAAAGGGGAAAGAAAGACCTTCTATGAAATGTCAAGTAGCTTAGATTCCAACCTATGGGCAATGGAGATGCCACCAGATTGGCCCTTAAGAGCCTTCAACAATCATGTGATAGGTAGACCAAAGGCAAACAAGGATGGAGACAGAAAAAAAAAAAAAAAAAAAGGAAATTTCAGATCATGACTAAAGATGGAGACCAAAAAGAAGCAGTGTGTTTGGAAAGTAGGGGACAAATCTGAAATATACTAAATAAGCAGAAGTATTAGGATTTCATTATTGATTGGTTTGGTGTGGGTGGGTGGCAACATTAAAGAATCTAGAATGATTCCAAGATTTCTAACCTAAGCCACTAGTTAGAGGATAATTTTAACCACTAGGAAGGAAGAATAAAAATAATGAGTACATTTGTAAAGAAGGTAGGAAATTAAGATGATTAGACTTAGGATATTTCAAGCTTGAGGTGCCAATAGGATCAAAGTATAAATGCCCAAAAAGCATTCATACATGAGTTGGAAGTAAGAAGAAGGACTCGGGACACAGAGATTATAGAGTTACATGCAGGAGGATGGTTATTTAATGTAAAGTTTTATTTTATATGGAGTCCAGGAAGAGAATGTAGAAAATGATATAATGATAGAATTTTTGAGAAATAATAAAGTATTTTAGTCAACAAGAAAAGATCAATTCAATCAAAAACATGGAAAGAAAGATCTAGGCCTTACAGAAGGGAGAGGTTTGGCTCTAGATGGAAGGATTTTCATTGACTAGAACAAGATTTTCATCTTAACCTGAAACACAAGAAAGATGATTACAGATGATTATAGACATAGTGATGTAACATTGAAGGAGGAAGGATGGTCTGTTTTTTTTTTCATTTATTGAAAGGGGTCAGATATTTTTCTGAAAGTTGTAAAATATGCATTGAAAGATTAGGTTGTTAATGTTGCAAATAGTTGAAATAATTCCTGTAGAGAGAATGAGAAAGCTTACCAATGAGGTGAAGTAACTCACTCCATGGAAGTAGAAGTTCAGCTTATGTTCAGAAAATATGTGGTTGTGTGACTTTCTTCCTAAAGGGAAAAGCAGATGGTTACTTTGATGCAGAAAATGATTATAAGGAAGTTAAAGATCCTGTCAAGAAACCATTGAAGTACTGGTTCATGAAGTCTAAGCTGGTTTGGAAAAGACATGTGAGAGTATAACTGAATAAAAATAAAAAACGTGATCAATGGTCTTGATGTCTTGCTGAGGCCACAAAGCAAGTTTTAAGAAAAGAAGGAGATTGGAAGATAGGTTAAAACTATGTGTTTAGAAAAAAAAAAGGTAAAAACAAAAAACAAACAAACAAAAAAACTATGTGTTTAGGCCGGGTGCGGTGGCTCATGCCTGTAATGCCAGCACTTTGGGAGGCCAAGGCAGGTGAATCACGAGGTCAGGAGTTCGATACCAGCCTGGCCAACATAGTGAAACCCCATCGCTACTAAAAATACAAAAATTAGCTGGGCATGGTGGGGCGCACCTGTAGTCCCAGCTACTCAGGAGGCTGAGGCAGGAGAATCGCTTGAACCTGGAGGTGGAGGTTGTGGTGAGCCGAGATCATGCCAGTGCACTCCAGCCTGGGCAACAGAGTGAGATACTGTCTCAAAAAACAAAACAACAACAACAACAACAATAACAACAACAAAAAAAAAACAAAACCAAAAACTACTATGTATTTAGAAGTGTGTTAGATTTGTTTTGTTTAGAAGTAAATAGTAAAATTATTTTAAAGTTTAAAATATCTGTGAATCTTCAACTGGCTCACTATCTTCTTTCAATCCCAGTTTCTGCCATTTTTCTAGATAATTTTACTATTTATATGGACAACCACCCATACATATCTATCTTCAATTTTTTTGACTTTTCTCTCTTCATTAAGATTCATTTCCTTTAATAACCCTAATCTCACATGAAATTAAGATGTGTATTAATAATTGAAATACAAGATAGGCCTATTAAAATGGTCACATTTTGGGGATACTTTCTCAACTCAGCTTCTGTCTTGTGAGAATCCCAAGCAACATGAAGAGTCTATGTTTAGATGCTTCAAGTGACAATTAGCATTACTTCTCAGTTATCAGAGTTGGCCATCTTGTATGTCCAGCCCAGTCAATTCTTCAGATGATTGCAGATCTGGTTGACATCTGCCTGCAACCTCATGAGACTTTAAGAAAGAACCACCCATCTCAGCCCAGGCAACCCACGTAAGCATGAGACAAATTAGTTGTTATTTTAATATATTACATTTTATGGTGGTTCATTATGCAGCCACTGGAACAATCTATGTCATGTTCAATTTCTGCTTTTACTGAATAAATTTTTAGTAATTAATGTCAAGATTCTACTATAGTGAATGGTTTCTACTATAATAAATGGTCTTCTGTACAATTCTTTATAGAAAGATTTAAACTTCAAGCAGTATTTCTCTAAACACCATAATTCTTAATTCCTAAAATGAATATAAAATTAGCCAGGAGAAAAATGTGAAGAAAACTGCTGGTTATTTAGAATCAATGCTTTAAAAAATCTTTAAAATTATTCATATCATTAGGTTATAATAAATTGGGAAGGGTCTTTTAGTATTTGCCTAGCATAACATATTGTTCCTTTGGAAATGGAATATTTAATTAGTGTGAATCTCACTGTATTATTGCCCCAGACATAGGAGGTAACCATGCTAACATCAAATATTCATATTTAAATTCACTTGTCAGCACTACAATTATTAGTTTCAAAGAAGTTAGATTTATATGACAATACTTAAGTCTCCTTTCAACTCTAATTTTTTCTAATTCAAATGAAATCTTAAATCCTCAACAACAAAAATGATGACAATGACTATGTTTTCATTATTAGAAAACAACTATTCATAAAAGTACATTTTTCATTTAAAGGAAAGATAAACTAGCACTTGATGTATGAATGTTAAGTTGGTCTGTAACAGATTTTCTACAAAAATTAAGAATAATATTTGGGTTAATTAATATTAATGTTGAAATCATTGGTACCCGTGAGAAAAATGACACTTGAAACTCATTGCTGGAATGTGTTGATAGCTCACTAATGACTAGAGATTTGCTAGAAAGCCCAAAATTCACAAGAACAAGATCAAACATCTCAGGTTCTTACTTCAAAAAATAGTTCTGAGAAATTGCATCCACAGGCCTGTTAGCTGTGCTACATCAAATGTGTCCTCACATTAGTACCATAATCTGTTAACATTATGAAAGTGATAGAGAATTAGATTAATTAAAATTTCCCATTTTCTCAATAAAAAATAGATTTTATCTTTTTTTCTTTAAATATCAATGGACTGAGTACCTAAGAGAACTTTTATTTGATTTTAGTGGCAGGTTTCTTTTTTTTATAAATATTTCACATAACGGCTATTTCACATTTGTGAAGAAATAGCTGAAGTGTAGGTACACAAAATTACTCACAAAATGTGAATTCCAGAACTGTAATTATTATTATCCTAAACGATGTGCATTCAAAGTAAAATTTAGGTCATTGTAGCTATGCCACTTCTGCATGCAGTTCGGATAAAACTCTTATATATTTGAAGACTTCACAGTACTGACTAAGCTGGAAAACTTTGCCATAAATCTAGGAAAGCTCTACAGGCACATATTACCCCTCATGCAAAAAAAAACTCTTCCTAAAAGTACAAAATAAAAAACCCACATATAAGCAACTGGAAAGTATAAATAAACTATATACATATGTATTGCAGAGAAAAAATATTTAAATATATGAAGTAATACACAACACACAAGGAAGACACTAGGTAAATATGTCCACAGCCAGATTAAAAATACAACTTCAGAGTACAGAACAAGTAAAAAATAAAAAAGTAGAAACTCACAAGTAAAAACATAAATCAGAACGGCCAAAAATAGCATGACTAGAATAAGGATTTTATGAGAAAACTGAAAATCGAAAGAAAATAAATCATTTCAGAAATAAAGACACACCTAGGAAGAACACACAAGTTACTAGAAAAGTAAAGGAAAGAAAAATAAGACAGTGGAGACTAAGATACTAAAAAACACATACACTTTAAAAACTCAAAAAATGATAAATATAGAGGCCATGCAAAACAATAGCCAATATAGTTCTTCTTATAGAGATCATTCACCTCTTTGGTTAGATGTATTCCTAGATATTTCATTTTTTTATGGCTAGTTTAAAGAATTGTGTTCTTAATTTGGCTCAATTATATTGGTATATAGAAATGCTATTGATTTTCATACTTTTTTTTATCCTGAAACTTTATTGAAGTCATTTAACAGTTATAGGAGAATTCTATTGTAGACTTTATGGTATAGAATCATATAATCAGTAAAGAGAGATATTTTGCCAACTTCTTTTCCAATTTGGATGATTTTTATTTCTTTGTTTTGCCTAATTGCTCTAGCTAGGAATTCTAGTACTATGTTGAAAAAGAGTGGTGAGAGTGGACATTCTTATCTTGTTTGAGTTATCAAGGAGAATAGTTCCAGCTTTTGTCTGTTCAGTATGATGTTGGCTGTGGTTTAATATACATCCCTTTTATTATGTTGAGATATGTTTCTTCAATTCCTAGTCTGGTGAGGGTTTTTAATCATGAAATGGTGTCGAATTTTATCAAAAGCTTTTTCTGTGTTTATTTGGAGATGATCTTTTTTTGTTTTTAATTCTGTTTATATGGCAAATAACATTTATTGATTTGTGTATGTTGAACCATCCTTGCACTGTATGATCAACGCACCATTGGTCATGGTGAATTAACTTTTTGATGTGCTGCTGGACTTGGTTTTCTAGTATTTCCTTGAGGATTTTTGTGCCTATATTCATCAAGGATATTGGCCTGAAATTTTCTTTTTTCATTGTTTCTCTGCTATATTTTGGTATCAGAATAATGCTGGCTTTGTAGAATGAGTTAGAGAGATGTCCCTCCTCCTCAATTTTTTGGAATAGTTTCAGCAGAATTGGTACCAGTTCTTCCTTGTACATCTGGTATAATTCAGCTGTGAATCCAGGTGGTCCAGGATATATTTTGGTTGGTAGTTTTTTCCTTGTTTTTTGGTTTTTGTTTTGAGACAGAATCTTGTTATGTTGCTGAGGCTGGTCTCAAACTGCTGGGCTTAAGTGATCCCCCTGCCTCTGCCTCTCAAACTGCTAGGATTACAGGCGTGAGCCACCACACACAGCCTGGTGGGTAGGATTTTTATTACTGATTCCATTTCAGAACTCGTTATTGGTCTATTCAGGGTTTTACTTCCTTCCTGATTCAATCTTGGGAAGTTCTGTGTTTCTAGGAATTTATCCATTTCCTCTAGATTTTCTAATTTGTGTGCCTGAAAGTGTTCATAATAGTCTCTGAGGATCTTTTATATTTCTGTAAGATTCGTTGTAATATCATCTTTGTCTTTTCTGATTGTGCTCATTTGGTTCTTGTTTTTATCTTTGTTAACCTAACTGGTGGTCTATCAATTTTGCTTATTCTTTTGAAGAACAAACTTTTTGTTTCATTGATCTTTTGCATGAATTTTTGCACTCAGTTATGTTCAATTCTTCTCTAATTTTAGATATTACTTTTCTTTTGCTAGCTTTGGAGTTGGTTGGTTCTTTTTATTCTAGTTCCTCTAGGTGCAGTGTGAGACTGTTAATTTGAGATCTTCTTAACTTTTTGATACTGCTGAAAGAAATCAAAGATGACATAAGTAAATGGAAAAATAATCTATATTCATAGATTGGAAGAATCAATATCCTTAAAATGGCCATACTGCCCAAAGTAATTTACAAATTCAATGCCATTCTTATCAAGCTAGAAATGTCATTTTTTACAGAAGTCAGAAAAACTATTCTAAAATTCACTGGGAACCAAAACAGAGCCAAAAAGCCAAAGCAATCTTAAGAAAAAGAACAAAGCTTGAATTATCACATTACCTGACTTTTAAATATAGTACAGATCTATTGTAAGCAAAACAGCATGGTATTGGTACAAAAACAGACACATAGACTAATAGAACAGAATAGAGAACCCAGAAATAAAACCATACACCTACAACCATCAGATCTTCAACAAACTTGACAAACACACTATGGAGAAAGGAATCCCTATTCAATAAATGGTGCTGGGATAACTGGCTATCCATATACAGAAGAATGAAACTGGACCTCTCTTGATATGGTTTGGCTGTGTCCCCACCCAAATCTCATTTTGAATTGTAGTTCCAATAATCCTCAAATGTCATGGGAGGGACCAGGTGGAGATAATTGAATCATGGGGGCAGTTTCCCCTATCCTGTTCTTGTGTTCATAAGTTCTCACGAAATCTGATGGTTTTATGAGGGGCTTCCCCCTTCGCTCAGCTCTCATTCTTCTTCTTCCTGCTGCCATGTGAAGAACATGTTGGCTTCCCCTTCCACCATAATTGTAAGCTCATCCATGCTGAACTGTGAGTCAATTAAACCACTTTCCTTTATAAATTACCCAGTCTCAGGTACGGCTTCATTAGCAGCATGGGAACAGACTAATACAGTATATTGGTACCAGTAGAGTGGGGAATTGCTGTAAGAATACCTGAAAATGTGGAAGCAACTTTGGAACTGGGTAACAGGCAGACGTTGGAACAGTTTGGAGGGCTCAGAAGAAGACAAGAAGATATGGGAAAGTTTGGAACCTCCTAGAGACTGTTGAATGGCTTTGACCAAAATGCTAATAGTGATATGGACCGTGAAGTCCAGGCTGAGGTGGTCTCAGACAGAGATGGGCAACTTTTTGGGAAATGGAGTAAAGGTCTCTCTTGCTATGCAAAGAGACTGGTGGCATTTTGCCCCTACCCTAGAGATCTGTGGAATGTTGAACTTGAAAGAGATGATTTAGGGTATGTGGTGGAAAAAATTTCTACATGGCAAAGCATTCAAGAAGAAGCGCAGCATAAAAGTTTGGAAAATTTACAGCCTGATAATGCAATAGAAAAGAAAAACCCATTTTCTGAGGAGAAGTTCAAGCTAGCTGCAGAAATTAACATAAATAATGAGAAGCCAAATGTTAATCACCAAGACAATGGAGAAAATGTCTCCAGGGCATGTCAGAGACCTTCATGGCAGCCCCTGCCATCACAAGTCCAGAGGCCTAGGAAGGAAAAACGGTTTTATGGGCCATATCCAGGGACCACCTGCTCTATGCAGCCTCAGGACATGCTGCCCTGTGTCCCAGCTGCTTCAGCTTCAGCCTTGGCTAAAAGGAGCCAAAGTACAGTTCAGGCCATTCCTTCAGAGTATGCAGACCCTAAGCCTTGGTGGCTTATACATGGTTTTGGGTCTGCAGGTGCACAGAAGTCAAAAATTCAGGTTTGGGAACCTCTGCCTAGGTTTTAGAGGATGTATAGAAATGCCTGGATGTCCAGGCAGAAGTTTGCTACAGGAGCAGGGCCCTCAGGAAGAACCTCTGCTAGGACAGTGTGAAAGGGAAATATGGGGTTGGAGCTCCCACACAGAGTCCCCCTGGGGCACTACCTAGTGGAGCTGTGAGAAGAGGGCTACCATCCTCCAGATGCCAGACCGGTAGCTCCACAAACAGCTTGCACTGGGCACCTGGAAAAGCCACAGACACTCAACTCCAGCCTGTGAAAGCAATCATGAGGGGGCTGTACCCTGCGAAGCCACAGGAGTGGAGCTTCCCAATGTCATGGGAGCCCACCTCTTGCATCAGCATGTCCTGGATTTGAGACATAGAGTCAAAGGAGATCATTTTGGAACTTTAATGTTTAATGACGACTCTATTTGATTTTGGACTTGCATGGGGCCTGTATCCCCTTTGTTTTTGCCAATTTCTCCCATTTGGAACAGGTGTATTTACTCAATACTTGTATCTCCATTGTATCTAGGAAGTAACAGGCTTGTTTTGATTTTACAGGCTCATAGATGGAAGGGACTTGCCTTGTTTCAGATGAGACTTTGGACTTGGACTTTTGAGTTAATGCTGAAAAGCGTTAAGACCTTGGGGACTGTTGGAAGGTCACGATTGTGTTTTGAATTGTGAAGACATGAGATGTGGGAGTGGTCATGGGTGGAATTATATGGTTTGGCTTGACTGTGTCCCCACCCAAATCTCATCTTGAATTGTAGTTCCCATAATCCCCACATGGCATGGGAGGGACAAGGTGGAGATAATTGAATCGTGGGGGCAGTTTCCTGCAACAAGTTTCATGATAGTAAGTAAGTTCTCATGAGATGTGATTGTTTTATAAGGTACTTCCCCCTTTACTTGGCTTTCATTCTTCTCTCTGCTGCCATGTGAAGAAAGACATGTTGGCTTCCCCTTCCACCATGATTATAAGTGTTCTGAGGCTTCCTCAGCCATGCTGAACTGTGAGTCAATTAAACCTCTTTTCTTTATAAACTACCCAGTCTCAGGTATGACTTTACTAGAAGAATGAGAATGGACTAATACACCTCTCTATCACCATATACAAAAATTAACTCAAGATGGATTAAAGACTTAAATGTAAGACATCAAACTATAAAAATTCTAGAAGTAATCTGAGGAAGTATCCTTCTTAATATTAGCCTTGGAAAAATAATTTATTGCTAAGTCTTACAGAGTAATTGCAATAAAACAAAAATTGACAAGTGGTAACTAATTAATTTCTGCACAGCAAGAGAAGTATCAAGGAAATAAATGAACAACCTATAGAATGGCAGAAAATATTCACAAACTATGCATCTGACAAAGGTCTAATATTTAGTATCTGTAAGGAACTTGAACATATCAAGAAGCAAAAAGCAAAGAATCTCATTAAAAAGTGAGTAAGAGACATGAACGAACACTTCTCAAAAGAAGACATATGGCTGGGTGCAGTGGCTCACATCTGTAATCCCAGCACTTTGGGAGGCCAAGGCAGGTGGATCACCAGAGGTCGGGAGTTTGAGATCAGCCTGACCAACATGGAGTAACCCCGTCTCTACTAAAAATACAAAAAAAAAAAAAAAAAAAAAAAAAAATTAGCCAGGGATGGTGGCGCATGCCTGTAGTCCTAGCTAGTTGAGAGGCTGAGGCAGGAGAATCGCTTGAACCCAGGAGATGGAGGTTGCAGTGAGCCGAGATTGCGCCACTGCACTCCAGCCTGGGCAACAAGAGCAAAACTCCATCTAAAAAACAACAACAACAAAAAAAGAAGACATACAACCTGCCCATAAACACACACACAAAAATGCTCATTATCGCTAATCATCAGAGAAATGCAAATCAAAATCACAATAAGATACCATCTCATACCAGTCAGAATGGCTTTCATTAAGAAGTCAAAACATAATACATGCTGGCAAGTCTGCAAAGAAAAGGGGACAATTATACACTGTGGGTGGCAACGTAGATTAGTTCAGCCACAATGGAGAGCAGTTTGGAGATTTCTCATAGAACCAAGAGTTGAATTACCATTTGACCCAGCAATCCCATTGCTAGGTATATATCCAAAGGAAAATAAATCATTCTACCAAAAGGACACATGTATGTTCACTGCAGCACTATTCAGAAAAGCAAAACCATGGAATTAACCTAGGTTCCCATCAATTATGAATTGGATAAAAAAAATGTGGTACATATACACCAGGGAATACTATGTAGCCATAAAAATAATAAAATTATACCTTTTGCAGCAACATGGAAGCAGGTGGAGGCCAATTATTTTAAGTGAATTAACATAGGAAAAGGAAAAAAATACATATTCTCACTTATAAGTGGGTGCTAAACATTGGGTACATGGACAAAAAGATGGGATCAATAGACACTGCGGACTTATATTGGGGGAGAGAGAGGAGAGGGGAGCTGAAAAACTACCTATTGGGTACTACGCTCACTATCTGGGTTATGGGTTTGGTCATGTCCCAAACCTCAGCATCATGCAACATACTCATGTAACAAACATGCACATGTATGCCCTGATTCTAAAATAAAATTTGAAAAAGAAAATGAAATTTCCAGTGAGTGTGTAAGGGGGAATACTAAAAATGAAAAGTCAAACCAATGGAGTAGAACAAATATTAAAATCCATAATTCATAAAACTTTAATTTAAAAAATGCATATTTAATAGAAACATTATTTATAAAAGGTGGGTGGGAGAAGAAATCAATCTTACTTATTGAAAAGGAATATATTACATATGAGGACAAAAACTCAGAATGATCAATAGTCAAACTAACAGATTTGCAGTGGGAGGGCCAGGATCCTTTTGCATCCAGTCTTTAGAAGGATTAAAGATTAGACAGATATTACACCTTTCAACAGCAACATTCTATATCTGAGGAAAATTTAACAACGTATTTCCCTAAGAGAAAAATTCCTCAAGAAACCAAGGTATTACAGAAGAATTGACATGAGGTGTAGTGGTGAGCATTAAGCACATGTGTGTAAAACTGATAATAAGGGTAAAGGTTATTTTTAAAAATCTATAAATGTCATATGTTCTTATTATTTAGATATAATGCAATTAACAATGTAGAATAAGCTCACTGATTACCTTAAATATTGTAGTTGGGAGTAAAGGATGTCACTTTGAATTAAACACCATGGGAGAATGAGAGAATGGAAAAGAAAAGGTGATCAACTAAACTCATTATAGCTTATAGAAGAGAACCATAAGATGATATCTAATTTGTTTAATTAAAGAGATTAATTTTGAAAGTAAATATTTTAACAAAAATAGAAGCCCTGCTAAATAACAGATGACATATCATAAAGAGCAAAAGACCACATTATAAAAGTAAACACACACATATATATGAATTAATAAATGTACCTATAAAATATATATACATATATACAGCACAAAAATATGACATTAAACATTAGAAGTAATATCAATAAATGTAAATAGACTTAATCCATCCGGTAAAACATGGAGATTATCAGATTGGCTAAAAAGCAAAATCCAAATTTATGATGTATACAAAAGTTATTTCTAAAAGAGGCACAGAAAGGTTAAAAATAAATAGATTGGTCAAAGTATGCTAGAAAAATAACTTTTAATGCATCTCTCTCAATCCAAGACAAACCAGAGAAACAAGATTACACTATCCCAAAATGGTCTGATCAGTAAGGTAAATGTTCTAACATGTATCAAATTCTGAGCCTCAACAAATAAAATGCACCATATTTATAAGTGTCCATATATTAGGTAATACACACACAGAGACAAAATCTGAATAATACTATATATAATATAAAAGGTATACTTTGACCAAAATAAGATAAATTAAAATTAACTTTTAAAATAAAAAGCAAAAAATAATAATAATCAAAGGCCCTTTTGCCTGGAGATTAAGAACTCTTAAACTGTCCAACACTTGGATCACTGGAGAAACACATAACAAAAATTCACAATTTATAAAAAATAAAGTAACAAAAATATGATATCAGAATTTAAGAAACAAGTTTAAAGCAGTGTCCATAGACACACATACAGCATTAAATAATTTTTCAGTAAAATGAAAATGAAATAACTATATTTTCTACTCAAACTGAAAGAACACAGAAGGAAAGAATGTTTGACATGAAAACAGAAATTAATAAGCTGAAAAACAAGAATGCAATTCATCCAAAAGCTGCTTAATTTAAAAAAATTAACCAAAGCAACAAATGCTAGATATCTTAAGAAAACAAAAATGGGGAGCACAAACATATGAAATACTAAATAACATGTGAAATACTAAATGACAATGGAATAGGTACTAAAAGAAAAGACTACTTTTTACACTTCTATGAAAACAAACTTGAATATCTAGATGAAATATACAACTCTCTTATTTTATTTTATTTTATTTTATTATTATTATACTTTAAGTTTTAGGGTACATGTGCACAACATGCAGGTTTGTTACACATGTATACATGTGCCATGTTGGTGTGCTGCACCCATTAACTCGTCATTTAGCATTAGGTATATCTCCTAATGCTATTCCTCCCCCCTACCCCAACCCCACAACAGTCCCCGGAGTGTGATGTTCCCCTTCCTGGGTCCATGTGTTCTCATTGTTCAATTCCCACCTATGAGTGAGAACATGCAGTGTTTGGTTTTTTGTCCTTGCGATAGTTTGCTGAGAATGATGGTTTCCAGTTTCATCCATGTCCCTACAAAGGACATGAACTCATCACTTTTTATGGCTGCATAGTATTCCATGGTGTATATGTGCCACGTTTTCTTAATCCAGTCTATCGTTGTTGGACATTTGGGTTGGTTCCAAGTCTTTGCTACTGTGAATAGTGTCGCTATAAACACATGTGTGCATGTGTCTTTATAGCAGCATGATTTATAATCCTTTGGGTATATACCCAGTAATGGGATGGCTGGGTCAAATGGTATTTCTAGTTCTAGATCCCTGAGGAATCGCCACACTCACTTCCACAATGGTTGAACTAGTTTACAGTTTCACCAACAGTGTAAAAGTGTTCCTATTTCTCCACATCCTCTCCAGTACCTGTTGTTTCCTGACTTTTTAATGATCGCCATTCTAACTGGTGTGAGATGCTATCTCATTGTGGTTTTGATTTGCATTTCTCTGATGGCCAGTGATGATGAGCATTTTCTCATGTGTTTTTTTGGCTGCATAAATGTCTTCTTTTGAGAAGTGTCTGTTCACATCCTTCACCCACTTGTTGATGGGGTTGTTTGTTTTTTTTCTTGTAAATTTGTTTGAGTTTGTTGTAGATTCTGGATATTAGCCCTTTGTCAGATGAGTAGGTTGCGAAAATTTTCTCCCATTTTGTAGGTTGCCTGTTCACTCTGATGGTAGTTTCTTTTGCTGTGCAGAAGCTCTTTAGTTTAATTAGATCCCATTTGTCAACTGTGGCTTTTGTTGCCATTGCTTTTGGTGTTTTAGACATGAAGTCCTTGCCCATGCCTATGTCCTGAATGGTATTGCCTAGGTTTTCTTCTAGGGTTTTTATGGTTTTAGGTCTAACATGTAAGTCTTTAATCCATCTTGAATTAATTTTTGTATAAGGTGTAAGGAAGGGATCCAGTTTCAGCTTTCTACATATGGCTAGCCAGTTTTCCCGGCACCATTTATTAAATAGGGAATCCTATCCCCATTTCTTGTTTTTGTCAGGTTTGTCAAAGATCAGATGGTTGTAGACATGCGGCATTATTTCTGAGGGTTCTGTTCTGTTCCATTGATCTATATCTCTGTTTTGGTACCAGTATCATGCTGTTTTGGTTACTGTAGCCTTGTAGTATAGTTTGAAGTCAGGTAGCGTGATGCCTCCAGCTTTGATCTTTTGGCTTAGGATTGACTTGGCGATGTGGGCTCTATTTTGGTTCCATATGAACTTTAAAGTCGTTTTTTCCAATTCTGTGAAGAAAGTCATTGGTAGCTTGATGGGGATGGCATTGAATCTGTAAATTACCTTGGGCAGTATGGCGATTTTCATGATATTGATTCTTCCTACCCATGAGCATGGAATGTTCTTCCATTTGTTTGTATCCTCTTTTATTTCATTGAGCAGTGGTTTGTAGTTCTCCTTGAAGAGGTCCTTCACATCCCTTGTAAGTTGGATTCCTAGGTATTTTATTCTCTTTGAAGCAATTGTGTGTGGTAGTTCACTCATGATTTGGCTCTCTGTTTGCCTGTTATTGGTGTATAAGAATGCTTGTGATTTTGTATCCTGAGACTTTGCTGAAGTTGCTTATCAGCTTAAGGAGATTTTGGGCTGAGACAATGGGGTTTTCTAGATATACAATCATGTCATCTGCAAACAGCGACAATTTGATCTCCACTTTTCCTAATTGAATACCCTTTACTTCCTTCTCCTGCCAGATTGCCCTGGCCAGAACTTCCAACACTATGTTGAATAGGAGTGGTGAGAGAGGGCATCCCTGTCTTGTGCCAGTTTTCAAAGGGAATGCTTCCAGTTTTTGCCCATTCAGTATGATATTGGCTGTGGGTTTGTCATAGATAGCTCTTATTATTTTGAGATACATCCCATCAATACCTAATTTATTGAGAGTTTTTAGCATGAAGGGTTGTTGAATTTTGTCAAAGGCCTTTTCTGCATCTATTGAGATAATCATGTGGTTTTTGTCTTTGGTTCTGTTTCTATGCTGGATTACATTTATTGATTTGCATATGTTGAACCAGCCTTGCATCCCAGGTATGAAGCTGACTTGGTCATAGTGGATACGCTTTTTGATGTGCTGCTGGATTCGGTTTGCCAGTATTTTATTGAGGATTTTTGCATCAGTGTTCATCAAGGATATTGGTCTAAAATTCTCTTTTTTGGCTGTGTCTCTGCCAGGCTTTGGTATCAGGATGACGCTTGCCTCATAAAATGAGTTCGGGAGGATTCCCTCTTTTTCTATTGATTGGAATAGTTTCAGAAGGAATGGTACCAGCTCCTCCTTGTACCTCTGGTAGAATTCAGCTGTGAATCCATCTGGTCCTGGACTTTTTTTGGTTGGTAAGCTATTGATTATTGCCACAATTTCAAAGCCTGTTATTGGTCTATTCAGAGATTCAACTTCTTCCTGGTTTAGTCTTGGGAGGGTTTATGTGTCAAGGAATTTATCTATTTCTTCTAGATTTTCTAGTTTATTTGCGTAGAGGTGTTTGTAGTATTCTCTGATGGTAGTTTATATTTCTGTGGGATCAGAGGTGATATCCCCTTTATCATTTTTTATTGCATCTATTTGATTCTTCTCTCTTCTCTTCTTTATTAGTCTTGCTAGTGGTCTATGAATTTTGTTGATGTTTTCAAAAAAACAGCTCCTGGATTAGTTAATTTTTTGAAGGGTTTTTTGTGTCTCTATTTCCTTCAGTTCTGCTCTGATTTTAGTTATTTCTTGCCTTCTGCTAGCTTTTGAATGTGTTTGCTCTTGCTTTTCTAGTTCTTTTAATTGTGATGTTAGGGTGTCAATTTTGGATCTTTCCTGCTTTCTCTTGTGGGCATTTAGTGCTATAAATTTCCCTCTACACAGTGCTTTGAATGTGTCCCAGAGATTCTGGTATGTTGTGTCTTTAAAAGTATTCTTCTAAAACATATCATCGTGATTTCAAAGTGCAGAAAATAAAGGCTTACTTCCAATTTCTTTTATGAAATAAACATAAGGTTAACAAACATTGCACAGAAAAACTACAGACTGTTTACTGTGAATATTGATGTATAATTTAAATAAAATATTAACAAATAGGAACCAATACTGCATTTTAAAAGTACATCCTTACTAAGCCAGTGAAGTTAAATTTATGGTGAATGTTGGGTTAAAGAATGGTAAATCCGAGGCTTTATGACAGTGCTTCTGCACAGCAAAAGAAACTATCACAGTGAGTTTAAATATTATGAAATTCTTTAATATAATTAATCACATCAACATATATAAAGAGAAAAATATGATCTCATTAGAGACAATCTTTTAGCAAAAGGCATTTGACACATCAATACTATTTCATTTTTTTAAATAAAACTGCTAAATTAAACAGCTTTTCTAGAAACTGAAATAAGATCTATATATATTTCAGCTTTAAAGCTAGAATCTTATTTTTTACAGCTTTATTGAGGTATAATTGATCTACACATAATTGCTTAGTGAATACAATTTTATTATTTTGAACATATGAATACACCTATGACACCATCATGACAATCGCAGTAATAAACTTATCCATCATCTCCTTATGTCTCTGTGTGTGTGTATATGTGTGTGTGTTTATGTGTTAAGAACACCTAATATAAGATCTAGCCTCTTAATGAATATTGTTAACTACAGTCACTGTGTTGTACAGCAGATCATTAGAACTTATTCATCTTATATAACTGTAACTTTATACTCATTGAACAAAACCTCCTAATTTCCCCCACCCCATCCCCTGGCAGCCACCATTCTATTTTTCTATTTTCTGCTTATATAAGTTTGATTATTTTAAATACCTCATATAAGTGAAATCATGCAGTATTTTTTCATCTGTACCTGACTTATTTCACTTAGTATGATGTCTTCTAGTTCCACCCATGTTTTCATAAATGACAACATTTCCCTTTTTTAATGCTGAATATGTTTCCATTATTTATATATACCATATTTTCTTTATTCATCTGTTGGTGAACACTTAGATTAATTCTATATCTTGGCTATTGTGAATAACACCACAATGACCATGGGAGTCCAGAAATATTTTTGAAATTCTTATTTCAATCCTTTTAGATATATACTCAGAAGTGGGATTGCTAAATCATATGATATTTGTTTTTAACTTTTTGAGAAAGATCCATACTGTTCTTCATAATCACTGTACTAGTTTACATTTTTACCAACAGTGTACCAAGGTTCTCTTTTCTCTCTATTTTCCCCAACATTTCTTACCTTTCATGTGTTTAATAATAGCCATTTTAACAGGTGTGAGGTCGCAGAACATTGTTTTAGTTTGCATTTCTCTGATGTTTAGTGATGCTGAGATTTTTTCCATATACCTGTTGGGCATTTCTATGTCTTCTTTGGAGAACTGTCTATTAAGGTCCTTTGCTCATTTTTAAATTGAGCCATTTGGTTTTTTGCTACTGCGTTGCAGGAGTCTCCATGCATTTTTGTTATTAACATCTTACCAGATATATGGTTTGCAAGTATTTTCTCCCATCCTGCAGGTTGCCTCGTCACTCTGTTGTTTCCTTTGTTGTGCAGAAGCTTGCTAGTTTGATGTAATCCTGCTTCCCTATTTTTGCTTTTGTTGCTTATGTTATTGGTGTCATATGCATGAAATCATTGCCTAGACCAATGTCATTTAAGCATTTTCCCTAGGAGTATTACAAGTTCTAGCCTTACCTTTAAGTACTTAATCCATTATGAGTTTATTTTTGTTTATAGTGTAAGCTAGGGGTCCAATTTTATTCTTTTGTAGGTGGATGTGCAGTTTTTCCAATACCATTTGTTAAACAGGCAATCCTTTCCCCGTTGTGTGTTTTTGGCACCCGAGTTGAAAATCAGTTGACCATATACGCTTGGGTTTATTTCTGGACTTTCTATTCTGTTCCATTGGTTTACATGAGGAGACTTCAAAAAGACTGTAGAAAACTAGAATTAAAAGATAAAAGTAAAAAAATAAACTTTATTTCCCAACATAAGCTCCATCAAATTAAAGACATTTTTTTGTAAGCAATGACCAGTAATTCAGTCCATCCCTAAAGAATTAAGGGTCCTTGGAATTTAACCGTGTCAATGCAGTCTTTTTCACATTATTAACGTGGAATAAATGGGTGTGCTTTAAGGATATTTTAAGATTCAGAAACAAAAAGTTAGAAGGATCCAACCAAGGACTATAAGGTGGGTGTGTAGTTATTTTCAACAAAATTCCAACAAAATTGCCGTTGTTTGATGAGAGGAATAAGCAGGAGCATTGCAATGGTGGAGAAGGACTCTCTGGTGAACCTTTCCCAGGCATTTTTCTGCTACAGCTTTGGCTAACTTTCTTAAAATATTCTCATAATAAACAGATGTTATTGTACTTTGGCCACCAGAAAGTCAACACGTAAAATGCTTTGAGCCTCCCAGTGAAGTATTCCATGAACTTTGCTCTCAACCATTCCACTTTTGCTTTGATTGGACCACTTCCACCTCTTGATAGCCATGGATTTGATTGTGCTTTGTCTTTATGATCATACTAGTAAAGATGTATTTCAGTTTCTGTTACAACCTTTGAAGAAATGCTTCAGGACCTTGATCCCATTTGTTTAAAATTTCCATAGAAAGCTTTGCTCTTCTCTACAGCTGATCTGGGTTCAACAGTTTTGGCATCCATTGAATGGAAAGTTTGCTCAACTTTATTTTTTTAGTCAGACTGTGTAATCTGACTAATTGAGATGTCTATTGTGTTGACTATTGTTTCTGCTATCATTATTAGTCCTCTCCAATTAGGGCACCGACAAGTACATTTTTTACTTGATAACTGATGTGGATGGTCTGCCACTGCAGGCTTCATCTTCAACATCATGTTGTCCTTTCTGAAAAGGAGGACTTTGTAAACTGTTGATTTCTTTGAGGCACTGACTTCATAAACTTTTCATAAAGCCTAGGATTTACCATTCTTCAACCCAACATTCACCATAAATTTGAATTTTAGCAAAATTTATGTTGCTCCAACAAGGGCTCTTATTTAAACATGTTATAACAAGTTAGTGGAAGTTTATTTTAGTGCAAAAAAAATTGAAATCCATGCATACCTTTTTCATAATACAAATTTTCCATGAATTTTTGAAGTCCCCTTGTAACTCAGTCTTTATGCCAGTAATGAGGAGACCCTAGAGTCAGTCACATAAAAGTCAGAAACGACAAAAATGTCTTCTGTTCTTACTATTATTTTGCTATTTGATTGTATTGAGATCTACTTGACAAAGTGGTTAGTCATAAACGAAAAAGCAATTAAAAGTGTAAGAAGTAAAAAGAGGGAAATACCACCTCCATTTGTCTATGGCATGATTAAATATCTAAAACAATTAAAAGCACCAATAAAAAATGGCTGCAAGATTAGAAAGATACAAAATTAATATACAGAAATTAATAGCCTTCATAGATGAAAAGAGGAATTAGAACATATCACAGAAAATCCCTTTTGTTTATTTCAAATGAAAATAAAATAGACAAGCAAAAATTTAATAAACTATATAAAAACTATATCAGGAAAAATATAAAATATTACAAAGGACAAAATAGTATACTTTATAAATGGAAAGACATACTATGCTCTTGAATAGAAAGACTTGATTTTTTTAAATGCCATTTGCTTTACCTGGGATACAATTATGAATGTAATGTAATGTGATCAAGGAAAAAAAAATGCCATCAATGTTTTTCTGTGATTAGACATATTGATTACAAAGCTTATATGAAGAAATGAACCAGCAGTTGTAGTCACAAAACCCTTAAAATAAAAAGAGCAATACATATGGGAGGTGAGAAGAAATGTTAGCCATAATAAATATGTAAACATATTGTAAAGCTGCTAAAAAATATAGTGTGGTATTTGCACATGAAGAAAGACACAGATCAATGGAACAAAGCAGAGGATCAACATACTATATATACATATAGCATGTATATATACACACACTATATATATACACACACACGTTCTATATATATATACACACACACTATATATAGAGATTTAATAAAAGTTGTAAAAATTGGGTAGTCATATAAAAATAGACTCATTATTTAAACCAAAACTAGAATAAATTCCAAATCAATCAGAACTCTAAATTCAAATTTGGAATAATACAAGTATTAGAAGAAAATATGAGCAAATTACTTTATAATCTTCAAATACTCTGCCTAATGGAAAATAGGGAAATTTTGCTAGCTATAATTCAAAATCCAGTGTCAGTACAAGAAATGATTGATAACATAGCAAAACACAAAAGCAATGTAAAAATACAAATAAAAAATTGAAAAAATATGTGTAACATATCAAAAAGGCTAATATCTAGTACCTGAAGAACTTTTAAAAATGGAAATTAAAGTACCAATAACCCATTAGAAAAGCGGAGAAATTATATAAAATATGATCAATATGCAACGTATAAAAATGATCCTTAAACATATGAAACAAGACTACCTTTATTTAAAATTATAGAAAAACAAACCAAACTGTACTGAAATACCATTTTTAATTACCTGATTGTTAAAAAGCTGAGGCTGACAGGATGTTCCACATGGACAGTTCTAAGAAAACAAACACCCTCATTCATGGTTACAGAAATGCGAAATGATGAATCCTATGAAGAAGAATTTGGAAATATTTACCAAATTGCCTATGTGTTATTCTGTGACTTGAGGATCTTTCTTCTAGATTCTGGCAAATATGCAAATTATCCTTTAAGCAAGGTTGTTAATTGTGACATTAATTAAAGATATATTAATAGGGAATTACACTGTTGTGCCTCCACTCAAAGCAGTGCTGTGCAGCTATAAAGAGGAATAAAGGTGATTTGTGTGTCTAGAAAAATATAGATAAATAGATGATAGATAAAGATAGATAGCTCTAGGATATACATTAAGTAAAATAAATTACAAAATATTATTTCTAGAATGATACCATGTATGTAAGAGAGGGGAATTGTGTGTGTATATGTATTTCATTCAATTTTCAAAATAGAAACCATGTAAATGTGAAACCAAACCTAATAAAATTTTGCCCATGCAGAGAGTCGGGGCAAAGGGTCAATGGAACAGGAATACTATCAGGACTTTTGTGAATTTTTTTCTACTTTGACTTGGAACTATGTAAATATTTTATATAATTTAAAATTTTACTTTTTGTTTTGTTTTGTTTTTTATTTTTTATTTTTATTTTTTATTTTATTATTATTATACTTTAAGTTTTAGGTACATGTGCACAATGTGCAGGTTAGTTACATATGTATACACGTGCCATGCTGGTGTGCTGCACCCATTAACTCGTCATTTAGCATTAGGTATATCTCCTAAAGCTATCCCTCCCAAATGAAACGTCTAAAATTATAAAACATACTGAAATAACAGCTGTCACTTCCAGTGATTTTTCAGTTTATATACCTGACAGCATAACTATCTGCTTAAGTTTTCTGCACCCTCTGTTGTGATCATGTGTAAATTTTTTATGTGTACCTGTAAAACTTTTCTAATATATATTAGCAATTAAAGACTTTAAAAAAGAAAAGTAGGCCGGGTACGGAGGCTCACACCTGTAATTTCAGCACTTTGGGAGGCAGGGGCAGGTGGATCACGTGAAGTCAGGAGTTCGACAGCAGCCTGGCCAACATGGTGAAACCCCATCTGTACTAAAAATACAAAAAAATAAACTGAGTATGGTGGCACGCTCCTGTAGTCCCAGCTACTCAGGAGGCTGAGGCAGGAGAATCCGTTGAACCCAGGAGGCGGAGGTTGCAGTGAGCTGAGATCAGGCCACTGCACTCCAGCCTGGGTGACAGAGTGAGACTCTGTATCATAAAATTAATTAATTAAATAGGAAAATTATACATATTCACATAATGAGTCTCCCTGCTCCTAACTTCTCTCTCTTCCTTCATGAAAACCCTATGTGAAATTTATCTTACTCCAACACTATTTGATCATGTCACTCAAGGACAAACAGAAGGCTTCAGTGTGTTACACAGATTTAAAAAAAAAACAAAAACAAACAAAAAAAACCACTCCACAAGTTGTGTTTCATGGGTCTCTTCTGACCGCTCCTTATCTTCTAAGCTTTCCTCCTTGCTATTATCCCACTGGTTTCCATTCTGTCCATCATTTCTCACCACAAATTCCATTTTGTATCCAGCACAACTTCCCAGTTCTGCCCTTCCCACCTCTATTTCATCATAGGTTCTTGGTTTGTTAGGCCCTCCTGACTTCTTCCCCACCTATGTGTCTTACTTTAATAAAAAAATTCTTAATCCTATACAATTTCTTCATCCAGCGCTGTCATTATCCCCCTATTTCTTTTTAAAATTAATTCATTACTCAATATCCCCTACAACCCATCAACAAAATTTTTTGCTTAATTAGTACTAACTGTAATCTCTCTTTACATCAATATATAGTACTTATCCTTTTAGAGTAGAATCCCCACCAGTGCAGAGATTTGTTTCTGGTGTGTTCCTAAATAGCATCGAGTTTATTATGGTTGAAGATGTTTATACCTAAGTCCCAGAAGTTCTGCTCTGGTGAGATAACAGCCACATCCAGGCATTAATTGGCCAAGGGAATTTGGCTAACTCAACTCTCTGACTGTTCTGGAAAAGATTTCATAATATTCATAAATTCATCTGTGCATCAAAATTGCTATTAAAGCAAATTATATAATTAATAAAAAATGTATTTGCACATGACTAGGAACACAATGACCTAGAAAATAAGAATGACGTGAATATGTTAAAGAAGGTCGCTTAGTTTGTGCCAAACCAATATGATTGGAATCCAATGGTGACGTAAGTTAGAAGTGGCATGTCAGCCTGACAACAATTTCCTGGCCAGGGTAAGTTTGCATCACGCTTTCAGCAGACGCTTCTAATAATATGCTTTCAGAAATAGGCATCTCACTTTTTAAATGTCTCCCCAAACACATATGCTTTGACACTCTGGATCAAACACACTTTTGAAAGCTTTTTCTAACAAAATGTTACCCTTATAGTGATACCTAAAATCTGACATGCTGTTACTAATAATTTTTATAGCTTCTTGCATAATACTGTAAACTTTGCACAATAGTTATACTGTTCCAGGGGGAAACAAACGTTTTTTCTCAAAAGACTATTTTCAATTAAAGACAGAATTGAGGAGAACACAAAATTAAATAGTTCATAAAACAAGATGACTCTTTTTGTGGCATAAACACCATGCTCAAGCATTGAAGTGAAGAATATAAAGAATGTGAAAGGAAGAAGAAAAGTCAAAAGAAAAACGAAAAGAGGTATATTTTGAAGTTTGATTTCTATAGCTTTAAAAGTTTAAAGAAATAATTTCCAGATTTAGAGTTTTATATAAAAGTATTTACTAGATTAATATGAAAAGTAACTTTGGTGATCTCTTGGCTCTACCTAGCACAGCAGATAATCTAGAAATAGAGGAGGAGTTTTATAGTGAGACCAAAACGTTCATACCTGACTCACATCACCCTGACTCCAATCTTAACCATACCCCCACTTCTACCCCCACTCCTACACACACACACACACAAACACACACACATTCACTGTAGTCCACTAAGAACACAGGACTAGAAGGGTGGAAGAAGATGGATGGGACTTATAGAGAAGGAAAAGGAGAATGGAGTGGGGTTGGGAACAATTATAAGAAAGCTATTAAAATCAAGTACAACTTTGGAATTTTAGGACTGAAATAAGGCTTTAATTTTTAAAAATAGATAACATTATATAATCTAATCCAGATATCATTCACCACCAACTGAGAAGGGGGGTTTAACATACAGACATCTGATGGGGGCCAGATATTAAAAAACAAATAAAACTTACATGTCTATCACAATTAGTTATATATACTGTTGGATTTACACGTTTCAAATGAACTTTACATTTGAAAATTCAGCATTTTCATTTTATCTAGAACAATTTAGCTTAAGCAAAGAAAATAATTATCCTAAAATCAGCAGGAATAAACTATTTCTATAAGTACCATATAAAATCTTATGCCTAGAAATTGCATGCTAAAATTTTAAGGAGACTTCCTTCTCTTCCAGTCATTAGGAAAACTGGGGACCCTGTTCTTTTTCAAAGTGAAAATTAAATATGTTCTTCTGACACTTTTAGCTTGAATATTAAAACTTGGACAGAATTAGTCATTGCTAATAATCAACAATATATTCAACTGCCACCAATTAGGGACTCTTCGAACAACAACATGTCATTGAACAATAACAACAAAAATGAATCTTAGGAGAAAAGAATAAACACAAGTACAGTATCACATTGTAAGTTTCAATAAACATTTGCCAAGAGCCTTGAATTAAAATAGAACCCGTCAGTTTATTATACATAACTTCAAACTGAAGAGCTTTTAACACAGACATCTGTTAGCTAGTTGCTGATGGACCTTAGACATGTGCATATGTATGTAAGCAAATATACACATAGCTCATTTAGACTTCCCTCATGCACCATTCCAAAAGGAAACTCTAAGTTTCATATCTTACTCGTATGTACTGCCATTTCTCTCAATAATCGTTTGCTAGCTTGTCTTTGAAAAATGCCTTATGTCAATTTTATTTTAAGTAAAGGAATAGTTAATCATAGAACATAAAAAAGTAAACTGAAGCATATTTAAAGTAACACTTTAAATTCTAAGATGTATATGAAACCTATTAAATAAAGAATAAAAAATGAAAATGAAAAACATCTCCTGAAAGCAAAATAAAAGTAATGGTATGCACTTATGGCTTAACTTAGGCCAGAGGATCCTTTTAGGATATAAAGTCACCATCTTAGATGGCAAAATCCATTCTGTTAGGGTAGGGTTCCCTTACCAGGGTGAGGGAGGCGACCACATCAGTGTTTTACCAAAATAAATGCCTTGTAAAACAGAATCTCAGGTGTTAAAAGGGGAAGGAGATTATTATTTTTATAAAGCTTCCAGTATATTCTGCTATATATGCTTTAGCCTACAGAACCCACATTTGAAAATCGCCATCTTGATTTACCCTATTGCTAAAGATACATGTTTAATTCAACTGAATACATATTTGGGAGCACTTATGAGGCATGTGATTCTTCTGAAATTTTCAGCTCAAGGTAGCACTCACTCTCATTTATTTTCTCTTGCCCCTCCACTCTGTGATTAAGTGCCCCTCTTCTCTCCTCTTAAAGCCTCTGGTGCACCCCTCTTAACGGAACAGTCATCTCACCTTTTAGTCTGTAATTATTTATTTGAGTGTCAATATTATTTACATATTTAGAGCCTAAAAGAATGTCTAATACAAAGAAGATACAAACATAATGTTTGATGGGCGGATGAGTTAATGTGTTCACTAATTCAGTAAATACTTCTGGAGTGCCAATTACGTGTCAGACACTATACTAAATGCTGGTAATGCTGTATCTTAGACACACACACACACACACAAACACACACACAGAGAGAGAGAGAGAGCAAGTAAGTGAATGAGGAAGCAGAAAGGAAGGAGAGATGGGGAGTTAAATGAGGCTGAGTAAGAAACTAATTTTCTTCTCAAGCGCATGTAGTTTAATAGGAAACTCACCATTTCTTATTCCATCAGTCAGCCAGTCTATCAGTCAACAAATATTTATTGGAATCTACTTTGTGTCAGGTACAACTGGAGATGCACACCACAGTAAACAAGAAGCTCCGGGTACCTACCTTAGTGATCCTAAGATCTAGGGCAGTAGGCAGAAAAATGAACAAATTACCAAGATGTATTATAATATTTGGTAAGTGAATAAGTGCTTTGAAGGAAATGAAGAGGATAGAGGCCAAAGAGCAGCTGATACAGGCATTACTTTATACAGGATATACGGGGACAGGCTGTCTGCAATGTTACATTTAAAAGACCTCGAGGTTCACCAAAAAACTACCACTCATGTATGGGATGTTGATAGTGAGGGAGGTTTGTATGTGTGGGAACTAAGGGTGTAGGGACTAGGGTCTTTTACTTTCTGACATTTTGGCTGTAAGCTAGAACTACTCTAAAAAATAAAATATATTAAAAATACATACACACATATAAATTCAGAAATAAAAAAACCCTGAGGGAATACCACAATTTAAATACTTTGATATCCTTATAACATTTACTATATTTGCAAAATTTGGTAACAGAAATTCTTATGAAGAGTTTATAACAGACACACTCTATCATTCTCTACAAAACCACGTTATACCACCTATAAATTTTACTGCAAAACCCAAGTCCATTCAGCTGCCAAATGATGCCTCAAATTCCACTATAAAGCCACCAAATCAAACAGAAGACATGGAAGATTAAACATTTCTCTTTAATAATGACTTTTCTATTCACTCCACCCTAACCCCATCTGCTTTCCAGCTGTTCAGCCCCTCGCAAATCCCATTTTTAGAACCTATTCGTTCATTTTCTTTAAAGAAACCTAAATTCCCTTATTATTTATTAATACATAAGTAATTTTATACCTAAATACATCTCGTAGCCTCAACTACAATTTACCACATTCAAAAAGTTACCCACATTATATTATTTATAACAAATTCCTTCTGAAATCACTGCTGTCTTCTACCCTAAATTTGTTTCCAGGATCCACATTTGCAATCAATACTCTTAATACTAGCATATACTTGCCAAAATCTCTGGTCTTTT
Source organism: Homo sapiens (assembly GCF_000001405.40). Taxonomy (NCBI): domain Eukaryota; kingdom Metazoa; phylum Chordata; class Mammalia; order Primates; family Hominidae; genus Homo; species Homo sapiens. Next base: position 81,519,898 of record NC_000006.12, read on the forward strand.
TCATAGACTCCACCCATTCATATTATCAATTCCCCCTGTTAAAGAATCAGTCTCTCATATGATGTCAATTTTCAGGACTATAAAGAAAAGGGAGGAAATGCAAATAAACATTGATTTTTATTTATTCCTTTTTAAATTCTTACTCTCTCCAGATGTGTGATTTCCTCATAATGCCAACCCTTTTAAGTCTTCATCTACCACCTTTATACCAAGGTGCCCCAAATTAATGATCTCTAGTCCCGCCCCTCTCACTATGTTGTCAACTGCCTACCAGTCCCTGACACCTGATTTTCAGCCAACACTGGAAACTCCAGAAGTTTGGAATGATCCTTCTTATGCTGACACTGCAATGAGTTCTTCTGACTGTCCTAGCTTCATCTCACCACTCTTCCAGTCACACAAGTTCAAAGCTTTGAAGTAATCTTTCTTCTTCCCTCTCACTCACTTGCTTGCCAGGTCCTGAAAATATTTTATTCTGTAGCATGTCACTCAATATTCCCTTTCTTTTTATTTCCACAGTTGAGCTAATGGCTCACATCTGGATCTTTGCAATAGGAAGCCTAACTAGTTTCCTAACTCCACATCCATTCCTCCTAAGCTGTTACCAACCATCATCATATTAGGCTTCCTAGAACATAAAACCAAGTACAGGATGCCCTATGGAAATATTTTAAAATTCTGTGGTAGGGCATTCAAGGTCTTTCATTCTAAAAATCAAATCTATATTTCCAGTACTGAGCAACTGCAGTGCTATTCACTTGTCAGCCTACCCACTCTTCCCAACACATTGCTTTCCTTGCCCTTTTTGTTTTCAACACAATATTCTTTTTTTTAATTTTATTATTATTATACTTTAAGTTTTAGGGTACATGTGCACAATGTGCAGGTTTGTTACATATGTATACATGTGCCATGTTGGTGTGCTGCACCCATTAACTCGTCATTTAGCATTAGGTATATCTCCTAATGCTATCCCTCCCCCCTCCCCCAACCCCACAACAGTCCCCAGAGTGTGATGTTCCCCTTCCTGGGTCCATGTGTTCTCATTGTTCAATTCCCACCTATGAGTGAGAACATGCGGTGTTTGGTTTTTTGTCCTTGGAAATAGTTTGCTGAGAATGATGGTTTCCATTTTCATCCATGTCCCTACAAAGGACATGAACTCATCATTGTTTATGTCTGCATAGTATTCCATGGTGTATATGTGCCACATTTTCTTAATCCAGTCTATCGTTGTTGGACATTTGGGTTGGTTCCAAGTCTTTGCTATTGTGAATAGTGCCACAATAAACATATGTGTGCATGTGTCTTTATAGCAGCATGATTTATAATCCTTTGGGAATATACCCAGTAATGGGATGGCTGGGTCAAATGGTATTTCTAGTTCTAGATCCCTGAGGAATTGCCACACTGACTTCCACAATGGTTGAACTAGTTTACAGTTCCACCAACAGTGTAAAACTGTTCCTATTTCTCCACATCCTCTCCTGCACCTGTTGTTTCCTGACTTTTTAATGATTGCCCTTCTAACTGGTATGAGATGGTATCTCATTGTGGTTCTAATTAAACTAAAGAGCTTCTGCACAGCAAAAAAAACTACCATCAGAGTGAACAGGCAACCTACAAAATGGGGAAAATTTTCGCAACCTACTCATCTGACAAAGGGCTAATATCCAGAATCTACAATGAACTCAAACAAATTTACAAGAAAAAAACAAACAACCCCATCAACAAGTGGGCGAAGGACACGAACAGACACTTCTCAAAAGAAGACATTTATGCAGCCAAAAAACACATCAAAAAATGCTCATCATCACTGGCCATCAGAGAAATGCAAATTAGACATAATATTCTGTACGACTGAAAATGTCTTTTACTTGACAGCTCTTCCTCCACTTGATAAAATTTTAATAATTTTATAAAATTATGTGAGATGTTTTCTGATATGTGGATTTTTCCATGTTACAATTTCTCCACCATGGATTACATCACTGCTTTGGTTATATACATGTTTTAATTCTATAAAACAATTAGGGCTATCTCAAACTCTCAAAATGCTACTTCCTCTGCCATAAAACATGATATTCTCACTCCAGAAATTCAGTAAAATTACAAACTTCTTAAATACTTTTTATAGACAATTTTTAGTTATCTATATCTCTACCCCAAAATTCAACTCCCTGTCCCCAAATTAAAACTATACATTGGGATGAGATATGTGTCTTTATTTATGTATGAACTCTTTATTTATACACTGACTCATTCATTCATTCACCTTTGCATACAACATTAATCATAAATCCATAAAGAATTTAACATTGCTTGTGGAGTTAGAGTATGATGATTAAAATAATATTAAAATAAATAATAAAATATGATAAAATTTTAAAAAGTAAGATTATTAGAAGTTCTGATTGGGAGAAATGAAAGAAATACATACTATTAAATACCATACATTTCCCAATTATTGGCCACAAATAAGTTATTTGAAATCTCTTACATGGTTTATCATAATGCTTTATATCTAGAAAGGGATTAATGAATGTTTTTAAATTGCTAACTGAATCATTATTCTTCCTATTTTTTTTTTGAGAGATAAGTCAAAACTCTTCAGAAACGTGTTTTGGTTTTAGCAAACCAACTTATTTATTTTTAAGTATCAATATTAATGGCATATAAACAAACAATGTTCTGGCACATATTTTGAGAAGATGAAAAAACAGAATGGACAAGCTTAAAGTAACCTGATATGACACAATAATAAATATATTTACGGTCTTTGCAGTCATTTCTTGGTGCATAGCTTTTAAAACCCTTGAAATCTCTAAAGTTATAAGTGTATTTTTGTGTCCTAGTGAGATTACTAGCATGGCTGTGGGTTCCTGGATATGGGGGCATCCTGGATATTATCCAGGATGGGGGCTGGTTGCCAGGGGAACCAGCCTGTGATTAAAGAATTGAAATTTTGAGCCCCAGCCCCCAACATCCAGGGAGGAAAGAGGGGCTGAAGGTAAAGCTAATAACCAATGGCCAATTATGTAATTAATTATATGTACATAATGAATCCTCTATAAAATCCTCAAAGGACAGTGTTTGGAGAGCTTCTGGGTTGCTGAACACATCTACGTCCCAGTAGCATGGCACATTCCATCTCCATGGGGACAGAAGTTCCTGCACTTGGGACCCTTCCAAACCTCACTGTCTGTACCTCTTCATCTAGCTGCTCATTGGTATCCTTTAACATATCCATTGAAATAAATAGGCAGTAGTAAGCAAAGCATTTCCTTGATTTCCATAAGCCATTAGATCAAATGATGGAAGCTGAGGAGAGGGTTATGGGAAGCCCAATATGTAGCCAATTGATCAGATGTATTGGAGATGGAGACTTGGACTTATGATTAAATCTGAAGTAGGGTACAGTCTTGTAGGACTGAGGCCTTCATCTGTGGAATTTGACTCTCGCTCTAGGTAGATCATGCCAGGACTGAATTTAATTATAGCCCAACAGGCTAGTGTTGGAGAATTGGTCAATGTGGGGAAAAAAACACACAAACATACACATCTGGGGTCACAGAAATGTTCTGTGTTGAGTTTGAGCAGTAAAGAACAAAATTGTCTTTTTCTAATATATACCTGACATATAAGAACATCTGTATTTATACTAATGTGTACATTTATTCACTCTTCAATAAACCCTCATTCAGGTCCCATTCTATGAAAAGTACATGCTGTCATTTTTTTTAGAGATACAGGAAGATAGTATTTACTTTAAAAAAATCATCATCATCATCATTCAGAATAAAAGATAAAATAAAATGAATAAGTTGTTATTGCCTTAGTCAAAGATTCCAGAAATGACTCATCTATGTCTCTCATTTTATCAAGAACTTTTTAAAAAGGAATCTCTTATACCTCCCATATTTAAAATCAATATTATTACTTGTCCCTCCAAACCTCTCCAACTGTGTTCCCATTCATAGAAACAATTCTTCATACAATTTCTTTGTCTCCACTTTCTTACTTCACATTCACTCTCCCACCATGACCTTGCTGCTGTTCCAATTAGTTCAATGAAATTGAACTGCACTGACTGGGATCACCAAATACTTCTTGTTTCCATGTCCAACAGGCACAATTTTTAAAAATAAAGCAACGAACATCATTTAATATCATGAGCTATTCTGTACTTCTTTAAACGGGTTTATCTCTTTGTCCACTCATAACTCTCCTTTTCCAGTTTCAGATCTTTGACTTGGACTTAAAATGTAGTTCACTAAAACCTAAGACTTGAAACTGTAAAAAGACTAGAAGAAAACAGAGGGAAAGCTTTGTATCATCAGTCTCAGTGGTGATTTTTTGGATGTAGCTCCCAAATCACAGGCAACAATAGCAAAAATAGAGAAGTGAGATTACATCAAACTAAAAAGCTTCTGCCCAGCAAAGAAATATTTGACAGAATGAAGAGAAAACCTATAGAATGAAAAAAAATTGCAAACCATACATCTGCTAAGGGATTAATATTCAAAACACATAAGGAATGAAACAACTCAATAGAAAAAAATAACCCAATTAAAAAATAATGGGCAAAGGATCTGAATACATTTCTCCAAAGATGACATACAAATGGCCAACAAGCATATGAAAAAAATACTCAACTTCACCAATTATCAGAAAAATTCAAATTAAAGCCATAATGAGATATTACCTTCCACTTGTTAGAATGTCTAGTCTCAGAAAAATGAAAGATAACAAGTGTTGATGAGAATGCAAGAAAAGCGAATCCTTGTACAGTGTGGATGGGAATGTAAATTAGTACAGCTATTATGGAAAACACAATGGAGGTCCCACAAAAAATTAAAAATAGAACTACCGTATTATCCAGCAATCTCACTACTGGGTATATATCCAAAGGAAATGAAGTCAACATGTCAAAGAAATATCTACACTCCCATGTTCACTGCAGCACTATTCACAATAGCCAAAATATAAAATCAACCAAGGTGTCCAGTAGTGGATAAATGGAAGATGTGGCGTAACAGTGGAATACTATTCTGCCTTAAGATAAAGGAAATCCTGGCATTGGAGACAACATGAATGAACCTGAAGGATACTATGTTAAGCAAAATAAGCCAGGCTCAGAGAAACAAATGCCATATGATCTCATTTATATGTGGAATCTAAGTAAGTCAAACTCATAGAAACAGAGTAGAATGTTTCTTACCAAGGACTGTCGGTGAGTGGTAATTGGGAAGATGTTGGTCAAAAGATACAAAATTTCAGTGAGACAGAGGAATAAGTTCAATAGATCTATTGAACATCATGGTTTCTGTAGTTAATAACAATGTATTGTATATTCGAAAATTGCTAAGAGTAGACTTTAATGTTTTCATCACACACAAAAAATTGTAAGGGTATGAAGTAATGCATATATTAATTAGCTTGTTTTAGCCATTCCACAATGCATAAAATATTTTAAAACACAACATCATACACAATAAATGTATAGAATTTTGTCAATTTAAAAAATAAATAGGCCAAGCACAGTGGCTCACGCCTGTAATCCCAGCACTCTGGGATGCCGACGTGGGTGGATCACCTGAGGTCAAGAGTTCGAGACTAGCCTGGCTAACATGGTGAAACCCCGTTTCTACTAAAAATACAAAAAAATTAGCCAGGCGTGGTGTCACGTGCCTGTAATCCAAGCTACTTGGGAGGCTGAGGCAGAGAATCGCTTGAACCCGGGAGGCAAAGGTTGCAGTGAGCAGAGATCGTGCCATTGCACTCCAGCCTGGGCGACAGGAGTGAAACTCTGTCTCAGAATAAGAATAATAATAATAATAATTACAATAAAAATGTAGGCATTCTATAGTGCTTAGTCTTTGATCCTCTCCTTTTCTCACTCTACACTTTTTCTCTATGTAATATCATTCAATTATATGGCTTGCACATAAAATACTAACTACTCAAATAGATATTTCCAGTCTGAACCTCTCAAATAAGCTAAAGCCTTATATGTCATAGTGGCCACAAATGTCTCCTAATGTCTAAAATGTATCTTAAATTTAATACATAAAAAAGTGGACTTGGATCTTCACTCCAAAACCTGTTCATCCCAGATCTTCAGTAAATTGCACCTGCACCACCATCTACTCAATGGTTCAACCCATATTCCTGGTAGACATATTTCATTCCTTTCTCTCCTTCTTCTCATGCCTCATATTTAATCAATCAGCAAAACTCCACAAATTATACTTCTAAGATATATTTCACAACCGTTCTTGTGTACTTCTCTACTAAACTGTCCAAGTCCAAACCTTTATCATTGAGTGGACTCTCATTATCTTCACTTCCTAAATGTGCTCTTTGCTGTTTTTCTCCCCTTACTTCCTTTCAGTTCATTTTTCACACAACAGTTCTATTGGCAAAATAAGTAAATTTGATCTCTCTTTCTCACTCCCTCTCTCTCTTTCTCTCTACCTCTCTCTCACTCTCTGCCTCTCTCCCTTTTCCTCTCCCTCTCCCTCCCTCTGATTTAAAATTGTTGACCAGCATGCAAACTCCTATCTTGTCCTTCAATGCCTACATCATCTGACCTCCTGGCCTACCTATTTTCTCTATTCCAATCATACTGGCCTCCTTTCAGTTCCTGAAAGATTCCTAGATCTTCCATGCTTGAAATATTTCACTTATCCTATTCTTTCCACCCAGAATTCTCTTTACTTACATCTTTGCATGGCTGAGTGTTTTTTTTTTTTTCTTTAAGTGTCAGTTTGTGTTACATGAAAGAAGTATTCACTGATACTGGCAGCAGCTCTTTTTTTCAGAGAATTTGATGTTTTTATTATTGGTTTAATTCTTTAGCTATGTCTTCTCTTTGTAATCTATATGCCCTATGTGGGAAGCCACACTATCTGTCTTACGCACTTCTGTAAGAATTACCTAGAACAATGTCTGGTAGCTGGTTAGCAAAATAAATATTTTTAAACAAATATATTGTTTTAAAAATGACTGAATTAACCAATTACATACTACTATAAAGAATTTAAATTGATTTTCTAGATTTGGAGCCAGTTGTATATTAAGCTCTGATGAAAGTCAATATTTCTTAATACTAAATGATTAAAGCAAAGAATGGGTAGAATTAGTACCTAAATCAATGAGAACTAAATAAAGAGAAGCTAACCACATACATTTGTAATACCTGACGCTTCAGCCTATGAGATAGATTGTGTTTTACTTATGTGGTCTCCTTCTCTCTAGATTAAAATTCAAATGTAAATGCAAAATTTTATGGGCCATTTGCTTTCACAGTAAACTTGGATATCATTTGGTATACTTCAATTTTTTTAAACTGTGAATACCTGAGAAGATTTAGGCTTTCATGGAAGTATAATCTGGAAATCTCTGTATTCATTGTTTCTTAAAAGATCTTAGCACAATTAAACAGGCTAAATGATGAAGACATTTAATGACAAATTTCATATTTTTTGTCCTTATGCTTTGTCATCCAGCTGAAAGCCCCTTAAGCCAAAACAATGAATCATTTATGACAACCTTGCAAGGGGCCAAACACAACTCAACATAGACTCAGGTGTCTTTCTTCAGTCTGACATGCAATGTTACCACTTTTTAGCATGAAGTGGGAAACCTGAAAGACAGCAAAGCAGAAAAGAATAAATAAGTAATTAAGCTTTTTCTATCCAATGGAAAACAATTTAGAAGTTTGGCATTACTTTTTATATTTTTTGTAAATTCCTATTTCAGTAAACAAACATCAGTATAAATACTAAATAAGGCCACAATTAATTGATTCTTGAACCAACTGTATCAGCAGTCTCTATATTTAACATAAAAAATCAAATGCCAACTATACTATCATATTCAAATATATGTTAATAAACAGCATTAATAAATGCTCTAAAATGAGTTCAAAAATAAAGATAAAGCATATTTGCTAAGAAGTTGACTTCTAATGAAAAATACTAAACATTGTCAAGCATTTTATATTAAAAATCCGTCTAATTATCTCCCTTTTGTTGCTTGGGAAGGAGCGAAATTTCCTCAGAAATTAAGAACTTAGACACTACTCTTTACTTAATACCTATGACTTTTTGCAATGTAACCTTCTCATATAGTGAAGAGACTTCTGAGTGAGCTACATCCAAATTCAAACATGAGTCTGGAATCTTCCTGATTATATATATAGCTTCATAATCTCTCTATAAATCCGCTGATTTTTCTTATCCTTAAAATTGGGAAGACATCTTCCTCATCAAAATATTGAGATGACTATTTTAAATAAGATACTATATGTAAAGCTCTGAGCACTTGGATGTGCTCAATAAATATTACTTCATATGATCTTAGAGAAAAGTAAAGAGATTAAATTTTGTCAAATTTCTGCTAATGTTTCATAAACGTTCTCCCAGATGGTAGGTAAACCTTGTATCTGCCCTGTAGAGCTGATGATACTATAATTATCTCCACAGGTTTGTACTCAGAATTTGGTGCTCGGGGAAATTACTTGCACACTGCACATCTAGTACATTGGGATATAAAGGGTTTCAATTCAAATCTTAGAAATATTAAAAGCCATTTTTTTCTGTCCCTTTGGTTGACTCATAAGGGGAAATTTTCCAAGATGTGAGGGCCATCAGGACTACTTTAGTGGGAAAAGATCAAATTGATTAGACCCACTTGGTCAAACCCAAGAAATGGGACAGAAGAGTATTTAAAAGAAACTCAGAGTCACCCAAGAGGACAACCTTTCAGTAAAGTGACTCACTGGGACACCCATAGTTCAAATGTGTCTACATGTCCCCTCCTTTCCCATTCCCAGGACTTGGTATCAGCAAGTTCCCAGGAAGCAGAAGACTTTGTAGAGAAGTCTAGCCAAATAAGATATATCAAGATCTAAACAGAAATTGTTAAGTTTATCACTATTGTTTTTAATAAGCTATTTGCTCTTTCCTGTTTTTTCACTTCAAATGTTGGAGTAATGGTGGTAAAAGATTGTAAAAGCAATAGATAGACTACAAAATAAACTGTCTCAGTTATTTCCTCTAAATCTATCTCCAAAAGCCCACCTTTTATTAATAGGTAGCAGAGTATGAAACCAAGGCCATACCAATCCCAGGAAGCAGCTGCCTATTAAAAATGAAGCCCACTGAAACCACCCAGTTGCAACAACTAGAACAGAGTTTAGACAACCTATTATAATCAACCTATTTCTTATTCATGGCTCAAGAACTATAATTGCATAAGGACCTTACTGTACTCTGCACTCGATGGATGCTCAAAAAGTAGTTTCGGCCAAAACTAATTGATTTGACTAGGAGAATGAATGTGAAAATACTAAAATCTCTTCTCCTAAAACTAAAATAACATTTCTCAAAAACACCATTGTACATTCCAGAGGATATCTGTTCTAAACATTAAATGCAACTATCTGCTCTTAGCATTAAAATTTAGCTCAGGAATATCTTATAAAACATTTGAGAATAGTATAATTTTGCCTTTCAAAAATTTTTTTCCAATCAATATTTGGCTAGTTTTGAAAAATCTGGCAATCATATATTATTTAGTAATGATGATGACTGTCCCACTTTCTTTCTGCCCTTGAAAACAAATCTGGAGAATATTCCTATTCAAAACAATTTTTTTTCTAAAAACATCTGGCTATTTAAGTTTTATCTCCCTTCCTAATAAGGTTCAAAATTGGTATCACTCATGATCATCTGGTTATCATATTCATGGAATAAATTAATAATTATCCTAAATATGAGATATCTAGTGGGACAGTAGAATAAAATACTTAAAATATAAACCGAGTCAGAAAATCTAGAACATACAGTCAATGTGCATGTGATGATTGCTGATAATTCTTTGGGCTTTTATTTATTTTTTTTTGGAAGACTTCATTACCTGCTGTTTGAATAAAGTATTCAGAAGGATAACAGGTATTGCTGTTGTTGTTGTTGTTGTTGTTGTTGTCATCGTTGTTCTTTTACAAAAGTTTCCTAGTAGTTGATATGCTATCTAGCAGATGACAAAAGTCCTGCCCTATGGTGACAGAGCAAAGAATAAAAAATACCGGGCCTTCAGGACAATAGAAGGTGGGCATTTTCATGACAGATAGTGTTCTTAGAGAGTATAGAATTACTGGAGTAATGAGAATAGGACTGAAAGCCTTTTCTATAAATGATTGAGCATCCTCAGTGTCCTATGGATTCACAATGTCCTAGGAAAGAACTCATTTCATGGGGGAAACCAGTCATTTAGCACAGAGGGAAGCACAGTGGAGGGACACACAGGAGAACCTAGGGGGATAGAAGGAAAGAGGCATAAGATAACATCAAGGCTTGTAACCAGGATGTGCGAGCAGAGACCTCTTGGCACCCAGGGAATTGTGAGTGAGTTTGGGAATGCACAATTGTGAGACTCCAAGTTGGACTTTGTGATGTAGTAGGATGGTGGAATATGTTTGCATCTTGAATAGATTGTTGCTATTTTTTAGTTGTAACCACATTTTCTCCTAATGATAGGGTCCAGGTAAGTAGGAATAATTAGTTTGTTTCTGTGAGTAAATTTTCCAGTTATTTTGATAACAATTTGAGTGAACAAAACAGTGTGAGAAGAAAAGCAAGACATAAAGCATCCCAGGGTCTAATTTCTAAGGGTATCCCAGTGAAAATGTTATTTCAAATTAGATAATTTTAGAGATAGCAGGTAGAATTTATCTATTCACTTAGACTCTCATGTATGCACTAAGTACTACATATCTTCTGTAGGAATGTCTTGGAACCAGGGCAGATTATATGTACTAAATAAACACATGAGGGTGTACGATCAAGAAGCTTACAGAAGGACAGAAAAGACATAATCTCATTGAGATGGATGCAAATAGAAGATGCTACAATGACACGTAATTACCAAGTGACTTGCAATTGTTTCAGACTGGGGAGGGGACCAGTCAGATAAGGATGACAGAAGACAAAGATGACATATCCCCTAAAGTAATATTTGAAACAACGGATGATAGCCACCCCAATGATAACATTCCAGTTCGCCTTCAAATTAGATAATGAATACCTCAAAGATCTCATTAATGTAATTATATAGTATGTAGTAAACATCATGGTGAGCGATGGCATAGCAAAGTTGGAGGGGAGCAGGAATCATACAACCGTGAAAGTAACTAGACCAGACTCTAGCCCAACAGACATTGTACCCACCTCTAAATACAGTGCTAACTCAAGGGCTTTTTCATCTAATTCAAGTACTACAATCATAAACTCCTCCAAATAATTTGTGTACTGAAAGAATTCTACATTCTGCTGTTTCATGGACTTTGAAGAGCCATGTTCTCAATTTCAGGTATTCTCTGTGCCCTGTATAATTGTTTTTCTAGGAGACAGTTAACAGAACTCAGATAAAAACTGTATAGCAGTACTTCTTCTCTTTAGACCATCTGTCTCTTTAGTCACTGATTAATGGCTCTACACTTGGAAATTTTCGGCCTCTTTGGAAAAATAGCAAATTACATAAATCTAAAATATGTTAGTAGGTAGGAGACTTATGCTCTGCTTCCTTCACTTTGGCATCTTTGGGTCACACATCAAGACACTATAAAGTTTAAGGAAATGGAAATTTTGGTTTAAAATGTGTCCCTTCTCTCCCCAGTCTCATTTCTGTTTTCTTCAAGCCACTCTCCCACAATCACATTCACACTCATTTTGTGTCAATAACTTGAAAATCATACCATCAATCTATACACACACACACACACACACACACACACACATTTTTCATTTTTTTTTTCTACAACATATTTCAATGGATTAGGTTCTGGTACCAAACAAATAAGATATGGTCCTTGCTTCCCCAGAAGTTCTAATATGAACTTGACAGTAGCAACACACATCAACATAAAGTCATTTAGACAGCTGTACAAATACTGATAAATAATGTATATCCATTTTTTTAAATTAGTAAATATGGGTTATGTGGGTGAAAATTAAAAAATGAACTGCAAAATCTTCAGACCATTAGAGCTTATTAAATAAAATATATAGGAGACTATTGGTTTGGACTGAACTCCTGCACTAGACCCAACAGACCAAAACAAAATGGAGTCACTCATGCTATAAAGTTCCATGTCACTAAGCCAAAAGTAAGTTATCTGACCTGCCGAGAAATCAGGAGAGTGAGAGATAATAGCCAAATTCCCAAACAAGCCAGTCTTAGCCAACATGATAAGGAAGTGCTCTCTAACACTTACAAGGAAATTAACTTTAAACAACCAATCTGATTTTTGTTCTCTGTTTCTGCTTTCCTCAGCTCCTTGTCTACAAAACTAACCTGTTTAGCTCAGTTCATTGGAACACTCATTCTACCTTGTAAGATGAGGTGCTGCCCAATTTTAGAATCACAAATAAAAGCCAGTTGAGAGTTTCACTTTCAAATATGTTATAACTTTGTCTTTTAACAACCTGAAAGAGGTTTTAAGTCCATCGAGGTCTGCAGCTTCATTGTACAAAAGGGAAAACCACAAGCATAGTGTGTATAGGCGAAGGAAATCATAACATCACATTCCATTGATGGAGTAAGGCTTTTTGTAGGGGTTCAGATTTCCTGAATGCTCTGAACAGAAGAGATTGAGTTTTCTGTTTGAAATTTAGAAATCCTTCACTTGTACCTACAAGTAATCCCTTTTCTCAGAATCAGATGCCTTATGTAAATCTTTCATTGCCATCTCAAACAAGCCTGGCAGCCTTTTACCAAAGACAGAAAGCAGGCTCTGGAATTTATTTCAAGGTTTCCTTATGGTCAGACTAATGTTGCTAGGTTTCAGAAAAGATTCCTAGGAAAGATTCAGAAAAGATTCAACCCTAGGCTAAGGGTTGAAGCTGCACAGCATCTCTGCTTCCAAACATTAGTGTTTTCCTTCTTTTTTGAATGGTCAATAAGCCAGTTCCACATTATTAAAGTGAAAGATCATGAAAGACAATTTTTTAAGAAGTCCAATTCAATTTAACTGGGTGCAAAGGACCCTCAGTATTCTATTTTATTTCAAATTTTATGTATATGTAAACAAGTAGTATTAAAAAATGAATTCTTTTTTTACTCAAAGGTAAATTGCATTATTAAAACATAAGCCCTAATTTCCAAATATTGTGATAATAAGAATTTGAAAAAAAACATGTAACAGGAAAATTTTGAAGCAGGCTTGGCTTCATTTTGGAAACTCTAAATGTTACCAGTTTATTCCCAAGGGTAGTCATCAGCATTGATATTGACAAAGCTTTTCTTAAAATAGCCAATGAGGAGTTCTACATACAAGGTGTACTCAATAAGCTTGCTCATCAATTTACTGACTCACTAATAGATTTGCCACTGCTTTGTGTCATCAATTTAAAACATCCTTATCTGAAAATAATTTATGGAAATCCATGGTCCTTGAAAATGAAAAAGCATACTGTTTTGTTTTCAGATTTCATCATCCTGTTTTCTCTTTATTCATAAATATTTAAATGACAAATTAGGCTACCAAAATTATCACACCTACACTGCAGTCTCCTTTAACCCTCCTCACACAAAATGTTCCTTCCTTATTTATCTTTTCTGTTTGGGCATAAATAAAAAGCCTTGTAATTTGAATGTTTAATCTATAGAAGATTTCATTCCTTGTCAAAGAGTCTAGGTTGATCATATTCTTCCACTAATAGTATCATCCTATCTAAGTAGCTCATAAAAAATTAAGAATCACATGTAATTATTTTTATTCAGTTCCCTAAAACATATAAAACCTATACCTGATTTTTACATTTGATGAAGAAACTAAATGTTTATTTATTGAAGCTACGTGGTTTGTTTACTACAAGAGGTTTAAAGTCACAGTAGAAAAAAAACACAGTATAAATAAAGTAACAGGAATAAAATTGAAAATAAAACTTGAATAAGAAGCAAAAGAAGAGAAGATTCCCAGTCAGCTAAAATGAACACATTGTTGTATTTGTTTCTGATTTCCTGACATTTAAGGTAAACTCATATTTGCGCTTCAAGACATAGGTCAAATGACACCTGCTTTGTGAAGTTTCTCCTGAGCCCTTAAGGATCAGCAGTTCTTTCTTCTCCAGAACCCTAGTAGGATGTGAATACTTACCTCATTTGTCGCAATACTTTGCTTATAAATCCATCTTTGCTCACAGAAGCAATTCCTCAAGGCATCAAAATCAGGGACCTCTGCCTTTCCTTAGTTCCTGTTGTTACATGAGTATTTAGCACCCTCCAGTAGCCCATTTTTCCCCTCTGAAACTTTTTCAACTTATTTATTATCATTTGAGTTCTGACATATCACCAGTGAGTTCGTTCTTTCAGTCTGAAGACTCGCACTGCCTTTTTTTATTAAAACAAAATGTTTAATATTAAATAATTTCTACATCTTAACTTTTCCTCATACTCTTTTTCTAAAACTGCTAGAGAGATATCAAAGTCCCTGAGATGATGTTCAATAATTCATCAGTTCAATAACTCATATTTTCCAGTTTTTGTTCTATGCTTTGTGTGTTTATCAACTTTGTTTTTCAGAATACAGCATTAGTTTGGTATGTAGATTTTCTAGTTATTTCTTTCTTACATTTTCAGAAAATATGTTTGAGTTCCAAAAATACTTACTTGGTTTTCATAGCAGTCTGATTTTCCTTTATTTTTCTCTTCTAATGTATGTAGTGTGCACTCAAATCTTTCTGAGAATGTAATTAGAATATTTTTTAAGTTTTCTTATGTTCATTGAATTACTTCTGTTTCCTTTAGTCATTTGTTCTATTTCATTAGCTTGTTTCTTTGCATTTAGTTTGTCGATTTTCTTAAATTCTCTGATGATCTATAGTTGGTAATTCACAATTAAGAAGAAAGGTCTTGATGGATGAATTAAGGTAGCTGTCATACCTTTCTATGTAGGTCTGGATCTATTTTTCCAAAACGTCCTTCCATGAAATGAACAGGCTGTTTTCCTTTTTGTGTAATGTTAAAGAAAAAAAATATTCAATGATACTTGTTAAAGCACAGTAAAAAAGACTTCATTTAGGATCATTGCAGTAGCTACAGGAATGACTACAACTAAGTCTTAACAATAGGCTAGGGAGATTGAACTCAACTCCGAATACAGCAGGGGCAAGTGAGAATCTGTAGCCAAGAAGCAGATGAGGTAGTCAGAGGATGGAAAATTACTAAGCAGAAACATCAGGGGTAAGGGGAATTCTGGCTAAACCAACCTAACAGGATCTTGCTAAAAACAGACCAGAAAGATCAGAAATCACCTGGGGGATAAGGGAGGATAAGTAATATGATCAGCTACCAAGGGTGATCAGACACTGAGATTGGGGATTGTTGCTAAACTGACTTAGTTAAAACAGTATTTTACAAGGAAGTGCACAGATGGGCCTAGAAGAATGTTCAGAAGACGTGACTAAAATTTGGCCAAGCAAAGAATCCATGTCAGCAAGTAAGTGAGGACATACTAACTGGTTGGCATCATATTAGGATGTGTGGACAGGAGGTAAGCAGGTAGGCTGCCCATATGACAAAATAACAAGAATATTATTCTGGGAATGAAGCACTTTAGCATATTTTTCTCCCAGTCTGAGAATTTTTATTCATCTGTTCTCATGTTGCTGATAAAGACATATCCAAGATGGGAATTTATGAAGAAAATCAGGTTTAATGGACTCACAGTTCCATGTGGCTGGGGAGGCCTCAGACAAGAAAATAATGAGAGCCAAGTGAAAAGGGGTTTCCCTTATAAAACCATCAGCTCTCATGAGACTTAGTCACTACCATAAAAACAGTATGGGAAAAACTGCCCCAATGATTAAATTATCTCCCACTGGGTTCCTCCCACAACACATGGGAATTATGGGAGCTACAATACAAGATGAGATTTTGATGGAGACACAGCCAAACCATATCATTCTACCCCTGGCCCCTCCCAAATCTCATGTCCTCACATTTCAAAATCAATCATGCCTTTCCAAGAGTCCCCCAAAGTCTTAACTCATTTCAGCATTAACTCAAAAGTCCACAGTCCAAAGTCTCATCTGAGACAAGGCAAGTTTCTTCCACCTATAAGCCTGTAAAATCAAAAGCAAGTTAGTTACTTGCTGGATACAATGGGGGTACAGGCATTGGGTAAATACACCCAGTCCAAATAGGAGAAATTGGCCAAAACAAAGGGGCTACAGGCCCCGTGCAAGTCTGAAATTGAGTGGAGCAGCCAAATCTTAAAGCTCCAAAATGATCTCCTTTGACTTCATGTCTCACATCCAGGACATGCTAATGCAAGAGGTGAGTTCCCATGGTCTTGGGCAGCTCTGCCCCTGTGGCTTTGCAGGGTACAGTCTCCCTCCAAGCTGCTTTAATGGGCTGGCATTGAGTGTCTGCAGCTTTCTAGGCACAAAGTGCAAGCTGTCAGTGGATCTACAGCTCTGGAGTCTGGAGGACAGTGGCCCTATTCTCACAGCTCCACTAGGCAATGCTCCAGTGGGGACTCTGTGTGGGGCTCCAACCACACATTTCCCTTCCTCACTGCCCTAGCAGAGGTTCTCCATGAGGGCCCCAACCCTAGAGCAAACTTCTGCCTCAACACCCATGAATTTACATACATCTTTTGGAATCCAGGCAGTGGTTCCCAAACCTCAATTCTTGACTTCTGTGTACCCACAGACTCAAAACCATGTGTAAGCTTCCAAAGCTTGGGGCTTGAACCCTCTGGTGCAACAGCCCGAGCTGTACCTTGGCCCCTTTTAGTCATGGCTAGAGTGGCTGGGACACAGGGCACCAAGTCCCTAGGCTGCACTGAGCAGGGGGACCCTGGACCTGGCCCAAGAAACCATTTTTCCTTCCTATGCCTCTGGGCCTATGATAAGAGTGGCTGCTGCCAAGGTCTCTGACACACCCTGGAGACATTTTCTCCATTGATTCAGAGATTAATATTTGACTTGTTACTTATGCAAATTTCTGCACCTGCTTGAATTTCTCCTCCGAAAATGGGTTTCTGTTTTCTATTGCATTATCAGGCTACAAATTTTCCAAACTTTTATGCTCTGTTTCCCTTTCAAAACTGAATGCTTTTAACAGCACCTCTCAGGTCACCTCTCGAATACTTTGCTGTTTAGAAATTTCCTCCAAAGATACCCTAAATCATCTCTCTCAAGTTCAAAATTCCACATATCTCTAGGGCAGGGGCAAAATGCCACCAGTCTCTTTTCTAAAACATAGCAAGGATCATCTTTACTCCACTTTCCAACAAGTTCCTCATCTCCATCTGAGACTACCTCAGCCTGGATTTCATTGTCCATATCATTATCAGCATTTTGGTCAAAACCATTCAACAAGTCTCTAGGAAGTTCCAAACTTTCCTACATTTTCCTGTCTTCATCTGTTCCATCTGTTCCATCTTCGTCTGTTCCTGTCTCCAAACTGTTCCAACCTCTTCCTGTTACCCACTTCCAAGTCACTTCCACATTTTTGGGAATCTTTACAGCGGCACCCCATTCTACTGGTACCAATTTACTAAATTAGTCTATTCTCATGCTGCTGATAAAAACATACTTGAGACTTGGTAATTTATAAAGAAAAAGAGGTTTAATGGACTCACAGTGCCATGTGACTGGGGTGGCCTCAGAATCATGGAGGAAGGCAAACGGCATGTTTTTCATGGTGGCAGACAAGAGAAGAACGAGAACCAAGCAAAATGGATTTTCCCTTATAAAACCATCAGATCTTGTGAGACTTATTCACTACCACGAGAACAGTATAGGGGAAACCACCCTCATGATTCAATTATCTCTCACCAGGTCCCTCTCACAACATGTGGGAATTATGGGAGCTACAATTCAAGATGAGATTTGGATGGAGACACAGCCAAACCATATCAAAAGGTTTTCTTTTAAATTTCTTCTGTATGGTTGTAGAGCTTTCATGCATTCAGAAGTGAGCTCTGCTTCTGTCTCAGGTGACAAATGTCATACTGAACATGCTACCCCATCCTACACTCTACTTAGTTCCTTTCAAAAGAAGTTATCTGGCTTAATCTAGGGAATAAATGCCACTGATGTCACTTACTCTGTGCGGAGTTTCCAGAGGGTCACATTGGTCCTGTTAGCCTGCAGACAGACTTTTAAATAACTATCCTGACTGCTGTTTCACAACCCCTTTCCCAGAGGCCTGCTAACTAAACCTAAAACTTTCCTAACATATGTAAGGCATCTCCTTTGACTATGTAGGACTTCCAGTTGTGTCTTCTAATCTTGATTATCTGTCAATAAAATTATGTTCTCCAGAAATCATTCATAATTTCAGTTTCAATTGTACTGACAGCATCACATCCTATTTGTAATGCAGTTATGGATCTTCTTTTTCTTTATAAAACAACTCTCTGTCATTTCAATAGAAAGGTCAAAGAAAAACCCCCTTGCTAAGATCATCTTTGAACTATCAGCTCTGTGTATTTGGATTCTCAGTTGGAGTTTAGACGTATTTCTTTGCTTTAATTGTGGACCTACAAAATAAGTATTGTTATCTACTGTACACTTAAATGTTTATGTAACTAATTTACCATTCTTTGCAGTGTTTCATATGCCTAATTATTAATCTTTAGAAAGATTCTACTCTTATTGAGAAAATTACAAAGGTGATTCTCATAGAAATTATCTTTTGAGCTGTGGCACTTTTGAAAACCTGAAAATCAGTTAAATTCAGGCTCAGGGCTGAATCTGGCACCTAAGTCACAGGTTTCAATAGAGCTAGGAATATTAAAATGATAAAAATGCCCTTGATGCTTACCTTTTAACAACAACATTAATGACAGCAAAAGGTAGGCTCCTTAAGTGATTTTTTAAATCTTCCAATCCATTTTGAAGACACATCTAATGTCCAAGTAAAATCTAAATAATTGAGATCACTGATAAGGTTTGGCTCTGTGTCCCCACCCAAATTTCATCTGGAATTGTAATCCCCACATGTCATGGGAGGGACCTGGTGGGAGGTGATTGAATCATGGAGGCAGTTGCCCACTTGCTGTTCTCATGATAGTGAGGGAGTTCTCATGAGATCTGGTTGTTTGATAAATGTCTCTTGCCTGCTGCCAGGTAAGACATGCCTTGCTTCCCCTTCACCTTCTGCCACAATTGTAACTTTCCTGAGGCCTCCCAGCCAGGCAGAACTATGAGACAATCAAACTTATTTTCTTTATAAATTACCCAGTCTCAGATAGTGTCCTTATATTAGTCCAGTGTGAGACTGGAATAACACAATCATTTTTATAATATATTGTATAATACATAACCTAATTATAATTACTTAACAATATGTATTATGTTTACATACCAATTTGCCTGAATAAAAATCAAAAGTAATTCTCAATTTTGTTCTCTGTTCTGTTACCATCTTTGAGAAAAATTATCTGTCTAAAAAAATTATCTATTTTTCCTCTAAAGTTACTGGCCATATGTTCATTTAATCTCACAATTAGAGGCAGTCTTCTATTACTTTGCAGTCAATGAGAATGATAGGCACTGACCTTCTCAGATTGCTCTGAAATCTCAAGAAGTGCACTTTGAAAAGACAGTAGCTCTAGCGTCTCTCTCATCAGTTGAGTTCAATATTTTTTAGTAATTCAAAATATAGTAATTCAAAATTTCTTTAATGTTCATCTATCCTGAGTCAGAATAAAACATGGATGGTTTTCTTTGTTTCCTAGAGAAATCTATTTCACTAACTTTTTTTTTTAATAGGGCAAAGTAATATGTGATTCGAAATTTTCTCAGATGTTTTTTCTGTTTCTAACACACATTAAACCTCCTTTTACATGCCTCATAATATACTTTAAATCTTATCTTAGGACAAATAACTGTGACATTAAATCTAATCCTCCACAATCAACTGGTTAAAACAAATTTCAGTGTGGGTAATTAATCAATTTTAGTTGTCCAAATGAAAAAGGCAATATATATCAGATCAGATAGTATAAACATTTTATTTCACAAGAAATTCATTTTACTGAATGGATTAAATCAAACTGCAAGTGAATGCAGTGCCCAGTACTGCAATAAAAGTGTTTGCATATGAAATATGGAAGGAAGAGCTTAGGTGGATTGACGTGGGCTAAGATACACACAGCATCAACACTGACGTAGGGACACTTTCTTTACCAGCTAGTTTTCAGTTTTGTGCATTTGGGAACCTGATTTTGTTTTATCTTCTAGAGTACTCAAGCTAAAGATGATTAGTTCACATTAATCAAATTGAAAGAGTTGTGAAAAAAAACCCCTACATGGCAACACAATTATTTACTCAGAAAATATATTATTGCAAAGTAGATCCCAGTACCAAGTGGTTAGCATGTTCTCTTCCCAAAGGGGAGCTAAAAGTTCAAAAGGCTGTTACATGAGTATAGATTTAGATTACAGAAATAGTATGACATTGGTAATATCTTACAAGGATATAATAGGTATTGAATAAATGTTTGCCGAAATAACAAATTAATTAAATTACAAATCAATGATAACATCAAATTAATCACTTGATAAAGTCATTATAATGATAGGATTGTCCTTCCTAAGGGAATTGGATCATTGTATTTATTTATTTACTTATTTATTTATACGATTTCTTCTCCTATTAATCTGCGAGATCCTTGAGAGCAAAGACTTTGTCTTATTTATTTCTGTATCACCAGTGCCCAGTAAAATGCTGGCAGCATTAGATTCTCAGTAATTTTTTAAAAATTAAACTGAAATGAAGTATTTATATTAGCTAAACAAAGCAGCCTCTTTCATTTAAGAGGTTTAGGAAAATTTCTGTCTCCAGGGGACATGGGATTCTAAAGATATTGTTTACTTGGGAAAAAGCCTAGAGATGCTAACTTCATACATCTTCCCCTGTTCTATGATATGTGTTATCATAACACAAACTAACATCTGAGTCTTATGCACTCATATTGTCTGGTGGATCTGGCTAGGTTCTCTACAGTTACACAAGTCATGTTTTCCTGCTTCTTTAAAATTCTGACTCTTTCTTACCTGTTCTTGCTTTGTTGCTACTGGAAATGTGACAATGACATTGCATCTCTGCAGACTGTCATCCAGCCACTGGATATACTTACTATCTGTCTCAACTCTACTCTTTTCCTAGAATTTCTTTCAAACTTGGGGACCAGAACACAACATTTGCTCAACCAGCACCAACTTGACTTTTCAGTAAAAAAGTGGTTCAATGAGTTCCTTAGCAGCTCTCTGCTATCCCAGTTTATGGCATCTTCATGGCACTTGGCAATAATATTAGCAGTAAAAATAGCTAACATTCATTGAGCATTTGTCCCTCCATTACAGTATGTGCCGAAGTTTATTCTCTCCTGTCTTTTAATATACCTAGCTCTCCAGAAACCTCCATATAAAAAAAAACTCAATCAATATTTGCTGAATCATTCATTAAATTAATAAATAAATTGAACAAATAATAAATCCATGAATTAAAAATAGTGCCTGTTCTTGGCTGAGCCTTTCACTTGGACAAACCTGCCTTTCTTCTTTATCTCCCTTTTCCCTTAGTTCTGGGAAACCAACTTCCTGGCTTTTTTCCCCCTAGAATTCAGACAGACTATCTCCTGTCTGTTCTGACACATTTAATGCACTAATAGATTTCTTACAGTAGGCATCCCAATTGAGGAAAACACCTATTTTTACTGATAATACTTTAAAACTATATTTTGAGGTAATCTTATTTAAAAATGGGCAAATTATCTGAAGAGAGATTTCTCAAAAGAAAACGAATGGCCAACAAGCATATTAAAAAAAATGCTCAACATCACTAATCATAAGGTATATGCAAAACAAAACTAGAGTGAGATATCATCTCACCCCAGTTAAAATAGTTATTATCAAAAAGATAAAAAATAACATGCTCATGTGGACATGGAGTAAGGGGAACTGCTATACACTTTTGGTGGGAATGAAAATTAGTATAGCCACTATGAACACAGTAAGGAGGTTCTTCAAAAAACTAAAAATAAATCTACCATATGTTCCAGCAGTCCCACTGCTGGCTATATATCCAAAAGAATAGTAGTCAGTGTATTGAAAAGACACCTGCAATCCCATGTTTATTTGAGCAAAATTCATAATAGCCAATGTATAGGCTCAACGTAAGTGTCCATCAACAGATGAATGGATAAAGAAAATAGATATTTTTTAAACATAAAAAAGAAGGAAATTGGCTGGGTGTGGTGGCTCATGCCTGTAACCCTAACACTTTGGGAGGCCAAGGAGGGTGGATTGCCTAAGCTCAGGAGTTTGAGACCAGCCTGGGCAACATGGTGAAACTCCGTCTTTACTAAAAATACAAAAAATTAGCTGGGCATGGTGGCACACGCCTGTAGTCCCAGCTACTTGGGAGGCTGAGGCAGGAGAATTGCTTGAGCCTGGGAGGAGAAGGTTGTAGTGAGCTGAGATTGAGCCACTGCACTTTAGGCTGGCCTACAGAGCGAGACTCCATCTCCAAAAAAAAAAAAAAAGAAGGAAATCCTATCATTTGCAGAAACATGGATGGCACTGGAGGACATTTTGTTAAGTGAAATAAGCCAGGCAGATAGACAAATATTGCATATTCTCACTCATATGTAGGAGCTAAAAAAGTTGATCTTATGTAGGTAGAGAGTATAATGATGGTTACTAGAGGTTGGGAAAGAGAGCAGGGAGGGGGTTGAAGAGAGGTTAGTTAATGGATACAAAAACACAGTTAGAAGGAATAAGTTCTAATGTTCCATAGCATAGTAAGCCAACTATAGCTAACAGTAATTTATTGTATATTTAAAATAGCTAGAAGAGAAGAATGTTCCTAACACAAAGAAACTATAAATGTTTGACATGACGGATATACTGATGACCCTGTTTTAATCCATTACCAGTGTATACATTTATCAAAATATCACATGATGTACCCCACAAATCTGTACAGTTCTTACATATCAAAAATACTGAAAAAGCACATTGTAAATAAATAATTAATAAATGGACAATTTTTAAAAAAAGATTTGCCTTTGGCATGACAACTCAAACAAGCTGAATAAGCTATTAAATTACAATTACTGTTGTTTTTAACCCATCAGAGAGCTGAGAAAGTGAAGAATCCTAGTTGAACTACATTCCAGAAAGTGACAAGCCCTTCTTAGAGAAGAAGAGACACATGCTTGCTCTCATTTCTCATGGTATGAAAGGAGAGGAAATCTGCTATTGAAGGAGAAAAGAAATCAGTCAAAACCTTATTGAACTTCTAATGTCCATGGGCTGGCCTGCAGACAGATTACAATTTTAAGAAGACCCTATCAAAGAGCAAGTTGGTACTCACCCAATAACTCTTTCCCGCAGGTCTCCACAAGTAATACCCTAAAGGCTGCCAGCAGAGCTGAGAGAGATCCTTCCCAGGTACCTGAGATATCCTAAAACTTAAGGCAGGCAACTTCAGAAGGCTGGAGGTAAGAGGAGCTGAGAGAAATCTCTCCGAGGCATTTCAAGCTTCACAGGGTACAATGCAGCTAACCTCCTAATGTTAAAGGCAGAGTGAGAGGGCACAGAGAGACTGCCTATGATGCAAAAAGTAGTATCCAAAAAAATTGCAGTGGAACTATAGACTAGAGACAGAATTCCCATGGTTGAGAAAGCTGGTGACTTTGCTGGAAAACACAAAGATATCTCTGGAATCATGGCAGTATAGAGATGTTGGAATGATCAGAGAGGGACTATAGAAAACTTAGAATAAAATACTTGGTAACCTAGTGGAAAATATGGGCCACATGTGTAATAAATAGGAAATTTTAGTGGAGAAATGTATACTCTGAAAAAGAACTAAAACAGAATGATAGAAATGTAAAATAGGTTACCAAAAATGAAGAATTAAGTAAATAGGCTTAACAACTGGGCAGAAAGGAAAAGATCAGTTCACCTGAAGCCAGGACAACAGGAAAATAAACAAATTGGAATATAAAGGGGAAAAAAGAGCAGAGCATTTAGTATCTGCAGGTCAATAGAACACAATTAGCATTCATGCAATAGTAGTTTCAGGAAGAAAGAGAGGAAGTAAGTATTTGAAAAAAACGTTGAATGAGAACTTTACAAAATTTAAGAAAATTATCATCCCACGGATATTAGAAAATCCAAAAAAAAAAAAAAAACCAAAGCAGAATAAATACAAAGAAAAATCGAAAAATCACAGCTAGGCACTTCATATATGAAATACCAAAACCAAAGATTAAGAATAGATTTTTTTTTTTTTGAGACAGGGTCTCATTCTGTCGCTCAGCTAGAGTGGTGCAATCACAGGTCACTGCAGCCTGAAACTCCCAGGCTCAGGTGACCCACCAGCCTCAGCCTCTGAGTAAGTGGGACTTCAGTCGTGCACCACCATGCCCAGCTAATTTTTGTATTTTTAGTAGAGATGGGGTTTCACCATGTTAGCCAGGCTGGTCTCCAACTCAAGCAATCCACCTGCCTCAGCCTCCCAAAGTCCTGGATTACAGGCATGAGCCAACTTTCCAGGCCAATAAAGAACAGATTTAAAAACAGTCTGAGAAAAAAAGATACATTACATAATAACAGCAAAAATATTGAGGATGACTCACTTCTCACCAGAGGAAAAAAGAATAAAAAAAGCCAGAAAAAAAAAGAATTCTGCCCTTAAAGTATTGAAAAAACCATTAATCTAATATTTTTTTCAGCAGAAATATCTTTAGTAAAAGAACCCAGGATCTGCAGGAAGGAATAATAAACATTAGAAACAGAAAATATTTGGGTAAAATATAGAATATCTTTAAAATATAGAATATCTGTATATATACCTGTGTATCTTAAAAACTTTTCACTGTTAAAAAAAGAGAATAACATATTTGGGGCTTATAACATTATGTATATGTAAAATATAACATAATTAGAGCACAGAAGTGAGATTATACTGCTGTAAGATTCATGAATACTTATATAAATATGAAGATCATGATAAATCAAAGACATACTACTCTGCGTTTTAGAGTACCCCTAAGCACACACACAGTCATGCACAAAGAGGAATAGATAAAAAGTAATAGAGGAGATAAAATGAAATAGTAAATTGAAAAAATGGAAAGTATTTAATTCAACCAAAACAAGTCAAGAAAGGAGAAACAAATTTAAAATTGGATAAGTGAAAAACAAATGGCAGTATTTTATATTTGAATGCAACAATATATTAATTACATTAAACGCAAGAGAGCTAACCACAACAATTATTAGAGATTGTCAGACTGGATAAAAAGAATAAGGCCCAATAAATCCTCTTTACAAGAAACACAAAAGTTAATGGTCAAATGTAAAGGTTTAGAAAAGGACATACATGCAACAAGTAAGCATAATAAATTTGATGCAGCTTTATTGTCATCAGGTGAAGAAGACTTTGAGAGAAAGAAGATAAATGAAGATAAAGAGGAATATTAAAAAATGATAAAAGTATCAACTCATCAAGAAGACATAATAATCCTAAATGCATGTGCACATAACAGAAGATTTGAACAGTTCTAGCCATCTACTTGAACAAATTAAAACTTAAGAATTACACTCAATACATATTATTTTCAAGTGCACATGGAACATTGATAAGAAATCATATGGTTGGCCATGAAATAAGCCACGTATAAAAAGATTAAAATTATATAAAGTGTATTCTTCAGCCACACAAGCATTAAATTAGAAATAAATAATACCTATGCAAAGTGTCATGGGGCTGTAGTCCCAGTTATTCAGGAAGCTGAAACAGAAGGATCACTTGAGCCCAGGAGTTTGAGTCCAGCCTGGGCAACATAGCAAGACCCTGTCTATAAATAAATAAATAAATAAATATTATCTGGATATGGAAAATCTCCAAAATATTTGAAACTTAGGCGACATACATTTAATAACTATGATCAAAAAAACATAAGAAAATTAGAAAATTATTTGAACTAAAAGAATAATGATTCGAACCGAAAAAATGTAAACACAACACATATAAATGTGTGGAATATAGTAAAAATAGTATTTGGAGGACAATTTATAGCTTTAAAATGTGAAGTCAGTGAAATAAGGTTTCATTTAAGAATCTAGAGAAAAATATTAAATTTAACCTAAATAAGTAAAAAAAGGAAATAAAATGAGTAACTGACGATGAAAAACATACAAATAATAACCAAACTATTAAGTTTAGTTACCATATTTAAGGGACTACATTTCCAAAGTATTTTGAAAGTCATATTTAACATGTAAAAATATGCCAGTCATAGAAATTTAAGTGGAATATATATTATGGTTTTATGTTATTATTAAAAATTGTCTAAATGTGCAAATATAAAAAATGAAAAACATTCAAATAACAGAAAATTAACAAAACCAAAGGTTTCTTTTTTTGAAAAGATTAACAAATTGATTAATCTCTAGACTTAACAAGAAAAAACAGAAATAACACAAACTGTCTCAGGAAAACAAGAATTATCACTAAAGACCCTAGTAGATATATTTGACATCTTAGTATCACTTGACATCTTAGATAAAATGTACTAAATCTTTTGAAGACATAAATTATCAGCCCTACCTCAAAAGGAATTTTTTTTAAAAAGGATGGAAATCTATGTTTGCTAAACAGATGAAATTTGTGATTAAAAACTTTTCCACAGTAAACACTCAAGGCCCAGAAGTCTTCACTGGCAAATGTTACCACATATTTAAGAAAGAGACAATACAAGTCCTATATAAACTCTTTCAGAGTAAAAGAAGAGGAAGAAATACTTGCCAACTTATTTTAGGACCTTAGTATTTTCCTGATACCAAAAGCAGGTATCACTAGAAGAAGAAAAACTCTAGACTAATATTAAGCATAAACATAGATCCAAAATTCTTAACAAAATAACATATCATATTCAGCAACAAACAAAAAGAATACACTTTACAATCAAGTGAATTGATCATATTTCATATCATATCCCAAGAATGCTAGATTGGTATAATATTCAAAAGTTAATCAGCATCATTTATCACTTATACAAAATAAAACATATTTTTTTCTTTCTTATTGTAAATTAACAATATATAATTGTATAGATTTATGGGTTCTGTGAAGAGAGGTTGCATGGAAAAAAATTTATGAGGTACAAAATGTTACAATTTATAAATACAATGTGAAATAATTAAATCAAGCTAGTTAACATATTCGTTACCTCAAATCCTCAACATTCTTTTGTGGCAAGAACATTTGAAACTTACTTAGCAAATTTGAAATGTACAATACTCTAGTCTATATTCATTATGTGTACAATAGAACTCATAAAAAGAGAAAACATATTCTTCCTGTTTGAAATTTTATACCCTTCAACCGTCACTTCTCCACCTCCCCCATCCTCTGGCTTCTGTTGCCACCATTCTACCCTCTGCTTCTATAAGTAAGTTTATTGCTTTAGGCTCCACATAAAAGTAGGAGCATGTGGTATTTGTTTTTCTAGGCCTGACTTATTTCACTTAGCCTAATGTTCTCCAGTTCCATTGGTGTTTTCACAAATGTCACAAATAGTCGTTTGCTATTGGTTCTCTAGTTATTATTAGCTGTGATGTTAGGTTGTTAACTTGAGATCTAACTTATAGATGTGGGCATTTAGTGCTACAAATTTCCCTGTTAACACTGCTGTAACTGTGTCCCAGAAATTCTGGTACATTGCATCTTTTTTCTCATTAGTTTCAAAGGGCATCTTGAATTCTGCCTTAATTTCATTATTTACCCAAAAGTCATTCAGAAGCAGATTATACAAGTTCCACATAATTGTATGATTTTAAGCCAATTTCTTAGTCTTGATTTCAAATTTGACTGTGATGTAGTTCAAGAGACTGTTTGTTATAATTTCAGTTATTTTACAGTTGCTGAGGGGTGTTTTCATCCCAATTATGTGATCGATTTTAGAGAAAGTACCATGTGGTGATGAGAAGAATGTATATTCTGTTCTTCTGGGGTAGAGAGTTCTGTAGATATCTATCAGGTCCATTTGATCCAGTGATGAGTTAAGATAGTGAATATCTTTGCTAATTTTCTGTCTTGATGATCTGTCTAACATTGTCAGTGCAGTGTGAAAGTTCCCACTACTATTGTGTGGGAATGTAAGTCTCTTTGAAGGTCTCTAAGAACTTGCTTTATGAATCTAGGTGCTCCTGTGTTTGGTACATATATATTTAGGGTAGTTAGTTCTTCTTGTCGAATTGAACCCTTTATAATTATGTGATTCCCTTCCATTTTCCATTGTGAATGTTATGCCATGCAACCAGCCTGATAATATGAATCATAACAGCTCAGGTGAGTTCATATATAACCTTATCTCATGCATGTCATCTCACTTCATCTCCTTTCCTGCCCTGGCTCAGATCTTCAACAATGCTGCAGTAACCACCTACTGCAGCTCATTCCTTCAGTTTCTAGCCTCTGAGTTCTCTGGTCCATTTTTCAAATTGCTACTATTCGACCCTGTAAATCACACCCTGGTCTTGTCTCTGACTTATTAAAATAAATTCAATGATTTTCTACTTCCCATAAAGTACTAAAAGTATGACTTCTAACACATATTTCAAGAAAATTACAACATAATGCAAGCCAAGCATTCATGGAAAAGAATGCTAAGATAAAAGTTAAAAAGATTAGATAGGTAGATAGATATGTAAATAAAATAGATGTGAAGGTATTTCTATACAATTTTAAGAGATATTATTTCTTGTTTTGTAAGGAGGAGTAGGATGTTTAGCAAGAAAGTGATATGATGCAATATGAATTTTAGGGGCATTGTTCAGGCTACCTTCTTTGCCTTTTTGTGATCTTTGTTGGTTTAAAAGCTGTTTTGTCAGAAACTAGGATTGCAGCCCCTGCTTTTTTTCTGCTTTCTATTTGCTTGGTAAATTTTCCTCCATCTCTTTATTTTGAACCTGTGTGTGTCACTGCATGTGAGACGAATCTCTTGAAGACAGCATAACAATGACTTTTGGTTCCTTATCCAACTTGCCACTCTGTGTCTTTTAATTGGGACATTTAGTCCATTTACATTAAAAGTTAGTATTGATTTGTGGATTTGATCCTGTCATCATGGTAGCTGGTTATTTTGCAGACTTGTTTATGTGGCTGCTTTATAGTGTCACTGGTCTGTGTACTTCAGTGTGTTTTCGTAGTGGCTGGTAATGGTGTTTCCTTTCTATATTTAGTGCTTCCTTCAGGAACTCTTATAAGACAGGTCTGATGGTAACAATTCCCTCAGCATTTGCTTGTCTGAGAATGATCCTGTTTCTTCTTCTCTTATAAAGATTAGTTTTGCCAGATATGAAATTCTGGGTTGGAATTTCTTCCCTTTAAGAATGTTGAGCTCGGTACAGTGGCTCACGCCTGTAATCCCAGCACTTTGGGAAGCCAAGGGGGGCGGATCACCTGAGGTCAGTAGTTCAAGACCAGCCTGACCAACATGGAGAAACCCTGTCTCTACTAAAAATACAAAATTAGCCGAGTGTGGTAGCACATGCCTGTATTCCAAGCTACTCGGGAGGCTGAAGCAGGAGAATCACTTGAACCCGGGAGGCGGAGCTTGTGGTGAGCTGAGATTGCATGTGATTGCACTCCAGCCTGGGCAACAAGAGTGAAACTCCATCACAAAAAAAAAAAAAAAAAAAAAAAAAAAAGAATGTTGAACATTGGTCCCCAATCCCTTCTGGCTTGCAGAGTTTCAGCTGAGAGGTTCACTGTTAGTCTGATGGGCTTTCTTTCGTAGGTGACCTGGCCTTTCTCTCTAGCTGCCTTTAACATTTTTTTCCTTGATTTTGACCTTGGAGAACGTGATGATTATATGTCTTGTGGATGATGTTCTCATGGAGTATCTTACTGGGGTTCTCTAGATTTCACCCCTTCTGTTTCTCTCTTTGAGAGCCATACACCTAAGCTGCTTCTAGGTGGCCATCTTGGCCACTCCCACTCTGATTATTTTCATAGATGCAGGAAACGTATATGGCAAAGTTTAACACTTACCTTTGACAAAAACTTTTTGCAATCTCAGAAGAGAAAGAAACTTCTTCAATCTGATTTGGGTTCCATATAAAAAGTCAACAGACTCATACTCAGTAGTGAAATATTAAATCTTTTTCCCCTAAAATTGGGACTGGGAAAGATTCTCCATTCTTGGCTGTGTGCAATGGCTCATGCCTGTAATCCCAACACTTTGGGAGGCCGAGGCTGGTGGATCACAAGGTCAGGAGATCGAGATCATCTTGGCCAACATGGTGAAACCCCGTCTCTACTAAAAATACAAAAAATTAGCCAGGTGTGGTGGCGTGTGCCTGCAGTCTCAGCTACTCAGGAGGCTGAGGCAGGCAAATCACTTGAAGCCAGGAGGCAGAGGTTGCAGTGAGCCAAAATCATGCCACTGAACTCCAGCGTGGGTGACAGAGTGAAACTCCATCTAAAAAAAAAAAAAAAAAAGATGCTCCATTCTTGTCCAAGTTCATGAAAAAGAAATAATAAAAGGCAGAATTATGAGACAGGAAGAAATTAAATTTTATTATTCACTGACAACATGATTATGTATGTAGAAAACGCTATGTAATCTAAAATAGGACTAGAACTAAGTGAATTGTACTTTTATATAGTAACAACAGACAACTGTAAAATACAATTTTTAAATACTATTTACTATAGTACCAAACCCCTCAAATTTCTAATAATAAATCTAACAAAATATATGCAAGCCTTCTACTTTAAACACTTTAAAATAATACTGAAAGAAATTAAAGAATATCTAAATAAAGAGATAATAGGTCAATGGAACAGAATAATGACAAAGCTAGACCCACATATTTATGCTCAATTGATTTTCAACCAAGGTAGCAAATAAATCAACAGGAAAATAGATGTCTTTTTAATGAATGGTGCTGGAACAACTGAATATCTATGAAAAAAGAAAGTGAATCTCAACCCCTAAATCATTTCAAACACAACAATAAAAAATGGATCATAATGGCAGCTGACTTACAATTAGGGCAAACCAGGGAAATCCAACTATTTAATTAAAACAAAACAAGACTTCCACTTCTGACCAACATGAAATAAGGACAAGATTTATGCTCCTAACTAAATCAACAACAACAATAACAACAACAGACAAAATACATGAAACAACAGTTTTGAAGTCACCGAATATTGGCAAAGAACAGTGATTCCTGAGAGAAGGGAAACAAAACAGGCCCTATGGTTGGCCCAGCTTACTGCCTTGAGAGTTTCCAGGGGCTGCACAGAATGGAGGAGCTCCTTCATAAACAGATAGCAGACTCCCTGAGTTGAGAAAACCAAGGAAGTAGAGTCCAACAGACAGAGTACGGGAATGTAGGAATGGTAGGAATGTATGTGACAAAAGTTATCAAACATCTACCCTGACTTGTTTTTTCCCTCTCTGTTTCCTCCATAAGGGTTATTGACCAAATCTTGGGTTATTTATTACTCTTCTTTGAAATCCTAGTAGGATTCAAAATTGGTTGGTTGAAAATGGTTAGGTAATTTAGTATAAATCATTTTTAGGGTGGTAAATGACTTAAATGTGCATTGATTAGCACAAATACATGTAATAGTTAAGCTTCAAGGGATGAGCCTTGTTCACGTTACAGTACAGACCCTTCTCTGTGTCCTGACTTCAACCATAGAGTAAGCAAAGTTACATGGTATTAACAGCTGCTTTGGTTCACCCTCAAACTGACTAAATTTTAGCAATGGATAAAATAATTTTTGCTAACAAATATGTAGAAGGTTTACACAGCCCTTTACAACTTGGGCTAGAAACTTCAGAAGGAATATGATAAACGCCCACCCAATCTTTCCAGGATACATGTAGATTAAACAATGTCACATCTGTTTGTAAGTTAAAAAGCTTACTCTATGGCTTTTACATTTTATCTTCATGTTTCCTACTCTTATAAATAATATACATGTGACTACAGCTAACTTGTAACATAATTGAGATTATTATATTCATACAACCATATATCTTTTATAAAACAAACAACATATTGTTACATATATCCCTCTAGATCATATGTGGAAAACATTCACTGTATGTTATAAGAAATTAGTGCTTTTTATCAAACATTAGTGACGTGTAGAAATCATGACTTCAGCTATACAAAGTGCATTGTGATCCAGAGGGCTTTTTTTATGATCCCATGTAGAAGAGAGATCATTACATCCATGCTTCTCAAACACATTCTATTGTTTTTAAATAAATGGTTAAGGGATTTGCAACTAAAGAAATTGGGAAACAAACCAAAACTAGAAGACGAGGTGAAGCGCTACAGATAAGAGAAAGAATTTAGCAAGAACAGGTCAGAGGGTAGCTACAAGAATACAAAGAGCCAGTGGGAAGGGAGGCTTAGGGAGCAGAAATTGGGGCAAAGTGTTAAGAAGAGACCACCGTGTTGTACTGGGGTCCAAAAGACAATGTGGAGGCTTTACCCTCAGTGACAAGGTAGTCTAAAGATTTCTCCTGTTTAAACTATAAATATTTCTCTGAAACTTGTACATATCTTCTATGGACAAAGTAGGACTTCCAGAAGCCCTTTTGTGCTAAAGCCTAGAATAACTAAGAGGGTTTTGGCTCATGTAATTCATTTGCATCTTCACAAAATGAATGTGTACTCATTTGAGTCCTTCGAACTTTAAAACAGCCATATTCTTCTTGTTGTTTATATATTTTCCTTAGGCATTTTTTTTCCACGAAATAGACAAGTTTTATCCATATGAAAATTGTCTGATGCAGATAATGCCTCTCTTGATAAGGATCACAGCAAGTCTCTTCCTTAGCATCTAGCATGCACTGCCACACAATTTGATGATGTGCAGAAGGGAAAACTGGCCTGGAGCCTGTGAATCACCCTGGTTTTTCAGGAAAAAAAAATCACCAGAAGTAATTTCATCTCTACCTTCTTAAAGTCTTATCTTCACTTGAGATAACATTAAGTCAATCGGCATTTCACATTGATCCTGATCTTCTTAGCCATAGTGAATATTGTTTAAAATTTCATTTATAACTATTCCCTGTCATTGGCTGTACAGATAACATTTGACATTTTGAATAATTTGTCCTTTGTCCTTCTGAATTATTCCTAAGTCAAATAATTTTTCACTTCTGATGAGCTCATTTTATGTTTTTATCATAATCATAATGCCTCTGCATGAAACTCTCCCAGCTTCTGTATCTGTTGATCATATTGCACTTAATAATGGTCAGCATCTCAAAATGACAGGCAAACATGACAAAATTGTAGTAATCTAGGGAATATAAGATGACAAGAATGAAAATGCTCGTATCTCACTCCTCATGCCCACTGTTAGGGCAGGCAGTGTTGAGTCACTTTTTCTGGACCATACATTAAAAAATGCTGTATACATTAAGCAAAAAATTGTAGATAATGGCTTTCTCTCTATCCCTTCTGCTAGATTGTGAGTCACTCAAAGGCAGCACCCATGTTT
Source organism: Homo sapiens (assembly GCF_000001405.40). NCBI lineage: Eukaryota > Metazoa > Chordata > Mammalia > Primates > Hominidae > Homo > Homo sapiens. The sequence continues at coordinate 81,553,480 of NC_000006.12, forward strand.
AGTGTTTTCAGTATGTCTCATCATAACTGTTACATAATAATAATTCCTAGGATATGTTTTTTTTAAACTCAACGGAACAAGTTGATAAAAAATCTGTTATTTCAAAGAGAAAACATAATTTCCTTAGAACTACATTCCTACATCTGAGACTGAATAGCAGAATCATCTAGGAAAGTTTGCTTAAACTCACATATCTTACCTTTTCCACACTGAATATGTATTATTTAAGAAAGTTTCCAGAAGATACTCTGGAAACTGTGTCTCCATCTTAGAACCACAGCAATAAAAAAAATTGAGATTGCTTTCTTTGTTATTTTTACTATGTTATAAACACAAAGGCAATGAAGAGTTAAATATATATATATATATATATATACGTACTTATATACATACCACACAAACGTATATATTTATACGTAGATTCACATATAAGTTTGTGTGTGTACCTAAATATATATAGATGATATAGATATAGGAGACATAAGTCATGGTGGAACACTTGATCTGGCCTTACATTCAAGATATATAAATGTGAAAGGAAATAATTAAGCAATATTAAAATTTTCAGATATGAGCAAAAATGATTTGACTATAGTAGAAAGAACAAAAAGAAGAAGCAAACATTTTTGAAAGCATTACATGAGTTACTGTGCCAATAATAAAGTATTTGTCTGGTGTTCTTATAAATGTAAACACTTCTATGTGTTGCCAAGCAATATTTTTTAAGTGAATATAAGACAGTTAATTCACTACATTTCTCAAGAAAAGTTTTCTGGTATAAAGACATGTTGTTATATCATTAAAACATTTTAATAATCACAGATTATAACTGAGGCTCAATTTCTATTTTCAGTTTAAATTCTGCAGTCTTAAAGATGGTCTTAAGTACAACAAAAACAAATGAAAGAATTAGGGCTCCCCAAAATATTTTTAGAGTATCAAGAAAAATATAAACCACAGCTCTCAGAAAGGTAAACTGAATAAGAGAATAAGTGATTTATACTCTCCCAGTATCACTCTTTATAAAAAATATGTTAGACAACTATAGTAACATCCTCAACATCAAATAAATGTGGGTATCTGATTAAAATCCCCTCCCTTGTATCAACTCTATTATCAATCTACTGGGGCTTATAACACATTACCCAAAATTTAGCAGCTTAAAAATAATAGACATTTGTTGTCTCACAGTTTTAGCAGATCAGTTTCAGGCATAGTGTAGCTAGATGGCTGTGCCTTACAGTTTCTCATGGGCTGCAGTCACAGCTGAATTTGGTGGAAGGGGGATTAGTGAGGACCCACTTTCAAGCTCACTTACATGATTGTTGAGGGCCTGTGGATTTTTCCACAGGACTCTTCTTGATTTGCATCTGGATTCCCCTAAGCTATAAGTGATTCAAGAGAGAATGAAAAAACCTAAGCGCCCCAAAGAGGAAAGCTGCAATCTTTTATAACCCAATCTAGGAGGTGACATCTCATCACTTCTTCCGTACTCTATTTACTGAAAGGGAGTCACTAAGTCAAGACCACACTAATTGCCTGGGGATTACCCAGAGCATTATAGACGGTGAAACATTAGGTGTCATCTCAGAGTCTGTCTACTACATCAGTCTTAAAAAGAACATTGCAAGTAATTTTTTTATTATCACTAATGCACAACTCTGACGATTCCAGCAATTAAACTAGATAGGGCTGTAAAAAGAATAATCAAAATCTCCATCAAAGATGCTGCAAATTAGGTCCATAATTTGCATAATCTCTCACCATTTGGCAAGTTTCTAATGCTGTCCCAGAAACTTAATGTTGTCCCTTCATTGCCTCCTCAAAATTCCATTGAGAAAGAACATGGCTTCTCCACCCAAAATATTACATGCCCCCATGGAATTATGGGATTGGTCTAGCAGGCTCCAAGGTGTGCTAGAAGAATTATAGCTCAGTAGTCAGAAGAATTATACTTTGTTTTCAGGCCTGATAATAAATTTTCCGGGTATCAGTTTGCTCCATGTGTGAATCTAATGCTTTAGTGTTCCTTATGCCTTGCTAGTAGTCAATAAACAACAAATGGAAGGAAAATTGAGCAATATTACTTTCATGAATTATGTACCATTGTTTTTCTGCATACATAAAGGTAAATCTAAAAATCTTATTTGGGTTGCTTAACTTTCTAACACAACTAAAATCTCAAAGGTGTTCTGACATCAAGCCCAGATTTAAACATCAAGAAACTATGTTTTATTTGTCCATGAAAGGAAGTTTCCCATTTCTGTAGAGGAGCTTCTTTACCCTTTTTAAACATTGTAATTAAGCCCTGATTAGGGGTGTGGGGGTATATAATCATTTTTTAAAATTTTAGGATAATTTTGGATTTGCATAAAGGTTGCAAAGATAGTACAGTTTCCATACACATTTTAACTAATTTTCTCTTAAGTTAACATTTTACATAACTGTAGTACATTTGTACTACATGCAACATGTACAATTTTGCATGTTGAATATTTCCCATGAATACTTTCTTTTTGTTTAGTGTTTTGGGGCCTCTAGTTCTAGTAGGTAACCAATAAATTAAGCAAAACGAATTAAATATCCCTTTTTTCATGCTTTGGTTATATGCCTTTAAGAGGAAAGTGTTTAGGGGCCTAAATTTTCTACTTAATTGACTTATAAGCATAAGGGGTGGAAATGAAGAACAAAGAGAAAAATAAACTACTGTCAAAATTGTATTAAATGACATGAGTAACTTATCCTCAAGTCAGTGAGTGATGGTTTTGATAATGCTGTGTGTTAGAAGGCAAACAAAAACTAAAAAATTTGCATTTTTGCACAAATTTTGCTTTATTGAAGGATTGGAAAATGTCTCACATCTACATTTTTATAGCAAAGAACACATAAAATTATTCTTATTTTTAATGACAGTTGTTTAAAGAGTACAAAGCTAAATGTTACAAAGTATTTCCTTTGGTTCTAATGTGACCATACCCTGGATTTTAAGTTTTCTAAATAGAATGCATTAATCCTAGCCACAATGCTGAAGATGATCTTTTTAAAATGTTAAGAGTTGCAAAGTAGTTGTTTGCTCAACAGAGCATCCTCTTCCCTAAAAGTTTAAAATAAGAACATTCCTATACATTCCCTTCATTATTTAAGAAGTTCGGGTGTGCTTCTCTAGGAAATGATTTGTGTTACAGAGTTTTGAGACTGGCAGAAAAATCTCCCTAAAAAGAAGTTCTACAGCTGTGAAATGTTCTCCCCCTGACACAGTTTCAGTCTGGAGGCATTTAGAGTAAGAAGTAAGAGTCTTCACTTTTATTGGCTGTGTGTGGGTTGTTTGGTTTCTTGGCAGGCATGTTTTGCATGTTGAATATTTCCCATGAATACTTTCTTTTTGTTTAGTGTTTTGGGGCCTCTAGTTCTAGTAGGTAACCAATAAATTAAGCAAAACGAATTAAATATCCCTTTTTTCATGCTTTGGTTATATGCCTTTAAGAGGAAAGTGTTTAGGGGCCTAAATTTTCTACTTAATTGACTAAATTTTAGATTTATTTTTTGCTTGTTAAAAATCCTCAATGAGTTTGTAATTTCCTTTGAGGGTAGGGATTATCTTGTGTTTATTTATTTCCACAGGGCTGCATACAGTGTTCAGCATAAAACAAGGCTTCAAATTAGAAAGAAGTATAACTCTTCAGGCTTTAAATTAGAAAGAAGTATAACTCTTCGCAATTTACTTATTCCTGAAAATTGTATAAAATGTTTGCTAACAAATTAATACTGTAAAATTAAATCAAGCAATGGTTGAAATATTTGGTGACCAAAAGATACGCTAATATCTTAGAAATATTATTTTATACAATGCCTATGTTAAGTGCAAGCGGTTCTTATTTATTTCTATAGTGGTTTTCTGCATATCACTTCTCTACTAATCTCCTCACATTAACTTTTAAGAAAAGCCTAATAGATTCTCTACTCTTTCTTCTCCTTCTATTTTCCATTGTGAGTGTTATGCCATGCAACCAACCTGATAATATGAATCATAACAGCTCAGGTGAGTTCATATATAACCTTATCTCATGCATGTCATCTCACTTCATCTCCTTTCATGCCCTGGCTCAGGTCTTCAACAATACTGCAGTAACCACCTACTGCAGCTCATTCCTTCAGTTTCTAGCCTCCAAGTTAGAAACTTCTTGGTTCATTTTTCAAAGTGCTACTATTCATCCCTGTAAATCACACCCTGGTCTTGTCTCTGACTTATTAAAATAAATTCAACGATTTTCTACTTCCCATAAAGTAAAGTACTAAAAACATGACTTCTAACACACATTTCAAGAAAATTACAACATAATGCAAGCCAAGCATTCATGGAAAAGAATGCTAAGATAAAAGTTAAAAAGATTAGATAGGTAGATAGATATGTAAATAAAATAGATGTGAAGGCATTTCTGTATAATTTTAAGAGATGTTGTTTCTTGTTTTGTAAGGAGGAGTAGGATGTTTAGCAAGAAAGTGATATGATGCAATTTGAATTTTAGGGGCATTGCTCAGGCTACCATGTACATAAAGGGAGGAAAAAAAGGCACTGGAGGAGACATTGGATAGGAGCATATCTCAGTTAAGTTCAGGTAAGAGATGATAAGAGGGTGGAGAGAAGGAGATCGAATCAGCAGCAGAATCAAAGTTACCTAATGACTGATTAGAGAAGTAGAGAGAGGAAGCCAAAAAAAAAAAAAACAAAAAAAAAAACAGAAAAGGACTCTGAGGTTACTAGTTTAGATGACAAAGGTATGGTTTTTACCAGTAACAAAAATGTGAGATATTAGTGGAAGAACAGATTTGGTGGAGTTGGAAATACTGGGTGATTAGTGATGGGGCATGGTAGGAAGAGCAAACTGAGCTTAGTTTTGTATTTGTTGGGGTTGACAGTCCGGTAAAACACTCAGAGAAGGTATTTAATGTGGAAGTATTTAGGCAATATCCTGTGTGTGCTTTTTAAAAATCGTTGTGTAGAGCCCAGTAGATTTTCTTTAGTTCTCAGTGTATATTTCTTAAATGAATGAACAACTATGAATGAGGGAATAAATAAGTGAAGGATTGCACTGAGATAGGCAAAGAGCAGAGAGGGGTTTTTTAATTTAATTTTATTTATTTATTTATTTATTTTTACATCTATTTCATTCTCTAGATGGCTCAGGAGCACCTCAGGGACAGCAAGGCCCTATGACAGCTCCTTAGCAGTATACCCTGTATTATAACTGTTATCAAGTAGCCATAAGCCTCATTTCATTTATTTGAGACATGCAAAGGGCTAGCAAAAATGAGATTTTCACTGATGAACTTCAGTTGTCAATATATGTACAAGATCATGCTAAGAGAGGCAAAAAAAGGATTCTTTGTAAGCTGCCCCTGATGTTCCATGAGCTTAGAAATCTGCCCTTACTTTGCATCTTCTTCACTTCTTCCCAGTCTTTTAAAATTTCATTTACTTTCTTTGGCTATTATTTTGTCCTTCTCTCTTTGCTTTCCTGTTTATTAACTTTACTTAGTCTTCTTCTGATTCTTCTCATAAATATCACTCATCATATTTTAGAGATTGAGAAAACTTGTAGTAAGATTAGCTGGTCTTCGTGGAAAGATTCAAAAGCAGTTTAATTCCATCAAAATGGAGAAAAAGGGATTTTAAATTTGGCATAGAGTTACAAGGCATGCAACTTAAATGTGTGTAACATAACTACCATGGAATCTAAGTTTTTTTTAAGTTTTAAAAAATTTCAATAGTGATGGCTTTAATTATCTTGTGGTGGGAACTAGGAATTTTGGTCTTTAAAGAGTCTGCTTCAAAAAGATGTATAATATTTCAGATTCATACTCAAGCCTGAAAGAAGAAACAGAATGTTTCTAATAGGCTAAATGTTCCAACAACTGATAATAGATGAAGTCATTGTCTTTGATTTTGGCTTGGGAAATAAGTATTATGTCTTGAAACTGGTGTCTATATTACTAAAATTGATAAATATTTGAAGAACTTAGGAGGAAAATCACTTGGTACATAACCCGCACTCAGTAAATATTTGTTAAATTAATAAATTCAGCCTCAGAGTACAAGAGTGAATAAATGCTAGCTCTGCCTGACTAAATGATCATAAATTCAGTTAAAGCGGATTCAGAATTAGTATGATTCTTTTTTTCTGAGGTAGTACAGTAAGGTGGAAAAGAACACAGACTTTGGAGAAGAAAAGCCTTTGATTCAAATTACACCTCCAGTTCTTATTAGCTGTGTGACGATAAACTGTTTAATTTCCCCAAACCTCAGTTTTTTTCTTTCAGGAAAAAGAGACCTTTTAATATCCAGAATCTACAATGAACTCCAACAAATTTACAAGAAAAAAACAAACAACCCCATCAAAAAGTGGGCAAAGGATATGAATAGACACTTCTCAAAAGAAGACATTTATGCAGCCAAAAGACACATGAAAAATGCTCATCATCACTGGCCATCAGAGAAATGCACATCAAAATCACAATGAGATACCATCTCACACCACTTAGAATGGCGATCATTAAAAAGTCAGGAAACAACAGGTGCTGGAGAGGATGTGGAAAAATAGGAACACTTTTACACTGTTGGTGGGACAGTAAACTAGTTCAACCATTGTGGAAGTCAGTGTGGCGATTCCTCGGGGATCTAGAACTAGAAATACCATTTGACCCAGCCATCCCATTACTGGGTATATACACAAAGGATTATAAATCATGCTGCTATAAAAACACATGCACACATATGTTTATTGCGGCACTATTCACAATAGCAAAGACTTGGAACCAACCCAAACGTCCAACAATGATACACTGGATTAAGAAAATGTGGCACATACACACCATGGAATACTATGCAGCCATAAAAAAGGATGCATTCATGTCTTTTGTAGGGACATGGATGAAGCTGGAAACCATCATTCTCAGCAAACTATCACAAGGACAAAAAACCAAACACCGCACATTCTCACTCATAGGTGGGAATTGAACAATGAGAACACTTGGACACAGGAAGGGGAACATCACACACCGGGGCCTGTTGTGGGGTGGGGGGAGGGGGGAGGGATAGCATTTGGAGATATACCTAATATTAAATCATGAGTTAATGGGTGCAGCACACCAACAAGGCACATGTATACATATGTAACTAATCTGCACGTTGTGCACATGTACCCTAAAACTTAAAGTATAATAAAAAAAGAAAAGAAAAGAAAAGAAAAGGAGACTGCAGCACCTATGTCTTTGGGTGAGGGTCAAATATGATAGTGAATTAAATCATTTACACAGTAATGGTCATGTAGTACATGATAACTATTGCTATCATCCTAAGCAAAAATGTAAATTTATCACAGTATCTCACTTCTCTTAAACAATAACAACAGAATAAATTCAAATTTTCTCTTGACAAAGAATGGAGGATACTGTATGCTATTGCCTTTTCAATTGTTAACAAATCAAAAGTGGTTTGCTTTACACATACTGACTTTCAAGGCTTTTTCTAGGGTACTTGGGGTTAGCATCACATACCTGAATTACTCAGGGGAATTTAAGTCAAATAAGAAGATCCTTACTCAGAGACAGCGCAGGTCTACTGATTTCTAGGACCTAGACTGAAGAAAAGTGTCATGTTGAATGAATTTTATGGATGCTATTGATGAGCATGGACAGCTAGAAAGTCCTTGAAGAGGGTAGGCAGCATGAGTCATCACTCTCAGAGTGACCTTTTCTGCAAAGGTGGACAACAGGTGTGGGATTCATGCAAATAATAGAAAAGGGTGACTCACTGCTTTTTAATTTAGACTACATTAGCGGGTAGGAAGGTTCCAATTCAGAAAAGAGACAAAGCCTCTATTATTTCTTTGGCAGCTCTTTTTGTTTGTTTTTGAGCCTGCTTATCTCCCAAATTAGATAAAGTAACAGAAATAGAGGGAAGGTTCATAGAGAGGCTTAGATAAGAGAAATGCCTGTGAAAATTCTGTCTGAAATAGGGCAAAAAGCTTCCCTGACTGAGTGTGATTCACCCTGTTATAAATTGGACAGAAGAAGAAACAGGACATATAATAGCTACTTTCTTTTTATTTCAAAAAGACATAGATACATTATTTTTCTTTTTCATCTTATAGTCCACTAATGCTGGAGGTATTTTTTAATATTTGGAATTTTTCTATCACCTAGCGAATCTACTAAGACTCAATCTCTTCCTAAGCAAGTAAGACTTGAGACATTGTATTTTCCCTTTCAATTTGTTACCTTAATTTTGGTAAATAATTGTAAAGACTACAATAGTTAAAATGAGAAGGAATTTAAATGGTAACAGATAATGGCGAGCAATGAAGTGGCACAGTGATGTCTAGAAAGATTGCATTATTGTGGGAATAACAGAATGAAACTATACAGCACTGCTATGTGACAGCTCAAGTCCAGCGCAGGCTAACAGCAGTAACTAAACATCATAGGAACACTTTATCCTTCACTAAAAGTATTTAGTGCTTTTAATCAGCTCAAATAAAAGAGTCTCATCACTCCTTGAAAATACATGACAAGAAGGAGCTCTTAGTTTTTGTAACTGTATATTTTATGGAGAAGATGCAAACACTTTAGAGTTTCCCCCAAGTGTGAAAGTGTTGTCTTTTTAAATAGGCAATTAAAAAAAGGAAGCCTGGCTTAGTTATGACTATGTAGTTCTCTCTGATTTGTATTTTCTACCAGCAACTTTGTAGTCAGCTGCAATTACAATTTGAAATTGTTTGCTCTTATCGTCATCATTTGACCCTTCTTTCTGAACTCAGTCCAGCACTTTTCTTATCGATGTATGAGATACCATAAATTAGAGTTCTAGGAGCCCTTCATTGACTTGTTTGGAGAGGCTGTTTAAGGGGATTGAGTCTAGTGTGAGTTTCTGGCACCAGCAACTTGGTATGTTATGACTCAGTGCACAGAAATCATAAAAGACTGCTTCTCTCCCACTGGTCTTAAAAGGAGCTCAAAGTCCATGTTAGAAATAGTCATGCTTCTGAAAAATAAAGAGATTATCAAAATGCAGTAAAAACATAAAGACTTACAAATAAAAGTTGGTCTCAAATTTTTAGAATATAGAATTTTCTTATTGTATGAGTAACTACTGCAGTACAGTTTCCCTCAAACTACACACCACATAGATATGTTTCCAGAAGTTTTCTGAGAATAGAATCCAACAGAGAAGTTTATCCCAAAGCAAAGCTATCAGTTCATATATTGTTCCAGTTTCCATGCTATATTCACTAAATATCCATCTCTAAGGCAATACTTTGCTCCTTGCTGGTAGGATACTAGGAGACCTGAATAGATGAGTAGAAACAAGTTGTTTATAATGATATATTATATGTTGAATACAGCTATGTGCAAATAATTTTAATTTGTAAAAGTTACTATTTTGGGAATTAATAACTGTAGTTTATGGATTCTAAGTATGATAAATTATACTAATAGTCCTGGTAAATTTTTGTGGTAGGTTTTAATTCCCAGATAAAAGAGGATATTGAATAGAGTGAAACCTACCCTGGTAAATCCAGAAATAAGTCAACAAAATAAATAAAAAGAAGATTAGAATTAGAATATAAACAACTCTATCTTTCTTATATCCTCCAATCTTTATTGGCTTTAATAGTTCACAGATGAAAGGTTTGTGTTAAAATATACCACGCAAGCCTCAAATAAAGTTCGTTAACATCTAAAATTGTCATCCAGTAAGTCAAAATCAATAAAGCCCAAAAAATCAACGCTCCAAAAAGATGCCAAAATAAATGGTTTGATATAGGTACAACATAAGAGCTTCTTCCAGGTGATCTCTGGGGAGAAAAAGAAACAAAATTGGCAGCCTAGAGTTGCCAATTAGCAGGTTGGTTATATGAGAAATTGTGTCAGAATGTAAAATTTCCAGTGATTTATCAAAGATCCAGGAACACTCTTCCTCTTAGAATCATTAATTAATTGTGCACGTGTTTGTGTATTTGGTATTGTTGAGCAACTGTGTTTTGTCGTTATTTGAAAACTACAATCTCGTCTATAATTAGGAATTCCCACAGTTCTTTAAACATCTGTTCTGCAGAAATTGCACTCTAATGTTTTCTAGTAATGTTTTTAGTTTCCCAAAAAGGATTATCATTCAAATAAAAATGGACCCAGTTCTAAAATTTAAAAATTAAAATATATGCTATTATTTTAATCTTTAAGCATGTCTATATTTTACTGCTGTCATTATTATTATCTAGAAATAGTTTTTATTTGTTTGCTTGCATTGTTTTTGTTTTTGTTTGAGATGGAGTCTCACTCTGTCACCCAGGCTGAAGTGCAGTGGTATGATTTTAGCTCACTGCAACCTGTGCGGCCCGGGTTCAAGCAATTCTCCTGTCTCAGCCTCCCAAGTAGCTGGGATTACAGGTGCCTGCCATTGTGCCTGGCTAATTTTTGTATTTTCAGTAGAGACAGGGTTTCACCATGTTGGACAGGCTGGTCGTGAACTCCTGACCTCGTGATCCACCTGCTTCAGTCTCCTGAAGTGCTGGGATTACAGGCGTGAGCCACTGCACCCAGCCTAGAAATAGTTAATACAATATTAAATAAGACTGAAATATGGGAGACAATACTCTTTGAAGAGAATAAGAGCTATTTCTAAACCTGGTCTTTTTATCTTTTTTTTAATAGGAAATTAAATGCCCTTGATCTAGCATGATTATTATATTTTTCCTTATTTACACTTATAACTAAGAGAATTGAAACATTTTGCCAAATTCAGAGTGCAAGTGACCATGAGCCATTTTCCCAGTTTCCTATCAGTATTTGTGGAAACTGATGACAATTAAACCTAATAAAATTTAAATTATTATTGTTGTTATGTAATTGAACTTTTCATTTTAAGATAATTGTAGATTCACTTCTGGTTGTAAGCAATAAAATAGAGAGGTTCCCTGTAAACTTTATACAATTTTCCCCAATGGAAAAAAAAAAAACACAGAAGTGTAGTATATCTCAAGCAGAATATAGATGTCAGTGCAATCGATTGATTTATTCAGATTTCCCCAGTTTAACTTGTTCTTGCTTGCATATGTGTGTGTGTGTATTCAGTTCTGTGCAATTCTATCACATGTGTAGATTTGTGTATTTAATACCACAGTCAGGATACAGAACAGCTCCATTAGCATAGGGATTCCTCATTGTGCCCTTTCATTACCACATTCACCTTCGGGCCCCTCACCATGCTTCACCCTCTTTAATTTTGTCATTTCAAGAATGTAATGCAAATGGAATCATGCCTTATGTATGATAATGGCTTTGTCTACCTGCAATAATTCTCTTGAGACTCATCCAAGTTGAATGTACCAATATAATTTTAAAATGTGGAGTCTATTAAGTAATATTGGAAGACAAATGTGATCATAATCTTAATACATTTTTAGGATCACTAACTAAGTTTTTTCTTCTTTGAATGGTCCAGTTTAGTGTTTCTCAGTCACCTAGGAGGCTTGTTAAACTAAAGCACAGCTTGCTGAGCCCACCCATAGTGTTTCTGATGAAGTAGTCTGGAGGCCCTGAGAACTGATCCACTTATCTAAAAACATCACAGTGAGGATGATGCTACTGACCTCACTTTTAATAGCGCTGCTTAAAATTAATAATTAGGAGCTCATTATCATTCTAATTTGAAATATTGTTCTAAAATAATTCATTCTCACTCTCTTATTACCAGGAGTGGTGGATCTAGGAAAAACGGTGACACATTCCACAGGATTCTCAAGAATCCTCCATTGTGCCTGGGAGGAAAACAGTCTCTAAATCAGATACTGAATAAGAAAATAGAAAACAGGCAGTTTACAAAAGAGGAAATATTAATTGTCAATAAGTGCATGAAAAATGTTTCTCAGTAGCAATTAGGGATATGCAAATTAAAGTAATGAGCTTGTAACTTAGCCTATTGGCAGATATTTCAAACTTTGGTAACACGACACATTGGTAAAAGAATAGAGAAGCATGTAGCTGTAATAGTTAATAGGCACAGCTCCTTGAATCGGCAGTTTTTCCTAACTATTAATATTAAATGTGCCTTATGGCTTAACTACTGTAATTTCAGATCTCTACCCTATAAAAAGAAACAAATACACGCCCAAGGGCAGATTATAAAGGGATTTGTTGCAGCTTTTTGAAAAATTAAACCTACCTAAATGTCCATCAATAAAAATAAAACTAATTAATAGCATTTAGCAGTTTCTAGAAAACAAAATACTTCTCCATGTATTAGAGTGAAATATTTAAAATATGTTGGAAAAAAATCTTGTCAAAACAATACAAATACTATATTATTTATTATAGCATTCATAGGATACAAATAATAGCAAACAGATATTAAGCACTTACTACATGTTTGGCACTATATTAAGTGAATTACATACATTATTTTATTCCTTGCAACAGCTATGTAAGTTGAGTATCATAAATAATAACTAACATTACTGAATACTCATTATGTATGCTACGGATTGTTCAAAGTCATTTAATAATAATGATAACTAATACTTACTGAATGCTTACTGAGTCCCAAGCAATGTTGTAAACACACCATAAACCCTAGGAAGTGAGTATTATTTACTATTTATCTCACAAAATCTGAGCAGGTACTTAACAATGGACCTTGGGAAGCAAAGGAACCAAGGTAAAGCCAAGAGGCTGAGAATGTTAGCAACAGCAATTTGACAGGCTTTTCTCTAAAGCACTGTCATTAATGGACCCCGCTTCGATAACATGGAGAATTTGTCTCCCCTCTCAAAGACCAAATAGCCACACCAGAAACTCTGGCTCAGGATCAGGCAGGGAAAGACGTCTCCCATATCAGCTCTGCCCATAGTGGCAGAATCTCAAGATTCAGACATATTCACTGCAGACCCATCTGCATGTACTGGTTGGTCTCAAAGATGGAGGAAGTTGGAGGGAAGGGACAGGAACACAGTTATAAGCCAGGAAGTTCACTCCAACTCTTGTCTCCTTTCCCATGTGAAGCACCTGGTAGAGGCAAATAATGAGTGGGAGCTATTGATTCAACTAACATTTTAAAGCATTTTTTTGTGTGCCCAGGCTGCACCTGGCACTTTAATAATTCTCACTTGTATAATGTGTATGCTTTATAAAGGTCTTTTACATAGACTTGTCTCTTTTTTAATCCTCAAAACAAGCACAAGAATCCACGTGGTACAGATAGTGTTTTCCCTAATTTTTATAGATGAGGAAACACTCAAGCAGACAAATGCCTTGCCCAAAAGCAGCACGGAAAGTAAGCGTAGAACTAGAACTCTGACCCAGGACTTTTTAATCCCCAGCCAGTCCTCTTCCAATTGAGACTATGATGTGAGTATTCAGCACTAACTTGGGTAAAAGACACTAAGGGTAGCTTATTCCATTGAAAAAGAGGAATTTAATGTCCAAGGAGGTGAGTAATAGGGTCCAGATGAAAGATTTTACTAGCTATAGAATGAAAATGATAACAGAGAGGGGATTTATTCAGAAGGAAGCACCAAATTTATTGATGAGATTTATCTAATAAATGACAGTGAAGAACAAAATAGACTTTGTTCGTCTAATTTAGGAAAGAATCACTCCATGTGGAATAAACAGATCAATTTTCTGTGATGATTTGAAAATATTCTACATTTGTAACAATATATGAACATGGCATCAAGATACCATTTGCTTAGAGATGAAAATCAGTGGTGAACAAAAAGGCTTATTTTTATTTTTATTTTATTTTGTTTTATCTTATCTTTCTTATCTGCTTTTAGTTTAGTTTAGTTTAGTTTAGTTTGAGATGGGTTCTCACTCTGTCACCCAGGCTAGAGCCTTGACCTTCCTGACTCAAGTGATCCTCTCACCTCAGCTTCACAGAGTAGCTGTGACCATAGACACACACCACCATGCCTGGGTAATTTTTTTACTTTTGTAGATAGGGAGTCCTACTACATTTTGCAGGCTGGACTAGAATTTCTGCACTCAAGTAATCCTCCTGCCTCAGGCTCCTAAAGTGCTGGGATTATAGGTATGAGCCACTGCACCCCAACATATAGGCTTAATGTTAATGTTCTTGGAGAAAGTTGCACCATAGGATTAGTAAAGTATTAGCTTTCTTGTAGATACCCTCATTTGCATCATTTGTCATGTAAGGGTTGAATCGGAATTACAGAGCAAATATAGAAATTATCCAGTCAAGGCTGTAGTCTCCTCCTAGGCCAAGTTAATTCCTCATTAGAAAATATTCCTAGGCCTTTCCTCCTGAGGGTCAGGCACAGAAATAACAAGAGTAAGAAATCGGCTAAGTATCTTTTGCTAAAAAGAAAATAATTATTTCCCCTTATTTCTCTGATTTTTTCAGGCAATTGCATTATGTTACATCTAAACATGTCTGATTCATAATGAAGAGATTATTTTAGCAAAATAGGATATTGTCACTGTCTTGTTGCTGTGAGATGAAGGACAGTATTTTGTCTCCACAGCTATCAAATCTAAATATTGAGACTTTAAAATTCAACATGTTTTTCACTGAATTCATCCTGCAGATGTCAGCTAGCTGAATGATCATTATGATTCTCTGTGATAAATGTTGGATTGATTTAATTATATTAGCTCATTCTATCATTATGGAAAAAATCTTTTTTTGTTTATATGGTCTAAAGATTATTTCATACCTTCAAGATCTGGAAAGGGGAAAAAGCAAGTTGAAGAACAAAGAATGTTTCACATTTTCTGGTGTGAGCTCCATGTCTAGCTCCATGTCTAGCTCACAACAATAACATATTCATGCAGGACTCGTGTAATTTTAAAAGGATGATGAAATAAATGCTTCATTCAGACAATGAGAAATAGTGCTTTTTACTCACAATGTTGGTTAAAAGTTAATTTTTGTGAAGTCACTTAGTGGTCTTAGTTTCTAAGGCAAATTTTTGTTTGCACCTATTACTCAGTAGTTTATTTGTGTAGGAGATTTTCATCACTTTTCAAAAATTTGCCTTAAAAAATTGAAAATATTAACAGCTCTTAAGTGTATTGGAAGTTTTAGCTTTCAGCAGTATTACATATGATCTTTCCAGAAGATAAGAATATACTACCAAAAATTTAAAGACAACCTCTTACAAATTTTCTTCTAATGCTCTTTGTAGGTGAAGATATTAAAAAACTGTTTTAAAGATATTGTAACTAAGTTACTTATGAGATATAACCCCTTTTCCACAGCCACCTACCAAACTCTCCAAGTAGACTAAATCTTGGCTTTGGGTTCTAAAACCATTTCTTTATTTTCCCCCTTTCTATAGTCTAATAAATGTGATTGGAAGGGTTGTATAAATGTGCATTTGTTAAGAGGCACAGAGGAAAAAGAGAAAGAAGACTCTCAGACTGTACTTCTTGGTCTTTTTGATGAGCTCAGTGTCCTCCAACATCACCTCTGAATGTTGGGGATCCTAAGTGCCTGTTCTGGTCTTTTGTTCTTCTTAAACCTTTTGGGTAATCTTGTCTTTACCTAAATCTCAATTATCACACGTAGACCTGGCATTCTCAAATCTATACCTACAGCTCAGATCCTTTCTGTGAGCTCCAGGTTTCTACCTCCAACTGCATAGTGAACATCTCCAAGCACATGTCTCCCAGGCACCACAAACTTAGAAGTTACAAAAGTGGATTCATTTCCCTCAACCTCAAACCTATTCCACATCCTGTTAACCCAGTGGTTTTCAACCAGAGATGATTTTGCCCCAAGAGACATTTGGCAATCTGTTGAGACATTTGTGATCATCATGTTTGGTGTTAGAGGGGCACTACTGGCATACGATGGGAGATCCTAACATGCTGCTACACATTCTACAATTTACAGGACACTCCTTCCCACAAACACAACAAAGAATTTGCTGGGGCAAAATGTCAGTAGGGCTAAGTTTGAGGAGAGATTAATTTTCAAAATGGTTAACATGATGGTTAATTGATAGTTACTAGTTTAATATCTCAGAGAAGAAAGATACCACCATCCATCCTTGAAGTTATCCCTATTTTCTTTCTCTCTCTCACTTCCCTCTTCTAGATGGTCACCAATCCCATGGATTCTAGACACAATCGACCCCTAAATTGCCACCCGTTCTACCATGACTTTAGTTCATACTGTCTCCTAGACTACATCATCCCTCTTATTAAATCTCTCTTTAATATCCCTCCACATCAGGCTTCTTACTGCTGCTTGAAAGATCTTGCCAAAATACAAATCTATTCATGTTACTCTTATGTAAAAACCATCAATCGCTTCTGCTGCCTATGGATAACATTCAGACTGATGATATAGTTCTTGTCCAGCCCCTTTATACCTGTTTAGTTCCTTATCTACAAACTCCCCAATCTCAGCTTCCGGTTCCCCAAACCCTCCATACACGCTAAGTTACCTGAAGATCTAGAGGAATTCTTGCTATCCTTCAGCTTGTGTGTCTTTGTATATCAGCCATCTCTTTATTCTTTTTTTTTCTGGTTAGTTTATACCTGTTATTCAAGCCACAGGTCATCTATAACTTTGTCTTCTTTTCCTAACAAACCCAGATCTGCAAAGAATACCTATATTCATCAAGATTCATGGTTGAAAATAGCAGAATAAGATTCTGGATAACTTGAATAGAAAATGAATTTATTTAAAAGTTTTCAGTGGCTATATTGAGTTGAATCATTTCTCCCAAAACATGTCAACCCTGGACTTGTGAATGAGACCTTATTTGGAAATAGGGTTGCTGCAAGAGTAAATCAAGTTATGATAAGATCATACTTGGTTAAGGTAGGCCCTAAGTCACATATGACTAGTGTCCTTATAAGAAGGAAATTTGGATACAGATACACAAATGGACAGGGAAGAATGTCATGCTATGTTTTTGTAAAAATAGGCAGAAATTAGAGTGATGCACCTGCAAGCCAAGGAACTTTAAGGATTGCCAGCAAGTGCCAGAAGCCAAGGAGAGAGGCATGAAACTGATTCTTCTTCTGAGCCTCCAGAAGGAACCAACCCTGACAACACCTTGATTTTGGAATTCCAGCTTCCTGAACTGTGAGAAAGTAAATTTCTCTGATTTTAGCCACCCAATGTATGGATGTTTGCTATGGTAGCCCTAGGAAACTACTACAGTAGCCCGTATAATCAATACAAAGGATTAAAATATGTGCTGTGGCTACTGAGTCAAAGCACAGTTAAAACCCTGCCCTGAAAACAATTTGCTTAGAAAGTTGTCTCTTGACACTCGACAGCCCTGTCAGCATTCTATGGACACTCTTTGTATAACTGGACTCCTTTACTTATCAACATTTACTGCTCACCACTAGATCCTCAGCTCAGCCTCAGACACCATCAACCCTTTCAACTCCCCATGTGACTCTGTCTCACTCTCTCTAGTTTGATGATAGCAGTGCTCCTAGCAGGCCCAGCTACATAATTTGAGGGCCCCAGTGCAAACTGAAAACATTGGGCTCCTTGTCCAAAAATTATTAATAGTTTTAATATTTAACCATTAAATTAGGAGCATTAAACCAACTGTTGAACTCTTCTAAGCATGGGTCACACAGCCATGATGCTAGCCCTGGCTTTTAGTCGTGCTCCATGACATACTGATGCTTGGCACTGACAAAGTTCACAGAAGTATTGTCCACTGCTTTCCATCTTTATAATGGACAACAGGGCCCTCCCTCCCACTTATTTTTCATTCCTTTAAAATAAAGTGATCTGATGTTTGGTAACCAAATGACAAATGTTTTAGGGCAGAGCTTATAAATATTTCATAGCACTGCATTGCAATTGACCACTTTCATATCTATCTTCTCTGCTAAACTGTTAGAAGACAAATGCTGAATTGAACAAGTAATGTTCTTTTCTTGTGGCCAACACTTTAAATCAGAGATGACTCACATAAATGATATACGGAATTTTCATTTCCTTGATAGTTTTCTCCTTATGTGGATAATTTTATTCTAATCATAGGAAATATGGATAGGAAATTTTGATGCTTTGTGCTTATTTCAGTTCTACTAACTTGACACGGAGAGAATTTTCTTTCTCTGTGTCTTTTTTTTTTCTTTTGAGACAGAGTGAAGTGGCATGATATTGGCTCACTGAAACCTCCACCTCCCGGGTTCAAGTGATTTTCCTGCCTCAGCCTCCTGTGTAACTGGGATTACAGGCACACACCACCACCCCAGGCTAATTTTTGTATTTTTAGTAGAGATGGGGTTTCATCATGTTGGCCAGGCCGGTCTCAAACTCCTGACCTCAAGAGATCTGCACCACTGCGCCTCTCAAAGTGCTGGGATTACAGTTGTGAGCCACCATGCCTGGCCAAGAGCATTTTCTAATTATCATATATATTGAAAAGTCAGTACCTTTATTAAGATGAAAACAATTGTCCAGGCTCTAACTTTTAAAATATCAACCTTGTTAAGGCAAATCAATTTCCATGTATCTCATTTCTTTCCTACCAACTAGTAAAGGACCATCTTTTCTGAAAGCCCCAGAATGGCTTGATATGCTCATCCAGTTTTGTTGCAACTTTACTAGGCAGTCCAGCCTCTGGAAAGATTGGATCTCAAAACAGAATGAACTTTCCACGTTCTCTTTTGAAAGATAAACATGCACTCTATAAACTTCATCGGACTAAACAACAGAAACATCTGTTTAGACTCATGTGCAGCTTTTTGGCTGAGTTCAGCAACAGGGAGGCTTAGGAAGTGTGTTCATTAGCTGTATTCTGCAGCACCCAAACATCATTGCTGGTCACAATTATGCACTGGAGAGATTACCAAGCATGGGAATAACCAAACTAGACAGCTATCCATAAACAATCTCTGGTAATGCTATTACACTGTCCTTACATCCCATGGTTTTGTCTTCCATGAGAAATAACTTTAGGACATAAATAAGCATGAAATAGAAAAGATTGCAGAACTAGATATGGTCGTTAGATCATTCAAATGAATATAAATACAGAGTTCTAGAAAAAAGCCTAGAAGAGCATCCCAAGGCTGTTTACTCACCATTATCTCTAGTCAATCCTTCTTACCAGATTAAAAGTACAAAATATTATTCTCTGCTAGTTACAAGTAACATCTGAACAGCTATCCTTAGAACTCTACTCCCATGTGTTTCCTGACTCAATAGTGAGTGATTTTTCATACTAGCTCTACGAGGTAAGTTTTATTATCATTTGATGAAAGAGGGAACTAAAGCTTGGAGAGTTAGTGACTTTTCAAGCTCAGAAAGTTAAAAAATAAGAAGATCCAACTGAAAACTGAGATCTCTTCAATCTATGCCCATTTCTTGTTGATACTGTTATTTTTTTACTGTGCCCAATAAACTCAGCTTTTAAATTTCAAGTATATCAGGCATTCTATATCTGATCTGTTTAAATGATCTATAATTAAGTAGGAATTAAATTACCAGATATTTTCTAGCATTAAAGCTAGAAAACAGCAGGTTTTGAGGAAGTAGATATAGAAAAGGCCCCCTGGAATAGAATGTACTAGGAGTGGGTAAAGAAGACCAATTAACAAGGAGGTCTGAGACAGCTGAAGAAAATCCATCTATTTTATATTTTTTAACCAGGTTCAGTTGACTTTATGTTGGAAATGTTAAATGTGACAGAAGTAAATGATAAAGTTGAAGAAAATTTACTCAACTTTATACATATCTTCATGAAGGCAAGATTCTGCTTGATTTTCCAAAAGTTTTTTATGAGATATATATGTGTGTGTATGTGTGTGTGTGTATGTGTGTACGTATGTATCTATACAGCACATTCCAACCAATAGCCCTATTGCATCTCTTAGTAAGAATGCTTTTAATATTATATATTTATATATAAGATTATTGATGTGTGTGTGTCCATTAAGTTTCATAAATCCATAAAAAACCTGTTTGGCTTTCATTTCACATTAAACATTTGAAAACAAAAACGATCATTCAAAAATCTGAATTCACTAGTTTTCTACATGAACCATGGCTGTGTCACTCAGATTCAAATTAAAGTAAAGCTGATTGAATGTATATTTTAAAAACTGAATCATTAGGTTGTTTTACTTCAAATAAAAAAATGCATATTGTTTAAGCAAATGTTTTACGCACTTTATTTTCCAGAAATGTTACTTTTATATTGAATGACATAGGATGTGCCCTGGAAAGCTTAGCATCGGAGATCCACTCCCTAATTCAGCAAAAAAAAAAAAAAAAAAAAAATCAAATTCTAAAATTAAGAGTCCTCCTATGTTGCTTTGAGCCAAAACTTTCATCAAAGTTCATTTATAGAATAGTACAATTGGCTTTTAAAGATATTGTTAAGATTTAAAAGTTAATACACGTTTATTGAAAAAATTTTAAAAGTATAGAAAAGTACCCATTGCCCATAATCCCAGTATTCATAATCATTTTTTCTTTTTTAGAGACAGTGTCTCGCACTGTTGCCCAGGCTGCAGTGCAGTGACACTATCTCTGCTCACTGCAACCTCTGCCTCCCGAGTTCAAGCGATTCTCCTGCCTCAGCCTCCTGAGTAGCTGGGACTAGAGGTGCACACCACCGCACCTGAATAATTTTTGTATTTTTAGTAGAGACGGGGTTTCACCATGTTGGCCAGGCTGGTCTCGAACTCCTAACCTCAGGTGATCCGCCCACTTCCACCTCCCAAAGTCTTGGGATTACAGGCATGAGCCACTGCGCCCGGCCTCATAATCATTCTTAATGTATATGAACAATCATACAGCCTTTTACACAGTGATAGAAGGAATAACACTGGCATGATAGTAAATGGTATAGTACCATTTAAAAATTTAATGAATTCCATATAAAAATGATTTCATTATGGAAAACTTGGTAAATACAGAAAAACAGAAGAAAAACATCACTCAATCATTCATACGCATGGTTTTTATAAAGGTATTATTTTATATTAGTGCATTTTATGCCATTTCACTGTCCATGTTGCTGATAATACTGCAGGCACTGATTTTTAGGAAAATACAGAGACAAGAGAGGAAGGAGGTAATATAAAGAGAGGCTTGATGACAGTTAATATCTACCATGGATGGTTTGTTGATCTTTTCCAATATAAAATATAGCCCACAAAAACTCAGATCTTTCAATAAGAGCTTTAAAGGTACAGAAAAACATCAGAAATTCCTTGGCATTTAAATGGCTTTATGTACAGTTTTGCTTTTTCGATAGAAGTAAAAGATTCTATCCCAACTTCCAAACTTTGTAAGTAGTTTAGTTATTGTTAGCAAGAACAAGTAGAGAATGATAAATATTATGGTTTTAAGTGGTCCTCATCTATACTGTGGGACGAACAATGAGAAATATTCTTCCTGATATTATCAAAGGAGCAGATGCAGAAATAGTTGAAGCAAAAATAGTTGAAGGAAACATTAAGAGACAAATTCTACTCTGGGCTTCAAATTCACCTGAAAATACATGATCCAACTGGATCCCTGGGACTGGGATCCATAAATCCTTAAACAATCCATAAGTCCTTTATACCACAGTCTTTCTTTTTTTGAGATTTTCATTTCAGTTTATCTTCCATTTGGCCAAATTTAAGTCTTTTCTTTATAGAAACACACATTAGTGTAACATTTTCTGAATCCTTGTACATCCAAGAATATTTTTCCCAAAGGAAAGAAAATTAGCTAAGTATAATTCTTGTGTCACTAACCTCTCCTTTCAAAATTCTGTGAAGAAATCTCCACTTTTTACTAGCATTTTGTTTTATAAAAAACAACAAAATTTTTATTGTTTTTTAAATAATTTGTTAAGCCTGCTGTGGCAGACATGCTAAATTGATATTCAAAACCTACTACAGCTTTCTTTAGTGCAACTTTTAGTACTGCAAAGGCTAGAAAATCTACAAATTATATTTTCCCAACACTTTTGCATCTAGGGATCTGGATGTGAGTTATAATTCACCAATTAGATGTACTTACATAATATTTAGATGGTGGAAGTAAGGAGGAGGTCATTTTA
This sequence comes from Homo sapiens, assembly GCF_000001405.40. NCBI lineage: Eukaryota > Metazoa > Chordata > Mammalia > Primates > Hominidae > Homo > Homo sapiens. The sequence goes on from NC_000006.12 coordinate 81,575,544, forward strand.
CTTCTGTTTTGGCTGTTGCTATGAGCAAACACATTCACAGAAAAATATGCTGGGTTTTTATGAAGCAGAATTCCAGGATTCAGTGGCCAGCTGTATGAGTGTTTAGTAGCAGTTGTGGGAGCTTTCTGATCCCTGTATTGCAGCTACAGAAATGTTTACAAGTTTAGAAGCCTTCAAGTGGTAACCAGCTGATTCTCCCCCTTCCTGATTATGACACCACTACTAGCTCCTTTTCTTGGCCAGTTAGTAGTGTTGTTTAGGAAGTTTTTATTTAGAAGGCTAGCAGAAAGCCTACTCTTCCAGACCTTCCAAAGATAATCCTGAATTCAATCCTTTTCTGGTTTAACATAGTTGCAATGCTTTTTTGTTTCTTGCAACTGAATCCTGACTGATATGCTTCTCAGATGTTTGTAGAAGTTGGTTTTGTTGTTGTTATTACTAATTTTGTACAATCTGAGAATAGTGGACTTCATTATCTTATGGTTTTAGATAGGGTCTCGTTAATACTAATATCTCAGCTGAACCAACCTCACAATGCATGATCACAAGTGTTATAATTTTTCACAGATTTCCTATCTCCCAAGTACTTCCAGAATTCTTCAGTGTGTTTATGTGCTTGAATGAAGCATTGTTTGTCTGGATTAGCAGAGGCAATAATTCTCAGCCCTAGGACTCATTTGTGTCACAGAGATGTCACTCTGAGCTAGAACTCCATTTATAGTACTCAAGGCATTCCAGTTGCCATTTCCTAGGTGCTGAGGAAAATTAACAAAATAAATACATAAACTATTTTTGCCTTGATGACTTTGACCTAAAATGTGTTGATCTTACAATGCTGCAAATCTACTGCAACACAATGCCGTGATTTGAAATCTCACTATATCGTAACAATACAGCTAGGACTCAACCATGCCTTGTTACTAGAAATCCATGTTCTAATTCTTACAAAGTAGATTATGCTAAAACAGAGAGGGATGTGTTTGAGCAGAAGTGTTAGAAAATTCTATGATATGTCTCTTACAACTCACTGCTAGGTGCACACACAACTCCTGGTTGACTAGCTTGGATGATTTCTGGTAATGACCTCCACAGGAAACTGGGAAGTATCCTCCAATGTTATAGAGTGAGGTTAATCATGCAAAATATCCATTGGCCACTACTATATCTGCTTTCTTCCAACAGTCATCTGAACATGATTATAGAAAGGATTCCTGTACCTCTTTATCTTCACAAACCCTAGAAGTACTTTAACTTCCATACAAATATATGTTAGGAAAAAAAGACACATGAAAACATGCAGCCTATCTTAACCCACTGGTAGATTTTAAGTCTCAGCTTCAGTCTAAGTAGAATACATACTTCCAATTTTCTTCTAACACTATTTTTCATAATAATTTTATTTGAACCATAGCTAAAAAAATTTATCTGATTTTGCTTCTTTTCTGTTTTTGTTTCTATCCAAGAAATGAAAGTTATTCAAAACATTGGATATTTATTTTGTTTTCCATATTCATTATCCTCCCTATTATTTTAAAATCATTTCTCTTTCATTTTTCTCCTGAGAACACTTTTAAAATATGTCTTCCATCTCACTTATTTCTTTTTCCACACAGTTTTGTTCTTTAGCTTTTCCATTGTGAACTTTAATTCTACCATGACAATCTTAGTTTCTTAGGATTACTTATGTCAACTATGTACTTTTCATTTCATCCAGTTGCCTTTTCAGCTCAGTTTACTTTTTCTTTTTAAACAGTATCAAGCCTTTGTATTATAAAAACTGAAACTTTCTTCATGCTACTAACAAACTTTTACTTGATCCTAAAGGGAGGTTGGATTACAATACCAATCCGGTACTTTGTTTTACCTTCACAATAAATGGAGTTAGATGTTCTAAAATAATTAGATTTTTCAGGAAGTAGTACAAGTACAAACTTATATTAAACTCTAATCATTCAATGTGGAATAGTATAATATTTAGAGTAGCCAACAAAAGAAGAGCAAGGAATACATAAATAACAGGATAATAAGGAACAATATATGGAATGATAAAAGATATTTGATCAATCCAAAAGAGGACAGGAAAAAAAAGATAACATGTATTAGGTGTGACACTGATTAAAAAAATAGTAATGTTACAAATGTTAAATGTATCGACAATAACATTAAACTAAAAGAAGGCTAATATTCATAAGTAAGAAACTAAAATAATAATTATATGGACCTCATAAGAGAGACAACTTAAATATGAGAACATAGAATGATAGAAAGTAAAAGAGTGGAAAAAGAAACATCTAAAGACTAATTGAAAGATAGCTGGTATAGGTATACTAAAGCATACACAGTCGTGTTTAAAATATGAGGCATTATTAGAAAAAGGGAGCCATTTATAATGATAGAAGGCTCCACACAACAGAAAGATGTAATGATTCTCAATATGTATGTGCCATATATCATAGCCTCAACAGATACTTTAAAAGAAGATATATTAGACTACTTTACATTGAATAACCACAATTCTTCAAAAGAAAACATTAAGATAGTAAAAAGATAAGCCAGAGTGGGAAAATATATTTAAAATATATACATCTGACAAAAGACTCAGACATACACACACATAAATACACTCACATTTTGTTTTGTAAACAAAGGAAACTAACTCTTTAAATTATCTGAAGCAAAATGAGACTTTATATAATTGTAGCCAAGGGGCTCTCTTTTATCACTTTTCTCTCCTTTGCTGCTATTTATTGGAGACTGATTTTTTTCATGAGTCTAAAAACAGGTATCAGCATGTCCCACATTTCACATGTCTTTCATCACAAAGATATCCAAATCTTTTTTTCTAGATGCAGTTTTTCAAATCCTAAGAAAGGACTGGGATAGATGTAGATTAGGTTATATTTCAACCTCTGGACCAACCTATAGCTGATTACTGAATACTCAGTATCTGTACTGAAGCTGCAGATTCACACACTAGAATTAGATCACTGAAATAAAGAGCAGTTTTCTGAGCGGCGGTTCCAAGATGGCCGAATAGGAACAGCTCCAGTCTACAGCTCCCAACGTGAGCAACGCAGAAGACAGATGATTTCTGCATTTCCAACTGAGGTACCGGGTTCATCTCACTGGGGACTGTCAGACAGTAGGTGCAGGATAGTGGGTGCAGCACACCGAGCATGAGCAGAAGCAGGGTGAGGCATCGCTGCACATGGGAAGTGCCAGGGGTCAGGGAATTCCCTTTTCTAGCCAAGGAAAGGAGTGACAGAGGGCACCTGGAAAATCGGGTCATTCCCACCCTAATACTGCGCTTTTCCGACAGTCTTAGCAAACAGCACACCAGGAGATTATATCCTGCGACTGGCTCGGAGGGTCCTACGCCCACAGAGCCTCACTCATTGCTAGCACAGCAGTCTGAGATCAAACTGCAAGGTGGCAGCGAGTCTGGGGGAGGGTTGCCTGCCATTGCTCAGGCTTGAGTAGGTAAACAAAGCGGCCTGGAAGCTCGAACTGGGTGGAACCCACCACAGCTCAAGGAGGCCTGCCTGCCTCTGTAGACTCCACCTCTGGGGGCAGGGCACAGCCAAACAAAAGGCAGCAGAAACCTCTGCAGACTTAAATGTCCCTGTCTGACAGATTAAAGACACTAGTGGTTCTCCCAGCACACAGCTTGAGATGTGAGAATGGACAGACTGCCTCCTCAAGTGGGTCCCTGACGCCCGAGTAGCCTAACTGAGAGGCACCCCCCAGTAGGGGCAGACTGACACCTCAAACGGTCAGGTACCCCTCTGAGACAAAACTTCCAGAGGAACAATCAGGCAGCAACATTTGCCTTTCACCAATATTCGCTGTTCTGCAGCCTCCGCTGCTAATACCCAGGCAAACAGGGTCTGGCGTGGCCCTCCAGCAAACTCCAACAGACCTGCAGCTGAGGGTCCTGACTGTTAGAAGGAAAACTAACAAACAGAAAGGGCATCCACACCAAAACCCCATCTGTATGTCACCATCATCAAAGACCAAAGGTAGATAAAATCACAAAGATGGGAAAAAAAACAGAGCAGAAAAACTGAAAATTCTAAAAATCAGAGCTCCTCTCCTCCTCCAAAGGAATGCATCTCCTCACCAGCAATGGAATGAAGCTGGACGGAGAATGACTTTGACGAGTTGAGAGAAGAAGGCTTCAGACGATCAGATTTCTCTGAGCTAAAGGAGGAAGTTCGAACCCATGGCAAAGAAGTTAAAAACCTTGAAAAAAGATTAGACGAATGGCTAACTAGAATAACCAATGCAGAGAAGTCCTTAAAGGACCTGATGGAGCTGAAAACCACAGCATGAGAACTACCTGACAAGTGCACAAGCCTCAGTAGCCAATTTGATCAACTGGAAGAAAGGGTATCAGTGATGGAAGATAAAATGAATAAAATGAAGTGAGAAGAGAAGTTTAGAGAAAAAAGAATAAAAGAAATGAACAAAGCCTCCAAGAAATATGGGACTATGTGAAAAGACCAAATCTACGTCTGATTTGTGTACCTGAAAGTGATGGGGAGAATGGAACCAAGTTGGAAAACACTGCAGGATATTATGCAGGAGAACTTCCCCAACCTAGCAAGGCAGGCCAACATTCAAATTCAGGAAATACAGAGAATGCCACAAAGACACTCCTCGAGAAGAGCAACTCCAAGACACATAATTGTCAGATTCACCAAAGTTGAAATGAAGGAAAAAATGGTAAGGGCAGCCAGAGAGAAAGGTCGGGTTACCCACAAAGGGAAGCACATCAGACTAACAGCTGATCTCTCGGCAGAAACTCTACAAGCCAGAAGAGAGTGGGGGCCGATATTCAACATTCTTAAAGAAAAGAATTTTCAACCCAGAATTTCATATCCAGCCAAACTAAGTTCATAAGTGAAGGAGAAATAAAATACTTTACAGACAAGCAAATGCTGAGAGATTTTGTCACCACCAGGCCTGCCCTAAAAGATCTCCTGAAGGAAGCACTAAACATGGAAAGGAACAACTGATACCAGCCACTGCAAAATCCTGCCAAAACGTAAAGACCATCGAGATTGGGAAGAAACTGCATCAACTAACGAGCAAAATAACCAGCTAACATCATAATGACAGGATCAAATTCACACATAACAATATTAACTTTAAATGTAAATGGACTAAAGGCTCCAATCAAAACACACAGACTGGCAAATTGGATAAAGAGTCAAGACCCATCAGTGTGCTGTATTCAGGAAACCCACCTCACGTGCAGTGACACACATAGGCTCAAAATAAAGGGATGGAGGAAGATCTACCAAGCAAATGGAAAACAAAAAAAGGCAGGGGTTGCAATCCTAGCCTCTGATAAAACAGACTTTAAACCAACAAAGATCAAAAGAGACAAAGAAGGCCATTACATAATGGTAAAGGGATCAATTCAACAAGAAGAGCTAACTATCCTAAATATATATGCACCCAATACAGGAGCACCCAGATTCATAAAGCAAATCCTTAGAGACCTACAAAGAGACTTAAACTCCCACACAATAATAATGGGAGACTTTAACACCCCACTGTCAACATTAGACAGATCCAGGAGACAGAAAGTTAACAAGGATATCCTGGAATTGAACTCATGTCTGCACCAAGTGGACCTAAGAGACATCTACAGAACTCTCCACCACAAATCAACAGAATATACATTCTTCTCAGCACCACACCACACTTATTCCAAAATTGACCACATAGTTGGAAGTAAAGCACTCCTCAGCAAATGTAAAAGAACAGAAATTATAGCAAACTGTCTCTCAGACCACAGTGCAATCAAACTAGGACTCAGTATTAAGAAACTCACTGAAAACCACTCAACTACATGGAAACTGAACAAACTGCTCCTGAGTGACTACTGGGTACATAATGAAATGAAGGCAGACATAAAGATGTTCTTTGAAACCAATGAGAACAAAGATACAACATACCAGAATCTCTGGGACACATTTAAAGCAGTGTGGAGAGGGAAATTTATAGCACTAAATGCCCACAAGAGAAAGCAGGAAAGATCTAAAATTGACACCCTAACATCACAATTAAAAGAACTAGAGAGGCAAGAGCAAACACATTCAAAAGCTAGAAGAAGGCAAGAAATAACTAAGATCAGAGAAGAACTGAAGGAGATAGAGACACAAAAAACCCTTCAAAAAAATCAATGAATCCAGGAGCTGGTTTTTTGAAAAGATCAAAAAAATTGATAGACCACTAGCAAGATTAATAAAGAAGAAAAGAGAGAAGAATCAAATAGACGCAATAAAAAATGATAAAGGGGATATCACCACAAATCCCACAGAAATACAAACTACCATCAGAGAATACTGTAAACACCTCTGCGCAAATAAACTAGAAAATCTAGAAGAAATGGATAAATTCCTCGACACATACACCCTCCCAAGACTAAACCAGGAAGAAGTTGAATCTCTGAATAGACCAATAACAGGCTCTGAAATTGAAGCAATAATTAATAGCTTACCAACCAAAAAAAGTCCAGGACCAGACGGATCCACAGCCAACTTCTCCCAGAGGTACAAGCAGGAGCTGGTACCATTCCTTCTGAAACTATTCCAATCAATAGAAAAAGATGGAATCCTCCCTAACTCATTTTATGAGGCCATCATCATCCTGCTACCAAAGCCTGGCAGAGACACAACAAAAAAAGGGAATTTTAGACCAATATCCCTGATGAACACTGATGCAAAAATTCTCAATAAAATGTTGGCAAACCGAATCCAGCAACACATCAAAAAGCTTATCCACCGTGATCAAGTGGGCTTCATCCCTGGGATGCAAGGCTGGTTCAACATATGCAAATCAATAAATGTAATCCAGCATATAAACAGAACCAATGACAAAAACCACATGATTATATCAATAGATGCAGAAAAGGCCTTTGACAAAATTCAACAATGCTTCATGCTAAAAACTCTCAATAAATTAGGTATTGATGGGACGTATCTCAAAATAATAAGAGCTATTTATGACAAACCCACAGCCAATATCATACTGAATGGGCAAAAACTGGAAGCATTCCCTTTGAAAACTGGCACAAGACAGGGATGCCCTCTCTCACCACTCCTATTCAACATAGTGTTGGAAGTTCTGGCCAGGGCAATCAGGCAGGAGAAGGAAATAAAGGGTATTCAATTAGGAAAAGAGGAAGTCAAATTGTCCCTGTTTGCAGATGACATGATTGTATATTTAGAAAACCCCATCGTCTCAGCCCAAAATCTCTTTAAGCTGATAAACAACTTCAGCAAGTCTCAGGATACAAAATCAATGTACAAAAATCACAAGCATTCTTATACACCAATAACAGACAAACACAGAGCCAAATCATGAGTGAACTCATTCACAATTGCTGCAAAGAGAATAAAATACCTAGGAATCCAACTTACAAGGGATGTGAAGGACCTCTTCAAGGAGAACTACAAACCACTGCTCAATGAAATAAAAGAGGATACAAACAAAGAGAAGAACATTCCATGCTCATGGATAGGAAAAATCAAAATCATGAAAATGGCCAAACTGCCCAAGGTAATTTATAGATTCAATGCCATCCCCATCAAGCTACCAATGACTTTCTTCACAGAATTGGAAAAAACTACTTTAAAGTTCATATGGAACCAAAAAAGAGCCCTCATTGCCAAGTCAATCTTAAGCCAAAAGAACAAAGCTGGAGGCATCACGCTACCTGACTTCAAACTATACTACAAGGCTACTGTAACCAAAACAGCATGGTACTGGTACCAAAACAGAGATATAGACCAATGGAACAGAACAGAGCCCTCAGAAATAATGACACATATCTACAACTATCTGATCTTTGAAAAACCTGACAAAAACAAGAAATGGAGAAACGATTCCCTATTTAATAAATGGTGCTGGGAAAACTGGCTCACCATATGTAGAAAGCTGAAACTGGATCCCTTCCTTACACCTTATATGAAAATTAATTCAAGATGTATTAAAGACTGACATGTTAGACCTAAAACCATAAAAACCATAGAAGAAAACCTAGGCAATACAATTCAGGACATAGGCATGGGAAAGGACTTCATGTCTAAAACACCAAAAGCAATGGCAACAAAAGCCAAAATTGACAAATGGGATCTAATTCAACTAAAGAGCTTCTGCACAGCAAAAGAAACTACCATCAGATTGAACAGGCAACCTACAGAATCGGAGAAAATTTTTGCTATCTACTCATCTGACAAAGGGCTAATATCCAGAATCTACAAAGAACTCAAACAAATTTACAAGAAAAAAACAGCCCCATCAAAAAGTGGGCGAAGGATATGAATAGACACTTCTCAAAAGAAGACATTTATGCAGCCAAAAGACACATGAAAAAATGCTCATCATCACTGGTCATCAGAGAAATGCAAACCAAAACCACAATGAGATACCATCTCACACCACTTAGAATGGCGATCATTAAAAAGTCAGGAAACAACAGGTGCTGGAGAGGATGTGAAGAAATAGGAACACTTTTACACTCTTGGTGGGACTGTAAACTAGTTCAACCATTGTGGAAGTCAGTGTGGTGATTCCTCAGGGATCTAGAACTAGAAATACCATTTGACCCAGCAGTCCCATTACTGGGTATATACGCAAAGGAGTATAAATCATGCTGCTATAAAGACACATGCACACATATGTTTATTGCAGCACTATTCACAATAGCAAAGACTTGGAACTAACCCAAACGTCCAACAATGATAGACTGGATTAAGTAAATGTGGCACATATACACCATGGAATACTATGCAGCCATAAAAAAGGATGAGTTCATGTCTTTTGTAGGGACATGAATGAAGCTGGAAATCATCATTCTCAGCAAACTATCACAAGGACAAAAAACTAAACACCACATGTTCTCACTCATAGGTGGGAATTGAACAATGAGAACACTTGGACACAGAAAGGGGAACACCACACTCCAGGGTCTATTGTGGGGTGGGAGGAGAGGGGAGGGACAGCATTAGGAGATATACCTAATGTAAATGACGAGTTAATGGGTGCAGCACACCAACATGGCACATGTATATATATGTAACAAACCTGCACATTGTGCACATGTACCCTGAAACTTAAAGTATAACTACAAAAAAAGAAAGAGCAGTTTTCCATAAGAACATTGTGCTTCCAGACCAAAAGAAAAGTGTACTGTTATAGGTTGAATTGCACCACCCATCAGAAAAAGGGATGTTGAAGTTCTAACCCACAGTACCTCAGAATGTGATGCTATATGAAAATATGATTGTGTTGAATGTAATTAGTTCAAATGAGGTCATACTGGAGTAGTGTGGGCCCATAATCAAATATGACTGATGTCCTTATAACAAAACAACCATGTGAAGACAGAAAGACACACAAACAGAAAGCCATGATGAATGCGGAGATTGGAGCTAAGCAGCTGTAAGCCAGTGATCACTAAATATTGCTGACAGACACCAAAAGCTAGGAATAGTCAAGGAAGGATCCTTGGTTCAAAGGGAGCATGGCTCTGCTGACACCTTGATTTTACACTTCTATCCCCCAGACTGTGAGACAATAAAGTCCTGTTGTTCTAAGCCACACCCAATTTGTGGTACTTTGTTATGGCAATCTTAGGAAACTAATACAGGTGCTGAATGGAGAAATTTGTAAATTTCCACTTTACTGATATCTGGAGAACAGAGTTGTATGGGAGGAGCACAGAAAGGCAAGTGAACCCAGCTCATCATTTCCAAATGATTTATTATTTGGGTGTGATATTTTATATGTGTTTAGAATTCTACACAATGGCTAGAAACCACTTGGTGTGTTTTGGACATTTCAAGGAACCAAGATGAATGACTGAGGAATGTCAATATAGACCCTTTTAATTAAAACATAATGGCTAAATTGTACTGAAGGATTCTCAATCATTTTCTGTTTCAAATATTCACTCTCATTTCAGTAACTCCCAGGATCTGCTCTTGTTATAGATGTAATCAAAAAATGATTTAAACATTTACGTAGCATTTTTATGTGCAGAATTAACTTCTACATTAAAAATTTCCTTTTTAGGCTTAGCAAACAATTCTATAAAATGTACACGCTTTATAAAACATATCCCCCTATATTAGTCTGTTCTCAAACTGCTAATAAAGACATACCTGAGACTGGGTAATTTATAAAGGAAAGAAGTTTAATTGATTCACAGTTCCACATGCCTGAGGAGACCTCAAAATCATGGCAGAAGGTGAATTAGGAGAAAAGTCATATCTTACATGGCAGCAGGCAAAGAGCTTGTGCAGGGGAACTCCCACTGATAAAGCCATCAGTCTCATGAGACTTTTTCACTAACACAAGAACAGTATGGGGGAAACCACCCCCATGATTTAAATACTTCCACCTGGTCCCATCATTGACATGTGGGAATTATTACAATTCAAGGTGAGATTTGGGTGGGGACGCAGCCAAACCATATCATTCCACCACTGGCCCCTCCCAAACCTCACATCCTCACATTTCAAAACCAATTATGCCTTCCCAACAGCTGCCCAAAGTTTTAACTCATTTAGGCATTAATTCAAAAGTCCACAGTCTGAAGTCTCATCTGAGACAAGGCAAGTCCCTTACGCCTATGAGCCTGTAAAATCAAAAGCAAATTAGTTACCTCTTGAATACTTTGCTGCTTAGAAATTTCTTCCAACAGATACCCTAAATCATCTCTCTCACGTTCAAAAGTTCCACAAATATCCAGGGCAGGGAAAAAATGCCACCAGTCTCTTTGCTAAAACATAGCAAGGGCCACCTTTACTCCAGTTCCTAACAAGTCCCCCATCTCCATCTGAGACCACCTCAGCCTGGACTTCATTGTCCATATCACTATCAGCACATTGGTCAAAACCATTCAACAGGTCTCTAGGAAGTTCCAAACTTTCCCACATCTTCCTGTCTTCTGAGCCCTCCAAACTGTTCCAACCTCTGCCTGTTACCCAGTTCCAAAGTTGCTTCCACATTTTTGGGTATCTTTAGAGCAGCAGCCCACTCTACCAATAACAATTTACTGTGTTAGTCTGTTCTCACGCTGCTAATAAAGACACATCCAAGACTGGGCAATTTATAAAGGAAAGAGGTTTAATTGACCTACTGTTCCACATGGCTGGGAGGCCTCACCATCGTGGCAGAAGGAGAATATGAAGAAAAGTCACATCTTAATGGCGGCAGGCAAAGAGCTTGTGCATGGACACTCCCATTTATAAAACCATCAGATCTCGTGAGACTCATCCACTACCACAAGAACAGTATGGGGGAAACTGCCTTCATGATTCAATTATCTCCACCTGGCCCTGCCCTTCACATGTGGGGATTATTATAATTCAAGTGAGATTTGGGTGGAGTCACAGCCAAACCATATCACCCCCTTACCAGCTTTCTCTAGTTTCAGAAAGGATCATCACTACTTCATTGTTCTACTTCAAGAATAGTGAAAGGAATTTTTGAATGACATGTTGTCTGACTAGTTGCATGTTAGGTCAACTTGGTAATAAAAGTATCCTCTAGGGATTAAAATACCATTGTTAATTATTCATTCCTTCAGGTGATGGCATGAGAAATATCATTTTTTTTTACTATTTCTTTTGGCCACTCAAAGGCTTTCTTTATTACACATTTAAAACATATGATAAAATGCCATCTACTGTTGTTTTTTTTATTATACTTTAAGTTCTGAGATACATGTGCAGAACGTGCAAGTTTGTTACATAGGTATACACGTGCCATGGTGGTTTGTGGCACCCATCAACCCGTCATCTACATTAGGTATTTCTCCTAATGCTATCCCTTCCCTAGCCCCCACCTCCCAACGGGCCCTGGTGTGTGATGTTCCCCTCCCTGTGTCCATGTGTTTTCATTGTTCAACTCCCACTTATGGGTGAGAAAATGTTTGGTTTTCTGTTCCTGTGTTAGTTTGCTGAGAATGATGGTTTCCAGCTTCATCCATGTCCCTTCAAAGGACATGAACTCATCCTTCTTTATCGTTGCATAGTATTCTATGGTGTATATGTGCCATATTTTCTTAATCCAGTCTGTCATTGATGGGCATTTGGGTTGGTTCCAAGTCTTTGCTATTGTGAATAGTGCTGCAATAAACATGTGTGCATGTATCTTTATAGTAGAATGATTTATAATCCTTTGGGTATATACCCAGTAATGGGATTGCTGGGTCAAACGATATTTCTGGTTCTAGATCCTTGAGAAATCACCACACTGTCTTCCACAATGGTTGAACTAATTTACACTCCCAACAGTGTAAAAGCGTTCCTATCGCTCCACATGAGAACCATCAACTTTTTAAATGGTGATGTTATCTGGAAGAGCCACATGTCAGCCAAGTTTGTCATTACAACTTCCAGGTTGAATTGGGAGAAGTAGCTGGTTTACTTGTATGCTTATTTAACTTGTATTTCTCCTTATTCCAGATGAGACTTTAAATGATTGAGGTGTGTCTAGTTTATCTATACCACTAATTAACTGCACAAACTTTGGCTAAAACTCAGTTTCCTCATCTTCAAATTGGGGAAAATAAACTCTCATCAGATAAGTGTTTAAGATTGAATGGAAAAAAAATCTGTGGAAGTTAATTGTACAAAGAACAGTACCTGAATTCATATCTGTGTTATCTGTCATTAGTTTGGGTTAGGGTCCTAAAGAAATGAGACCTGCATGTGCTTTTGGAAAGGGAGCTGGGGTGAGATACTGGGTACTGTTCAGCTTTTTGGCATTTTGGCCAAGAAAGTTTGGCATTTTTTACAAAGCCAAATGTAGTCTTACCATTTGATCTAACAATCATGCTCCTAGGTAAGCAGATGAGTTGAACGCCTATACCCACACACACACAAAAATCTGCACACAGATGTTTATAGCAGCTGTATTTATAATTGTCCAAAATTGGAATCACACAAGATGTTCTTTAATAGGCAAATAGATAAACAAACTGTGCTACATCCTTACATAAAATATTACTCAGCAATAGACAGAAGTGAGTTATCAAGCCACAGAAAGGCATGAAAGAAACTTAAATGTATATTACTAAGTGAAAGAAGCCAATCTGAAAATGTTACATTCTTTCTGATTCCAGCTATATGACATTTTAGAAAAGGTAAAACTATGGAGACAGTAAAGATCTGTGGTTGCCAGGGATTAAGGGGAAAGGAGCAGGATGAATAGGTAGAATACAGGGAATTTTTAGGATGGTGAAACTATTCTGTATGGTGTTGCAATGGTGGATATATGAAATAATCAAAAGCCATAGGACTGGGCTGGGCTCACTCCTATAATCCCAGCACTTTGGGACGCCGAGGTGGGCAGATCACGAGGTCAGGAGATCGAGACCATCCTGGCTAACACAGTGAAACTCCGTCTCTACTAAAAAAACACAAAAAGTTAGCCGGGTGTGGTGGCACGCACCTGTAGTCCCAGCCACTCGGGAGGCTGAGGAAGGAGACTCGCTTGAACCTGGTAGGCAGAAGTTGCAGTGAGCTGAAATTGCGCCACTGCAATCCAGCCTGGGCGACAGAATGAGATTCCGTCAAAAACAAAACAAAACAAACAAAAACACCCATAGGACTGTAAAACACAAAGGGTGAACCCTAATGTAAATTATTATTAGTTAATAATAATATATCAGTAGTGGTTTATCAATTGTAACAAATGTGCCATAACTACGCAAAATGTTAAAAACGGGCAACTGTGGGTGGGATAGATGGAGTATATGAGTATTCTCTGTACTTCGTGCTCAGTTTTTCTATAAACCTAAAACTGCTCTGAAAAAATAGTCTTAATTTAAAACAAAATAAAACAAAGTTTATGTGCTTCACACTTAGATGCTGTTAGACACTGCCACTGAGACTTTCCATAGAACCTCAGGGTAATATGTGCAGAAGCACTTTTGTTTATTAAATTTACCTTCTAATCTTGTCCCAAAAGGGATTTAATTTTGCTGGGTAGTAAGGCCTGGGTATCAGTCCCATAGTGGCAAGTAAACCGTGTAAAGTCTCAAAGCTGGTGCTGGAGTCCAGCTATGCTCATGTTATGCTCCACCAGATGGCCTCCAGGGCAATGGCACTGGGGAAAACCATGAGCACCCTTTTGTTTTCTCCTTGTTTTGCAGACTGTCTGCCTGAAGGCCTGTATGTGTTTAACATATAACTTCTCTGACTTCAGAAATTTGTTAAGGGTTTCATTCTCCTAATTTAAGCCTAGAATATATCTTTCCCAAGAAGAAATCCTCTTCATTACTTCAGGCACAAAAGGAATTTGTGAACAGCTTTAGACATTTCAGTTCAGATAACAACCCTTGTTCTTTCCTACTGCAGAATGTTTGCTCTTTCATATGCTCAACTTTCAATCCTATTTGCTCTAGTTCATTTTATTTATCTTTAATAATAGCTTATCATTTAATCTTTTATTGTTTGTAAACTTAGCAATCTAAGAAATATGGTTGAATAAATGCAATGTACCACAATAGAACTACTGTTGTTACAGTAGGTAGGTAGTCTGACATGAGCAGGGCAGCAGAGGGCCCCCACGCACACCAGGAATGTCAGGCAACCATCAGGTCATGGTCAGGAGGTTGTTAAACTGCGTCTCTAAAATAATAATTGGCTGCAGCTGGCAACAGGGAACGGCCATCTCCCAATGAATAGAAACACCTGAAACTGGTGGTCAGCAGCTTCCCGATAAGATTTCAGGAGTTGGGTGAGTAGGCTCAAGCATGCACACTAAGAGGCAAAATGGTAGAGTTTAACTGGTACGTGACCTTCCTCTAGGAACACGTGACTAGTAAAGGAAAAACACCTCAAGTCACTAAGAGGCAAAATGTTGGAATTTCAACACGTCTTGACTAGTATGGGAAAAATGTCTCAAGTGAGCATGCCTAAAATTTCAGTAAACACACTGTGCTTGCAGCCCCTCCCAAGTGCAGGTAGGCTGCTGCACGTGTGGATGACCTGAGCCCAGGGAAGAATCAGGGAAGAAGGGACACAACCCACAGAAAGCATGCCAACGTTTAAAACCCCAAGTCAAAGGTTAACTGGGCACTTGAATCTCTCAAGTTGCCCCCTTGGCCTTCTTCCAAGGGTACTTTACTTTTGTTCTTCCTCTAAAACTTTAATAAACGTTCATTCCAGCTCTAAAACTGACATACATCTTTCCCTCTGCCTTATGCCCCTCTGTAAAGTTATTTCTTCTGGGGAGGCAAGAATTGAGGTTTCTGCAGACCTGTACAGATTTGCTGCTGCTAACATACTTTGATGATGTGTGACTCCAAGGCAGTGTTCTGGGGGTGGCTAAAAGCTCTTGTCGCATGCTCCACTTTTATCCTTTCCTTAAGAAAGCAGTGCCATCCCCTAAAGAAACTCTGCAAAGCCAAGAGAACAGAGTTGCCATGTTAGCTCTCTATCATTCGGTCTCTCTAAACAACAACATGTGTAGTCTCTGACCTACATTCATTTTTGCCATCAGCAAAATTTTTCTTTTCTTGTGGAAAATTAACTATGTAACTAGCCATACCTGAGGAGACCTAGAAGCTAATCCTTTCATGGGTTTAATTTCCTTAACCAACATTTCCCAAAAGATAGTATTGGTAGATGAGATTTGATGTGATACATAAATAGCAGTGGTACATGAGTTATGCATTTATTTTATTTGACATTATAAAAATATAATCGCACATCAAATCTGTGATTTGATGGACATTATTCCTTAGGAAGAGTAGAAGAGTATTTTTAGAGAAAAATTGTATAGTTGGCAACTGGTTATGGCAAACCCATAGAGAGAAAAATCAAATGACAAAGTCTGGGAAACATAGCTTTCAACAAACGAAAGAGGCACATTAAATTTTTCTAATAAGTTACTGTAATAACTGATTCTTTGGCTTTCTTAACAAATAAATGGGAGTTCTATTTTAGTTTTTTGAGGAACTTCCATACTGTTTTCCATAAAGACTGTACTATTTACATTCCCACCAACACTATATAAGAGTTCCCCTTTCTCCACATCCTCCCAGCATTTGTTAGTTTTTGTCTTTTTGCTCATTCTAACCTAGGTGAGATTATATCTCATTGTGGTTTTAATTTGCATTTCCCTGATGATTTGTGATGTTGAGCACTTTTTCATTTTCCTATTGGTCATTTGTTTGTTTTCTTCTGATAGAGATATATTCTACTAATTTGCCCTTTTTAAAATCAGAATTGTGTGGGTTTTCTTTGTTTCTTTTTTATTGCTGTTGAGTTATTTGAGTTCCTTGTGTATTCTGGGTATTAATTCCTTGTCAGATGAATAGTTTGCAAATATTTTCTCCCATTGCTGTGCAGAAGCTTTTTAGTTTGATATAACCCCATTTGTTTATTTTTGCTTTTGTTGCCTGTACTTTTGAGGGCTTCTTCATAAAATCTTCACCCAGAATGTCCAAAAGTGTTTTCCCTAAGTTTTCTTCTAGTAATTTAATAGTTCTGGATCTTACATTTAATTCTGTAATAAATTTCAAGTTTATTTTTATATGTAGTGAGAGGTAGGGGTCTAGTTTCATTCTTCTGCATATGAATATTCAGTTTTCCCAACATTATTTTTTAAAGAGACTGTTTTTTCCCCACTGAATGTTCTTGTGTCTTTGTTGAAAATCAGGTAGCTGTAAATATGTGGATTTCCAGGTTCTCTATTCTGTCCCATTGGTAAATGTGTCTGCTTTTATGCCAAGACCATGCTGTTTTGGTTTTCATAGCATTGTAGTATATTTTGAAGTCAGGTGGTAGGTTGCCTCCAACTTCGTTCTTTTTGCTCAGGATTACTTTGGTTATTGAGGGTCTTTTGTGGTTAAATATACATTTTAAGATTTTTTTGTTTATTGCTGTGAAGAATATAATTGTTGGTTTGATAGTCATTGCATTGAATCTGTAGATTGCTTTCGTTATTATGGTCATTTTCACAATATTAATCTTCCTTTTCATTAATATGGGATGTCTTGTTTTGGTGTCCTTTTCTTATTTTTTCATCAGCATTTTATAATTTTCTTTATAGAAATATTTTATCTTTTTTACCTTCTTGGTTATTTCCTCTATGTATTTTATTTTTGTAGCTATTATAAATGGAATTTCTTTCTTGGATTTATTGGATATCTTTTTCTGCTATTTTGTTGTGGGTGTATAGACATGCTACTGACTTTTGTATGTTGATTGTGTATCCTGCAACTTTGCTGAATTTGTTTTTCAGTTGTAAAATTTTTTGGTGGAGTTTTACGTCTATATATGAGATTATGTTGTCTGCAACCTGGGACAGTTTGCCTTTCTCCTTTTGTATTTGGATGCACTTTATTTTTTCTGTTGCCTAATTGCTCTGACTAGGACTTCCAGTACTATGGTGAGTATGACCCAGCAATCTCACTACTGTGTTTATATCGCCCCCCTCACTGCCAACCTCCAAAATGAAATCAGTATACCAAAGAGATATCTGCACTGCTATGTTCATCACAGCACTATTCACAATAAGCAAGATATGAAATAAACCTATGTGTCTATTATCTGATGAGTAAGTTAAAAATTGTGAACCAGCCTGGCCAACATGGTGAAACCCTATCTCTGTTAAAAATACAAAAAAATCAGCCAGGTGTGGTGCACACCTGTAATCTCAGCTACTCAGGAGGCTGAGGCATGAAAATCACTTGAACCCAAGGGGTAGAGGTTGCAGTAAGCCAAGATCACACTATTGCACTCCAGCCTGGGCAGCAGAATGAGACTTTGTCTCAAAAAAAACAACCAAAAAAAAAAAAAAAGCTGTGGTACATATACACAATGGAATACTAGTTAGACATAAAAAAGAATCAAATTCTGTCATTTGTAACAACATGGATGAGCTTGGAGACATTATTTTAAGTGAAATAAGCCAGTCACAGAAAGATAAATACTGCATGTTCTCACTCATATGTGGAAGCTAAAAAAGTTGGTTTCATAGAAGTAGAGAGTATAATACTGGTTACTAGAGGCCAGAAAAAGTAAGGTGAGTGAAGAATAGCCAGAAGGTGATTAATAAATATAAAAGTACAGCTGGAGAGGAGAGAAAAGTTATAGCGTTCTACAGCACTAGAGGGTAACTATAATTTTAACAACAATGTATTGTATATTTTCTAATAGCTAGAAGCACAGAATCTGAAAGTTCCCAGCACAAAGAAATGAAAAATATTCAGTTATAGATATGCTAATTATCCTGATTTAATTATTACACATTTTATGCATGTATTGAAATATTACCCTATACCCCATAAATATGTACAATTATTATATGTCAATTAAAACTAATAATAAAAGCAAAAAATTAAAAATAAATAAATCTAACTTAACAGAGCCATCAAGGGAAATAAAAGTCAAAGAGAAGCTGAATAGCCTTAGTATTGTGTCTAGCAAGTCTTAAGCCTAACTCGATCTTCTGAATCAAACTTTCCTTCAAAGTTAGGTAATGGCTAGAAGTTTGGGATTCTTTGTAAGAACTCTGTTCTTATAACCTAGCCATCCGCAAAGAATACAAATCTACCTGGATGTCTCACAATATTTTCTGTACACTATTGCCAAGGTAAACAAGTATTTAACTCTCAAATCTACTTTTTGAATATTTTTTCCAAGTTGATATCTTTAACTGACCAAGACGAAAATCTCTCATATCCCAACAATCACCATGGCCTATTACTTCTACCTCTTTAATATCATACAAATGAAATAACTTTTACTCATCATTATTACAGATTTCTAGGCCATTATTATTCCTTTCCTATTTTAGGACCCAATTTCTATTTCACTTTCTCCAAGGAACCTTCCCTTACACTCAGATACAGGTTGGAGTGCCTTCAATTATTTCCCTAAAACACCTATTTCTCATAACATCAATCACAGAGAGCGAGTCCATCACCTCTACCCTCTTAACTCTTTCTTAGAAATCCTACCTTTCTTAGAAAGCCTACCTGTCTGCAACTGGGAATGAATGGAATGAAGCTCAAGGATTAAGTAATATTTAAACCTTGACCTTCAGTGAGGCTGAATGTTTGTCCCACTAAAATTCGTATGTTGAAACTCTATCTACCAGTGTAATAGTATTAGGAGGTGGGGCCTGTGGGAGGTAATTAGGATTAGATGAGGTCACGAAGGTAGAAGCCTCTGGAATGAGATTAGTACCCTTATAACAGTCCAGGGAGAGCTTGCTTCTCTCTGTTCTTTGCCAAGTCAGGATACAAGGAGAAGTCAGCAGTCTGCAGCCCAGAAGAGGGCCCTCAGCAGAACCTGACCATACAGGCACCCTTATTTCAAAATTCCATCAGAACCTGACCATACAGGCACCCTTATTTCAAATTACCAGCAGACAGGTAGGAGTTCTAAGAAAGGCAGGATTTCTAAGTAAGAGTTAAGAAGGTAGAGGTGGTGGACTCACTCTCTATTGTTATGAGAAATGTGTTTTAGGGAAATATTTGAAGGCATTTTTTTATTTTTTTGAGACAGAGTCTTACTCTGTCACCCAGACTGGAGTGCAGTAGTATGACCCAGGTGTGACCCCGGCTGGAGTGCAACCTCTGCCCCTTGGGTTCAAGTGATTCTTGTGCTTCAGTCTCCCAAGTAGCTGAGGTTGCAGGCGTGTACCACCACTCCTGGCTAATATATTTACTATGGTCAGGTTCTGCTAAGGGCCATCTTCCAGGCCGCAGACTGCCGACTTCTCCGTGTATCCTGACATGAATACAAGGAGAAATAATTTTTTGTTTTTTATGAGCCACCCAAACTATGGTAATTTTTATAGCAACCTGAACTGCCTAAGACAATAAAGACTCAATTATAATTTTTTGTCAACATGTCTTGTTTCCCCGATTAGATAAAATATCTTCCAAGACTAGTTAGTACCTTTTTAGTCTTAGTCATTGCTTTATCCCCATCCATGCATATACAATAGATGCTTAATAAACCTTTGTTGCTAACTAGATAAAATAAAATAGTCAATGGATTGTTTCAATAGCTTTCTAACTGGTCTTCCTAACTTAATACCCCTTCCATCCACTCTCTGTACTGCAACGAGAGTGCTTGTTTTAAAACACAATTTAATAACATCATGTTGTTATTTTAAACAATTTTGGTTAAAGGTTACATAAAAGGAACTTCAGCTAAAAATAAATTTAAAAGGGGACTTTACTTGAAGGAGTATTGCTGATATTCTCTGTGCTCTGCCACAACCCCTTGGATCCACACAATATAGTCCAGCACATGGATCCTGGCATGGTCCGACTCTTAACAGCCAGTACTTAAATCGATGTTCAAGAGCTTCTCTCAGCTATTGGAACAGAGAGGTAGGGTTCCCTTGGAATTTGGGATCTCTGAGGGGCAGTTCTTAATCAGTGACTGACAGGTGCAGGGGTAGCAATACCCTGGCTCCCTGCATCCCTGATTGTAAAAACTTCAAAGGCGTGACCTACACTGCCTCTGGAATTCCTCTGAGGTATTGAACCAGAGTTGCCCTTCACTAGGCTTGGCTTGATATTGCACCATTCTTCCCTTCCTGGACCTACTTACTCTACTTCTTTATTTTCCTGGGAACATTTCTTAAAAAAATCTTTTACTTATGAATCCATATCTGAAGGTCTACATTTGAGAAAGCCAAACTATGACAAGAATGTTTGTTGTCTATAGGACCCAAGGCTAAGAAATCGCTTAGGCCTTGATAGGAACTAAGACTACAACTAGTAGATGATAATAATAATTTCAGGGAAATAACCTCACTTTGTTTTAGGCCTCTGTTTTTCTCTCGATAACTGCTTCCTTTTTCCTTCTCTACTTTCAAACCTATTTGACAGAATATGTAATTCTACAGCTCGCAAGTAAATATTTTAATTTCTACATTTGGGTGGTCTTTAGATCAAATTCAAAAGAGAAAGCATATGATTGCCTCAATGTGATAGAACAGCTAATCAGACATGGCCAGAGAGACAGTGTTCTATAATACCAACAAACCAGCTGGGTTAAGCAGAGAGACTCTAAAGCAAAAGAGAATAATTGGTAGCTGGCCAGGTCACATATAAAAGTGTTAAATAACACAGAGATTCCTTACTTGAAACCCCCAATGGTTTCCAGTAGGTTTTAGAATAAAAGTCTTACCAAGACATACAAGGTCTTTATTATGTAGCCTCAGTTTTTCCTCTGCCTACCTCAAGACCCATGTGAAATGTCCATAACACATGAGCTCTCTCTTATCTCTAATGCTACAGTAGAATTTGCTGCTCCCTTCTTCTAAAGCAACTTATGCCTTCCCTATACACATCTTTCATCTAACCAACTCATGTTGGTACTTCTGAATTAACTCTAGCATCACACTCTCTGCAAAACCTCTGTTAATATCCTAAGTCTGGGTTAGGGACCTCTCCTCTGTAG
This sequence comes from Homo sapiens, assembly GCF_000001405.40. Taxonomy (NCBI): domain Eukaryota; kingdom Metazoa; phylum Chordata; class Mammalia; order Primates; family Hominidae; genus Homo; species Homo sapiens. The sequence continues at coordinate 81,597,005 of NC_000006.12, forward strand.
GCCTCTATATTATACCACACTACATATTTCTGTCTGCTCAGGTGCCTCCTACTTAGAATAGAGGTTTCTAAAGGGCAAACAAGCACTACTTTTATTATTTACTTTAGCCTTCATATCCAACAAAGTGGTTGATCTCATAGAGACATTCAGCACATTTTTTTTTGTTTTTTGTTTTTGTTTGTTTGTTTGTTTTTCAATGAGGGAGTTAAAAAATGAAAATTTGAAGAAAAAAAAAGAAGCTTAAAAGAACCATCAAGTAGAATTGCTTGAGGACAATCTCTTGGAACATTATCCATCCATAAGGATAAGCAATACACTACCATTACTAGGACTGAAGTTTTTGAAAACATAACAATCAAAAAATAGCTGTCTAGCTCTCAGACCTTAACTTAGGCTCATCTTAAGAATGTAAACATGGAATTGTACTTAATAAGAGTTGAGAAGAATGTTTACTAATTTTGTCTTTCAGTTCACTTCTTACTCATGTTCTCATTCTGTTACGGATTTTTTCCCACACCTATAATTTACTTGGACAAGACTTTTTGACCAACAGCAAGAAATGTATTTTTTGGTCTCAATGAGTACTGACAGCAGAACCTCGTGGCTTCTGTTTAAAGAATGTCATTAGCATAAATGAGAGGGCACAAAGGTAGGGGCCAGCCAGCCCACAGTGGGCCTTAAGCAATGTTAAAGGTTTGGGTCTTTCTCCTAGAAGAATACAATGGAAGCCAACAAAAATGTAAAGCAGTTGATTGACATGATCAAATTCGCATTTTTAAAAGGTTACTCTGATAGCATGGTGGAGAATGAATTGGAGAAACCAATGTATTTTGAAAAACTTTGTTTAACGCTGGGGGTTTTAGCTTCTGAAGTATTATTATTTCCTCTTGGTCTTAATCTAGTTTTCTGCTAAGACCCACCTGGCATGTGTCTGAGGGGTGACATGACAGAAATCCACCCCTTCTATATTTTCTATAACCATACTCCAAGTTACCATCTACCAGATAACACAATACCCCTTGTAAAGTATCCATGTAATAAATTTCTCCCAAAATTTAGGGGAAAGGAAAGCCCTGGCCATATACTATAGATGTTCACCTATCCCCACAATATGATACTGTATAATACATAATCTGGAATTTTCCTAGAGTTGTTACTGAAGTATTAACTTTGTCTCAATTAACATATAACCTTCCTACCAGCAGGAACGATGCCTTTTAATTTTCTGGTATCCATAATAATGCTTAACAGAATGTTAAGACACACATAATGCATGATATATGTTTTTAAACTGAAAAACAAATAATCATAATTCTGATGAAGTAATATGAGATAATATAAAAGCAAAGCTAGAACTATGAAATAAATCAACTTAGCTATTTGAACAGAGATGAAAAACAAACAGTCATTCTAGAAGAGAAAGATCACTTCAAATTCTTCATACTGCTAATCCCATTCTCTGGAGACTGAGAATTCATCTTTTGGCAGCGCAAATAAGCTGAAAAAATTGTAAAGAACAGGCCCACATATCTCATTAATTAATTACAGTTGCATAAGCTTTTATTGGTCCAACCACCTCCTGTTTAATTTTCCTGCAGGCCCTTGCAGTACAGAAAAGTGATGCTTTACCTAAAAAATACATTTCTTTGAGGTTGTTCTCATTTTACAAATAAGAGAAATCAAATGTCCTCATCAAAGTCCCCCAGCTAGTAGAATAGTATAACAGGGACTCGGCCCTAGGTTTACCTGGCTTCAAAACCTGTCTTTTTCCCACTGTACTTTTCTGTCTTCCTAGAATAAAATTTAAAATAAGTGGTGGGGATTCAGGTAAAACTGACCTGTGCTATTGCTATAATTTATTGAGCACAAAAACTTCACCAAAGAAATAATGGCTGCATGAAGCTGAAATGAGAAAAAAATAATTCCTCTCTTGCTATATGTTTTTGTAGAATTTGAAGTACTCACATGAAAGTACCTGTAATATGTTGTAGTTCTCCAATACCCTTGAGATGAACATGTGAGCAGGTTTTTTATCATCCAAGTGTAGCCTCTTCTCTAGGAGCCAAGCAAGGCAGAGAAGTGCCCAGTGTGAGCTCAAGGCTCTGCAGATGAAGTCCATGAACCAGGTGAAGGGGGTACTTAAAGCAAGGGAAAGTCCAAAGCATCAAGTCCAAAGGGAAGTAGATGGAAGACAACTATCAGATTAAAGCCAAAGGGACTCTGGACCTCAGTTTCCTTATCTGTGACATGAAGATGATAAGAGATTTAGTGATTAAAAGAAAGACTGTATGTAAAACACATAAAATAATGACCTGATCAATAATTCTTAGCTATTACATTGACACAGAACAGGCAAGGTTTAATAAATGGAATTCAGAAGTCAAGGCTAGAAAATCTCAGAAACAGGATTTGTGTAAAGGCACAAGACTGAAAAGGCAGTTCAAGATGACAGAGAAAAAGAAAAACAGCATTACTTTGCAATGTCAGTGCAAAAGATGAGAGCAGTCTTTATCCCTGTCATTCTGACTCTCCTCCCCATGCATATCCAAGCAAGCTTCAGAAGTAGCATCACTCCCTTGATAAGTTGCCTAACCCTAATCAGTGCTATTAACAGAAATTACACTAAAATTTTACCCATAATAGCTAACACTGAGTGAGTTGTTCCAAACAGAAATTTTAAGAGTCAGCTCATAACTGACCAGGTTCTCTTCCTCTCTCTGATGACCATGGATGCACGTATGGCAGTGGAGCCCCCATAAGCCTGGGCCCTTGAGTGGCCATGATGTGCAGAGTCCCCCTGCAGACTGCAACATTCATGCCACATACACTGAGAAATAAGCTTCTGTTGTTATAAACCACTTAAATGTGGGATTGCTTATTACTGTAGAATATTCTAGTGGAGGGATTCTCAAAATGTGGTCCTGAACCAGCAGCATCGGCATCACTGGAAAACTTACTAGAAAGGCCAGTTCTTGGATTTCACCTTAGAAGTACTGAATCAGAAAGTCTGGGGATGGGGCTCAGACACCTGATTTTTCAAAGTTTTACTTAATTTTTAACTAACAAATAATACTTGTGTATATTTATGAGATACAGTGCAATGTTTGAAACGTATACATTGTAAAATGATCAAATCAGGAATAATTAGCATATTCATCATTTCAAATATTTGTCATTTAATTGTGATGAGAACATTTAAAATCCTCTGTTTTAGAAGATTGAAGCTTCTTCTTTATACCATATACAAAAATCAACTCAAGATGGATTAAAAGACTTAAATGTAAAACTCAAATCTATAAAATCCCGGAAGACAACCTAGGCAATACCATCCTGGACACAGGAATGGGCAAAGATTTCATGACAAAGACACCAAAAGCAATCACAACAAAACCAAAAATTGACAAGTAGGATTTAATTGAACTTAAGAGCTTCTAAACAACCCCATAAAAATGTGGACAAAGGACATGAACGGACACTTTTTAAAAGACGACATACATGTGGCCAACAAACATATGAAAAAAATCACTGTTCACTTAATATCACTGTTCATTAGAGAAATGCAAATCAAAACCACAATGAGATGCCATTTCACATGAATCAGAATGGTTACTATTAAAATGTCAAAAAAATAACAGATGCTGGTGAGGTTGCAGAGAAAAGGGAACACTTATACACTATTGGTGGGAGTGTAAATTAGTTCAACCCTTGTGGAAAGCAGTATGGCAATTCCCCAAAGAGTCAAAAGCAGAACTATCATTTGACCCAGCAATCCCATTACTGGGTATATACCCAGAGGAATGTAAATCACTCTACCGTAAAGACACATGCATGCGAATGTTCGTTACAGCACTATTAACAATAGCAAAGACTTGGAATCAACCTAAATGCCCACTGATGAGAGATTGGATAAAGAAAATGTGGTACATGTACATCATGGAATACTATATGCCATAAAAAAGAACAAGATCATTTCTCATGCAGGAACATAGATGGAGCTGGAGGCTATCATCCTCAGCAAACTAATTCAGGAAGAGAAAACCAAATACCATGTGTTCTTACTTATAAGCAGGAGCTAAATGATGACAACTTATGAACACCAAGAAGGGAATGACAAACACTGGGGTATACTTGAGGGTGGAAGGTGAGAGGAGGGAGGGGAGGAGAAAAGGTAACTATTGGGTATTGGGCTTAATTCCTGGGTGATGAAATAATCTGTACAACAAACACCTGTGACATGAGTTTACCTGTGTAACAAGCCTTCACATGTACCCCTGAACATAAAATAAAAGTTAAAAAAAATAAATAGTAAAACCTATCTTACATGAGAAAATCATAAAATAAGGTCTTCTATTTTAGCTATTTTGAAATATACATTAACTATAGTCACCATACTTTGCAATAAATCACCAGAACTTATTCCTTGTATCTAATTGAACCTTTGTATCCTTTGATCAATATCTCCTCTTTTCCCCAAGCTCCTGGTAACCACCATTTTACTCTCTACTTCTATGAGTTTGATTTATTAAAATTTCACATATATATATAAAATCATATAGTATTTGTCTCTTTGTGCCTGGCTTATTTCACTTAGCATAATATCCTCTAGTTTCACCCCTACCTTCCTGAATGACAGGATTTTCTGCTTTTTAAAGGTTGAGTAATATTCTATTGTATATGTACACATCACTTTTTTTAATTGATTCATCTGTTAATGGGCACTTTAGTTATCTTCATTTGGCTATTGTGAATAGTGTTACAATGAATATACAAATGTAGTCAACTCTTTAACATATTGGCTTTATTTCTTTGGATATATTCTCAAAAGGGAGATTGCCGGATTATATGTTAACTCTATTTTTAGTTTTTTGAGGAAGCTCCACATCATTTTCCAAAATGGTGATATTAATTCGCAACACTGCCAACGGTGCACAATGGTTCCTATTTCTCCACATTCTCACCAGCACTTGCTTTCTTTATTCTTTTTGTTCGTAGCTAATCTAACAGGTATGATGTGTTACCTCATTGTGCTTTTAATTTGCATTTATCTGATGATTAGAAATGTTGAGCACCTTTTCATACACCTGTTGGCCATTTTTTTTGAAAAATGTCTATTCAGGGTTTTTTTGTCCATTTTTAATTGCATAATTTTTGTTTTGTTTTGTCTTATTTTGGTTTTTGCTAGAGTTGAATTTCTTGTACATTTTGAATATTAACCACTTTTTCAATGTATGATTTGCAAATATGTTCTCCCAATATGTGAATCACTTCTTCACTCAGTTGTTTCCCCTGATGTGCAAAAGCTTTTGAGTTTAGTGCAATCCCATCTGTCAGATACCTGTGTTTTTTTATTTTTTTTATTTTTATTTTTATCTTACTTTAACTTCCAGGATACATGTGCAGAATGTGCAGATTTGTTACATAGGTATATGTGTGCCATAGTGGTTTGCTGCATCTATTGACCTGTCATCTAGGTTCCCTCCCTGTGCCCCCTACCCCTCAACAGGCCCCAGTATGTGTTGTTCCCCTCCCTGTGTCCGTGTGTTCTCATTGTTCAACTCCCACTTATAAGTGAGACCATGAAGTGTCTGGTTTTCTGTTCCTGTGTTAGTTTGCTGAGAATGGTGGCTTCTAGCTTCATCCATGTCCCTGCAAGGGATATGATCTCATTCCTTTTTATGGCTGCATAGTATTCCATGGTTTATAGGCATCACATTTTCTTTATCCAGTCTATCATTGATGGGCATTTGGGCTGGTTTCATGTCTTTGTTATAGTGAATGTAAATAAACATACATGTGCATGTGTCTTAATAGTAGAATAATTTATATTCCTTTGGGTATATACCCAGTAATGGAACTGCTGGGTCAAATGTTTTTCTGGTTCTAGATCCTTGAGGAATCACCACGCTGTCCCACTGACACCACAGAAATACAAACCACCATCAGAGAATGCTATAAACACCTCTATGCAAATAAACTAGAAAATCTAGAAGAAATGGATAAATTCCTGGACACATACACCCTCTCAAGACTAAACCAGGAAGAAATCGAATCCCTGATTAGACCAATAACAAGGTCTGAAATTGAGGCAGTAATTAATAGCCTACCAACCAAAAAACTCCCAGGACCAGATGGATTCACAGCTGAATTCTAACAGAGGCACAAAGAGGAGCTGGTACCATTCCGTCTGAAATCATTCCAAGCAATTGAAAAGGAGGGACTCCTCCCTAACTCATTTTATGAGGCCAGCATCATCCTGATACCAAAACCTGGCAGAGACACAACAAAAAAAGAAAACTTCAGGCCAATATCCCTGATGAACATCTATGCAAAAATCTTCAATAAAATACTGGCAAACCAAATCCAGCAGCACATCAAAGAACTTATTCACCACAATCAAGCGGGCTCCATCCCTTGGAAGCAAGGCTGGTTCAACATATGCAAATCAATAAACATAATCCATAACATAAACAGAAGACAAAAACCACATGATTATCTCAACAGATGCAGAAAAGGCCTTTGATAAAATTCAACATCCCTTCATGTTAAAAACTCAATAAACTGGGTATTTGGGCATGGTGGGTCATGCCTGTAATCCCAGCATTTTGGGAGGCCCAGGCGGGCAGATGACAAGGTCAGGAGATCAAGACCATCCTGGCTAACATGGTGAAACCCTGACTCTACTAAAAATACAAAAACAAAAAGAAATGATCTAGACATGGTGGCAGGCTCCTGTAGTCCCAGCTACTCAGTAGGCTGAGGCAGGAGAATGGCATGAACCTGGGAGGCAGAGTTTGCAGTGAGCCGAGATCGTGCCACTGCACTCCAGCCTGGGAGACAGAGCAAGATTCTGTCTCAAAAAAAAAAAAAAAAAAAAAACAAAAAAACAAACAAAAAAAAACCTCAATATACTGGGTAGTGATGAAACATATGAGCTGTTTATGACAAATCCACAGCCAATATCACATTGAATCGGCAAAAGCTGGAAGCATTCCCTTTGAAAACCAGTACAAGACAAGGATGCCCTTTCTCACCACTCCTATTCAACGTAGTATTGGAAGTTCTGGCCAGGGCAGTCAGGCAAGAGAAAGAAATCAAGAGTATTCAAATAGAAAGAGAAGAAGTGAAATTGTCTTTGTTTGCAGACGACATGATTCTATATTTAGAAAACCTCATCGTATCAGCCCAAAACTTAAGCTGATAAACAACTTCAGCAAAGTCTCAGGATACAAAGTCAATGTGCAAAAATCACAAGCATTCATATACACCAACAATTGACAAGCAGAGATCCAAATCATAAATGAACTCCCATTCACAATTGCTACAAAGATAATAAAATACCTAGGAATACAGCTAACAAGGGATGTGAAGGACTTCTTCAAGGAGAACTTCAAACCACTGTTCAAGGAAATAAGAGAGAACACAAACAAATAGAAAAACATTCCATCCTCATGGATAGGAACAATCAATATCATGAAAATGGCCATACCTCCCAAAATAATTTATAGATTCCATGCTATTCCCATTAAACTACCATTGACATTCTTCACATAATTAGAAAAAACTACTTTAAATTTCACATGGAACCAAAGAAGAGCCCGTATAGCCAAAACAGTCCTAAGCATAAAGAACAAAGCTGGAGGCCATCATGCTACCTGACTTCAAACTATACTACAAGGCTACAGTAAGCAAATCAGCATGGTACTGATACCAAAACAGACATATAGACCAATGGAACAGAAAAGGGAGCTCAGAAATAACACCAGACATCTACAACCATCTGATCTTTGACAAATCTGACAAAAACAAGCAATGGAGAAAGCATTTCCTGTTCAATAATTGGTGCTGGGAAAACTGGCTAGCCATATGTAGAAAACTGAAACTGAACCCTTTCCTTACACCTTATACAAAATTAACTCAAGATGGATTAAAAACTTAAATGTAAAACCCAAACCATAAAAAACCTAGAAGAAAACCTAGGGAATACCATTCAGGACGTAGGCATGGGCAAAGACTTCATGACAAAAAGACCAAAAGCAATTGCAACAAAAGCCAAAATTGACAAATGGGATCTAATTAAACTAAAGGGCTTCTGCACAGCAAAAGAAACTATCATCAGAGTGAACAGGCAACCTACAAAATAGGAGGAAGTTTTTGCAATCTACCCATCTGACAAAGGTCCAATATCCAGAATCTTCAAGGAACTTTAACAAATTTACAAGAAAAAAAACCCATCAAAAAGTGGGCAAAGGATATGAACAGACACTTCTCAAAAGAAGACATTTACATGGCCAATGAACATATGAAAAAAGTCTCAACATCACTGGTCATTAGAGAATTGCAAATCAAAACCACAATGAAATACCGTCTCACACCAGTTAGAATGGTGATTATTAAAAAGTCAAGAAACAACAGATGCTATCGAGGCTGTGGAAAAATAGGAATGCTTTTACACTGTTGGTGGGAATGAAAATGTCAAACACCAGTTTTAACACCTCCAGGTGATTCTCACACATGCTATAGTTTTAGAATACTGACCTAGTCTACCTTCACTAATACAATGTTCCTAGCAGGAAAGGTCAATTATTATTCACAGTTTTCATGTAAGGACATTGTAACTCAAAGATAACTTGACAAAAATCATACAATGAGTAAAGCAACAGAACCAAAATTTGGGTGTTGCAATCTGGATGCATTTTGCTATCACCATTGCTTATGCTGTAGTAAACTGACGTCATTGGAAAATCTAAATTGAAATGATTAGATTTCAGTTACAAGAGTTTTATAACTCTGCAATTCATTACTCCCTTCAAATATTTACATTCATTTTATCTAAAAAATAATGAAATCTACATGCTAATGGCATCTACAAAATAACAAAGAGAGGCCCTTGAGGCCACTTTAAGAAATAATCATGGTTTGTAGAATCAGTGAGTTGTGGTTTATAGGGAAAAAAAAATCCAAAGGGATTACAACTATTTTACTAAGGTTACCTATTGCTCTGGAAGTTTTGCTCACCTCACATTTTTGAAGTAAACATGAAGCTGTCTTCTCTTCAAATTATTGTCTCAGGGTCATCTACCAACAGGTTAAACATGCAGTCTTAAAGTAAATTCAAACCAATCCATGGCAAAGAATCCAGTGGGACTGAAGATGTGTGAGTGAGGACAGAGAGATGTAGGAGATGAATTAGAGATATGACAGAAGTCAGATTGTGTAGGATCTTACAGTTATTTGTAAGAGTTTTAATTTTTACTCTGGTAAAGTCTTAATAAGTGTTCTATGAAAAAAACTGTGATTGAAAAACAATGGATTAAGTGAAGCTAAATAAGTTTCTTCTCTCTAGAATTTTTCATAGTCTTTATCTTGTTAATAAGCACTGTGTTTGTACAAAAAGGTGTAAAAGTATAGGGCTCATGCTATTGAGTGGATGGTGACACTGTTGACCATAGTTTCGAATATAGAAGGCAGATTAAGTGTGACCAGACAGGAAATAACGAATTAAATTGACATGTAAACTTTGAAGTGCCTATGGAGAATACTGGGTAGAGCTACCCAAAAGAGAGTTTAAAAAAACCTTTAAATCTCATACAAGGCAACACAGAAAAAAAACTGAAAATTAATATCAAATAATATTTAATTCAAGAACTAATTATAAGTAATATATATGAAATTTATGCCTATGCTATTCAAATAAAAGAGAGAAGAATCATTTGCCCATCTCAGAAGGAGGGCTAGGGTCTGAATTTTCTATTTATTCACATTCTGTAGATTCTTTGGAAAATTGCTCCATTCTCTAGTTCACTTTGTCCAGTAGATATGAAGCTTGAATCCAAGAGCCATTTCTCAACTTATTTTTTATATGTAATATCTTCATATTGGGAGTTATTGAAGTTCACCAATAAATGCAAGAAAGAAAGAAAGAAAATTTAACTTTTTCCTTCGAAGATTACTTTGCTTCTGTTTTATGTCATCGTTTTTTTCTAAACTAAATGATGGAAGCAAAAACAATATATCCAAGAGATGACTCAGCTTTCCAAAATATTGAGAGATGTTTGACTCACATCTGAAGAATCACCTTCCTTTTTCCCTTGCATTTTTTTTCTAGAAACATAAAACTGAATATTTTAGTAATTGAGTAACTGGATCATTGTTTAGTTTAATGGAAATTTGAGCAAATGTACCAAATTAGCAAAATGAATCACAGTGAACATTCTCTAGCCAGGCTTATTAAATTTTTACTATAGAGTCATCTAAAGTATATTTCATGGGAAATGTATCCACCTTCCAAAGGCGATATGCCATACTCAACAGTGCTGCAGTTCTCATGGAAATGGTTTTTCCATTGAACTTGATTGTCAGATTAACCATATCTAATTCTAGGGCACTGATGGTAAATGTGAATATTTGAACTTGATTCAGAACTATCAAACATGCTTAGAACTTCAGTCAGTTAATCCTGCTGGAATCTTAGTCTCTAAAGACAAAAGTCACGGAAGTATGTTTTGGCTTTAATATGCAGACATTTTTCCATTGCCATAGTTCTTTGTTTTAAAATCATTTCCTTGAGAACTGGTTAAGGACTTCGGGACTTTTTAATCTGTATCTACTTAACTAATGTTTCTATTCAATGACTGATAAAATCATCAGATAGTTACTTCATGTAAAGGAAAAAGAATACCAGTTTATAGCTTAAGTTATTCAATGCAGTGATATTCTCACATTTGAATTATTTTATCAAACCTATTCTGAATGATGACCAATGTTTCTTTAGTGATATCATTATTAATAGCATATTACCACATTCTTCTTTGAGCCAAACAAAGCCTAAAGAGAACCCATTTGTCAGCAGATACCAAGCAGGTTTCTTTTTAAGCTAGCGAGCTAATTTTTAGAAAGCATTAATTTTATTTTCTTAGTTATAAACAAGTTATGTTACACTACAAAACCTAAGTGAATTGGCCTGCTTGGAAGCTTTATTAAAAGAGAAATAATAATGAGAATTAGTATTTATTGAGTGCTTAACTACATGCCCAACACTATCTTTCTACAAGCCATGATGCAGATACTTCTTAAATCTCCCTTTTTATTCTTAACTACAAGTTAGAACATTACGGCACAGCAAGATGAATTAAGTTGTCAATGATCATAAATAGTAGAGACAAAATTTGATCCAAGGCAGTCAGAATCTAGCACTGTGCTTTTAATTCCTACACCACATTATCTCCCGAATAGAAAGAAATAAAAAGGAAAATAGAAGAGAGGTTACAATGAGCGAACAAGAGTATGTTTAAAGCAACTGGTAAAGGAGCAAGGAAAATAAAGTCAGACTGTGCGTGTAAAAAGAGGAGATACTATACAGTTATAATAAGACATCTAAAATTAGAGCATGAAACACTGGTTTGCTCAGGTGAAATTTAAATAGATTTAGAATGACAAATGACAATTTTTTAGGTTAAAACTTTTTGATGGGGGTAGAACAGTCTGATTTTAAATAACCAATCTCTAGAGATAGCAGATGAACATAGGATAGCATTGTACCTATTGTCTGGGAGATGCTATATAACAGGAGTGACCAAAAAATCTGGTTTGCCAAGAATAGTCCTGGTACCCTCCTGTTGTTCCAACTTAATTTTTCTACTTTCCTCTCTTTTCATATTCAATGTGTCCTTGTTGAATGATAAATTTTATGATCACCTAGTTATACCCATACTCTTAATTCCTCCAAAAAGGATAAAATACATGCTACCACAGGCAATTTTTATTTTTCAAGTTTTTTCTCATTGATAACTGATGGCCTCTTAAAGGCCCTCTCGCAATGTAACAACTTACTTTTTTAAAACCATTGAAAGAGAGTCTCACAAAAGGGCTGAGTCTGTCTTTTAAGAGTTGTCATATATCAGGCCCACCAAGGTTAATCTACCTTATGAGTCATACAATACCAGTTGTACTTAACACATGCAAAATCCCTTTACATTTGCCCTATGTGTAATCTAGTCAAGGGAGTGATGTGCCATCCGTTTAGCCATATTCTCTTGTTTAGAAGCAAGTAAGTCAGCAATTCTGCTTGTACTGAATAGGAGACATTTAAACAAAGATGTAGCTCATTGAGAATGTGTCCTCCTTAGGATATGTCTACCATAAGTAGTGACAGACCTTTCATTTTCTTTGAAACTTCCTGGAACACTTAGAAAACAAAAGAAGGTTAATAAATATTTGTTGTTCTGAAAATTTTGAAAGGAAAGTGGCCATTTTAATGGTTCCAATGACATCTTCAGAACAGTGGTGGTCTTGAAGAAATGTGGACTTGACATGTTGTCCAAATTTGAGAATAATTTAGAGATTCAACAACAGCCTCAGTTTTGCCATCAGAAAAAAAAAGTCTTCCATGTAAAATGTAAAATCTTCCCTGTCCTCTATCTATCTGTTTTGAAGAAAAATGCATTGCAGATGGCGCAAGCTTTCTGGGAATGGCAGGGGAGGGGGTAATGTAGCATAGATATTCATGGTGACCATCTAGCAGAGCATTACTTACTAAGTCTAAGCCAGTCATAGGCAGACATAAAATGCCCAATTTATTATAGATGAACATTTAGGTTATTATGTACGCAAGTAAAGTACTTTCTTAAGGCACATTTTTCTCTAACAATTAGTGTTGTTATGGAAAAAAACTAATATTTTAGGTTGTCTAGAAAGATATTAGAAGAATTGGTTTGTGTAGCTATATCATTTTGTAATGTTTTTGTAATTTAGATGATTAGCTCTACTTAGTAACATGTAAAATTAATAAATTCATTTTGAAAAATCTTCAAATATAAAACAGATGTTCAAATGCATCATGGAAGGAATAAATTATGGTTGCAAAGAAAGAGACAACCATGTAATCACACTTTCACCTGCTCATGTGCTTCACATGTGGATCTCACTGGCAAAGAATGCATTCATAAACTTTGGGGCATTAACCAAAACCATGTAAATCTGTTTTCACTGATGTCACCAAAGAACTTGTAATCTGCCAATGCTGTTCCAATGTCATAAATTTAAATGAGTGAAATCTGCTTGTTATTTAGCAGAAAATAAAATCATATCTCTTCTAGAACTTATTTGCTCTCTCTGAAATGAAAATTTTGTGAAATAAACACCCCTAACTCAGTATTCTACGCCTATGTAATCTCTGAAAAATACAAAATTGTAGCTAGAGAGGAGAAACAAGTTCTCGTGTTCCATACCACTATAGGATGACTATAGTTAATAATAAAATATAGTTTAAAATAACTAGAAGGAAGATATTGAATGTTCCCAACACAAAGAAATGATAAATGTTTGAGATAATGGTTATGCTAATCACCCTAATCTGATCACTATACATTATATGTATATCCAAACACCACTATGTACTGTATGAATATATACAATTATTATTTGTCAGTTAAAAAAATTAAATTTGGTCAAGCACCGTGGCTCACACTTGTAACCTCAACATTTTGGGAGGCTGAGGTGGGTGTATTAGTTTAGCCCAGGAATTCAAGACCAGCCTGGGCAATGTGACGAAACTCCATCTCTACAAAAACTACAAAAACTAGCCAGGCATGGTGGTGCATACCTGTAGTCCCAGCTAGTCGGGAGGCTGAAGTGTGAGGATCACCTGAGCCCAGGAGGTTGAGGCTGCAGTGAGCTGTGATTGCACCACTGCACTCCAGCTTGGACAATAGAGTGAGACCTTGTCTCAAAAATAAATAAATAAATAAAATTAAATTTTAGAAAGATTGCCAAGTTAAGTGAGAAAAATACAAAGGAAATAAACTCTCTTTTAAAATATTGGGTAATTTTCCTTGTGAATAACCAGAGTATAGATAACCTATGAAAATTAGGTTGCTTACTATATTTTCTAAATTTTCAAAAATTTCTAAAACACCCCAGAACACTATGTCAAATTCATTGCTGCAGGCCTGTTTGCATTAGCTACTATATTTAGGGAAAATCTTATATCTGAGCCTAATGTTAAATCTTACCAGACTCCTGGAAAAGTAAACCCAGAGAGGTGGTGATGAGTATAACTCTATGGAATCACAAGGAACTGTGGGCCAGAATACAAGGATTAAAATTGTTGGGGAGTTGTTTTATGAAAAAGTAAAAACATTGTCTTTATCAAGTTCAAAGAAGACATCATGGGTCATATTTACTACTAGTTGGGATCTGTCACATTGAATTTAAATAAAAAATTTATTGAGGAGTGTATTTCTCATCATACCAAAAAGATGAACTTTAAAAGACTCTATAACCTACAATTTTCTTCTCATGAAAAATTTGAAGACAAATTCAAAACATTAGCTATTATTATTTACAAGCAGTTGCTTTATAATTTTAGTTTTGCTATATACAGTATATGTACTAGTAGTATATATAGTGGTATATATTTTATATACAATTTATATAGATTTTATACTACATATGTATGTATATATACACACACATACATGCATAACCCAAAGCTGAGTTTATTGCTTATTGCAGCAAAGAATGCAACCTCTACCAAGTCTTCATTGTGTCTCTGAGGAGAAAGAACAAATTGGAAATTTGGAGTCTGGTTTAAGTGGCTCTTTCAATAAAGGAGCTTGGTTAGAGATATGTAAGTTTCATGTACTCTGCACAATGCATTTGAACATCTATTTTATATTTAACAATTTTAAAAATGTATTAATTGTTTTTACATATTAAGAGTAACAAATCATTTAAAAGTACAAATATATTATGAAATTATATGGCTACATAAATCCTTCTAGTATCTTTTTAGACATCACAAAATATTATTTTTACAATAGAACTGTTTGTTACAGAAAAAAATTGTCTTAAGAAGGATAGTTTACTTGCCTAAGTAAGAACCTAAATGTCCCAATCCATAATAAATGGGGCCTTGCATGTCTTCTGATGACTGGTTTAGTATTATTTCTTAGTAACGTCTGCTGGCTGAGCACTATGCGTGTCTATGCCTCTTTCCTCATCTTCATTTCCAGAAAGCTTATGCCACCTGTGCAATGCATTTTTCTTCAAAACAAATAGAGGAAAGGATTTATTTTAATGAGAATTTTGTTGTCCCAATGGACAAAAAAAAGTCCTTAGAATTGAAATCCTTACTGAATCTCTAAATTAACCCTGAATTTGGAAAAGGCTTCGCATCAATTCACGCTACACCACTTCTAGAGATCAACGCCGAGAATGCCTTTTAGAATGATCCAACAGGCCACTTGCTCTTTTATGTTTTCAAATCATCAAGTATTTATTAATCATCTCCTATGTGATAGTACTGTTAGGAGATTTGGCAGACTCAAATGATGTAGTCACTGCCTTTGGGCTATTCTCTGGCTATTTCCTAGGGCTTAACTTTGGTTTAAAATAATCTAAATAGAGCAACATGGAAAACAGGTGAACAGTAATAAATTAGAAAAAAAGAACACAAGAAAAACACCAAGTTACATCATCAGACATGTGTTTACCAAGCTCTGCAAAGAAAGGAGTTCAGAGTAAAAAATTATCATGTATAGGAATAAATGATTGATTCTTAAAACGGTATTTATGAACAACCTAAAATGATTGCTACTTCTAAAATGATTTACTGTCACCTTGAGTTTTGATTTTTAAGCTATCTTTCTGCTCTTATAACTATCTTGAAAAATATTTTTTAAAGAAAAATCTTAATGAAGAAAATACCTGTGGCAGAAAATCCCAGCTAGCATTTAAATATATACTTATTGTGAGATGATTTAAACAATAGAGTTAACAAGTAATTCAAAATACCCCCAACCCAAAATAATCTTTAACTACTTTTGTGTCTCCTTCCAGAAAACAAATCCTAACCACACACAAATATATAGAGAGTAATTTATTCCTTTCTTTAAAACATGATTATTTTTTGAATAGGTAATATATTTACATGGTTCAAA
Source organism: Homo sapiens (assembly GCF_000001405.40). NCBI lineage: Eukaryota > Metazoa > Chordata > Mammalia > Primates > Hominidae > Homo > Homo sapiens. The sequence continues at coordinate 81,612,943 of NC_000006.12, forward strand.
ATGTAAAAGATACAAACAAGAAGAGAGTGAAAATTTCTCATTCGCCGTGTTCCTTAGATATATTCTTATCCTTGAGTCAATTTGTATACCAGTTATTGTGCATACTTTCAGAAATATTTCATGAATGTACGTCCAAATATGTATACATTTCTGGTTTCATCTCGTAAACACCTGCACCCGAATGTTACATTTTTCATTTTTTTTTTTTTTTAACAAGAAGGGTTTCTTTAATTCTCCACCGTCTCGGGCCAAACTTAGTTGTTTAGCACCTTGTTTCTTCACATTAGAGACCCCAAAGGTGAAATGTGAAGAAAACCCAAAACTTTGAGTACATTTTTCCTGTGACATATTGATAAAACACAATTTGAGTAACTATGTGAAGTGCGGTGTATTGATGGTAAAAACTTGACATGAAAGCATTTTCATATAAAAAGGTCTAAACATTTTAGTTAATTCCAGGTTTAAAAGGTTCAAGAAAATTACAGTGTCTGCTTGAAAAGCTAATGTTTCCCTACCTTTGCATTAGTAGTGACATATGTCTAGATAACATTAGATTATATTTGAAATTTTGGGTCTAGCTCTGGGCACCATCATTTCAAAGGTATATTGGCAAAGTAATTCATTCAGAAGAGTCTTAACTAAATAAGGATCCCCTGGGGACCCTGACTATATAAGGATTGCATTATAGGACTAGAGAGTTTGTTTCTGGTGTAGATGAGCAGAAAGAAGAATATGTAAATGAGTTTCAAATATGTGAAGGGCTTTCCTGCTGAACAGTCACTGGATGGATTCTGAGTTGCTTCTGAAAGACTGTTTATCAGAATCATCCAACAGGAAGTAGTCTACTCAGGAAGTGACTGTCTCCTCAGAAGCAGAAATTGTTAACCACAATTATGTAAAAGTTTCCCTAGGGAAAAAAAAAAAGAAATATCCAACTCTTCCTGGAACAGGGAAGAAGGAAGGGAAGAAGGAAAGCAGAAAGAGAGGGAATCCACGAAAGCATGAAGTCTTGGGAAAACTTTGCTTTCAGGTAATGTAGATGGGAAAGAATTAAAAAGAAGGCTAGGATCAGATCATGAGGACTTCACAGGTTACCACCACCTACCCCACCACCCCCCAAAAAACAACCAATTCCTTCCTCAAGATCAGGCTTCAGCTTTATGTTTTCTTCACTAAACGTTTCTGCTGTCTTTGAAAATATGCCCAACTTCTCATTCTATTTCCAATATTTTCCTAATTAGAAATCCAGTTAATAGTGAGATAGCTGACAGATGCCAATGTGAGGTTTGATCACCATAATTTTGCACTGTGATTTGCTTTTGGAAGGTATCCAGTGTGATATTTAAGGCATCTACACTTCCTGATGCTCCAAAATGATTTTATTCCATTGTGGCATAGCAGTGGATTTCTCTATCTAGCATATAAGCAAAAAGAAAGTATGATAATGGTCTGTAATGAGCTAGGAAGATGTTTATGGCACTTTTAAAACCGGAAAAGCTGCATTTAAAGGGACTCAAGCACAAGAGGAAATGAAGGGATGTGCTAAGATTACATGAAGGCAGGTCTTATCTCTGAGGGAAAGGCTTTATGAGCAAAGCCTGCTCACTGCAGCTGGGGTGGCTTGGAAAGCACAAAGATATGCAAACAGTGGAAAGTCAACAATCAAAGAATGATGTTAGGGATCTCCAGGGTGGAATTAGGAGGTACAATAGGAAGTGTTTATGTACAAAAGGAAATTTTGTAAATGATTTTGATGTTGATCATGGGATCTCAATATTTTATATTTATTAGAAAATAAAGTGTGTAAAAGTGGAAAAAATTAACAAATGCTCTGTGGCTCTGTAGTCAGGACCGTACTATCTTAAATGTTAAACTTACAAATAATGTTATGTAGGTAAAGTCTTCAATTTTAGAAGTTTGTTGTTTTTGTTATTTACAGATTTCAACAATATAGAGCTCATGATTAGTGTATACGTTTTAATTGTGCATTCAAAGGGATTGCATGATCTTCTGAAATTTCTGGAATCACTTCATTATTTCACAGATTCTATATTAAATTATTGGATAATAGGCAATGCAGTATAACTTAGGTTTGAAAATTACCTTGAATCTATTTCACATTGAAGGCATGGTTTAATTTAAAATAAGAAAATGATATAAGACATTAGCATCAATATACATTCTGCCAGATGTGTCAGAAAAACGGTTCAGTATAAGTACCTCATTTAAATTTTCAACCATTAATCCAGATGTTTGGCATGGCATCAAACATACAATTTGACCAAATAATTGATCCCTTTTGAAAATGATTAGGTTCTTTAAGACATATAAATTCTGATTATTTATTTAACTTCAGTGTCATATATCTACATGATAAAAATTTCTTAACCATATTTTTCTGCATAGAAATGTATTCGGGGACTTTAAATTATTTGGCTTTTAATGCATACATGACTCTACATTTTACTTTATTCTGTAGATCCAGTCTCTATTTCTTTCACTATATACAATGGATATGGTGGTGTTTACTAAGCATTAAAAACGTGGTGTGTTAATTACTATAACATAAAATTATTTTCATATTAAATATTGGGTAGAAATTAGCATCTCTAGTTCTATTTTCATCAGGTCATTTCCTCTGGCTTTGATGACCGCTATTAAATATTTAAGCCATGTGCTTCAAGTTCCCTAATAAACAGCCACTGTCTAAAATTCCCTACAAAAATTCATTAGTGGCCTTTAAAAATAACTATTAATAAAATGTCAATAGGCTTAAACTTTACTGAGCCTGAGTTTTGCTCTTTGTTATCATTCCAAATCCAATTTGACTTTCGCTCCTCTCAGGCAAAAAGCCTCATTCATTTCTTTTTTGCAGAACTCTATCAATATGTTACTCTTAGCTATAATGTAACCAGTGCAGTCAGTTTGTAGTTCATCAATGAAAGAAGTCGTTTATTCATTTCATAAAAATGATTTATGGATGAGAACTTTAAGTCCACAGTAAGGCAAAAATAAGAGAATAACAGTCCAGGCCATGAATGCAGGTGTTGTTTAAAACTCTCCAGTGCTTTGTACATAAAGAAAACTTTTACATGCTGTAAGAGATTTCACATGTTTTGCTAAGTGGGTTTAGATTATGCCTTGAAGAATACTGTTTCTCAGTTCCAAATTTCCAATAAATATCTATGTTCACTTGGGGTAAGAAAGAAAAAAATGAGTTTTTTCTTTTTATGGCACAAATAGTGCTAAAAGCATCTGTAGTTGTCAACTTGAAATTAAAACAAAAAATCTGTTTGCATATGACAAGCTTAAATCAACTCCAAATTATGTCCAAATTGGGCAGAGCCCAGATTTTGTCACCATGGTCCCAACATTTCAGTTTCGATTAAGAGCAGACTCGTGTTCTACCATGTTTCTTCAAAGAGCCACTTCGCTATTTTTCAGCTGCTACAAAAGAAATTATTGGTCAGACACGGTGGCTCACTTCTGTAATCCCAAGGCTTTGGGAAGCTGAGGCCAGAGGATTGCTTGAGATCAGGGGTTTGAGACCAGCCTGAGCAACATAGCATGACCCTGTCTTTACACTTAGTTTTTTAAAAAATAGCTATACATGGTGGCACGGACCTAGCTATTTGGGAGGCTGAGGTGGGAGGATCACTTGAGCCCAGGAGTTGGAGGCTGCAGTGAGCTTTAATTGTGCCACTGCACTCTAGCTTGGGTGACAGAGCAAGACACTGTAGCTAAAATAAAATTAAAAAAAAAAAAAACAAATAAATCATGACTAATATTAATTACTGTCATACAATTCCAAGACATAGAGCTTTCCTAAGCACAGAAATGAATTTCCTCAGTTCTTAAAAAAGATAAGTAATATAATGTTTTATTTAAAAAATCTATGTTAATATGTATGTCACAAATAACATAATATATTACACTTTTCACATTAATAAATTGTTTATATAATACCGAATAGGACTTAGATACTTGGGAAAACTTTCATTTAGAAAACTATTTTCTTTTACATACAAACATGCCACACACACACCAAAATAAAGTCAAAAAACAGAAAGTAAATTTGATCATTGTCTAAGGATAAAAGTCTAGATTTAACACATTCTAAGAAACATGGCCACATCTGAAGGCAAAGTGACATTCTTTCTATTAACAGAGAAAGAAATAAAATAACTGAACCCTAAGGCAATAACCTGAAAATGACCCAAAAGTCTTTGCAATCTTTGCTCAGGAATATGAGAACCAAAAGGAATTCACCAACCCACCTATCCTTTAACAAAGGCAGGTGGTACACAGTAACCTGACTTCAGTGTGTTTCCTCCTCTACTTACTCACATATAGAGAAGAAAAATAAGTTGTCATTTGAGATAACCTGGAGTAGTGGAAAGTATAGGTTTTATATGAGTCTTTGTATCAATTATTTACTTCAGGGATTGTGAGGATTTGCAACAGCACGGAAGATTCTAGCAAATACTAAGAACTCAAGAAATACTTACCTAAACTCCAAAATGCTACATTCATTCATTCATTCACTTATTCCTTAATAATTAGATAATATGCAATTGAGAATAATAAATTAGTTTTTCTAATTATAATTAATATAATTTGTTATATTAGTTAGGATGTGATGCTGCAATAAAAAAAAAATAGACCCCAATATTTCAGTAGCTGAAAACAACAGACTTTTATTTCTTGCTTGTTATAGACCTGTTCATTCAGAAAAGTGAGGCAACTTCTCTACACAGTCTTTCAGAATCCAGGTTGTCAGCAGTTATACCATCTTCATACATGGCTGTTAAGATCACCCTAACAGCTGCTATTCCAGCTGACTGGAAGAGAAAAGAGAATAGAGAAGCACATGGGAGATTTTTACAGACCAGCCGTGGAACCCAGATTCTATTCATTATAATTGAGTCCGCAACTAATGCAAAAGAGACTGGGGAATACACTGAACTATGTGTCTGAAGCAACAGACATCAGATTTGGATCTCTGGCTCATCAAGTTTGGAAAGAAAGAAAACAAAAACTATAAATATCTTTTGAACTAAAATTCTAAATTTTTGGTTATATTGCAGTAAGAAGAAAATGAATATTTTCTGCAATAGTACTAATTATTATTAGTAATATGACTGGCAAACATACATGCACAAGCACTAAATGTTTGTGAGGTATGTGCTCAAGAGTCTGTGTAACAGGGAAGTACAATGGTTAGGAATTGTACTTGGTTAGAGTTGCTAACCAAGTTATGGTGAGAGGTTGGGTAAATTAGCCAACTTATTCTAGTGTCAATCATCTTCATCTGTAAAACAAAAATAGTAATCCTACCTACTTCATTAGGACGCAATGTGGATTAATTGGGTTACGCATAAAGCAATTAGAACAAGTCATGGGACATAGTCAGTGCTCCACAAGTTGGCACTGTTATTACAGTCAACACAGTGAATGCTTTGCCCATAGAGCCTCTATTTTAATTCCTTGCTACAACCATTTTCACTTTTTTCTTTTCTTTTTTTTTTTTTTTTTTTGAGACAGAGTCTCCTCGCTCTGTTGCCAGTCTGGAGTACAGTGGCACGATCTCGGCCCACTGCAACCTCCGCCTACCAGGTTCAAGCGATTATCCTGCCTCAGCTTCCCAAGTAGCTGGGATTACAAGTGCACACCACCACGCCCAGCTAATTTTTGTATTTTTATTAGAGACAGGGTTTCACCATGTTGGCCAGGATGGTCTCAATCATTTTCACTTCTTTTAAGCACAAGGAATTGTAAATGAAATGCAAGGGGTTTCAATTCCAGTTCAATTAGCCAGTGGGTTCAGTGTTTTGTTTTGTTTTGTTTTGTTTTTTTCAAGTCCCTTTTCATTTATAAGGCCAAATGACAATCTCAAAGATGAATGAAAACCACTAGAGGCAGTAAGTAGCACATTCAAGCCGGTCACTCATATATTTCTCACCTTACCTCAGTCCTTCTAACTAGGAAGGAATTGTTGAACTGAAAGCAGAGTAGAGGAAGGAGATTGTGTGGGTAAGCAGAGATATTTTGGCACTCCCGGGGGTCTAAGCAAATAGTTGTTCCAAGGTGCTGCATGGGATAAAGGAGCTGGGGGATAGTGTAAGATTGAGCCACCATGCTGATGATGGGAGAAAGTCTATGATCACCCTTGACAGGATGTAAAAGATGTCCACGCACAGCAGCTCACAAACAGCAGGCACTGGAATTACACATTCCTTGGCACTGCCACATATGTTAATAGCCAGTTGTATCTGTCGGTCACTGTCAATCAGAAAACCTCAGTCTGAACTCTCCGCTCCTCTCTCTTTTTTGTTGTTGCTCTTTTTAACAGCTTTATTGAGATATAATCCACCCGCCTTTAAATTCACCTTTTAAAAAAAGTAGACAATTCAGTGGTTTTAATATATTCCCAGAATTGTGAAATCGCCACCACTATCTAATTCCAGAAAGTTTCATTACCTGAAAAGAAATCATGCAACTGTTAGCAATCACTCCCTATAGCCCCTGGCAACCACTAATCTATCTCAATGAATTTGCTTATTCTGGATTTTTATATAAATAGATTAATATATATGTGGCCTTTTGTGACTGGCTTATTTTGCTTAGCATAATTTTTTAAGGTTCATCCATGTCAGAGCATATATCAGCATTTCATTCCTTGTTATGGCTAAATAATATTTCATTGTATGGATACACCACTTTTGTTTATCTGCTCATCACTTGGATATTTGGGTTGTTTCCATTTATTGGATACTGTGAATAATATTGCTATAAACATTCATATATAAATTTTTATGTGGACATTTTTCTTGGGAGCATGCCTAGGATTGAGGTTGCTTGGTCATATGGTAACTCCATGATTAATTTTGGGGCATTGCCAAACTGTTTTCTAAAGGAGTTGCATGAATTTGCATTCACACCAGCAATGTATGAGGGTTCCAGTGTCTCCACATCTTCACCAATGCTTGTTATTGTCTGTCTTTTTTTCATTATAGCCATCCTAGTGTGTTTGATGTAGTCTCTCATTGTGGTTTTAATTTTATTTCTCTAATGACAATGATGTTGAAATATTTTATGTACATATTGGCCATTTGTATGTCTTCCATGAATAACTGTCTATTCAAAACTTTTTCCCTTTTTTCAATTTGTTTGTCAAGTTGCAAGTTATTTTATAAAAGGACTTATATTGATACAAGTCCTTCATCAAATATATGACATATAAATATTTTCTCCCATTCTTTATGTGGTCTTTTCACTTTCTTAATAATGTCTTTTAAATATAAAAGTATTCAATTTTGACTATTTTTAACTTATCTGTTTTTTTCCTTTGACTTATGCTTTTGGTTTCATGTCTAAGAGATCATTGCCTAATCCAAAGTTGTAAAAATTTTTCCTGTGTTTTCCTATAAGGAGAACAAACTTGGCTTTGTTCTTCCACCTCTCTACCTGCTCTTCTTCAGTCTACTTAACTATCTTATCTTCTTCTCCACCCATCCACACCTCTAAGAGTTTTATAGCTTTAACTCCTACATTTAGAACTCTAATCTATCGTTAAGTTAATTTTTGTATATGGTGTGAGGGAGGTGTCTGACTTCATTCTTTTGCTTTTATCTGATATCTAGATGTTCCTGCACCATTTGTTGAAGACTGTTCTCTCCCTGTTGAATTGTCCTGGCACTCTTGTCAAAAGCAATTTACCAGAATTGTAAGGGTTTATTTTTGGACTCTACCCCTCTATCTTGTCTCAAATGTTACTGATAAAGTGAAAGACTGAAGGGAGAAAAAAATGAATCCAGGTGGTGGAAATTCTCCATGTGAGTTAGCACAAGTGATGAGCTTTGCTTCCCATTCCCTGTAGTGTTTGGGGAGCTCTTCATTGACAGGCATCAGCTAATGGAAGTAGTACTTGAATGTTACCAATGTCCTCCTACAAGTCAAATTAAGTTGTCCTTTATTTCAGTAATGTCCCCTGACATTTGGCATTGCTATCCACTTCTAGAAACTTGGCTTTGTTCTCCTTTTACCTCTGTAATTCTTCTTCAGTCTACTTCACCATCTTACTTTTTTCTCTAACTATCTATACCTTAAAAGTTGGTTTTCCACAGAGATTTATCTTCATACTTCTCTTTATATTTAAAGACTTCTGGTTGCCATACAATATCCATTCTTATGCATTGTGCACAACAGAAGATCAACTTTTATCTGGACACATTGCTTCAGAACTAAATGATGACATGTCCCAACCTCCCTTGCATGTTTTTATTGCCATGTGTCTTAACTCTGGATAGTAATATGGAAGCAAAAGTGTTGTATGAATCTGGAAAATGTCTTAATTGGTTAGGGAATGCATTCTTGTTTTGCTCTTCCTGTTGCTGGTAACCTGGAACACAGTGGGGATGGCTGGAGACCCAGTTAAGTCATGATCATTTTGGAATTTTTTTAATTATACGTAGCAAACCTAATTATAATTGAGAAACCATCAAAGGCTATGTATTCATGTATCGTTGAACCAATATTTATTAAGCATCTACTACCTATCATGTACTGTGACAGGTATCATGGTGATGTGATGCTGTCCTCAGGAAGTCCACAGCCTATAGGGAAATACATAAATGTATACACACATAAAACCCTTAATGGTAATTTTTATAATAATATTATTATAGAAAATATGTGGTGTGCCAGGGTAATACAAGGAATAAAACAATTAATCCTGTCAAGGTTTTATAAAGCTTTGTGAGGAAGCAATATTTGTATTGAGACTCGATAGACTTTGTAAATAAAAGAGGAAAACCATTATAGATAATGTAGGGTTTACAAATGTATGGATTGTACAGCTGTGAATGTTCATGATTAGTTTAAAAATGCATTATTAGTTATGTCTAGAGAAAAGGCTGTTATGTGTGTGTGACAGAGAGAGAGAGAGAGAGAGAGACGGAGATGAAAAGAGGGAGGGAAGGGAGAAGACAGAGACATACAGGAGAGAGATCCTGGGAAGCAGCAAGTGATCAGAGAGGAACAGCAACAGAGAGTGTTCCCAGGAAATAGGAATTTGGGGTATTGCATGTAGAATTGAGAATGTATGTCTCAGCTTATGAATCAGAGATAGAAAATATGTTTGAATCCTTATGTCAACTCTAATTTTGCCTGCCTAAAGTACTACATTGAGAAGAATCCTGAATTTACACCTGAGCTCAGGAAAGAGTGACATAAAGTATTAGAAATGCTGGCATGACATCTACAGCCATATCTCCCTGTAGGTGGCTGATCTTATCTGATCTCAGAAACCAAGTAGAGCTGGGCCTGGTTAGTACTTGGATGAAATGTCTGCATGAGTTTGGGACATGTGGTGGTTAATTTTATGTGTCAACTTGGCTGAGCCACAGTGATCGGGTATGTGATCAAACATTATTCTAGATGTCTCTCTGAGGATATTTTTGGACGGGATTAACATTTAAACTTATGGACTTTGAGTAAAACTGGTAGTCGATCACAATGTGAGTGACCTCACCAATGAGTTGAAGCCCCAAGTAAAATAAAAGAATGACCTCCCTGAACAAGGCAGAATTCTGCATCTCATGGCCTTTGAACTTGAACTGCAGTATCAACCCGTGTCTCCAGCTGATGTCCTTTGAATTTGAACTGCAGCATTGGCTTTTCTCCAAGTCTCCAGCCTATTGGCCCAACCCACAGATTTTGAACTTACCACCCTTCATAACCACATGACACAATTTCTTAAAATAAATCTCTCTATTGCTCTCTCTCTATATATATATCCTATTGGTTCTGTTTCTCTAGAGAACCCCAAGTAACACCAACGGATTGAATATTCACATGTGAGGAATTAAAAAGAGTTTTGAACCTTGGCAAAAACACTTTGAGATAGGTGTGGTTATTATCCTGTTTTACATGAAGAAAACTAAAAAAAAAAGACAGAGATTAAATTATGTGGGCCTGGAACTCTGGCCGTGGGAGCCTGGAACTTTGGTTGTGAGGGCCTAGAGATCTTGCCCTTCCTGGAGGCCACCCAGCTTTTCAGCATACTCCTGCTGATGTAGTTTCAGGAGAACAAGTTGTTAAAGGCACTAAGCCACAACCTGCTGCAGGATACTCAAGGTTTCTGTGGGAATTTCATGCCCTCAAAGAGTCTAGTCTTTTAATTTCTGATCTCTATGTTCTATTTATTCCTTCTTATTTCACACAAATGGCCATGGCCTCAAGTGTTCTGGAAAAAGTGAATTTGAGTGAGAAAATGACTTCTAAAAAATCCTATTGGCTTTCCCTTCAAAAAACATGCAGGCTCCAACCATGTCTTATCCCTTCACTGATACATTTTGAGGTGAGTCACCATTATCTCCCTCCTAGATACTGCAATATTCCCCTAGCTAATCCTTCTCCTTTTATCCTAGTCCCTTTACTAACTACTCTCAAAACAGCTACAAGAGATAACAATGATATCTTAAATCAGATCAATTTACTCTGCTCCATCTCTTCAAAGGATCCCAATCTGAGCAAAGGCCAACATTGTCACAGAGGTCTATAAGATTATATAGCTTCTCTTCCTACTCCATTAACTCTCTGAATTTACATACTCTCTTCAGTCACACTGGCCTCTCCCTTTCTACAGACTTGTCTGACATACCTAAAGTTCTTTCACACTGGGCAGTCCCTCCTCCTGAAATGCTCCCTGCCCAGAGAGCCATAGGGCTTACTCCCTCAACTCTTGCAAGTGTTGGGATAAATGAATCAATGAGAACTATCTCACCCATTCTATTTACAGTGGCACCATTTTACTCCCCCTTGCCTTTTTTTTTTTTTTTAATTTCTGTTTCAATAGCACTTGGGAGCATTGTAGGTGCTCCTTAACTATTTGTTGAATATGTGTGACTATACCTTCATTTGACCTTTTTCCACAGGCATGACTCTATTGTCTGGTCAAAGACGTTTAAAAGGGCCGTAGTCACACTTTGGGAGGCCGAGGCGGGTGGATCACGAAGTCAAGAGATCGACACGATCCTGGCCAACATGGTGAAACCCCATCTCTACTAAAAACACAAAAATTAGCTGGGCATGGTGGTGCGCGCCTGTAGTCTCAGCTACTTGGGAGGCTGAGGCAGGAGAATTTCTTGAACCCAGGAGGCAGAGGTTACAGTGAGCCAAGATTGTGCCACTGCACTCCAGCCTGGGCAACAGAGCAAGACTCCGTCTCAAAAAAAAAAAAAAAAAAAAGGGTCATAGTCTTACCACCACCTGCTAAAGCTTTAGTTTTGTCACTGGTGTTTCAGTATGGACACAGGGGTGATTGACTTTTTCACTCCTGTGAGGGTGTAAATTGTGGGACTCCCAGTAAGTGCAGTTTGGAGCCATATATAGATAATTTATCCTTCAGCAACGAAGAAAATAGTTTGTCTTTCTATTTCTACTTGAAAACTATCTACATTTAGCTTCAGTGCCTCTCTCTACTTTAAGAGTTCTTTAAAACCATCAAGCAGCAGTCAACACTCTTCCATATTCTGAATGTGTTGTACTTTTCCTGCATGTTATGGCTCAGTCCATACTGTGTTCTCATACTTGGCCATTTTACTATTACATAACAATGGTCACCCATTCTCTAGACTAGAGTATCTGCACCACTCATTATCCAACTGCCTCTACTATGGCAACATCACATTTTAGTTTTTATTCTTGCAGCATTCCACTTCCATTACAAAATTCTACCACATAGTTGAAATGCTTGCCTGCGTATGATAGAAAAAAAATGCCTTAAACAATATAGAAGTTTATTCATCTTTCATGCAACACAAAACATATGAGGTCCAGGCTTCTTTCAATTCTCAGGTCCAACAAACTGAAAGTACAGCCTTCATTCTCATGGTCCAAGCAATATGCAAGAGTTTCAGTCATATCCTTCTCTTTTAGATAGTAGATAAAAGAACAGGACATTAAAAAAAAAAAGCAATCCTCTCTTAAAAGAGGCTTACAGGAATTCACAGGTAACATTTCTGCTTATATCTCATTGACTAAACATTAGTTACATGGCCTACAACCAGATTCAAGGGAGGCTAGGAGATGAAGTTCTTTATCAAAGAGAACACACATCTAGCTAAAAACCAGGATTCTGGTTTCTAACAAAGAAGGAAAGAATGAATATTGGGACAACTATGAACAGTTGGAAGTCAACTCACTAAACTTCCATGAGAAGAAGATAGAACATAAAATTATATTTTATTAACTTGAGTCTGAAAGAGTATCCAAGAACTACTGCATATCTGCATCTTCTGAATACCGCATATTCTGAATACTGTATATTCTGAAACTTTAGGCACCATCTCTCCTGGGGTATGCACTTAGCCCCATATCATGCTGCTAAAAGACCAATAACCAAATGAGACATGACACCCAGCTGGACCATTCCCAAACACCAGAGGATGTAATGTTGTTTATGTCCAAAAATGTTCAGATAGATAAGCAAAGGCATAGTTAACTTGAACTAAAATGTGAGGAACATGACATACAGTATTACAACACTCCTCTTGACATAGCTCCCCTCTATCCATTCCAACTTAGGAAAATATGGTAAGCATTATGTTCCTTGCCTATGCTTAAATATCATACCCTCCTAAATTATTGAAAGGAATGAGCATAAGCAAACTTTAAACCAAAGAAATAAAAAGTAAGATCTCTAAAGTGGTTACAGTTTCAAAATATGGACTACACACATTATTTGAAAAACTATGCTGTGGAATTAAGGACGTTTGGAAGAAAACCTTTTAATTAGCTCTACTGTTACATTCCATAAAGCTAAACTCAACTTGCATTTAAAAATAAAAGAAATTCCATGAGTCAAATAATTTATTTTCAGAGAATCATATCAATCACAATGGATCACCTTTCCGGAAACTATCAAATTCAAACCTGGGATCCTGGGTCACAGCCTAGGTACCCTTCATTTGGCTTATGAGGCTAAGCAGGGTGCTCCCTGAGGCAGAGGCTTCCTTGCCAGTGCTTATGTTCCAGCTGAAACCCACAGCAGTTTCAGGGCAACCCCTTTGGAGGAAAGGAGATTGGCTCCACAAATGCAGGTAAGCCATGTAAAGATAAATGAGTTCAAACTCTACAGCTTCTGCTTGCCATTTCAAATCAGAAAGACAAACAGATTGACATATTTCTGCCCAGGAGCATTTCTACATTTCCAAAGAGAAAACTAGTACTATTATGTTCAGTGGAGGAGAAGCAGCAATGTCCAAAGAAACTTTTTGGATGTGGAAGAGGAAGATGAGGAAGAAGAGAAGAGGCAGAAGGAGATAGAAAATGTGGATAAGAAAAAACTCTTTGGGTCCAGTTTCAAGAATCAAAGGAGTTGTCACCAAATCTGAAAACTGGGAGAGACTAATTTGAGGTAAAAATAATTCAACTCTAACTGTGACATACGAGAACTTCCAATGTGTATACTATATTGAAGTTAGTCTGAATTTTTTCATAGTCAAAAGTATACTTTTTAAAAATACTCATATTTAGTAGCTATAATGCATTTTTCTTAAAATTAAATATCATCTTCTCATATAAATCAATAACCATTTAATAAATGTCTTCATATGGAGGCTACCCAGCTGTATGCTCAGATACAATCAGATGAATTTTAACAAGTCACAGTTACATATCTCAAGGCCTCTAAAGATAAGGACAAATTTTTAAAAAGATAAAGGCAAAATAAAAAGATCTTATTTTACAGCACTAACCTTTACATTAATGCCACTCTACCTCTACTTTAACATTTCTGTCTTTAAAACTGTTTCACAGGGGTTATTGCCCATTGTATGTTCTTAGTACTTACAACATAAAGGTGACAAGTAGATTGGTCTTATAGTTTATCTGGAGACTATATGAAAAAGAAAATTAACATGCAGTTTAAAAAATTTTAAACCAAGAAAATGTCTGTAAATTTAAAGAGATTATTTAAGAACTACTTTAAAAGCTACTCCACCATGACTGAAAGCAAGTTAAAAATTTAGAATTACTCTTTCAACTGTTGCTCATGGTTATATGATTTAAAGTGAAGAAGTCAAAAAAGCTTTGTTGATATTAAGTCCATGGCTATGGTCAGTACGTGGCTAATCTTGGTTTAGGTAGATAGGAGTATGTTGGGTATGATTTGGCAAGTCTGCTAAAACATCCCCTGCCTAGAAATATCTTGCCCAGCAGCAGGCCAAAGAACGCACTGGCCATGAGATCATCTTGACATCAGTCTGTGTTACCATTTTCTTTCTCCTTGGGGTAAAGGATAACTTTTTAAAACAGAAATTCCAGGCTGGATGCGGTGGCTCACAACTGTAATCCCAGCACTTTGGGAGGCCAAGGCGGGCGGATCATGAGGTCAGGAGCTCGAGACCAGCCTGGGGTGAAACCCCATCTCTACTAAAAATACAAAAAATTAGCCAGGCATGGGCCGGTGCCTGTAATCCCAGCTACTAGGTAGGCTGGGGCAGGAGAATCACTTGAACCCAGGAGATGGAGGTTGCAGTGAGCCGAGATCGCGCCATTGCACTCCAGCCTGGGCGACAAGAGTGAGACTCCATTTCACACACACACACACACACACACACACACACAAAGAAAAACAGAAATTCCAAAACCACAAAGGAGAAAACGTTGACATATTTATATATTTATGATGCGACAAGTGTTTACAAATAGTAGACTGGAAAAATATTTGCAACATAACTGACAGAAATAAAAAACATTATCCTATAAATTAAGAAATAATAAATCCATGAGTAAATGGCCAAAAAATATGAACAAACCTATCAGAGAAGAAGAATTGCAAATTACCTGTTTCCACAAAAGTTGATTCTGTTCTTCTTTCCATTCTGGTTAGGTACAATGTTTTGGAGAAAAGATCAGGGTCAACAGCAGCCTAGCCAGGAAAAATTATATATGATGTGAGGAGAGATCTTTTCTCTCTTTTTCCAGTCCATGATTTTGTTAAGGTATTGAAATCTTACGTATGCTATAGTATTTATTGTCTTGACGGGAACTACCAGGAAAAGCAACAGAGCTGCATTGAGAAATCTTCTCTCAAGAATGTATGCCAAATTTAATCCTTTAACATAGAATTCAAATTATATTTTCCCCAATTGTGTGAAGTAAAATCTCCTCACTAGTCTCTCCTGAGCTGTTACCCTAAACAAAGTAGAGCTAAGAAACCACATATGACACCACCTCCACCTTGCACTAGGTTCTCCGTGGAAAAGTATGGAGTTCTGTACAAACAAAAAAGTGACACATAATATCCCACAATACTGTCAACTATTGATTCCCTTTTATTTAATGATCATAAGATTATTTTGATTTTATATTTCTTCTTGAGTCAATTTTGACACATTTTATCTTTCTTTTTTAATTTGAATCATTTATTATGTTGTTGCCAGAATAAATATCTGTATAACATGTACTGTCATAGAAAATTACATTAAAGGAATTGTGACTAGGCCTGTCATTTCCCCAGGGTACATACAAATGTGTTTCTTTATAGCTAGATTTTACCATATTCTTAAAATACCACATACATGTACACTCCACATTAGCAATAGGAAATCAATGAATAGTTGCAAGACAGAGTGACTTTCTAATGATTTTTGACCTCACAAGTCACCGTAAGATTTCAATATTGGTTTGGTTTCCTTCTTATCATAGAGAGCCCCTCCCCCCACTCTCTCTCTCTGTTTCTCTCCCTCTTTCTGTCTTTAGCTACATGGCTCCCCTTTAAAATATATATATATTTCCATAGGTTATTGGGAAACAGGTGCTGTTTGGTTACATGAGTAAGTTCTTTAGTGGTGATTTCTGCCTTGCCTCACAGAGGTCCTTGGGGAGGGCTGGCACTGGGAAATGACACATTTTATCATTCTAGAAAAGTATTGGTTTTATCTAAGTTTTCAAATTTTCAACATAAGTTGTATATTTTATAATACAGCCAATATATTTATCTGTTTCCTATTTTTCATTCCAAATATTGTTTAATGCTTTTGTGCTAAACAAACTGGCCAAGGTTGTGTTTAATTGATATTATTACATTTTAAAATAAACTATGTTTTTTGCTTTGTTGATTCTTTATCTCCTATCTTTTCTTCTAGTTTATAAATTCTTGCTTCTTATTATTTTCTTCTGTCCACTTTTATGGGGGGTTATTTCCATTTTATTTTCTCAAATTCTGAGATATATCCTTAGCTTTTCAAAACTTCGATGTTATCATTTTGTAATGTAGGTATTTAAGGCTATGAATTTTCCTCTAACTTCAACTATATCCCACAAGTTTTGATACATAATAATTTTATTACCATTTACATCTTAGTATTCTCTAGTTTTTATTACATACTTTCCTTTAATTTTTAAGTATTTAGACTTTTTGTTTCAAATGTATAAGACTATATGATGTCAAGACTGTATAATAATGATACATTCATCTTTGTTCTTTGATACTGAGACATTTATAGCCTAATATGCAGTCAATTTTTATAACTGTTATCTATATATAAGAAGAAATTATATTGTTGACGGGTGCAGAGTTCTATAAACACTCTTTAAGGAAGCTTATTATTATTCAAATATTCTCCATTCTTTTTAATTTTTGGTCTTTTTTATATATTGCTTATGTAGGGAGATGTATTAAAATCTCCCATTATGACCGTGAGTGTGTCAATATCTTTCTCTAGGTCTGTTACTTTTTGCTTTAGGTGAAATCAATACTATTAGATACATACAAGTTTGGTTGTTACACCTTTCTGGTAAATTAAAACTATGAGTATGCTTTTGTTTTAGTGACTATTTTGTTTAATGTTACACCAGCTGTATCGACCTTTTGATTAGTATTCCACTTTTTGTAGCCAGTGTTTCTATATTCTATATTTTATTTGTGACACTTATAAGTAATAAATAGCAGAAATCTATTTTTGTTTAATCTGAAAAATCTCTGCATTTAATTGCTAATTTATATTTATTGAGATTGTTGGTACTCTTAGATTAATTTTTAGAATTATATAATTGTATTTCATATTACTTATTTTATTTACACTTTTTCTTTCTTTTTTCCTGCCCTCCTCTGGAGTTTTCTCTAATGAATTGAAAGAGATGCACTCTATTTCTATTCCTTTAGTAGTTAATCTTACTACTTAAGATAAATATAAAACAAAGTGTAATGTACACTGTATTTCTAACCTCCTCTTACATAATATAGGGCTTTAGAAAGTCTAAATTTGTATTAACACCCTCCCAACTTATATTATTCCCATCCAGCCTTTTAACTATATATTTATTTTATATCTCTTATGAGACATTTTATTGTTTTATGCATTTATGTATAGTCATATATGTGTATATACAGACACAATTATTATAATAGTTTATTAATTTTGATTTATATATTTGCCCATTTGTCCATCATCCTTGCTTGAGTCTCAGACCTTTCTTTGAGATAACTTTCTTTCTTCTTTCATGAAGACAATCCTCTTGAGTTGTGGTTCAGCTTGATATGTAAATAAGGTTTGACATTTATTTTCTCAACATTTTTATGGTAAAATATTGTAAAATTTTGCAATATTATTTCAATGTCTTCAGTCTGTATTGTTACTGATGAGAAGTTTGATGTGATACTAATTATCTTTTCTTTAAAACTAATTCAACTTTCCTTTCTTTTAAGGTCTTTCCTTTGTCTTCATTGTTTAGCAGTTTCCATGCAATGTTTTCAGTTTCCTGAATCTGAGGACATACGTCTTCCATCAATTCTGAAAAACTGGGTTTTCCCATGCTCACTCTTCCCTCTTTCTAAAATAACAATTAGACTTATGATATGGTTTCTTAGATTATTCTCCATGTCTTTTATCTTCCTTCTTTATTTTTCATCTTGTGGTCTCTCTGGGTTGAAATCTGGGTAATTTCTTTAGCTATATTTTCCACTTTGCTAATTATCTCTTCACCTGTGTCTAATATTCTGTTAACCCACCCATTTAGCTTTTAATACCAAAGATATATGTTACTAGAAGTTTTATCTGGATTTTTTCTTAGATCTGCCTACCCATTTTTGTAAATCTTGTCCTTCATTAATATTTTTATTTCCTTTTCTATTTATTTAAGCATTTTAAAACAAATTTATTTTATATTCTATACCCTATCCTCAACACCTGAGGATCTACAAGGTTAATTTCTGCTATTTGTTTTTCTTTTCCTTTTATTCTCCTGACTCGGGTTTGTATAATTTGTTTACTCAGGCTATTTGTAATTTTGGATAATGGGCTCATGTTTAGCTAGACTCTATCTGTAGGAATCCTGAAATATCTGGTTTGTGTATTCAGCAACAGAATATTTGTTTTTGCTTATGTCAAGGTATTCAGAATGCTAGAAACCCAGGCATTAATTTTAGGTTAGTTTTTAGGTCTGAGTGTTCTATACCATGCAGGAAGTACAAATTCAATCACCAACACTGAGGCTTAAATTCAGTTCATTCTCCGTCTCTTTTCCAAAAGGTATTTTTTTTCCTGCCCTGCTATCCTTTCACTCAGCATGAGTCTCAGTTCCACAGCCCACGTTTCACACAGGACCAGGTCTGTGTTGCCTGCCCTTTTGTGGCTATTAAAATACAAACTTATAAGGGGGCAAATGACCTAAGGTCAGTTGCAGATTCAGTATCAACTACCACCTTCATACACGACCCTGTATACACCTAGAGGGTACACAGTCCATGCTGGGAGTTCTTCTATGGGTTATTTTTGACCTGGAAATAAGAATCAGTGTACTCTAGTGATAGCAGCAGTAAATTGTGATGTTTTGGAGCTATTGGTGCCCATTTTTGCTTTTTGTGGATTAAACCAATCTTTTGAAAGGAAGAATAAGACCTAGGTATAGAATGAAGCAGAAATAAGAAGTAGTGACAAAGTGTTCTGGCAATTTGTTGCTTCTACTTGTTCTTGAATCTTAGATGATCCAGTTGTGTCTCTGTCCATCCCATGATTAGTTAACTTTACCTTTCCTTTAATTGCTGAGAAACGCTTTGGCATAAACTAGTTGAGATTATGTCTCTGAGCTTTGCAATAAAAGGACTCCTGACTAATACACAAGTATTTTGTTTTACACATCTTTCTCTTTTTCATATCCTGCAAAGCCTATGCATTACATGACAACTGATAGTTGTTAAATTAAATTGACTTAAATAAGATAATCACAGTAGTTCTACTGAGACCTGAAACTTAACTTTTTGTTTGGTCCCAGACTACTTCCAGTCAGTGCTTTTAAAATGTTCCAATAATGAGGACCAAAAGAAAGAAGCATCCTGAATACTGACTCAAATAGTATCACCCACCCCAAGGTGGGCAGAAAATGATCCTTCCTTGCACCACAAAACTCACATGCTTTAAGGACCCTTGAGAATCAACCCTGTGCAATAAAATACATGCTGAAGTACTAATCTGAATTGTCTGAATATTGAAAATTTTCCTCCAGTCCTTGGAAAGGAAAGGTTTTATAGTCATGATTCTAAAACATAGAAAAAAGATCACATTTCAAAATTAGTGACTAAGTGTACACAAGCAAACAGGAACGGAGGTCTGAAGCAATTGATTGGTAATGCATATCAAAATGTGCTACTGTATAAAAATACCTTTGTGCCTCAAGTCAGCCATGTTGCTTGTCATTAGTGATCAAATCTTTGGCACTGCTCCTCACATTTTGGATACACAAAATCAATGAAGCAGGCCAATCAGAATGGATCTTAGGGTATAGAAATTAAATCTTTATGCTGTCTTGGAGGTTGGCTGTCAAATACTGAACAAGTAAAATAAAGGCCTCATTTTCATTACTTCTCTCCATGCTCAAACCCTAATATTTAAAAGGCATCCTTGTCTAGTAGTCATATATACTCTTACCATCACTCCAAATATTAACACCAAGGCTTATGTCCCATATAAATATACTTATGTAAATTTAATAGAATTATATTTTAATGCCACTAAATTTTGAATAGTGTGTTAGTCTGTTCTCATGCTGCTAATAAAGACATACCCGAGACTGGGTAATTTATAAAGGAAAGGAGGTTTAATGGACTCAAGTTCCACATGGCTGGGCAGGCCTCAAAATCATGGCTGAAGGCAAAGGAGGAGTAAAGTCACAAATTACATGGTAGCAGGCAAGAGAGTGTGTGCAGGGGAACTCTACTTTATAAAACCATCAGATCTCATGAGACTTATTCACTATCATGAGAACAGCACTGGAAAGACCCACCCCCATGATTCAATTCAACCTACCCTCCCATGACATGTGGGAATTATGGGAGCTACAAGTCAAGATGAGATTTGGGTGGGGACATAGCCAAACCATATCAAATAGAAAAGAAAGAAAAGGAAGGAAAAAATATGAGAGCCAGGATGCAACATTTTGATTTATCTTTTTATTTTTTACACAATAACATTTTTATTTAAATCATAGATTATGTATTTCAAGAAGAGAGTCCCCATTCCTAACCCATTAACTTCTCATTTCCTTTCTTAAACTTCAGAATGTGTCTATTTGTTTCTTTGGAAACTACAAATCATCTGGGAGATCTCCTCACTGGCTGTTTTAGTCCTTTGTCTTTGAGAAATGGGCTTCTTCCCACTGGAAGCTGCTAAAAGGATTTTTCCAGAGGAACTACACCACAATGAAGTGACTGCACAGGCAATTATTTGAGGAAAATGCTCCCTGTGAGTTGGCCAGACAGCATGAAATTGAATAATTTTCTTTTAAACCCTAAAGAGGAGAATAAGAGACTTGGGAATAAAAAAAGGATAGGTGCCAAAAAGAATTTCCCCACACAGGGAAGGGAGTGGTCAAGTACCAAAGCACAAGTCAAAAAAATGATGTCTTGGCCTGTCCTACTTAACGATGCCCTCTGAGGACCAGGAGCTTTCTCTCATTCTCTCTGCGATTCTGCTTGGAGTTATAGTCTTGTGTGTTAGTATAAAATGAAAATAACCACAATAAAAATAAATAAATGCCCTTCCAGAAGATATGGTGTCCAGGCATTAAAAGTCCAGCATATGAGATATATTTGATCCACTGAAAATAATATACCATTGGAACTAGTGAAGTCCACTTTTATAATGAACAGAACATCTTGGCTTAGTTCTTCAATATTTTAACAACATGTTCAGAAGTATTTCCTCTAAGTGAAATCCTTGCTGTTATGAGCTTTTGCTTTTAAATTTGGGAAATAAATCTAATTCCCATGAAGAGTTATAAATGAGAATTATAAATATTATTAGCATTGAGTGACACCACAAAATCCCTTCTCATGTTAAATAAAAGTAAGCAAACTGTAACCTAGAAAGGTGTTCAAGTTTACTCAGCTGCTTAGTGACAGGGTCACAGCCAGTAGATATGTGTCCCTGATCCTAGCCCTACTGTTCTGACCACCTGCTTACCACTCAGTATTCTGCTAAGTGGAAAATAAATATAATAATAATTTGTGCAGATATAATTTTTAAATTATTTCTGTAAGGCTGAGTGTAAATTTGTGAATGGCAAATTTTCTCATTCTAACAGAGGCAAGTGCAGATAAGTTTATCTTACCATAAACTGATTTTTATCAATTCAGTGCCTTCACTATATTTTAGTTTTCTATTCAAACATTTAAGTCAAAACCTCTGACCATAAAAAAATACAGAAATAAATTAATTCTGTTTTTACATTGTCAGCAGAACTACTACAGCCATTCCACCTGCTGCAAAAAGTAAATAGTAAACTAATGCTCAAAATTAATCTTAGGCTGGGCGCGGTGTCTCACACCTGGAATCCCAGCACTTTGAGAGGCCGAGGCAGGCAGATCACCAAAGGTCAGCAGTGTAAGACCAGCCTGACCAACATGGAGAAACCCTGTCTCTACTAAAAATACAAAATTAGCTGGGTGTTGTGACGCATGCCTGTAATCCCAGCTACTCGGGAGGCTGAGGCAGGAGAATCACTTGAACCTGGGAGCCGGAGGTTGTGGTGAGCCGAGATGGCGCCATTGCACTCCAGCCTGGGTAACAAGAGTGAAAAGTCCATCTCAAAAATAATAATAATAATAATAATAATAATAATAATAATAATAATCTTAATAAATTCAGGTTGACAATGACATAGATCACAGAGCATAAAATTATGTGCTGTCATCTTACAATGTACATTCATAAATGCTTGACTTATGCAGTAGATTTTTATTACTACTATTTTTCATAGGTTAGTATTACTTCTAAAAAGGTCAAAATGGGAAGAAATTTCAGGTTAGCCTCCAAATAAAATGTGTCTAAATTCCAGGACTGAAAAAGGGGAAATAATACAGATGTTAACCTAAATGACATAAAATACCTAGAAAATCAGAATTGATTGGAAATGGCATATTTGAGTGTTTTTCACATTTACTAATGGAAAGCATACTGTATTTGTGTAAACAATATGTCAAAAAAGTGGCCTTATACTTTAGACATGTAGCAAATGAGAAATTGCCCTGGAAATGATAAATATTTGAATAACAACTCAAAAGTTACTGAGAATGGAACTGGAAACAGAAAATAAACCAGGCAATGAAGAAATCTGAGGGCTAGGCACAAGGGACTCCAAAATTGAATCCACAGTCTTTACACTCAAGTTGCCTCATGTGTAGTTGACAGGCAGAAATGTAAATGTAACCCGTATGTTTGCTGGGGTCACTCTGTCCTTTCAGAATTTCTACAAAGCAGGATTAATTTCAGGGGACTCCTTTTCAGAGGGTTTCTCATTCTGCTATCTTGTTCTTGCTGAACTGTCTCACCGCCATCCTTCCGCCCTGCTCTGACCAGATTTTGAAGAGTCTCTTGTCCTTGAGTTCAACTGAAACATCACTCATACAAGGCATTTGCATAAGACAGACGTTACTGAGGGTCTGTGGCAATGGGAGAAGGACCATTATATCATAAAATCACACACCACAGAACTTGACCATGGAATTGAAGAGATCCCTGGGCTCATAAGTTCTCTAGCCACTTTTTTCTGGCCATTTTGCTCCAGTTTCCCACTTTCCCATCACATTCTGCCCTTCGTCCCTTTCTTCTTTCTCCTGCTTACCACTCAAGCCCAATTCTCCTTAACCTCTTTGAGTAATTCTTTATTTCACTGCTTCTTCTAGAGTATGCCTTAATAACCTCATAATCTTCCCCAAAAGTAATCTGTTAGCATACTTTCCTAAACGGAGACAGATGCCTCCATAAAAGGAGCTCTTGGATCAAGTGTTAAAGTAACAAACTTCTCCCTAGCAACATGTATGATATAGCATGGTCATTCCTCCAAAACTAATGCAGTGTCAGCAGCAGCAGTTGCAGAGGAGAAAGCAATGGAGGCCTCAGCTTTATTGCCTGTATTAATAAAATTTATCTCTCTTTTCACAGTTACCATGAGGATAAACTGATTGAGCGTATGAACTCTGAGTTATATCCTAATACAACATATGCTATTCAATATCTAGCCATATCTGATTCACAGCACACTTCCAACTAATTTGACAGACATTCCTCCACACCTACCACATGACAGAGAGAAACTGAGGATGTTTCAGGAACAAAAAGTCATCAAAGATGATCCTTTTAAAACATTTACCTGTAAAACAGGCCACCACGAGACATTCTGGGTTGTTCTAAGAGAGAAGAACATGACAAAGATGTGTAAGAAAGAAAATACACAATGAATTCATTCATATAGGAGAGTACTGGTGGATAAATTACAAGTAGATTAGGCAGGGGCTTAAAGGCAGGGTAATTATTTCAGATTTAATTTAATAAATTGGAAACAAAATCACTGCTGTCATGTGTGATGTGACTGACAAATAAATAAGCAATTTGATTGCATAATAGTATCAGAGCATTCAGAATGTGAGTTGTAAGAGTTTGTATTTTCCGCTCTGGTCAAGAAATACCTATAGAGTTGTGTTCAGCCAGGACTCCATTATTTGAGAACTTTCATAAACTGCAGCTAATTCGAAGAGAATGGTAAGGAAGCCTGGTACTATCACACATGAGGAATGACAAAAAGAACAAGGAGTGTTTGCCCTGTAAAAGAGCTATTACAAGGGGATGACGTAATAGACCGTGACATTCCTAAGGACATGGTTTGGTATTTTTGACCTTTGAGTCCTCAGCGCCTACATATGGTTGTTACTCAATAAAGGTCTGTTGAATAAATGAATAAATAATTGAATGGCCAGCTGTCAGACGGAATAGAAATTCTATTTGTTCTTTGTGTCCCTAAAGGGCAGAGGGTGATGGGAGTTACAGAGATAGAGGTATAGATGGCAACTCAACATAAAGAAGATTTTAACATGTGCAACCTCCCAGCAATGAATGGAACTTCTGCCAGAGATGATCAAGTTTCAACTCACATGCTAGGGTGAACAGCTCATGCTTGACAAGGAATGACTTAAGCATCCCTTGAACTCTGTGACTATTCAGCTTCATCAAAATTGTTGAATTTTTAGCATGATATAGGTCTCTTATAATGACTTGCAATAACTTTGTTAATATTACTTGTAAATATAGTAACAGATTGCCCTAAAAAATTAGCTGCTTAAACAATGCTCATGTTGCATTTTGAGGTGTTTCATGAGTCACAAATTGGTGAGAGGAGACCACACATAGGTAAACACACAGGCAACCCCTACCTCCCACCATGTGTACACATTAGATGAAGTTTCCAATTTATTTAATTGAAGACATGAAGGCTTGTCAGAGTCAGGTGGCTCCACCTGCAAAGGCAGATGTTGCAAATCTCTACACACTTTCCTTTGCCCCTATTGCTTCTGAAGGGGGCAAGCAATTGTTATTTATATTTTCTATCAGAATACTGTCATATCTTTCCCTGTTATATTTGCACTTACACCACCATCTTGGAAGAACTTTTGCATTAACAGTTATATTATTTTGTTTACAACATCAACTCCCACATCCAATTCTTGAACTAAATTCGGCATCAGAAAGGCATAACTTGGGGAGAAAGTAAGATCACTGCACAATGTGTCTGAATAATACCTTTACCTAGGCTTTCCACAATTCTCAAAAACCTATTATTTCATACAATTATAAAAGTAACTTAATTCACATGATTTTCCTAAGGAATTAAATCTTCTTCTTTGAATATTATGTTGTCTAGTAATTTCTTAATTCAACCATTCTTTTTAGTAGCTCCTGGAAAGTATAGACAAAAGAAATCTTAGTGTTCTATATAATTATGATACTAGACAAAGAAATCCTAAGAAAGAAAGAATTTGATAAAGAGCTTTAAAAAGGAAACATAAAAGAAATAGGAAAGAGTTTTGGCTTTAATGACAAAAAAGAAAAAAACCAAAAGGTCTATTTTATAATATCTTGAGGTTTTGACAAAGAGTCTCTGCTTGATGAAAATTTATCAACCTTCTGAATCTTCTCCTAAGTTCATCTGCGCATTTCCTTGTTAAATCTAGTTTTAGCAGAGAGCCTTGCTAAGTCAGTTTAACAAGAAGCTTCACCCTTGATATTTGGCTCCTTATCCTCTGCCTGCCCTGCAGTGATGACTGATCGCCTGGGGTGTCTACAGCGAGAATCTTGTTAGGTTGGTCTAGCCAGAATCCCTCTCACCCCTGATGTTTCCTCTTAGTAATTTTCCATCCACTGACTCCCACCCTGCTCCTTGGCTATAAATTCCCACTTGCTCATGCTGTATTCAGAGTTGAGCTCACTCACTCTCCCAACTGCAAAACTCTACTGCCAAGGTACCTGTACCTATTGCGATGGTCATGAATAAAGTCAGCCTTATGATGTAACACACGTCAGTGAATAACTATTTCTTTAACAGTTAGTACAAACATAAGAGTAATTAAAATCTGCCTAACGACAGCCATCATTCCAAAAATTTTCAGAAGAAAATTCTGACTTTGTTTAAAAAAAAGGTAAAAAGAATAAGTTAGATGACTACCTTCAGACACTCTTAATGGCAATAAGCGACTCTAAAAGAACCCAAGCCCAGTTCTAACACAGAGAAGAAACTAGAGCATTAGAGTATTTATTAAGGAGGTTAGGCAAGAGATTTATGTGTCAGCTGTGGTTTTAGAACTTACAATTTTCTTTTTATGGTATAGAAGTTAATTCATTTATTAAGTATTTATTGAATACCTTCTCTGTGCCAGACACTGTTATGACTTTGCTTTATTCAAACAAAAATAGAAAAATATCCCAGTTCTAAGGAGCTCTTTAAAATGCTATTTTATTATTCCATTCGATTTTAATCCTAGCAATTCCCGCCTTGAGGAATGATTAGACAAACTTGTACCCATTTTGAAAAAAAATTTAAGTTATAAGGAAAAGTAAGCTTTAAACAAAACATGATATTATATTGATTATTGTTATTTTTACACTTCATTCAATAGCTTAAAATTCTAACAAAAATTAAATCTAACTAATCCAACACGATACTTTAGACTAAAAGCCATCATGTCTGCCAAAGTATTTACTCCAAATTCTATACATATTAACACTTCTCTCTCTCTCTCTTTCCTCTCTCTCTCTTTCCTCTCTCTCTCTCTGTGTGTGTGTGTGTGTATATACATACGTGTATATATGGTTTTAAATATACACGTGTATATATAGTTATAAATATACACATATATATGGTTATAAATATACATGTGTATATATATATGTATACTGTAGAAATTATGGCTTTTATAATGAGCAGCAGAATTATCGGTGATGAGAGAGGAAATCCAACCCATCACAGTACAAATGAATCAAGGACATAATAATGAATAATATCCAAAAGGGAAAGCAGTAAAGAACATAATGTCTGGAATGCAAAACTTTTACCACACTTTTATTTGACCTTAAGTAGCGTTCAGTACATAGAGTCAAAATATGTGTCCCAAAGAACATTAGGGCTGCAGAATATAAAAGGATGCCAAGCACAAACATGAAATAAATAAATAAATAAGCTAGTCATGGAGCGATGATTTTCATAGCAATATATAGGCTAATGAAACACTGTTTAATATAAGATTTCTCAAGATCTTTTGTTTTCTAATTAGATAGTATGACTTTCCAGGAAGAGCATATAATTTTTCAGTATTTATGAAATGTGCTTGACCATGGAAACATTTTCATGAAGAATTACTTTGCCAAAGTTTCCAAGAAACAGATTAAGGTGTTGGGAGCCTAAAAGAAATCATGTATACAAAGCATCCATTACGGTGCCTGGCACAGAGCAGACGCTCACTGAAAGGTATTAGTAGCTGTGGGAACAGTCATGGAATTCTTGTTGCTGTTATCACTGCGCAAGGAAAGCCATAGTTTTATGATGGCTGGCTCATACTCTAAACACATGTAAAGTGCTTCTGAAAATAGAAGAGGAGAGACAGAAGGGTTCTAGCAGACATATGTGCCACAACTTGTTAGGCATGCAAATGCATTATCATTGAATTCTTACAACCGTGGTAGAAGGTAGTCTTATTATGTCAGTTTTACAGGTGATGAGACTGAGGTTCACAGTATGCTAACAGTTCCACAGTAAGTAAATGATAGGTCTATCTGAATTCAGAATTAACTAAAGTTACTCTTCTTTGTCAAATAACATTAATTTTTTCAATAGACTCTTGATTTTATACTAGAGTTTATTGTTGTTTGCTTGTTTTATTTGTACTTGCCTTATAGTTTACTAAATAGAGTAGTGCTCTGGAAAATAAAGCAGAGCTGAGGGTAAATTTTGACTCTGCTATTGTTACCTTGGGCCTTAGCTCCTTATTATAAGATGGGATCCTCCCTCCCTTCCTTCCTCCATCCTTATCTCCCTCCCTTCCTTCCTACCTTTTTTCCTTTCTTTCTTCCATATAAAATCAGTGATATTTGAGCAAACTGAGTGAAGAGAGGAGTAGAAAAAGATGAGATTGGGGAGCTAAACACAATTATGAAGGGCATGATATACCATGGGAGGAAGGTGGAATTTTATGTTAAATAAGGGGAGCCACTTGAGGATCCTAAGCAAGGGAAGTGCATCATCACAGTATCATTGAGAAGATCTCTATTGCTGCTATTTGAAGAATGAATAGGGGCAATGGGGTGAGAAGCAAAAGTAGAGAAACCAGTTAGAGGCTGACGTGTCCACTGAGGCAAGAGAAGGCAGAGGCCTGGACTAAGAGGGTGGTCTATGACATGAGGTGAGGAGAAGTTCAGATATTATTTTCAAGGTAGTATCAATAAGGCTTGCCAATGTATGGGATGTCTAATTTATCAGAAAGGAAGGCTCCCAGAAGGTTAGCTTGAGTAACTTGATAAAACCCTATGTTTTTTACATAAAAGGAGAAGAACAGGGATTGGAGAAGATGGACATGGAAGGGGAAAAATCCAGAATTTCATTGTGGATCTGTTAAGTTGGAGAACCTGAGCCACATCCAAAGAAGGATGTCAAGCAGACGTTTGGACATGAGAGTGAAGAACTCAGCAGAAAGATGTGGGCTCCAATGGAAATGTGGAAGCCATTAGCGGCACAGAGCTCACAACCATGGCAGCTAATGAGATCACTTAGGGACAGAGGTTAGAGACGGAAAAGATAATAGCCTGAGGCCAAATTCTGAGTTACCTAATGAAGAGGTCAGAGAAGGAGCCAGCAAACAAAACAAACAAACAAAAAACCAAAACACGGCCGGGCGCGGTGGCTCACGCCTGTAATCCCAGCACTTTGGGAGGCCGAGGCGGGTGGATCATGAGGTCAGGAGATCGAGACCATCCTGGCTAACAAGGTGAAACCCCGTCTCTACTAAAAATACAAAAAATTAGCCGGGCGCGGTGGCGGGCGCCTGTAGTCCCAGCTACTCGGGAGGCTGAGGCAGGAGAATGGCGTGAACCCGGGAAGCGGAGCTTGCAGTGAGCCGAGATTGCGCCACTGCAGTCCGCAGTCCGGCCTGGGCGACAGAGCAAGACTCCGTCTCAAAAAAAAAAAAAAAAAAAACAAAAAAAAAACAAACAAAAAAAAAACACAAAAAAAGAATGAACTGAAGAAGGAAGGAAAGTCGGAGACAGTGGTGTTTTCAAACCAAGAGAGTAAAGCCCTACTATGGCACAGGCATAGAGGATTTTAAAAGTGGTGAATTACTATGTTAAACAGATGATATCTTGAAATATTAACTCTTTCTTCCCCTAGGATGGGATGAAGGTAATGCTGTGGCCCATAGGAGGAGAGGGACACTTCCTCCATGGGAGATAGATGCAAGGATGGGTTGGTTTAGAGATGAAAAGAAGAGGGAGTTTACATCTCATGGCAATAATTTTTTCAAAAAATGAGGCTCTTAGATCAAATCTCAGATACATGAAACCATGTAAAATTAGGACAAAGTTTCAGTATGTAGGAGTTCCTGTAACAAGGTACTGTGCAATATGAGGACTGTCTATATAAACATATAAATAGTCATAGTGGCAACAAAGATTGCAATATCTAAAAATATACTCTAGCATAAGGAAAAATGAACTTTCTGTCAAAGCTGAGCCTAACTGGCCTTGACCAAAAAGAATAGACTGCTATCTGCTTTGTAGAAAGTAGTCTTTCTACAGGGGGCTAGCGGCATTCCTCTTTCTTTTCATTGTAACTTTTACTTTGTTCAAGGGCCATTGTCACACTCACAGTGAAAGGACAACCTAGGGACTCTGCCCTTCAGAATAATTAGTAGAGACAGAGAGGAGCAGATCATTTCATGTTATAGATTGGCCCTGACCTTTGTTTCTGAATCTGATTATACTTGATGACTAAAATGGTGTAGTAAGGGCTCAGCTGAGACACCTGTAAAAACAATCCACCTCCAAAATGCGAGGCAAGGCACAGCTTGAGAGCCTGGTGAGCAAAAGACCACTGGGTATGCAGCTATAAAGCTGTAGACAGCTGATGCATACTTTGCAATGCTGGTTCTAAACTAACACCCACAGAGTTTACAAACTAAATGAAGTCGTACATAACCTTATTTAGCTGAGGGAATGAGTATATTTATCAATTATTCATAGTTTCTCCTACTTGGCCCTTAAATTGGAATTGACCTTTCTTTTAGCCACTTGGTGTTCCAAACTGCATTTTAGGGAAAACTCATCAAGTCCAGGAACATCTTCTAGAAAGAAATTACCCACTTCCTCTCCTCCATCACTGCAGTCAGTTCCTACTTCTCTAGTCTCAGCTGTGTTCAGTGCTTAAGGCTCATGTGCCTTTCCCAAAGTGAGGGGTAAGTCTCAAATTGGATGGGAAAAAACAAAAATTAGATACCACTACACATCTGTTATAATGGCCCAAATCTAAAACACTGACAACACCAAATGCTGACAAGAATGTGGAGCAACAGGAACTACCATTCCTTGCTTGTGGGAATGCACATGGTACATCCACTTTGGCAAACATTTTGCACATGGAACATCCACTTTGGAAAACATTTTGTCAATTTCTTGCAAAACTGAATATACTCCTACAATACAACTGAGCAATCACAGTCTTTGGTATTTGCCCAAATGAATTACAAACTTACATCCATACCAAAACCTGCACACAGATGTTTATAGAAGCTTCATTAATAATTACCAAAACTCGGAAGCAACCAAGATGTCCTTTAGTATGTGAATAGATAAATAAACTGTGGTACATACAGATAATGATATATTATTCAGGGCTAAAAAGAAATGAGCTTATAAAGTCATAAAACAACACGATGAAACCATAAATGCATATTACCAAAGGAAATAAGCCATTTTATTCATAATTGCCCAAAATTGGAATCAGCCAAGATTTCCTTTAATAGACATATGGATAAACAAATTATGATTCATCCTTATAATAGAATATTATTTGGCAATAGAAAGAAATGAGCTATCAACCCACAAAAAAGGCGTGAAAGAAACATAAAGGTATATTACTAAGTGAAAGAAGCTAATCTTAAAAAGCTACATACTATTTGATTTCAAATATATGACATTCTAGAAAAGGCAAAATTATTGATACAGTAAAAGAATCAGTAAAAAGATCAGTGGTTAATGGGGAGGGCGGGATAAATAGCAGAGGACAGAGGACTTTTAGGGCAGTGAAACTGTTCTGTATGATACTATAATGGCAGATACATGCTATTCATTTATCCAAACCCATAGAATGTACAACACCAAAAGTGAACCCTAATGTAAACTATAGACTTTGAGTGACACATCATTGACACATTGTCAAATGATGTATAGGTGCATCAACTGCAACAAATGTACCAATGTGTTTTGGATTTTGATCATGAGAGAGGCTGTGCATGTACCAAGACAGGGTGTATTTGGGAACTCTCTGTACTTTCTGCTCAATTTTGCTGTGAAACTAAAACTGGTTTTAAAAACACAGTCTGTTAAAAATTTGGACAAAAAGTAATCCTTTCAATAAGTATTTATCGGATTAGCTGAGACCCCCTAGATCTCTTTCACATATAGGGCTTATTGTGTCTACTCTAAAACATTCTTATTTGACTTTTTCTTCAGCCGAGTAATAGAAAGAACTTTATCTTAAGTGATCCTAATTCCTCTGGAGGCTCTATGATTTTTCTCCCAATATTGTCCTAGCTCCAATAGTTTGTAACACATTCTTAAACATCTTTCTAAGATAATCTATGTTCTGAAAAGCTTAGCAGTTATAATTCATTAGTTTTTTTATTTTTATTTTTAAATTTAAAAAGTCACAGGTGAAGGGAAAAATGCTATAAAGCCCTAATTTAGAATGACTTTTGAAAGGTTATTATTTAAGGCTGTCTTTTGAGAAAGTGACTTCAACAGGTTATGGTGGGCCTGAATTCAGACAGAACAAGCCCAAATTCCATCTTTCACTGCCATGCTAAACAGGAAGGAACACATAAAACTGTCAGGCATTTCACTGAAAGGTCTGTATTGGAGTTTTTTTTAAAAAAAATGAAACATTTCCAGTAGTAGTCTGGAAGATTTTATTTCATTTGTTTGCCTTATAAAGTCGTGCTTAGTCATCTTATTAAAAGACAACCTTGCTATAGAAAACACAAGCCTGCTCCATGAAATTATGCATCAACAAATATTGATTTGCACCAGATTGGACCCTGGTTGCAGGAAGGCAAAGCTATGGCCCAAATGGTCCCATTGATTCAGGATAGAGGAACTGTGTCTTCTGTCTGTTTTGACTCTCCAGGATTTCCCTAACTTTTCCCTCATCAAAAATATATCAGTCTGCGGACTGAGGTGTTGAATGAATGTGCCAGTAGGTGTGAAGCGTTGGGCAAGAGTGGCGAGCTCTTTGCGCCTCCCTGTCAATTCCTGCCCGCCACTGGCAACCGTGCCTGCCTTTCCTCTCAGCCACTGCTCTGGCTTCATGCTAATGACATTTCTTCTCTAAGCTTTCATTCGAAGGCCATTTCACCCACTACCAGTGTAAAACAGAACCACTTCTTTATCCTCACAAATATGGTAGACTCAAGTAGATGTGGCACAATGTGGGGATGTAGCAAGGGGGTGTGTTGAGTTTATTATTTATATACAACAATGCTTGATGAAACAGTTCATCTCTCAGTCCACTATCCTCAACTTTTGCCTTAAGGAAAGTGAACAGGTAATTAGCTTGCAATGAGTAAGTACCATGAGAAAGGAATGCCACATAGGTGCTATAGAACACATTCACTCAAAAAATTCTTGAAGAATAGAGAAAGGTGAGCAGGGAAGCCTTTCCTGAGAGGTAATGACTAAACTGAGACTCAAAGGACAGGAAGTATCTAAATCCACAAAAAGGGTAAGGCTGGGCAGCATCTAGTTGGTCTCATTCTTTGTATCAGGAAACTCAGATGGAAAGATGAAGTAACTTTGTCAGAATCACATAGCAGAACTGGGATTCATATTGTCCACAGAAGGGACAGAAAGACCAAAATTCAAATCTTAGTGGAAATTACTTCATTTCCATAAACCTTCATCCCTTCATTTGTTAAATTATGATGAATGAAATGTTTAGTGCAATGGCTATAAAATAATAATCAGTCAATCAGTGGTATTAATTCAACCATCATTGTCTCGTTTGATTCTGAGCATGCAGGCAATATGTCCGTCTTGCTCATTGATACATTCAAGGGCCTTATGCAACACCTGGCATAAGACAGATAATTAATATGTTTGAAGAAGTTATTGGGAGAATGAAATGAAAGAACACATATGAAGTTCAGGCATTATGCCAATATTTTCTCAAAAAATGTTAATTCTCATTGCCTGCAACTGTGTCAAAAACACAATCCCTTTAAATCATATATAGCCATGCACCACATAATGATGTTTTGGACTGCAAGTACAATTCTGGTCCCATAAGATTATAATATATTTTTACTGTTTTTTTCTATATTTAGATATGTTTAGAAACACAAATACCATTGTATGACAACTGCCTACAGTGCTCAGTACAGTAACATGCTGTACAGGTTTTCAGCTTAGGAACAATAGACTACCAGATAGCCTAGATGTGTAGTAGGCTATACCATCTAGGTTTGTGGAAGCACACTCTATGGTATTGGCACAATGATAAAATAACCTAATGATGCATTTCTCACAATAATACTCCCATCGTTAAGTGACACGTGTCTATAATTCTATTTGGAATTATGTGCGAGTTATCTTAAGTGTCATTTGGTATTGGTATCCAGGCTCAAGGTTACCACTCATGGCTAATAGTTTTCTAATTGGTGTTTTTTGGCAATAGGTCAGGCATGATCTACTGATACAGCCACTGGCACCATCTCAACAGAGATAATAATAATAAAAATTGATGTATCAAAGACAGAATATATAGCCCTGTGCATATGACTTCAGAGTTGTCCTCAGGAAAAAAATAGCTAAAAATAAATGATGAAAGTCATTTTGAGATTCCAAAATCTTAAGAGGCTTTTATATTCCTGTAACAAATTTGCATTTCCTAATTTTCTGTTGATATTTTGACTCTTTTATGGGCATGGATTTCATCTTTTCAATGATTATCTACAGTTCTCAGAGCAGTGAAGCCCTGGAAAGCTCTGGCTCTGCTGGACAACAGTGGACACAATCATCCAAGAGACTCTGTGCATGGATACATTTGGTACCAAGAACCTGTTGAGATGGTCACAGTCACAAAGCAATTCTGACCATTTATACAAAGAAGAACTAGTTGAGAGGTTAGGATTTGCTAAATGTTCTCTTTTACACTTGCCATCAATCCCCATGATAGCAACTAAAAGATTAGCCTAAACCTGATTGATAATAATTCCATTGGCCTCAGAAGACAGCACAAGAAGTGAAATAAAAAGCAAATAAAGTATCATTTTCATTTACCCTTCTTTTAATAATGAGAAAAATGTGTTAGGGAGATTAAAAGATACACATAAAGCAAATTAATTTTGCTGATAAAATTTTTGAAAATTATTAATATTATAGAGGACTCACATTATCAGAATTCAATATAGATTACCTGGTTTCAAATTCAATGCCAACCTACTTTAATGATGAAAACACTATACTATTATTAACTCTATTCTGGTCCCTTACCTGCCATTTAACTCTTGTAGGCCAAGGCCCACTATAAGCAGGAAATGCTAATATATGTACAAAATCTCTGGTAATTTTCATTTTTTAAGAATATGCTCATTGAAGGCCAACAGGTATGTGAAAAATGCTCAATATCACTAACTATCAAAAAAATAATTCATGATAAAAAAATCAGGCAAATTAAAACCACAGTGAGATATCATCTCATACCTGTTAGAATGGCTATTATCAAAAAGGATAACAAGTGTTGATGAAGATGTGAAGAAAAGAAAGCCCTTGCACATTGTTGGTGAGAATGTAAATTAGTGTAGCCATTATGGAAAACAGTATGGTTGATTCTCAAAAAATTAAAAATAGCACTACCATGTGGTCCAGCAATCCTACTACAGGGTATATATCAAAGGAAATGAAATCAGTGTGTCAAGGAAATATCTGCATTCCCATGTTCATTGCAGCACTACTTACAATAGTCAAGACATGGAATCAACCTAAGTGTCCATCAATGGATGAATGAATATAGAATGGTACATGGACACAGTGGAATACTATTCAACCTTAAAAAAGCCAAAATCCTATCATTTATGACAACATAGATGAACCTGGAGGACATTATGTTAAGTGAACTAGGCCAGGTACAGAAAGACAAATGCCACCCAATCTCACTTATATGTGGACTCTAAAATAGTCAAATTCATAGAAGCAGAAAGTAGAATGGTGATTACCATTCTACTTGAGCCTAGAGGCTCAAGAGCGAAGGGATAGGAGAGATGCTAGTCAAAGGACACACAATTTTAGTTAGACAGGAAGAATAAGCTCAAGAGATCCACTGTACATCATGGTGACTATAGTTAATAACAATATGTTGTACAATTGAAAATTGCTAAGAGAGTGGATTTTAATGTGAGGTGATGCATATGTGAGGTGATACATATGTTAATTTGTTGGAATTAGCCATTCCACAAGATATATATGTATGTATGTATTTCAAAAAATCATGTTGTACATCATAAATATATATAATTTTTGTCAGTTAAAAAAGTAAATATAGATAAACATTTGTTATGGCAAAAAAAATTGCTCATTAAAAACAGAAATGCTATGCTTTCAAATCAGTGCTGCCAGTGCCAAAGGGCTCCCCTGGTACTTAGTCTCCAGGGATACATGGCTGATGCCCACAGAGGTTAGTAACTCTAAGCCTGGGACTTTCCATGAAATGCTCCCATATGTTGTTTGTGACTTTCGCCTACAGTTCAGTTATACATTCAAGTATAGAACAAGTGTAAAACAAAAAAGTGCACTGCGTGTGGGGAAATGTATACTAAATATTAAACAGATACCTAGAAGGATCAGCTGGACAAGACAAGTTGTATTTAAAAAGTTGGTTTGAAGGATTTTTTGTTTTTGTTTTTACTTTTGCAATTAAGGTACTAGTCGGTGATTCAAACAATACTTGCAAGTTTGCCAATTAACACATTATTCTTATTCACAGACTACCTATATATCATCACAGATACCTGAGTGAGCAGCGAGAGACAGTATGCTTTACAGAATAAGCTGTATATCAGATCTCTGAATAGAGATCACTTGCTTAAATAAAAATCTGAGAGACAACCCCTTCTCCTGCCTGAAGCCTGACCTTTCTCCTTGTATTAGAGATTTCATTCGTTCTTAAGGACTTGGCTTCTGCAAGTGTTTCCCTGTCTCTCCTGCACTATCAACTTTTCCCTGTCTTCTGGATCATTCCCATAACCACACAAATGCCCTATACCAGCTTTAAAATCTCCTATAAAAATACTCCCCCTGGGCCTTCCACTATTTCCCTTCCATTCTCTCCTGAATCAACTCCCGAGAAGGCTTTCCTTCCCAGGGCACAACCCCAGTGAAAGCAATCTGGTTAAATGGAGCAGTGATATGCATTATAACACATCCAATGTTCAATTAATGGTCTTCATCTTACTGGACCTCCCAGCTGCATTTACACAATAGATTACTCTCTCCTCCTTGCAACATTATCTTCACTCACCTCCTAATAATATATCACTCCCTCCTAGCTTTCTTAGCCCTTCTCTGGCTGGTCTTGATGAGTCTTCTCTCCCTTCGCCTTTTCTCT
This sequence comes from Homo sapiens, assembly GCF_000001405.40. Taxonomy (NCBI): domain Eukaryota; kingdom Metazoa; phylum Chordata; class Mammalia; order Primates; family Hominidae; genus Homo; species Homo sapiens. The sequence continues at coordinate 81,649,642 of NC_000006.12, forward strand.
TCCTTTTCTTTACTATGTCTCAGGCTCTATCTACATACACTCCCTGGAAGCCTTACGAAGTCCTAGGGCTTTAGACAACATCATATGCCAATTACATCCAAATTTATATCTCTAGTTCCAATACTTTCTAAGTTGCTGATTGATACAGTAGGTACTTGATATCTCTATGTGGATGGCCATTTAAAACTCTGACATTCTTCCTCTTCTCAGTGAAGGTGCTACTAACAGGCCCTCAGTGTGGAGGGAGACAAAAGGAAATCTCTTATCTGAACTTAGCTAGTTGGTTCCTCTGTCTTTCCTCTTGTTCCCTGCAGTCACTTCTCCACCAAGATGCCAAAGGCATTTTTTTTTTGAAAACACAAATTACATTATGTTAATCTCATGCTTGAAACCCTCTAATGGCTTCTTGTCCATCACACTTGGGCATGAAGCCAAACTCCTGTTTGTAACACATAAGGCCATAAAACATCTGGCACCACTTATCTCTCTAGCCTTCTCACACTGACCATTCTGTTCCTGTCCCCTCTACTCCAGCCCCTTGGGCAGTAATGCCATTCCTTGGGCCTATCATGTTCAGTCCCACTTCAGGGTCCTCGTGTGGAAGTTAATTTCAGGTGTCAACTTGACTGAGCTAAAGGATGCCCAGATAGCTGGTAAACATTATCTCTGAGTGTTTCTGTGAGTGTGTTTCTGGAAGAGATTAGCATTGAAATAGGTAAACTGAGTAAAGAAGCTGTGCCTTCACCAATGTGGGTGGGCATCATCCAATCCATTGAGGGCCTGAATAGAACAAAAAGGCAGAGAAAGGGCAAATTTGCTCTCTGCTTGAGCTGGGACATCCATCTTCTCCTACCCTCAGACACTGGTGCTTCTGATTCTCAGTCCTTCAAACTTTGACTGAATGACACCACCAGCTTTGCTGGTTCTCCATCCTGCAGATGGCAAATCATGATGTTCTCAGCCTCCATAATTGTGTGAGTCAACTCCCTTAATAAATCTCTTTTTATATATCTGTGTATATCCTATTGTTTCTCTGGAGAACTCTGACTAATACACCTTGCATTTGCCAGTCTCTCTGCTTGGAAAATATTTCTTCTAGATTCTCCTATGCCCTTCGCTAGCTCCCTGTGCTCATATACTAGTTCCTCAGAGAGAACCTCTCCAGCCATCCTTTATAAAATAACTCTCACCCTCACTCACTACCTAAACTACCTAGCCTCCTACTCTAGTCTATTTTTCTCCATAGCACTTACCACTATCTGAAGTTATAACATATATTAATTTACATATTTATTATAATTCTCTCCAACTTGAATGTAATTCTATAAGGTAGAAACACAATTCTTTTATCCACATTTGTATCCCTAGTAACTAAAACAGTAAATGACAAATAATAGACATTCAATAAATATACTTTGAATAAAATAATAAACAATAAACATGACTGAGGAAACAATACTTTTCACACTGTGACAAATATACGGTGGGATTTTTTACATATGACTAATGGTGAAATATACAATTACATTTTATTATCATTGTACTATAAAATTCCCTTGGGCTTTGCTTTTAGTGGTACATTTAATTTAATTTAATTTTTTATTTTAATTTTTTCAGTGACATGGCTCTATATGATGCTATTTCTCCACTTATTATTTAGTAATTCTTCTTTCTCCTGTAGTTTCCCATAATATTTCTATGATGTTGGTTCCTTAAAAGCTAGCAGGTAACTTTAACGATTCATGCAACAAAGAATTTATTGGCACTGAGCAAAGACAAGCTCAGAACTTGTAATGCAAGCAACGGTTAGTGAAGCATTCCATACACATCCTCTTTCTGAAAGCAGGCCTACCCCACCCTTCACTTCACAATCAAGGCTTTACTTTAGGTATTTCTTTATGAAATATCAGAACAACAGTTTTGTTTTTAGTTGTTGTTGGTGGTGGTTAAACAACTATGAATTTGTCAAAATTCACAAAATTGTACAACAAAAAGTGAATTTTACTGCTTATAAATTAAAGTATAAAGAGAAAGCTAAAAAAAACTTCATGTCACATAACTGCATTTCTTCATGGCTGAAACAGAAAAGTTCTAAAAATGCTGCTTCATGAGGAGTCTCAAAAATTGCTGGAGAACACATTTAGAAGAAAGCTGATTTCTAGCAATTAAGCCAACCAGAGCTAATTTGGTCATAATAAATGATTGAACCTTATTAGTAGTCATGGATAGTTGAAGTTTTAGAAATTTAGAACATAGATAGAAACTTTTTTTTTACTTTTAAGTTCAGGGGTACAAGTGCAGGTTTGCTACATAGGTAAACTCGTGTCGGGGGGTTTGTTGTACAGATTATTTTACCACCCAGGTATTAAGCCTAGTACACATTAGTTGTTTTTCCTGATCCTCTCCCTCCTCCCACCCTCCATCCCCCAAGAGGCTCCAGTGTGTGTTGTTCTCCTCTAGGTGTCCATGTGTTCTGATCATTCAGCACCCACTTATAAGTGAGAACATGTGGTATTCGGTTTTCTGTTCCTGTGTTACTTTGCTAAGGATAGTGGCCTCTAACTCTATCCCTGCAAAGGACATGATCTCATTTTTTGTTATGGCTGCATAGTATTCCATGGTGTATATGTACCACATTTTCTTTATCCAGTCTGTCATTGATGGGCATTTAGGTTGATTCCATGTCTTTGCTATTGTGAATAGTGCTGCAATGAACATATGCATGCATGTGTCTTTAAATTCAAAGTGCTACATTACTCTAGCCTGCGAACAGTGTCATTACTAAGATTATGTAACATATGGAAATATATATGAGACAACCTCTAGTATAGTATTATTCTACAACTCCGTGTTTTTGACCAATGGCACTTTTGTGAAAGAGTAGAAAATTTGTTTTCTACTACATGTCACCTTGTCAGGAGCTGAAGGGCAACACAAATATAGGTACTTCAGCAATTATGAAAGATACTAAATCACACTGTAACTCCAGTTATTGGGAGTTCCTAATTTACTGGGGTTGTGTAAAAGACAGATGGTTGCTTTGGTGACAAAATAAAAAAAAATGGCTTCAAACATGAAGCAGAAGTAGATGATGTGGAGGTGAAATCAAGAGAAAGGGCAAGGTTGGAATCAAAGCTAAATCTAGAATATTAAGGACACATAGTCAATGAGGAAAACTAGAGAGAATACAAAAGAAAAACTAAAGCTGCAGAAAAAAAAAAAAAAACGTGAGCATGGGAAAGAAGAAAAGACCAGCAGATAAATTGTGCTATGTTTGTGTGGAGGAAAGTGGGTAAATGAAGATGTTAACTAATTCATGTGATGAGACATGAATCCATGTGGCCATGTACATTCCAAAATATCCAATTTAGTCTGTGATATATCTGAAATATGGAAATCTCAAGTTGTCCATATTCTCTCATCTGTGGTAATTCCAGTACTTATCTATAGGAAAGACGTTAAGGGAAGCAATCAGGTTAAAAAAGAAGACCAAGAGATTTATAATGAAACTATATTTTTATATGTTACATTGTTTATCCATAAATGAAGTTATAGAAAGACGTAACAAGCTTTTCTAATGAGGCTTTTATTAATATTTTGTATAATATTTTAAAATACTATAAGTCATATTAAAATATTATTTTATTTTTATGAACTTATACCTAGGAATGCTTTTGGCTACAAGTAACAGAATATTTGGCTAGATGTTAGACAATAAAGACTTTAATCACCTTAAAAAATAAGAAATCAAGGGGCAAATCTTTCTATATTTGATAGAGAAATTCAACAGTATCATCTGCTCTATCAGCCTTAAAGTATTATATTTTTGTCCTTAGGTATGCTAGCTTATGGTCTCAAGGTATCTGTCGAAGCACCAAATATCACAATCTTATACAATAGTATTCAATTAGGAAGGAAAGAACCTTCTTTGAGGCATTAACTTTTTTGTTTTTTTAATTGAGGAGAAAATCTGTCCTAAGAATCCCTGTAATACTTCCTTTTTACGTCTCATTGACCAGAACTGGGTCATATCCACCTGTAGGCCAATCAGAAGCAAAGTGGGCTAGAATTGCCATGACTGGCCCAGCTTGATCAGGAATTATGCCATAGAGATGACTGAGGGGCTTACCTTCCCAAAAACAAGAGATTTCTATCTGTTATCTAGACACAGCTGTGCTTCTATGCACAGGGAAAAAGCAGGGGCTGCAACACAGCTCCTGGGGGTTTATGGCAACATGTAAGAACTAAAACTTCCCACCAACACATTCCCGGGTGCTATTATTCTCTGCTTTGTCAGTTACAGATTCTTGTCTCAGCCATGGATATGTGCATTTTTAGTCAACCTAGAAAAATTAAGTGTAAAAATTAGTCTGGTCCCTAGGAATCCAAGGTGGCAATGTATTTCATATACTTGCAAATCAAAGCTTTTTATTTTTTAATTTACTTTTATTTATTTATTTATTTATTTTGAGACAGAGTCTTGCTCTGTTGCTCAGGCTAGAGTGCAGTGGCTTAATTCATCATGGCTTACTGCAACCTCTGCCTCCCAGGTTCAAGTGATTCTCTTGCCTCAGCCTCCTGAGTAGCTGGGACTACAGGCTCCCTCCACCACACTCGACTAATTTTTGTATTTTTTGTAGAGATAGGGTTTCACTATGTTGGTCAAGCCGATTTCAAACTCCTGACCTCAGGTGATCTGCCCATCTCAGACTTCCAAAACTGCTGGGATTAGAGGTGTGAGCCACCATGCCCAGCCCTGCAAATCAAACTTAAGAAAGTAAAGTTAATAAGTAGTTGATAAACAGTCACAAGTTATACCTGGCCTCAGACATAGATCTTTAGTCATGATCAAGCAATGTCTCTTAGATTTTAACTCAGGAAAATGATTATCCTATGGAATAACTTAACAACAGTGAAGTTCATCATCTCACTCCTACTGCTTGGAATTCCTAGTATCTGGAATTGCACCTTAGAAGGTTGTTTCTTAGACCAAGACATTCGTCATTGTCTGGCATATGGATAGTTATTTAAGTTCTACATTATTACATAGCAATGTAAACTAATATTGAGCTGTCTCCTGAGAAACAATTTTCCTTTGGGTAAGCAGAAGAGAGAAGTACTATGATGAAGCTTAGGAGATGATAATTTGGAACTGAATTTGCCAAGAGTAGCAGAGGCACACTAGAAGCTTCAAAGACCCACTTGAAAAAAAAAAAGTGATTTTGCACCAATCCTTGATTCTTTGTGCACTTTTATCACAAAATGAGGATTATACTACCCATTCACTCCTGGGGGAAAAAAATGACTTTTGTGCTGGGAATCTCATTGTCTTTCTGAGATTTTCTAATTTTTCTTAATTTTGATAATTATGGAAGTTTTATGAAAGGTATATCTTTTTTTACATGGGTTTTTCTAAAATTTCTCTAAAATTTAGATTTGGCTCAAAATCTTCCAGAAAGGGACTCCAGCTGAAAATCATACATTAATATAATATTATAGACTAATGTGCAAAGGTGGCCATTTTCAGGATGCAGACAAATCTGGAAAGAAATCCAATTATAAAATCTGAAAAAATATCTTCTGATTAGGTATTGAACCATTCAAAGCTACAATTTTCTCTTTAGGTAATTTTAATAAAAGATGCATCTATTCTGACTCTCAATGTGAATTGAGAGTTAATTTATATCTACCTTGATATAAAGGTCCGTATAATATAAAGTCTTAAGAATTTAATTTGAAAATAAAATGCAGTCACTTCATTTAGGAGCAACTTAATAAAGATGTTTATTTTAAATTCTAATAGTTTAATGAACAGAAGATAAATTTGTATAACTGATTTTAATACAGATCCCACTTACCTCTGTGTGTAGGGTAACTAACTTGCCTCAGTGTGTGAAAGACGTTCCTGATCTTAGCACTGAAAGTCCTAGTTCTCAGGAAACTAGGATGGTTGGTCACACAGCTGTGTGGAACACATCAATACTGAGAAGCCAAACAACTGCTGTAACTTCATTGATTACATATTAATCCATTCATCTAACATTTACGTCAGCATGTAGGATACATGGGGCATATTTCAGATTAACATTAGAACCCAACAACTTATTAAGCCATTGACTCAACATAATCATATTTTTCTATTCTGCTTCATATAAGATAATCATGATGATTAATAGAATAGCATGTGCATAGAACCCACAACTTCTTACGAAGCCACTGACTCAACATAATCATATTTTTCTATTCTGCTTAATATAATTATGATGATTCACAGAATAGCATGTGAGTGGATTTCTTAGCACCCGGAGCTAAGGTGCTATGTTTCAGTACCCAAGACAAGGAATTATTGTTGCTATTTGAATTTTCTAAGAACCTGAAAGAAATCTAAGCTCAGGTTTGTGAAGCCAAAAGGAAATATGTAATTGTGTAATTGTCTGCTGAATCTGGGTAACCAGGGATAGCCATACTGCTAAAGCAAACAGAGCTCACTTTGGGGCAGCTGAATAATTCTTGTTTTTCTTATACACCATTTGGAATTCAAACTGTGACCTTCATAATAACCCTCTGAGTCTTTCATTATTATCTGCTATGGCTAAGTGAAGTTAAGCAACTTGACCAAATTCATGTAGTGACTATATAGTATAGCTAGGCTTAAACACAAGTCTGTCTGTCCCTATGGCCTATGGTATTTGCATTACGGCACCACTTTCTGCCCAGCATAGTTGAAGTGCCTTCTGGGGAAAATTCATCATTTCAAATAAATCTTCATGTGTATATGACGTCAGTAAGCTCCCTCCATTAAAAAACACATTAGTTGAACAGTGATGACATACAGGTGGATCCACGTTTTCAGTATGATTACGTTACTGCTGTAATTGTTATTACTGTTTAGTTGTATAGAGCCAGGATGTTTCTTCATGGAACTTTCTCAGTGAAGCAAAAAGAGCATTCTTGAACAAGAGTTAACTGCTAGAGCAGCAGCATCTGACCTACACTCTTGCTCCTGAAGTTGTTCTCTGCACTCTGAGATTACTTCTCATACTTTCCTGGAAAAGGAAGAACATGCTCTTGTACTGGGCATAAAACACATACAAAAATCACCTCAGTCTCAGAAGTAGTGGTCGCCACTTGCCCATTTTGTACAGACATGAATATTTTCTCTTCTTTCCCTAAATGAGGGAAGTGATTGATCTAGTGAGGGATCCCAAGTGTTTCTCAATAGAGCATTGTGATAAAAGGAGTGGTCTCTAGAGCCAAACTGCCTGTGTTCAAATCCTGGTTGGACAACATGGTGAAACTACTTCAACTCTGGGTCTTTGTTTCCTTGTCTGTAAAATGGCAATGATCAATTTCGTTTAGAGTTTTAAAAGTACCTGATTTGATCTAAGTAAATCACTTAAGACGTAGCATATAGTAAGTTCTCTTATAAGTTTTAAGCTATTATTTTTCACCAGGCAAGGGCACACAACATTCATAAAAAGAGATTTACTGAGTCCCAGTATCTACAGTGCTTAGAACTAGACACTAGAGCTACAGGAGATTTAAGACATGGTCTTGGTATTTAACAATATTACAAACCAACTAAGAATACAAGAAATGTGGTAGAGTAGATAAACAGCAATACAAGGAGGAGCAGCTAAGGTGCAAAGTGTCTGTCATGAATTATTAAATTTGATTTCTGGTAGACATTATTAGGGAGATAGTATTTACCCTTTATAGACAAAAAACTAAGGCTCAAAGAAGTCTCCCCTGCTCGTAAACACTATGCATCCTGACTCACTACATGTGAAGAACTGAGACTTCGGTTTCTTCAGTACCAACATCTTGTCAAGTCAAAAGAGAGCCACTGTGAAAATCTTGGACATCTTATTGAAGAAGGGAAGCATCTGAGAAAAGCAGGAACATCCTAGGGAAGCCGACCCACGGAAATGAGATGCCAGAATCATGCAGGCTTTCTATTGTTCATGCTGGCCTGTCTCAAGCTCAGGTTCATTTCCAGTGTTCATCCTTCTTTCTGCCACGGTACAGACTTCAGGAATGCAGTGGGCTCTTCTTAATGCTGCTGTCACTCCCTCAGTTCTTGGAGATTGTCTTCATCTCTCTCATATTGTTGAAGGGTTGGATGGGGTCTCCTCTCTTACCATTCCCTTCCCGATCTCACCAACTTTCACAGCTCCTAAAGATCAGCTCACAGATTCGGTGTTTAATCTGTTAAAAGCCACTCTGTTTGGGGTAACAAAAAATAAACCATAATTAAAATAAGAACTCACTGTATACCAGTTTGAGAATCTCACAAAGTTCTTACAGTCATTTCTGGTTGATAGCTGCTGACTTCCCCTTGAGAAGTTAACAAGGCCTTGTGTGTTTGATTCTCTACTCCAGATACACAAAATAGAGTTGATGAAAACTCTGCTCCCAGATTTCTTCCTCACATTCCTAGACATAGATATTCTCTTGAATAAATGAGCCAATCAACCAACAGAGTGTATTGTTAGTGGTGTAAAACCGAACAAAGCAACTCCACCTGAGGAAAGTAGATTCATACTGAAGGCTTTGAATATGTCTTAGAAAAGTCACTCTCCATCACAAACAGTCTCATGAACAAATAGCAGCAACAACTGCTCTTGACAGATGAAAATAGTATACAAAGAAAAAATCAGGCTCTGGAATCCTGAAAGAGCTGAGTTCTTGGAGGTTGCATATATCTGGCATGATCTTCAGAAGCATAAATGTTAATTTTGATACTACCTAGAGAAATTGAAGCCAATGGGGGTGGGGAGACTGTTTAGCCTATCTCTACAGGCTGGATCCTGTGAATAGCTCCACCTCCCTATCAGATTTGAAAGTTTTACTTATTTATACTCAGTTGTGTTTCAAATGGGATTGAAGTAGTTCAATTTGCATAGATGAGTTAAATCTGATTATGATTGGTATATGTCAAGTTTAGAAGGCAGAAGGAGAGAAGAATGTCTCCTCAGATCTGAAACACACATATTTCTGAGAATAATCACTCAAAACACTTAGAAAGATGTGTTTTATGGAAAATAGATTTATAAACAGTTCCATTTTCATTCAAAGTAAAATCTCAAACCTTCTCTAGTGAAAAAATAAAAATTAAATAAAGAAACTATATTTAAAATGGCATGCATTTTATTTCACTAAAGTATAGGACATTAAGCAAAGGTTTGGTTGCCTTGGTGACAAATTGTCCAAAGAGATGCATATCTCACAAAAAGGATATGTAAAATGCTTTCAATATACTATATTCATTGTAGAGAAATACAAAAATTAAAAATAAACTGGATCAAACATCAATTTTTTTGCTGTTTAAAGAACGCCCTGGCTTGAGCAAAGGATACCTTATGCTATTTTATATTTCTTGATCTGCTAAAAGCCTTCCTAAAGTGTTTTGAAATTTACTGACAACCACAACGATTTTAAGAAAAGTTTTTAAATTTCAGTGATTTTATGTATGTGTTTTTGAAAAATTTAGTGTCACCTAGTTGTATTCCTAATTGCCCAAATGATTCACTAACATAGACCTAGCTAATAATTATCAACATGTCTATTATTACTACTCTGTAACATATCACAAATACACTAATCTAGACTATAAAGTAAATGTTTTTCCTTGTATGCTTTTTTGTTCTGCAGAGTCCATTTAATCAAAAGGAGGATTAGAAGGCCAATCTTCTAAAACACAGGCTTCTTAATCTACTGATAGATTAAGAAGACTAAAGTAGAAAGGTCAACTTTAGGGAAGCTATATGAGAAAATGTGTACTGGTGTACATTGGAATTGTTAACATAGACTGGGAGAGGGTCACTTAAATGAAAAGAAACTTCACTGAGTAGGATAGTCTAGGAAAAAACCAAGAGCAAATATGCAGGTGAGGGCCCCATCTCTCTCAAAACTTGTTTTTCTTTATTGTTAATCATTGGGATTACTGAAAATAATGAATATTTATTGGATTTTTACAACATCACCTGGGAAAAACTGTCATCAATATTTTGGCGTATTTCCTTCCCAATTTATTTCTATGAATATTTTACAGACTTGGTTAAACATTGTGTACAAGTTTGGATCTCATTTTCTTCTATTTAATATAAAAATAGGTGCTTTCCAATAGGATAGCACACTTATCGTAAACATCTTTAAAGGTTGTAAGAATTTTTCAACATTTTGGAAGTATCATAATTTACTTTTTCCATCCTCTACTTTAGAACATTTATATATTTAATGAATGTTGGTACTACTCACATACCTATTGATGTATTTGTGATGTGAAGGAAGGAGAAAAAAAAAGAAAGCTAGAAAGATCGCAACCTTTAAAAGAAAGATATAGTACACTTTAAAAAAATCCCAGCCTGATAATAGGTATGTTCAGTTCTCATTTATATATAATATGTCATACATGCTGACACACAAATTGGAAAAAAATAGAGTTTAATTTATATGTGATGACTTGTAATGTTGTCAGGCTAAATATCTGGGCTATTAATATGGATCCCAGGAGTTGGAAATGATTGCCTTTTATGTTGCTTCTCTTGTTAAAATTAGCAATTTAACTTTTGCATTTTGAACATTCAAGTAACAATATTTTATAGCATTAGGTTGGTGCAAAAGTAATTGCTGTTTTTGCCCCTAAAAGTCATGGCATAAACTGCAATGGCTTTTGCACCAACCTAATAACATTTTTAAATGCCTACCTGCAAAGATCAACCAGGAAAAAAAAGAGGATATGAGTTTCTGTTCAGTTGACCAAAATTATATTTTTAAAATCTCGATGTATATTAAAAATCTGAACAGAAAAATCCAAATAATAACTATCCTTGAATGTTGGAGATATGAGTAAGTTTTTCTCCTTTTCTTATTTTTTATTTTGTTAAAAATTTCATAGTAAATAGGAATTCATTTTATAATAGAAAAAATATAAATTCTACATTTTATTAAAATAAAAAGTATACCTGGCATTGATTCCAATCTGCTATTCCTTAGCTGTGAACTTGGATGAACCATTTGATCACCCTAGTCCTCATTTTCATCATGCATAATGATGATTAACAACATCAGCTCTGCCTAACAGATGCATTTTTTATAAGAATTAAATTAAAATGCTTGTGAAAGTAGTATACAAATTAAAACATTCCATATAAATATACGATGTCATTATGACCAGTGATTTAACTATATGGCTAAGTAAAGAGAAGGGAGGAAAGATAACTACAGTTTCTTCCACTCCTTAGCAGACACCCAGGTATTATTTGGCAAGCTACACTTAAAGGATGCTGAGAGGGAGGGAAAAAAGAATAGGGGTGAAGTGGAGAAGGAGCTATAAAAGTAAGAGAAAAAAAAATCTGCCTACAGATTTTTCATAATTATCACTTACACCAAAAGAAAATTAACTTAATGCTGTGTTATGCACCCCTAAAAGCCATTATGATCAGATGCTAAGAGCTCTTCAGATTGCTGGATATTCCTCTTACCTGATTACATGATGAAAGACAACAGTTGTTAAGTAGTTTCCCAATTTAGCCTTATCCTTTTTTCCTACATTTCTTTATTACACTACACCACAATAAATTCTTCACCAAAATAGATTTCATGTTGTCAATTGTGTAATCCATTGGCTTCAAAATAAACTAGATTTTAAAAATCAGTTAACTCCCCTAATAAAAGAACTCTTCCATAAATAAAAATAACACTTATAATTAATTAATATATAATTAGTATATAATTAATACTATATTAATGTGATATGAAAACGTGTCACTTTTTTTTTTCATAATATAATCTCGACTAGATCATTTAACACATTTAGATGTATTAAACTCTTTTGATAGCTCAAAAATCGTATTTTATGCTAGGCATCAAAACCTCTTTATTTTTGTCAGTGATTATAAAATGCTTTTATGATCTAAGACGCTGGGTCAAACTCCATTATCAAAAACCATCACTCATTTTAAATTACAATTTCAGAAATCCTTAAAAGTCTCAAATCCGTAAACATTCTGTTTCAAATTGCTTTCAATATAGCCAACCTCTTTCGGAGTCAACTGTTTTGATTTCATCTTCTGTAATGCATTTGGAGGGTTTTTTTTTTTTTTAAGCAAAAACAACAACAACACTTGATCTTATTCAGTATTAGTTCCTGTTATACCAAGAGTTTTACAGCCTGCAGAATGAGCCCACTGTAGTCTAACTGCTATCCGCAGACCCAGATTATCAGTGAACAATGCAAGTCAAGATTGCATGGTCCATGCCCTCACAGTGGGAGCTATTTAGTTTCTCTGGGGTCTTTTAGTTTCATCATTTACAAACAGAGATATTTGAATAAATACATTTTCCAAAGGCATATTTTGGAGCATAGTGGTCCTACCTGATGGTATATGAAAGACAGATTGGGGTGGGGTGGGATGAGGGGATCATTAACATGGTGAATTTAAGAAAGGCTGTATCCTGTATTACTTGTTAAGGGAATCATAATGGGGATGAGCCAAGTAGATACTTAGAAGAAACCTTTGTAATTCACCCTAAATCACTGTTTCCATAGTGTATGTAAGCATGCAATCATTCTGTATTTTAGAGAGAAAGTAGAGACAGTGAGACTCCAGAACACTGGAAAACAATTTGAGAAAGTAGATTTTATAATTAATAGCATTCCTTTTAGCACTAAAACTTTCTGATATTATGTTGGTCAACAAAAGAGTAGTAAAATGTATCCTGCTTATAAGACAATTATGTCAGAAAACCTTACTATATGGTAACAAATAAATTAAAAACTAATAAAGTCCCCACTAAAAATGATTAATGCCAAATATCCTTTTTTTGATATTTCATACCATGAAGAGTTGCCTAACAGCAGCATAAATCTAGGTGAAAATGGAAGAGATATAAGATTATCAAGCATTAAAGATTACTGTTTCATATTCAAAATAAGTTTTTGTTTACATTTTATTTTACATTTTTAGAGATGAGGTCTCACTATGTCGTTCAGGCTGGAATGCAGTGATACATATTGCAGCCTTGAACTTCTGGGCTTAGGTAATCCTCCCACCTCAGCCTCCAGAGTAGCTAGGACTACAGGCATGCACCACCACACCCAGCTAATTTTTATATTTATTTTTGCATTTTTTTTTAATTTATAAAGAAAAGAGGTTTAATTGGCTCATGGTTCTGCAGGCTGTACAGGAAGCATGGCAACACTGCTTGGCTTCTGGGAAGGCGTCAGGAAACTTACAGTCATGGTAGAAGCGGAAACGGGAGCAGGCACTTCACACGGCCAGAGCAGGAAGAAGAGAGATTGAGGTGGAAGGTGCCTCACACTTTTTTTTTTTTATTATTATACTTTAAGTTTTAGGGTACATGTGCACATTGTGCAGGTTAGTTACATATGTATACATGTGCCATGCTGGTGCGCTGCACCCACTAACTCATCATCTAGCATTAGGTATATCTCCCAATGCTATCCCTCCCCCCTCCCCCCACCCCACCACAGTCCCCAGAGTGTGATATTCCCCTTCCTGTGTCCATGTGATCTCATTGTTCAACTCCCACCTATGAGTGAGAATGTGCGGTGTTTGGTTTTTTGTTCTTGCGAGAGTTTACTGAGAATGATGATTTCCAATTTCATCCATGTCCCTACAAAGGACATGAACTCATCATTTTTATGGCTGCATAGTATTCCATGGTGTATATGTGCCACATTTTCTTAATCCAGTCTATCATTGTTGGACATTTGGGTTGGTTCCAAGTCTTTGCTATTGTGAATAATGCCGCAATAAACATACGTGTGCATGTGTCTTTATAGCAGCATGATTTACAGTCATTTGGGTATATACCCAGTAATGGGATGGCTGGGTCAAATGGTATTTCTAGTTCTAGATCCCTGAGGAATCGCCACACTGACTTCCACAATGGTTGAACTAGTTTACAGTCCCACCAACAGTGTCAAAGTGTTCCTATTTCTCCACATCCTCTCCAGCACCTGTTGTTTCCTGACTTTTTAATGATTGCCATTCTAACTGGTGTGAGATGGTATCTCATAGTGGTTTTGATTTGCATTTCTCTGATGGCCAGTGATGGTGAGCATTTTTTCATGTGTTTTTTGGCTGCATAAATGTCTTCTTTTGAGAAGTGTCTGTTCATGTCCTTTGCCCACTTTTTGATGGGGTTGTTTGTTTTTTTCTTGTAAATTTGTTTGAGTTCATTGTAGATTCTGGATATTAGCCCTTTGTCAGATGAGTAGGTTGCGAAAATTTTCTCCTATTTTGTAGGTTGACTGTTCACTCTGATGGTAGTTTCTTTTGCTGTGCAGAAGCTCTTTAGTTTAATTAGATCCCATTTGTCAATTTTGTCTTTTGTTGCCATTGCTTTTGGTGTTTTGGACATGAAGTCCTTGCCCATGCCTATGTCCTGAATGGTAATGCCTAGGTTTTCTTCTAGGGTTTTTATGGTTTTAGGTCTAACGTTTAAATCTTTAATCCATCTTGAATTGATTTTTGTATAAGGTGTAAGGAAGGGATCCAGTTTCAGCTTCCTACTTATGGCTAGCCAGTTTTCCCAGCACCATTTATTAAATAGGGAATCCTTTCCCCATTGCTTGTTTTTCTCAGGTTTGTCAAAGATCAGATAGTTGTAGGTATGTGGCATTATTTCTGAGGACTCTGTTCTGTTCCATTGATCTATATCTCTGTTTTGGTACCAGTACCATGCTTAACCAGGAAGAAGTTGAATCTCTGAATAGACCAATAACAGGAGCTGAAATTGTGGCAATAATCAATAGTTTACCAACCAAAAAGAGTCCAGGACCAGATGGATTCACAGCCGAATTCTACCAGAGGAATTCGGTAGAGGAGGAACTGGTACCATTCCTTCTGAAACTATTCCAATCAATAGAAAAAGAGGGAATCCTCCCTAACTCATTTTATGAGGCCAGCATCATTCTGATACCAAAGCCGGGCAGAGACACAACCAAAAAAGAGAATTTTAGACCAATATCCTTGATGAACATTGATGCAAAAATCCTCAATAAAATACTGGCAAAACGAATCCAGCAGCACATCAAAAAGCTTATCCACCATGATCAAGTGGGCTTCATCCCTGGGATGCAAGGCTGGTTCAATATACGCAAATCAATAAATGTAATCCAGCATATAAACAGAGCCAAAGACAAAAACCACATGATTATCTCAATAGATGCAGAAAAAGTCTTTGACAAAATTCAACAACCCTTCATGCTAAAAACTCTCAATAAATTAGGTATTGATGGGACGTATTTCAAAATAATAAGAGCTATCTATGACAAACCCACAGCCAATATCATACTGAATGGGCAAAAACTGGAAGCATTCCCTTTGAAAACTGGCACAAAACAGGGATGCCCTCTCTCACCACTCCTATTCAACATAGTGTTGGAAGTTCTGGCCAGGGCAATTAGGCAGGAGAAGGAAATAAAGGGTATTCAATTAGGAAAAGAGGAAGTCAAATTGTCCCTGTTTGCAGACGACATGATTGTATATCTAGAAAACCCCATTGTCTCAACCCAAAATCTCCTTAAGCTGATAAGCAACTTTAGCAAAGTCTCAGGATACAAAATCAATGTACAAAAATCACAAGCATTCTTATACACCGACAACAGACAAACAGAGAGCCAAATCATGAGTGAACTCCCATTCACAATTGCTTCAAAGAGAATAAAATACCTAGGAATCCAACTTACAAGGGACGTGAAGGACCTCTTCAAGGAGAACTACAAACCACTGCTCAAGGAAATAAACGAGGATACAAACAAATGGAAGAACATTCCATGCTCATGGGTAGGAAGAATCAATATCGTGAAAATGGCCATACTGCCCAAGGTAATTTACAGATTCAATGCCATCCCCATCAAGCTACCAATGACTTTCTTCACAGAATTGGAAAAAACTACTTTAAAGTTCATATGGAACCAAAAAAGAGCCCGCATTGCCAAGTCAATACTAAGCCAAAAGAACAAAGCTGGAGGAATCACACTACCTGACTTCAAACTATTTTTGCATTTTTTAAGAGATGGGGTCTCATTCTGTTACTGAGGCTGGAATCCAGTGGTACAATCATAGCTCACTATAGCCTCAAAGTCCTGGGCTCAAGCAGTCCTACCACTTCAGCCTCCAGAGTAATACAGGCATGTACCACCATGCCCAGTCAAAATAAGCTTTGATAACAAGGAGTCTTTATACAATGGTGTATTAGTCCATTTTCACACTGCTATAAAGAAATACCCAAGACTGGATAATTTATGAAGGAAAGAGGTTTAATCGACTCACAGTTCCACATGTCTGAGGAGGCATCAGGAAACTTACAATCATGGCAGAACGGGAAGCAGACACATCTTACAATGTGGCAAGTGAGAGAGTGAGCATGTGAAGGAGGAACTGTCAAACACTTATAAAACCATTAGATCTCATGAAAAGTCACTCACTATTATGAGAACAGCATGGGGGGAATCACCTCCATAATTCAATCACCTCTCACCAGGTCCCTCCCTCAACACGTGGAGATTATGGGGATTACAATTCGAGATGAGATTTGGGTGGGGACATAGAACCAAACCATAACAAATGGTGCCCTTTCTCTTTTGCAAAAAAATACCTTTATCATTTGTATAATGTAAAATGAAAAGCCATAAAAAAATTTTTAATCAATGCTTCCAATTCTTAGACATCTGTGTTTGCATGGTTGCTGTATATCTAGTAGATGAATTAATGGTTCAGGGTAAATTGCAGAGAAGATAGAATGGTTTGAAAGGAAACCAAAGCACATTCATTCTCCAGGACTTAGAGAAGCTGGAATAAGAAATGGTGTAGAATCACTGTGGAGACTAGAGTCAAGGGAAATCATAACAAATTACTTTTCAGTTAGATTACAATTAGCCGCCATCTCATCCCTATGTTCCTGAGAAAAAACACTTGCTTTGAGTGCTAATAGCTTGGTAACAGAGCAGAAGGGGGAAAAAATGCAGTGCCAAGATCCTGGGTTTCCTTTTTCCCTATATTTTTTTGTTCCAAATTTACCTCAGCATTTGCCTTCAGCTAGATAAATCTGGATCCAAATCAGGCCCTGTCACTAAATTGGCTATATTTTCCTGGGCAAATCCTTGGATGTCTCTGAGCCTGTTTCTCTCATATGTGAAACTGACATAAGAGTACTTAACTTGCATATAACATGAAAACTAGAAATAGTGTATGTTAAAGTGCTGGCACATAGCAAATCAGGTCTGACCCTAGGCACATGGATCAATGAGTGGAGTCTGTGATAGTGCCACACCAGTTCTATATAACAATATTTCAAACCATTTCCATATAACAATATTCCCTCTCATGCAGATGTGCAGTATTCTCAATTCTGTTGGATAAAATAACCCCCAAACCCATCCTGTGCTCTCCCAGTATGATGTGTTGTGGTGTCATAGCTAAAAGTCATTTAGGATTTGCTGTGTGCTAGGCACTGTGCTCAGTCTATCACATACAGGCTCTCAATGACTCTCCACAAGAAACTTTGAGGTTGAAAGTATTACAAATGAAAAACCTGAGGAATGAGGATGGTGATGGTATCACCTCTGGTAACCCTGGCTGTAACAGAGCCGGTACTAAACCCAAATCTTTCTGACCCCAAAGCACATGCCCTTCCTCATCTCACAGTACTAGTACCTGTATCCAGGTCTGTCCTGATGGAGTAGTTTTTGCTCTAAGCAAGCACTTTCCAACCTTTTCCTGAATAGCTTCTTTACAAAGATAAAAATTGTATAACCCTCTATTACACCCCTCCCCAGTTATACTTGCACTTTTAATTTTCTCTGGGAGTTTGCATAAGGATAAATGTTATCTTTACTGCAGATATGCTTTCATATGAATTTGCTTGTTATTAGGCATGACAGCAGCTATACAGATTAGAAAATTAGATTTACTATTGTGTAGAAGACATACTGGCAATCTAGACAGTGTTTCGTGTACTCTGGATAACGCTTTTAATAATTCCACAGCCACCCTTCTCAGAAATCTGCAGCCATCCATTGGGATTCACTATCTAGCTCTTTCCTGACACTGGCAAAACTTACGTTTAACTTAGAAAGTTCTATTTTTGGTGGGTAAGTTAATCTATAGTTTATATTATTATACATTTTAACAGAAATGTAAAACCTCTATTCTCATAAAAACTTAAATTTCAGAGATCCTTCAATTTAATCTCTATATATTCACATATAAATCCGTGATGTGTGTATTCACTATATGCGAGGTACAGAAATACAATAGTGAATACAATAATAATGTCTGCCCTCATAGAGTTTGTAGTCTGCTGGGATGAATAGATGAGGAAGCCAAACATCAATTAAAATACATACTACAAAGTACTTTGAAAAGCAGTACAAAGTGCCTATGTGGCTGAAATGAAATACCTAATTCACATCATCAAGAAAGGCCTCCAGCAGGAAATGTCTAATCTATGTTAAGAAGAATGACAGGAAACAGTCAAATGAAGGTATCAGTAAGGATCAAGAAAGACAAGAGTGTGGATGAGAGAAAGGATGGTGGATTTAGGGAATCAAAGAATCTTGGTAGATGGTAATGGTAAGAGTGTGAAGTATAGAGTGCCTTAAAATAGGCTGGGCGCAGTAGCTCACGCCTGTAATTCTAACATTTTGGGAGGTCAAGGCGGGTGGATCATTTGAGGTCAGGAATTCAAGACCAGCCTAGCTAACATGGTGAAACCCTATCTCTACTAAAAATACAAAAAAAAAATTAGCTGGGCATGATGGCGCATGCCTGTAATCCCAGCTACTCGAGAGGCTGAAGCAGGAGAATTGCTTGAACCCAGGAGGTGAAGGGGTTGCGGTGAGTCAAGATCATGCCGCCACTGCACTCCAGCTGGGGCGGCAGAGTGAGACTCCATCTCAAAAGAAAAAAAAAGACTTGGGTATGGATGAGAGAAAGAATGATAGACGGTAATGGTAGCATGAGTAGTATAGAGTGTCCTAAAATAAAGCTGATGCCCTAAGTGTTAAAGGTCCTTGTTAAGGACTACAGATATCATGTGGTCTAACTGGCATAAGAAAGAAATATTATGCCTCTTCAAATTGCTTAACAAAGATGCCAACCTTATCTGCAGCATGAAGAGCCAGCTCTGAGCTCTGAGCCAGCTTTTCTAAGTCCAAATCCTGCTTCAGCATAACACCAGGTTACCTTTTTATCCAGATGGGTGGATCTGATGTACCCACCCATCCCTTGGCTGCTGCAAGTGTTGGCAGCTAAGAGTTCACAGCTGCACCCTTCCTCCAGAAAATGTCCCTGGGTTACTGGAAGCCACTCCACCCAGGAAGGATATTCAGCACCCTTATAATATAGCAGAATGCCCTTGCAGTGTAGTTTAGACTCAAGAGCCTCCCTGCATCAGACCAAGACTAGACTTGATTGATCTAAGACCACATTTTCAATTGCCTCTTTCTTCTTCCTTACTCGGCTTCACTCCCTTTCTTTTCTTTTTTCTTTTTCTTCTTCTTCTTTTTTTTTTTTTTTAAGACAGAGTCTCTTTCTGTCACCCAGGCTGAAGTGCACTGGCATGATCTCGACACACCACAACCTCTGCCTCCTGAGTTCAAGCGATTCTCAGACTCCCAAGGAGCCGGGACTACAGGTGCGCACCACCATGCCTGGCTAATTTTTTTGTATTTTTAGTACAGAACGGGGTTTTGCCATGTTGGCCAAATTGCTCTTGAACTCCTGACCTCAGTTGATCCGCCTGCCTTGGCCTCCCAAAGTGCTGGGATTACAGGCATGAGCCACCGTGCCCGGCCCACTCCCTTTCTTAGAACTTTTCCCAAAGAGCACTCCTTTCATAAATCAAGTGCACCTGAATCCCTGGTTAGTCAGGCTCTGTTTCTAAGGAACTCACCTAAGGCATGCCACAAAAATTAAAGAAAAATGTTATCAGGTGAAATACACACAAAAGATATTAAACTAAAAAACTAAGCCATGTTATCTTCAGATAGATGACTCAGTCAAGCTGTTATTAATGTAATCCTCTAGCCTCTTGGAATGGTGCTATAATTGAGGGAACTCAATCCAGAAACAAATAATTTCAAAATTACTCAAATTTTAAATGTGCAATCTTCCAAATAGCATACAAGGAATGTATAAGCCTGAACACTACATAAAGTCCTTCTCTAAGCAATCTACTTTCCTCCCATCAAAGTTGCCTATCAACTTTCCTTAAAGATTTTCCAGCTCATTCTACTCGAGTCCTATCCCAAGTGACCCTTTTTGTCTTTCCCATTTTTTTCCTGATAGTACATCACTACAGCATAAAATACCCACCTACACACCCCCTCAGAGGTTAAATAGATCAGGTGGTTCCAGGTGGTGGATAGTGGAGTAAATTAAATGCTATTAGTAACATGCATATATCCATAATTATTGTAACATTGTTATCAAAGTGCTCCACAAATTTTCTGATTATACATTTGAGAACTAAATCCATCCTTACTGATTTTCTCAAAAGATTTTTCCATTTTGTTTCTTAATATGTTGTGCTCTATCAACAAAGCAGAAAAACAACTAAATCCCTAAAATGAAAATGGAAAAAACTAATTGATTAAAATGAAGTGACTAAGATGTATTCCTTATTGCTGTGTCTCTTCATGCATATAAGAGGCTAAATGCATATTATAAATAGAGGGTCCTTGAGTATCAAGAGAGCCTTCCTTAAAAACTATGAACTGAGACAAAGCAAAACATAGGACATCAAGAATTAACTTCATCAAGGAAAATGATTAACAATATCCATCTTTCAACCAATGCATCAGTTTTGAGATTATAAAAAAACACTTTTGCACACATCCTTGGCATTCCCACAGTAACATTCAAGTGTCAGTGGATGATCCTTCCAGATGTCCTTCCAGAAGGTATCTGTACTTTCCTAGGGTGAACGACTAAAACTAAGAAAAGTCATTAAAATCTTAGTCCTGGAAAATGTATCTTTGAAATTCTCCCTTCAGTTGATAGTGGCAGCAGTAGCAACAGCAGAGCCCTATTTATTGCAATGTGTCAACACAGCCCAGTTACTCTGAATGTAAAGTACTGTGTACAGCAGAGCTTGGCCCCACCACTGCTTTTAGGAAGCCCACTTTCTGTCAAGTGGGTTGCTTTTCTATTTTATTAGATGCAAACTAAGAAAAATCCTTGTTTTTATGGCCCCAAGAAGTTTGTGTGCATACTTCAGGTGCCTGATTTATATGTTTTTCTAACCAACTCCAAAAAGAAAATATGATCATAGGTATTTTTTGTAAGTGTTGCAATGCCAGACTTTCTTCCAGCAAGTTGAAGCAATGGATGGCTAAGTCAGCCTTACCTTCTCAGTCTGTTTAGTCAGAATGAGATCAATTGCCCCCATGCAGTTTTGAGCTCCTCGAAAAGGGCTTCTGTCTTATTCAATGTTGTATTTCAAGTATCTAACATATAATTAATTAGTGCTTAATATTTTTGAGCTGAATTTTTTTTATCCACATAGTAACAATGTAAAAGGCTTTCCTGGTACTTTCAGGAGTTACTCTGATAAGTTGGTGCCTAATAATGTATATAACACTTGTGCCTTCCCATTTAATATACCATCAAATGAGATCTTAGAGTCAGTTGTATGAGATGAAAACACGACATACAGAATACCTTGGAGATATTTCAGGTTTGGTTCTAGACAACCGCAATAAAGTGAATGTTGCAATAAAGTTAGCAAGTCATGCAAATTTTTTGGTTTTCCAGTGCACATAAAAGTTATGTTTATACTATGCTGTGGCGAATTCAGTATGCATTCACATTATGTCTAAAAAAAATGTACATGCCCTTGGTACTTACATAAAAACAGCCATAGATCAGTGGAACAGAATAGAGAACCCACAGATAAACCCATACATCTACAGTGAACTCATTTTTGACAGAGATGCCAAGAACACATACTGGGGAAAGAACAGTCTCTTCAATAAGTGTTGCTGGGAAAGTTGGATATCCATATACAGAAGAATAAAACTAGAGCCCTATCTTCACCATATACAAAAATCAAATCAAAATGGACAAAAGACTTACATCTAAGACCTTAAACTATTAAACTACTAAAAGAAAACATTGGAGAAATTCTCCAGGACATTGGACTAGGCAAAGATTTCTTGAGTAATACCCCACAAGCACAGGCAACCAAAGCAAAACTGGACAAATGAGATGACATCAAGTTAAAAAGGTCCTACACAGCAAAGGAAACAATCAGCAAAGTGAAGAGACAACTCACAGAATGCCACAAAATATTTGCAAACTATCATCTGACAAGAGATTAACAACCAGATTATGTTAGAAACTTAAAAAACTCCAGAGGAAAAAATCTAATAATCCTATTAAAAATGGGTACAAACTGAATAGATTTTTCTAAAAAGAAGACACACAAATGGCAAACAGAAATATGAAAAGGTGCACAACATCTGTGTTAGTCCATTTTCATGCTGCTGATAAAGACATACCCGAGACTGGGCAATTTACAAAAGAAACAGGTTTAATTGGACTTACAGTTCCATGTGGCTGGAGAAGCTTCACGGTCATGGCAGAAGGCAAGGAGAAGCATGTCACCTCTTACATGGATGGCATTAGGCAAAGAAAGAGAGCTTCTGCAGGGGAACTCCTCTTTTTAAAACCATCAAATCTTGTGAGACATATTCACTAACACAAGAACAGCAAGGGAAAGACTTGCCACCATGATTCAATTACCTCCCACCAGGTCCCTCACACAATATGTGAGAATTCAAGATGAGGTTTGGGTGGGGACACAGCCAAACCATATCATTCCACCCCTGACCCCTCCCAAATCTCATGTCCTCACATTTCAAAGCCAATTATGCCTTCCCAACAGTCCTCCAAGGTCTGAACTCATTTCGGCATTGACTCAAAAGCCCACAGTTAGAAGTCTCATCTGAGACAAGGCAAGTCCCTTCCACTTTTGAGTCTGCAAAATCAAAAGCAGGTTAGTTACTTCCTAGATACAGTGGGGTCACAGGCATTGGGTAAATACAGCCATTCCAAATGGGAGAAATTGGCCAAAACAGAGGGTCTACAGACCCCATGCAAGTCCAAAATCCAGCAGGGCAGTCAAATCTTAAAGCTCCAAAATGATCTCCTTTGACTCCATGTCTCACATCCAGGTCACAGTGATGCAAAGGGTGGGTTCCCATGGTCTTGAGTAACGCTGCCCCTGTGGCTTTGCAGGGTACAGCCTCCCTTACAGCTGCTTTCACAGGCTGGCACTGAGTGTCTGCAGCTTTTCCAAGTGCACTATGCAAGCTGTCAGAGGATCTACCATTCTGGGGTCTGGAGGAAGGTGGCCCTCTTCTCAAAGCTCCACTAGGTGATGTCCCAGTAGGCACTCTGTGTGGGGGCTCCCACCCCACATTTCCCTTCCACACAGCCCCTGCCCCTACAGCAAACTTCTGCCTGGGCATCCAGGCATTTCCACAAATCCTCTGAAATCTAGGCAAAGGTTCCCAAACCTCAGTTCCTGACTTCTGTGCATTCACAGGCTCAACACCACATGGAAGCTGCCAAGGCTTGAGGCTTGTGTTTTCTGAAGCCATGGCCTGAGCTCTACATTGGCACCTTTCAGCCATGGCTGGAGTGGCTGCGACACAGGGCACCAAGTCCCTAGGCTGCACACAGTTAGGGGACCCTGGGCCCGGCCCACAAAACCACTTTTTTCTCCTAGGCCTGTGATGGCAGGGGCTGCCACAAAGGTCTCTGACATGCCCTGGAGACATTTTCTCCATTGTCTTGGGGATTAACATTTGGCTCCTCATTACTCAAGCAAATTTCTGCAGCTGGCTGACTTGAATTTCTCCTCAGAAAATGTGATTTTTCTTTCTATCACATTGTCAGGCTGCAAATGTTCTACTTTCCTTATAAAACTGAATACCTTTAACAGCACCCCAGTCACCCCTTGAATGCTTTGCCACTTCAAAATTTCTTCTGCCAGATACCCTAAATCATCTCTCTCAAGTTCAAAGTTCCACAGATCTCTAGGGCAGGGGCAAAATGCCACCATCTTTTTGCTAAAATATAACGAGAGTCACCTTTATTCCAGTTCCCAACAAGTTCCTCATTTCCATCTGAGACCACCTCAGCCTGGATGTTATTGTCCATATTGCTATCAGGCTTTTGTTCAAAGTCATTCAACAAGTCTCTAGGAAGTTCCAAACATTCCCACATTTTCCTGTCTTCTTCGGAGCCCTCCAAATTGTTCCAACCTCTGCCTGTTACCCAGTTCAAAAGTCGCTTCCACATTTTTGGATCTTTTCAGCAGCACCCCACTCTGCTGATACCAATTTACTGTATTAGTCCATTTTCATCCTGCTGATAAAGACATATCTGAGACTGGGCAATTTACAAAAGAAAGAGGGTTAATTGGACTTCCAGTTCCATGTGGCTGGGGAAGCCTCACAATCATGGCAGAAGGCAAGGAAGAGCAAGTCCCATCTTACATGGATGGCAGCAGGCAAAGACAGAGAGAGAGCTTGTGCAGGGGAATTCCTCTTTTTAAAACCATCAGATCTTGTGAGACTTACTCGCTATCATGAGAAGAGCACAGGAAAGATTTGTTCCCATGATTCAATTATCTCCCACGAGGTCCCTCCCACAACACATGGGAGTTCAAGATCAGATTTGAATGGGGACACCGCCAAAACATATCAATATCATTGATCATCTGAGAAACACAAATCAAAGCTATAATGTGGTATCATCTCACCCCAGTTAAAATAGCTTATATCCAAAAGCCAGGCAATAACAAATACTGGAACCCTTGTGCACCGTTGTTGAGAATGTGCATTAGTGAAACCATTATGGAGAACAGTTTGGAGGTTCCTCAAAAAACAAAAAATAGAGTGACCATATGATCCAGCAATCCCACTCCTAGGTGTATACCCAAAAGAAAGGAAATCAGTATATCAAAGAGATATCTGAATTTCCATGTTTATTGAACAACTATTCACAATACCCAAGATTTGGAAGCAACCTAAGTGTCCAACAGATAACGAATGAAGAAAATGTGGTACATATGACAATAGAGTACTATTCCGCCAGAAAAAAAGAATGAGATCCTGTCATTTGCAACAATATGAATGGAACTGGAGGTCATTATGTTAAGTAAAATAAGCTAGGCACAGAAAGACAAACTTCAAGTGTTCTCACTTATTTGTGGGAACTAAAAATTAAAACAATTGCACTCATGGAGATAGACAGAAGAAGGATAGCTACCAAAGGCTGGGAAGGGTAGTGGGAGTTGGCAGAAAAGTAGAGATGGTTAATGGGCACAAAAAAAAAATAGGAAGAATAAGACCTACTATTTGATAGCACAACAGGTGACTATAGTAAACATTAATTTAATTGTACATTTTTAAATAACTAAAAGAGTGTAATTGGGTTGTTTGTAACAAAAAAAAATGCTTGAGGTGATGAATACCCCATTTACTCTGATGTGATTACATATTGTATTCCTGTATCAAAATATCTCATGTACATATGTACATACATACCATACACCTATGTACCCACAAAATTTAAAAATCAAAAAAATGCATGCCTTAATTTAAAAATACTTTATTACTAAAAAGAAGGATTCAGAAGGTTGTAATCTTTTTGCTGGTAGAGGGACTTGCCTCCATGGGCATGGATCAAGTCTCCCCCAAGCAATTATAACACAAACAGCAAAGATTACTGATCACAGATCACTACAACAATATAATAATAATAATACAATTAGAAATATTGTAAGAATTACCAATATGTAACAGACATGAAGTGACCACATGCTGTTGGAAAAATGGTGTCAACAGACTTACTGTAAGCAGAGTTGCCACAAACCCTCAATTCATTTGAAACACAGTATCTGTGAAGCACAATAAAGCAAACAGCAATAATGCAAAGTGTGCTCGTATTCTGTTTCTTCAACATTTTCTTTTGTTACTAATACCTTATACAATAAATGTATTTCTACCAGATAAACTTAAACTGTTCATAACTAGAGTTAGTATATAGTTCAATATCCATAGTTCAATATTATTTGTATTATGTTTTATTCCTCTTGAGATCATAATTTTGAATAATGGGATTGAACGATGAGGATAAGATTGCTTCAAAGTAGTTCTTGACACTGTTGAAATTTTGCTTATTCCTTGCCTATTTTCTGCTATCTCAACACCTGGTGACCAGGGTGGCCTCTTATCAAAAAATAAACTGGTAGGGTCCTAATAAACTGAAAATAGTATAATTGCAAGCTCAATCTAAACTGGTAAACAACTGATAAGCAGTCTTGCAGTTGCTACCGAAAACTTAGGCTGATTCTCTAATAAAATAAATACCCAGGAGGAAATAAAAAGCTTGCAGTGAGCTAAATCCCCAGAACGCATATGCTGAAAAGATTATTCCATGTTAAACACAATCAAGAGAGTTGGGTGTGGTGGCATGTAATTGTGTCCCAGTTACTTGGGAGGCTGAGGTGGGAAGATTGCTTAAGGCCAGAAGTTTGAGGCTGCAGTGAGCTATGATCATACCCATGAATAGCTGTTGAACTTCAGAATGGGCAAGACAGCGAGATCCCATCCCCCCCACCCAAAAAATCAAGAGGACTCTATTTAGTTTATCTCAAGATATTTCATCATAAGATCCCTCCTAGAATGCACATATTTGATAAATTTGTGACAGTATTAAAAATGAATACTCATACCATTTGGTATTGCAGATAATATAATAAAAGTTTCTCATCAGCACACAGAACATATTCCAAGACTGACCACATGCTCAGCCATAAAGTGCATCTCAATAAACTCAAAAAAAATCAAAATTATACTAACCATACTCTTGAACAGTGGAATTAAAATCAAAATCAATACCAAGAAGATATCTCAAAACCACACAATTATATGGAATTTAAACAACTTGTTCCGGAATGACTTTTGGGTAAACAATAAAATTAAGGCAGAAATCAGAAAATTATTTAAAATAAATGAAAACAAAGACACAACATACTGAAATTTCTGGGATGCAGTAAAAGCACTGCTAAGATGAAAGTTTATGCCTTCCTCAAAAATGCCTTCCTCAAAAAGCTAGAAATATCTTGAATTAATAATGTATTATTATACCTAGAGGAACTACAAAAACAAGAACAAACTAAACCCCAAGACTAGCAGAAGAAATAACTGAAATCAGAGTGAAACTGAATCAAATTGAGATGCAAAAATACATACGAAATGGCCAGACGCAGTGGCTCACGCCTGTAATCCCAGCACTTTGGGAGGCTGAGGCAGGCAGATCACGAGGTCAAGAGATCAAGACCATCCTGGCCAACATGGTGAAACCCCGTCTCTACTAAAACTACAAAAATTATCTGGGTGTGGTGGCAAGCACCTGTAGTCCCAGCTATTCGGGAGGCTGAGGCAGGAGAATTGCTTGAACCTGGGAGGCGGAGGTTGCAGTGAGCTGAGATTGTGCCACTAAACTCCAGCCTGGTGACAGTGAGACCCTGTCTCAAAAAAAAAAAAAAAAGAAAAAAGAAACAATGAAAGTAAAAGTTGGCTAAAGGATAACAGAAAAAATAACTAGATTGACAAAGAAAAGAAGAGAGAAGTTCCAAATAAGCACAATCAGAAATGACTAAGGTGACAATATAACCAATCCCACAGAAATACAGAATATCACAAAAGACTATTAAGAACACCTGCATGCACACAAACTAGAAAATTTAGAGGAAATTTAGAGAAAACACATAATCTCCCAAGATTGAATCATTAATACAATTAGGACAACACAATCTTCCAAGATTGAATCAGGAAGAAATTGAAACACTGAACAGACCAATATCGAGTTACAAAATTGAATCACTAATAAAAAACCTATCAACCAATAAAAGTTTCCTACTAGATAGATTCATAGCTGAATTCTACCAGAAGTACAAAGAAGACCTGGTACCAATTTTAATAAAACTATTCCGAAAAATCAAGAAGGAGAAACTCCTCCCTAACTCATTCTATGAAACCACCATCAACCTGATACCAAAACCTGGCAAAGACACAGCAACAAAAAAGGAAACTACAGGCCAATATCCCTGAAGAACATATACACAAAAATCTCCAACAAAATACTAGCAAACCAAATTCAAAAAACATATCGAAAAGTTACTTCACCACAATCAAGTAGGCTTCATTCCTAATATGGAAGGTTGGTTCAACATATGCAAATCAATAAATACAATAAACCACATGAACAGAATTAAAATATATATAATCATCTCAATATATGCAGAAAAAGCTTTTGATGAAATTCAACATCCATGCATGATAAAAAAAAACCTTCAAGAAACTAGGCATCAAAGGAACATACCTCAAAATAATAAAAGCCATCTACATCAAACCCACAGCCAACATCATACTGAGTGGGCAAAAGCTGGAACAATTCCCCTTGAGGTCTGCAACAAGAAATAGATGCCCACTCTCACCATTCCTATTAAGCATAGTACTGGAAGTGCTAGTCAGAGCAATCAGGTAAGAGAAAGAAATAAAGGACATTCAAATAGGAAAAGAAAAAGTCAAACTGTCTCTCTTTGCAGACAATATGATCCTATATCAAGAAAACCCTAAAGACTCTATCAAAAGGCTCCAGGAACCGATAACTTCGTAAAATTTCAGGATATAAAATCTATGTAAAAAATCAGTAATATTAGTAATACTTCTATACATCAGTAATGTTTGAGAGCCAAATCAAGAATGCAATCTCATTTACAATAGCTAAAAAAACAAAATAAAATACCTAGTAATACATGTAATCAAGGAAGTGAAATGTCTCTACAAGGAGAACTACAAAACACTGCTAAAAGTAATCACAGATAACATAAACAAATGGAAAAACATTCCGTGTTTATGGATTAAAAGAACCAATATCATTAAAATGGCCATGCTGCCCAAAGCAATCTACAGATTCAACAGTATTCCTATCAAACTATCAACATCATTTTTTTACAGAACTAGAAGAAACATTCTAAAATTCGTATGGAACCAAAAAGAACCCAAATAGCCAAAGCAATCCTAAGCAAAAAGAACAAAGCTGGAGGCATCACATTACCCAACTTCAAACTGTACCATCAGGATACAGTAACCAAAACAGCATGGTACTGTAGAAAACCAGTCACATAGACCAGTGGAACAGCATAGAATACCCAGAAATAAAGCCACACACCTCCAGCCATCTGACCTTTGACAAAGTCAACAAAAATAAGCAGTGGGGAAAGGATTCCCTATTCAATAAATCATACTGGGATAGCTGACTACCCATATGCAGAAGAATGAAACTGCACTGCTACATTTTACCTTACACAAAAATTAACTCAAGATAGATTAAAGATTTAAATGTAAAACTTCAAACTATAAAAATCCTAGAAGAAAACCTAAGAGAAATCAGTCTGGACATCAGCTTTGGGAAAGAATTTATGACTAAGTCCTCAAAAGCAATTGTAACAAAAACAAAAACATCCAAGTGGGACCTAATTAAACTAAAGAGCTTCTGCACAGCGAAAGAAACTATCAACAGAGTAAACAATTAACCTACAGAATGGGAGAAAATATTCACAAACTATGCATCTGACAAAGGTCTAATATCCAGAATCTATAAGGAACTTAATTCAATAGGCAAAAACAACCCCATTAAAAAATGTACAAAAACATGAACAGAAATTTCGCAAAAAAAAGGCATACAAGCAGTTAACAAACATATGAATACAATGCTCCATATCACCAATCATCAGAGAAATGCAAACCAAAACCATTACACATTAGGTAGAGTATACCGCTCGGGTGATGGGTGCATCAAAATCTCAGAAATCACCACTAAATAACGTATTAACGTAACCAAACAACACCTGTTCACCCCAAACCTATTGAACTTACAAAAAAAAAAAATGAAATACCATCTCACACCAGTCAGAATAGCTGTTATTAAAATGTAAAAAAACTTATGCTGATGAGGCTGTGTATAAAAGAGAATGTTTATACACTGTTGATGGTAGTGTAAATTAGTTCAGCCACTGTGGAAAGCAGTTTGGATATTTCTCAAACAACTTAAAACAGAACTACCATGTAACCCAGCAATCCCATTATTGGGTATATATCCAAAAGAAAACAAATCCTTTGCTAGGCACAGTGGCTCATGCCTGTAATCCTGGCACTTTGAGAGGCTGAGGTGGGAGGATTGCTTGAGCCCAGGAGTTTGAGACTAGCCTGGCAAAGATAGACCCAGTCTCTACAAAAAAATTAACAAAAATTAGCCAAGCATCATGGCACACGCCTGTAGTCTCAGCTACTTGGGAGGCTGAGGTAGGAGGATTGCTTGAACCTAAGAAGTCAAGGCTGCAGTGAGCCGTGATTGTATCACTGCATTCCAGCCTGGGGTAATAAAGTGAGACCCTCTCAAAAATGAAAAGAAAAGGAAAGGAAAGGAAAGAAAAGAAAAGAGAGAGAGAGAAAGAGAGAAAGAAAGAAAGAGAAAGAAAGAAAGAAAGAAAGAAAGAAAGAAAGAAAGAAAGAAAGAAAGAAAGAAAGAAAGAGAAAGAAAGAAAGAAAGGAAGAAAGGAGGAAAGGAGATGCATGCACTTGCATGTTTATGGCAGCAGTATTCACAACAGCAAAGACATGGAATCAACCTAAGTGCCCATCGATGGTGGATTGGATGAAGAAAATGTTGTGCATATACACCATGGAATACTATGCAGCCATAATAAGGAATGAAATAATGTCCTTTGCAGGGACATGGGTGTACCTGGAGGCCATTATCCAAAGCAAATTAATGCAGGAAACAGAAAACCAAATACCATGTGTTCTCACTAATAACTAGGATCTAAACAATGGGCACTCATAGACATAAAGATGGCAATAATAGAAACTGGGGAATGCTAGAGGACAGAGGGAGGAAGGAAAAGAAAGGCTGAAAAACAAACTACGCTCTGTACCTGGTTGACGGTATTATTTGTTCCCTGAATCTCAGCATCACACAATATATCCAGGCAACAAACGTACACATGTACCCCCTGAAACTAAAATAAAAGTATTTTTCTAAAAAAGTAAAAAAGGTCCATGAAGGCAATGAATATCTGCAACACTGGAAATTTTTGTGATGATATAATGTGAAATTCACCTGTAAGTGAAATTCTCAGGGAAGTCTTTCAAAGGTCTATTGGTTGAAGTCAATTTTAATATTTTTCCACTAAATAGCTCATGAAAGTTACTTAGCTAGTAGGACTGTACTGTTCTTTGAATCACAGGAGTTAAGGAGAAATACCTAACAGAAAGGCTGCTGTGATATGCAATGCAAGCTCTTGCCATAGGGTCAAATTCATATAGGTAATGCAGTCTCAATTCTGACTAACCATGTCCTGCGCAAGGCCAAGTTACATCAAATCATTGCTCTTCCAACAGGATAATGGACATACAATGTAGTGTTTCTAAAAGAAACACTCAAAACTATCTTTTGAAAGAGCATGTACCGTTTAAAATACTTTCTGTTAATGACCAAAAACTGCAGTGGTACTACACAGTAAGAGATAACTTTGATTCTAACGATAAAGTTCAGGAACTAAGATATATCAAAAGTGCCAAGATAAATTGCCTTAATATTCTGCAATATCCACATAAATGACCATGAATACTAGAGAAGTCAAAGGCACTGTTGCTAAACATTTTTTAAATAAAAATCAAATAACATCTTCTCCTACTGTTGCTAGACCACCAAGGTTGATAAGGCTAAAGTCTGTGGGACGAATGTACTATAAAGAATCTTCATGAAGAATCTTCCAGGTTATATGCTACAAAAGCCTTTTGAATAAAAGAAGATTTGTACGAGTCTGAATCAAACGCAAAACAATAGCTGAAATATGAGACATTTTTATTAGTTTTCCTAAATCATTTCAGCACTTAGCGCAGAGCCTAAAATATATGCAGCATTTAATATTAGTTTAGTTGATTTGAAATTTATCTGGTAACCAGCATCCAATCAGTTATTAAATTTATTCACCTGAAAGATTGACATTTATTTTCCCATTGAAGAGAAATAACAGAAAAGTCACTAAAATATTTAAACACAGATTTGTTGAACCATTCACACATATAAGGTGGACTACACAAGTCATGCTAGCATCTAATTCTAGTAGGAAGTAAGAATTTCATGGAGTCTACATGTGGATTGTGAACAAAGCATTTGAGAAACTTTAGTGGCTTACAGGTTAGTCTAGTGACCCAAAATTGGTGCAGATGATAAAGATTTCAAAATTGAGGGGCACTTTACATGTGTCATTTTGAATCTAAACATGAAAATTGAGTCTAACATGTCAATTTGATCTAAACATGAAGTATTGAGTGTTGGTCAATATTCCACACTGATTCTCCAAGACCATTCTGGGGGAAGAACTTTATACTAATGTAGACTCTTTTTTTTCAACCAAACTAGCTTGAAGTGTTTCTAATTTCAGCATTTTTTTTTCTGAAAACAGGTCTAAATTTATTCCCTTAAGATTGGAATCTTACCATGTGTCTCATTAATTCCAGGAAAATGCTCATGTTCACACTGAATGAATAGAGTAGAATATTCTGGATGTGTCCAGCTAGACAGAGTTTGCCAGGCTTATCACTTCTTAAAATGGCACTCTGTTTTCATGTCTGGGAGTCATTCCTGCTGATTAACTGGGGAGGCAGTATATCTTTGCTTGCATTTCCAATTGTAATTACATGGCAAACAAAAATAGATTCTGGTTAGTCTGTCTTACACATTTGCTTTTGCCAAAAGGTTTTCCTCTGGTATGGTGCTGAAGTCAGTACTCCTCTTGTACTCTCAACTTCTGTTTGGAGTGGCCCACTCACATGCAGTATTGTTGAGAAGTATTAAATTTGTTAAAGATGTCAACAAAAAAATGAAAAGAAGAATTTATACAGCACATTTCATGGCAAACAACCTTAAATCCCCCTTTTCTCCAAAGACTCCACTACTTTAACAGCAGTTATACTCAACCTGTCTGTCTGCCCTCTCCTCAACTTTGTCAAAACAAACTCTGCCCCTAAACTCATATTTCACTCATTTCCATGTAGAGGGAGGGAAGGAAGGAAGGAAGGAAGGAAGGAAGGAAGGAAGGAAGGAAGGAAGGAAGGAAGGGAGGGAGGGAGGGAGGGAGGGAGGGAGGGAGGGAGGGAGGGGAGGGGAAGGGAGGGGGAAGGGGGGGAAAGACAGAGGGAGAGAAGAAGGGAAGAAAGAAATTTTGTAAACGGCAACACAATTTATTGGAAGATAGCAGAAGAAGTTACTCTGTTAACACTCAACCATAACAACCCTAGTTTCATTCAGGCATCCCCTTAGTGTGGTACCGGTAAGCATATCAAAATAGTTATTCCCAACATAACAGGACTTTCTCCAAGAGGTACTATTTTGCAGCAGTACAGATGCTTTCCATATTGTTTCTGTAAGAAACAGGCAACTGGAACAGCATGATTTCTGCATGGTAACAGATCTAGAAGCCTGTGCCTTTAAGTTCCAGAGAGCAGATGGACAGTGAAGTCAAAGTTTGAGGATATTTCCCCACGCAAATAAAGGAGTGGACCTATAGGGCTCAACTTTCCCAAAGTCATCTGGGTCCAAACCTCATTAGAGTCCCAATGCAGAGGGAGAAATCTTGACTCGCTGGCAAATAGCTATTAATATAATCTCAACTGGTATCAAATAAGCACTTAAGGGTTTTAATCTAAGGTTGGCTGGTAATGGGGCGATGTGGATTTAGGAGAATTATAATTATAGATGCCAGGAGTGATGTACTTTTATTTATTTTGCATTCTAATAGTGATCTGATCTTTTGGTGTTTGAAAGCTGCATTTTTAATGTGATTAACTCAAAATAATGATTATTTCAGTGAAGAATTTATATTGAAATCCTATTTAATCCCTGCCTGTTTATTGCTAAACCAACATGGAAAAGTATGATATTCATTGACAATTTGGAAATATATCTCCTGTAAAAAAGTCTTCTATATTAGGAAGTTTAGTTGGATTTAATGACCAGAATGTTATCACAAAAAGTGAATATATTTGGCCTCAGGCAAGAGAATAGGCAAAGTTCTGCACATGCAAAAATTATGCAATGTAACTATACACAATTTTACACCAATACATTTTAGAAATATTTTCAAAGTTCATAAAAAACGAATGATAATGTGAAGTACTTTTTTAACTTTAAAAGCTCTAGCCTTGTCTCATCAGCTCAAACATTAAATTTGAAATAAAAATATTCTCCTGCATAAGTCTAAGAGATTTGTGACAGTAACAAAAGATCCTGGTGATATTGCTAATTAGTTAAGAATCACTGGAATGACGTATGTACTGTAAATGTAGACGTGCAGCTTAACCTTTCAGCACTATGACTCATTTTGATTATAATTGCTTTTGCAGGACGTTCACCCTTTTCCCAACTGTTATTTTATTAGCACAAAGACAACAAAATTCAGCAGAAGGTAGCTTTGTTAACACTGACCTCTTGGCGAGGTTCTGCCTTAGAATATAAGTGGCTCCAGAATTGCAATGTATCACAAAATGCAGAATTATGTTCTCTGATAGACACTACCCACTACCCTCCCCACACCCACAAGCCCAGGACTCTAAATGAATTCTTCATCCCAATTTGAAACAGAAAAGAAAAACTCAAATAACAACAGAAAGCTTGAGTTATTATTTATCATTTTATGATTAATCATAAAGTGGCAAAGCCAACTAATCTTAAAATAAAACAAACTATACAACTAAGGGAATAGTATGTAGACTAGAAAAATTTTATCCTACCCAAATGCATGAGAACTTTCTATAATGTCATTATTGAAAGAAAGCATGAACACATGCTCTTATACCAGTTCTTAGTCATATATTATGTTTGAGGAGACATATATCAACATGTGGAATAACCAAGTATATCTACGATAGGTCATATCTTTGGATTTAATCATCATCTCTGCATAAACCTAATACCTGAAATTGAATTAATAGGCTAATAATGAACTGCTTCATTTGAATATAATTGATGTCTTCCAGCTAAAATTCGCTGTATTTTGAATTTAATGATACCTTGTGCATTTCATTTTCTGATTTTTCATAAGAAGTAGAATCTTCCTTTCATATCACATTTTTTTCCTTTTTAGTTTCTCTGAGTATTCTTCCTTAGTTGTTCTGACCCATAGAAAAGTGAAAAATAATAGTCTCATTTTTCTGCTTTTCTTTGCTTTTTGTACCAAGCTAATTCAAGTGAACTAGTATATACTAAGTATATATTTTGTCAGGCAACTAGTATCAGAGAATGAGACAGTTAGAAAGTGCTTTAATTTGGCATCCACTAGCAGTCTTTACCTTTAGGTTCACAAAGTAACAGATTATGTTATGCCTGAATCAAGCTACTTTGCTGAAATACTCTATTCAAAGATAGCAAGAACAAAAACACAATAACATACAGTCCTTCTTGTTAGAAAACACATGAGAGCCTTCCTTTAAAAATAATCATTTACCTAGCTATTTTATGTCATTGTAATTTGGTTTTGAACTCTTGGCTTGGTAATAACATACCATCATCAACTTAGTAAGATGCCGACAAGATTGCTCTTATATGCTTGCTCCTGCCATTGTCACACCTAACTGGTCCTCAGTCCAAGTCTTTATCATATTTCCTGGCTATACCTCCTAAGACGTAAGTTTTCATTCTGAATGAGTTAAAACATAGACTAAATACAAGTGATATTCTTCCTGTAAATGTGTGTATTGTACAGGATAACTTCCAGTAACATTTTCCATGCAGAATTTAATTGCTAGAGAGCTTTTGTCTTCTATCTACCAAATATTTTTTTTTCTTGTGCTTTTTGGATAATAAGGCACATGAACCTACTAACACATAGAGTATAAATAATACTAAACTGAATTTTTAAAGATAGACTATATGAAACCAAATTCATATGTCTGATTTATTATACATTCCTGTCTCTTTACATAATAAATCAACAGACTTACAGAGA
The DNA here is from genome assembly GCF_000001405.40 of Homo sapiens. Classification (NCBI taxonomy): domain Eukaryota; kingdom Metazoa; phylum Chordata; class Mammalia; order Primates; family Hominidae; genus Homo; species Homo sapiens. The sequence goes on from NC_000006.12 coordinate 81,685,771, forward strand.
AACTGCAGACTTCACAATTTTGCTTGACAACGTGGAGGATAAGGAATGAATGTAAAATATCATCCCTGTATGAAAGGAAACTGAATAAAAGATCACAATCTATATATTCCAGCAACAGGGAAATGTTCAAGATATTAAAGCTAAATTGCTGTTCTTGTTAATGTCTAAGAGATTTCTCAAACTTAACACTGAGCTAAAATCCTGTTTTTACTTCCCAAAACCTCTTTCCTCACAGTCTTCCACCTGTTGATTAACAGCAAGTTAACTTCCCTTTGAAATCATTTTTGACTCCTCTCCCTTTTTGCAGACATCCAATCTAAAAGTAAATCTTGCAGAATTCACTGATAGAATGTGTCTAGGATCCAGCAACTTCTGACCACCCTCATTGTTACTGCCCTGGCCCAAGCTACCACCATTTCTCATCCACATCATTGTTATAGTCTCCCAAACAGTATCTCTTTTACCTTGTCCACAATAGTCAAGTCTCACCCAGCAGCCCAAGTGATTGTACGAAAATTAAAATCACATTATGCCTTATGCTAAAATCTTCCCTGTGGCTTTTTGTTCCACCAAGTAAAACCCAAAAGCTATACAACGTTTACATGTTTGTTCAGGACCTAGGTTTTTAGAAATCATGACCAGAAACTTTTTGCAAGAAGAAAAAATAAAGTCAATAATTCATTACAAGTTGATTATAATATCGTATTCATGGTTCAGATAAATCATCTTTCTTTTGAAAAATGTGTATTTGAGAATAGACATCTCAAACACTTGTGAACTGAAGAATAAAACATTGTTTCTAAGTCCCATGGAGGGGGCAGGGCCGGCGGGGGGGTGCTTTAAAAAAATTCTGATACTAGGGCTCTACTCCCGATCAATTAAATCAAAATCTCTTTGGATGAAGCCAAAGAATAGTTACATTTTTACAATCTCTTTGAATAATTCTGCTATGTTTCCAAAGTTAAGAACTACTGCTCCAAATGGGGCATGAATGAAGATACAAGTCAGTTGCCTGTTACTTATTTTTGTAAAGCATTCACTAGAAACAGAAACATACAAAATTTCTAGCAAGAGAAAGCTTTAACTGCCATAATTTTCAGCTGAGTAACTTAGGTAATTGGAAACTTCAAATGCTACAATGTGGAAAGCAATGATGTAAAACATTCCAGAAAGAATACGGTAAACAATTAATTTAGTTACCATGATGGTTCCTGGAGATGTAACAGGTATTGTTAGAACTTCAGTACTTATAATAAAATCAATTTTAAGTCAATATATAAAAAAATGCCCCTTTTTAATGTCTACAAGTGCACAGAGTCGAACATTAAAATAAATTTATTTTTTGCCATTGTACCTCTCCTGGCACTACTTGGAACAGTAAAGAACTCTAAAACTTGCTATTATTACAAATGAGATTCCCTTATGCCAGCTGGGTCTACATGCTATTAAAAATATATATTTTTAAAATTTTCAATAAGGTGGACAAATCAGTAAAGCCCAAGTCTGGCTCAAGGACCTAGTTACCCTACCACAGAGGATTTTTTTTATTGATCAAGTTATTTCTTCTATTGATGGTACCAGATGGATTCTTGGATGAAACTGAATGACAAGTATGTCTCTGCCAGCAAGAAAATGGCGATGGGCTCCCTGCTATTTTCTGCTATAGCCACATCTTCAAATAAGAAGGAAGCGTCAATAACTCCAACCTACCTTATGTCTCCTCACATCAATTCATTGGGAAAAATCTCTATAGTCTATCAGTTAAAAATTGAAATAACAAATCACCTGTGAAGCAACAAGATCCAGAATTTTTTTTTCTATTTTAAATATAAGCAGACATTTCTGTTTACAATGATAAAGTAATAATACTACTTGATCTCTTTTTCATGCCAGGTAATAGAGGTAATAGAGTTCAATCAATGGTTAAAAGCCTGGGTTTGATTATTGTATCTTGTGTGAGTTGCTTGACCCCTTTGCACTTCAATTTCATTCGCTGTACAATGAAGATGATATAATAATATCTACTTCAAAAATCTGAGAAAATTAATCATGACATATGTATAGCATATAGAATAGTGCCTGGCACATGGTAAGTGATGTATACATAGGTACATGGCCACGTGGCTATTGACTTTGCAGTGCACTAGCCAACCTCCCTCAGAGTAGGTCTCCTCTGCTTTTTCCACGGGGAAAATCTCATATCCCAAAGTCACATCAACAAGCTGATAAACTCTGGCCTAATGGAGAGCTGCCCACCTCTCCTTCTTCATCTGTGCTGGTCACCATTGTCTATTTAAACAACTGTTGTGTGGGAAAATACATTGGCCCATCAAAACATTCTAATCAAAACATTCACTATGTTTCTAATGTTTTGCCATCAAGAAGAGATACAGCCTAAGGGTAAGTAGTTAAGCTAATTACTTTCAGGATCACACAACAATCAACGAACAGGCTCTGTTCAACATATGAAAAATGCTGGTACTTAGGAACACAGTGCACAATTTATGGTATGATGGTTGAGAGTTGTCAACTGGCGAAATGAGAGTAAAGTATACCATGAAAAGTGCCCTTAATTTTCAAGAAAAAAAATTATTGTATTCAAATTGCACAGATTACCAAAATTAGAGCTGCTGTATTTGAATCTCAACTTTGTCTACATACTAGTCATTTAAATTTTGTCCTATTTTGCATGCATAGTTTTAAGATATTATTTATAGTTTTCTTCCATTCACATGTAATGTATATTAGAATTTATGAGATATGTAATTTATTTAAGCAATTATTGACTTGGTATGAATGTTTATTTTCCTATTTCTCCTCTAAAGGATGGGAATTAATTTTAGTTGTTGCCCAACCCATGAGTTTTCATCCAAAAAAGTTACTTTAAATATAACCTATTGAAGTATACAATTTCTCTATTGTTCCTTTGTCTCTATCTTCAGGCCTCCTTAAACCTTCTCACTTTTCTGTCATTTATTTCTAGAATTCAGTTGCTCAAAGCTGACAATTGAACTGTTGAAAGTGTAAAACCATCTCCACCCTGTCTATGAGGATCCTTCCTTAGCAGGCGACAGTTACATCAGTCTTAATTTATTGACACCACACATGGCAAAATCATTTGCCCTCTGGTTTCATCTATGTCTCTTTTGGCAATACAGTAGTCTTCTGCTCATAAAATATTTGAGTTTGGGATTATTATTTCTCCAATTATTAATCTATTTTGCATTTTTTCCTGTAAAAATTCATTTTCATTGTCGATTTCCCAAACTGCCAATCCATGCTCACTTATTTTTTTCCAAATTCATCTGTAATATTTGTTTCCTAACACTTATTTTCAAAAAAACATAAAAATATTAATGAATAAAGCCTTATTAATTTTAGAGCATATTCCCCTTGAAACCTTGTAGGATCTAAAGCCACTATTTAAGTACAAGAGAAGGAAAACTGAATTTTTGAATAAAATACAAGTAATGATGTAAAAGAGATGAAAATATTACATACCCTTTTTTAAGAACTGGTGATAGAATTAATTTTAAAAAATGATAAAAATGAAGGAGTTGTTAAAATCATACGTTGAATCTTCCAAATAGTGTCCAGAGACTCTAGATCTATCTGCGAATATCTAGAAAAGCTCAGTCATAGAATCTTATATTTAAAGGAATATTAGATGAAATTTCAAATGAAAATCTCAACCTAAAACCTGCTTCATTGTTAACGTATCTGTACTGATCTTTCTGCCACACAGTGAAACTCATAACAAGTCTACACCTGCTTCCTCAAATGCTTATAGATTGCTATTTTAATTTCCATTTCCACTTCTTTCATCTTTTGATGTGATTTTAAAATCCCGTACCGTCTTGATAGCTAGCCTTGAACACACACTATTTTTAACATGTATTTTTAAATGTGATACTTGAAATTAAACACTTGACTCTAGATGATCTTTAATTGGTATTGTGAATGATACAGTCAATTGGCACTGCCAGGCCACCACTTGCATTATGAATGATGCCACTTGGAGTTATACAGCATAACGGCCCTGGTTGGCACTCAGCAATTATTCCCACCTCCTTCAAGTATGTTGTCCAGTACTCCAAGGAGTAGAAATCTTAAAACTTCATTTCTCAGATATTCTTGCAGTTAGAATTTTAGCTGAAAAACAGATCTATCAATTAAAAGCAATCATGAGATATTTGGAATGCATAAATGAAGTGGAGGCCACCTTCCTATCGCTTCTGTGTTCTGTTGCCAGGAATGTTTACAGAGATTCCAGCATCCAATCACCAACCTCATGAGTATTGAGAGACACACTTATAACTGAGGCAGCTGGGCTCCACATAGAGTGTTCAGGCAGTTGCAGTAATTGTTCCTTCTGGATCCTGACTGCAGCTGCAGTAGCATATTCTTGAATTCACTCTTTTCAATGACAACCTCCTTATTCCCCATCTTTCTTGATTAAAGGAGAGATAATAGCTCCTCCAACAGGTGAGTCCATGGTATTCTATGAGTCACTCCTAGGAGACCAGGGCGGCTTCCATTTCCCCAGCTCATCTAACAATTACCATTATACTTGACTGTATGTAAATCATTTTCTGCTTAAAATGCATAATATATCTTCTGTTTTCTTCACTAGACACTGTTTTTCATAAATACAAATTAGACTATTATGTACCAGGACTCAAACTCTGTACTTCTATTACACAGAAATTATCACAATTTACTTATACATATTTAAATTGAATAATGATATTTTACTAAACTCTGCAGCCTTTTGGCTGTGTGTGTGGGCAAGAAGTCTCCAGTGCTTAAAAGAAAGCCCCTGGAGATGACAGGTACAAGCATTTAGCAGCAATGCACAGAGAAGCTGAGAGACAGACCTGGTGAAAGGGATCCAAGGGGCATTAACCGTGTCTGTTACACAACTTTTGAATCATGTGAAAATTGATGAGTCAAGTCTGTACATTAACCAAAGTCTTGAAAAAAATGTTTTCCAGAGTCTGGGCATGCATGGCAGCTCACACTTGCATTTTGGGAGGCCGAGGTGGGAGGAATGCTTGAAGCCAGGATTTCGAGGCCAGTCTGGGCAAAAACGCGAGACACCCGTCTCTACAAAAAATGTTTTTTTAAAAAAATTTTAAGTTGTTGGGCATGGTGGCATGTGCCTGTAGAATCTCCTACCCAGGAGACCGAGACAGAAGGATTGTGTGAGCTTAGTGGTTTGAAAGCTGCAGTGGGCCATGATCATGCCACTGCACTCCAGCCTGGGTGACAGAGACAGATGCTGTCTCTTAAAAAAAAAAAATAAAGTTTTTCTAGGACTAGGTCCATCCTAGAAAATTCTACTTAAAAATTTTATTAAAAAGAATATAATATGGTGAACAGGAAACCATATTATAACTATTCCACTCTATAGTAGTCACAAAGTAGGTAGCCTAGGGTGGGTAAGTAATCAGAATTAGTGTTATTCTAAGAAACAAACTTTGGTCCCAGCCCTAAAGACTTATCATCTCTAACTAGAATGAGATAATCTTGACCATTCTAATATTGATACAGTCAATGTCTAGTTTCAAGATCATATCTAAAAAAGAGTTCCACACCATATAATATCACCTGAAGACTCAGAAGTGTCAGCCATGAGGCCGAGCTTTTTCAGTCTTCCTATTTGATAATCCAGAAAATGAATGAGGAAAATGCTCTCAAATTTACAAGTGTTACTAAACTAGGTTAGACTGTTAATTCTTGAACTACAATTCAAAATGGTCTTGACGAGAAAGAGCTTCTTGTATTTACATGTGTTGGGGACATGTGTTAGAATTTGAGTAATACACACACAAGTGTGTGGGAAAACACGTATAATAATTGAAGTATGTGTAATAGCAAACATTACTTTTAACAGATGAAAATTTTTCAGAGTCCAGAGGGCAGTCAGAGAGAAAGAAAATAGATGTTTGGGATATAAATTAAGTTCAAGATACTAACAAGAAAAGTAGAAGAAATTGTTATCTTCAAATTCAAAAAGGGTTATATTATGAATAAAAATCATAAGAGAATAAGTGGAAATAAGCTGGTTTAATTAAGGCACAAGGGGAAAAGGAAAAAAATAAGTAGATCCCTGAGGTGAGGTTGGGAAGCAGAATCATTGGCAGCTAGTGTTCAGTGCCAGTTGTCTTCAATTAACCCCTCAAGTTTTACTCTCTACCCTTCTCCACCTGCTCTCTACCCTCTACTTTATTTATTTATTTGGAGACAGGCTCTTGCTCTGTTGCCCAGGTTGGAGTGCAGTGGTGATCATGTCTCACTGCAGCCTCAACTTCCCCAGGCTCAGGTGTTCCTCCCACCTTAGCCTCCCAAGTAGCTGGGACTACAGGCACGCACCACCATGCCCTGCTAATTTTTGTATTTTTTGTAGAGACGGGGTTTTGCCATGTCATGCAGGTTGGTCTCAAACTCTTAGGCTCAAGCAATTTGCCCATTTTGGCCTCCCACAGTGCTGGGATTATAGGCATGAGCCACCGCACCTGGTTCACCTACAATCTACCTTGGAGATGGATCTCCAATGGACTCCATCAACACTCCCCTTTCTCCCCATCTCAACACCTCTACCCTCTGGCTTCCAGTTAGATTTCAACTCAGGCAATGTGGAGCCTCAGCAGGAGATCAGAGGGAGAGGGCAAAGCAAGGCCATGGAATTTATTCCCTTGGCCCTATCTCGTAAGTTATCTTGGAGATAATTGTGTCACCCCACTGAAAGCCACTGCTTCTCTCAAGGCCTCGTAATTCACATGAGTCTGTCCTTTCAGATTCCAAGAAACCATCCCTCCGCACATCCCTTCCCACCTAGGTGTGATAATAGTGCAGCTACAATCAGCCCAGGTTACTGCAGTATCCCATGAATTTTTCCTACAGCTACAGAGGATAAATCACTCATTTTTAAGTAAATACCTGTCTAATTTTCTTACTTTGGATGTGCCATCTATTTCCTGTTGGAATCTGACGGGTATGGGGTTCCTGTGATAGCACATGAGGTAGCATGAGAGCCAGATGAGGCTACCACATCCTCTTCTCTGCTCTTTGTTAGAAACTACGCTGACTTTATTATTATGCACCACCTAGAGACAAAAACAACTGACAGCAAATTTCTTTGCTCCAGTCACTTCTATCCCTAACCACCATTCCCTTGGAATCCAGAAAGCAATTACCTACCACATTTGAGAGACTGCCGACCTCTATTTTAGACATCAACCTGACTGAGTGGTTTTGAGAATATATTTTCTTCGAATAAAGCTTTTTAAAAAATCTTGTAAGTGCTGCCACTTCCCATTTTGCATATACTTCAGGAACCATTTATGCAGGAGCCATTTATGGATGCTTTTCTCCAGAAATCTTAAGTTTTCTCTTAGTACAACAGCTGTTTTTATCTGGACATCTGCATAAAAATGCAAAATATTTATTTTTTTATACTGTTAGTTTAATCTAAACCGGTGTAAAATATTTTATGGCCTAACTTCTTAGTCTTTTAACTTTCTTTCCAAAATAAATATGTCCTGTGGCTCTTTGGTCTCACTTTTACAATCATCAGCTTTCATTATTGGCTTTTCTCCATGTGGAAAGGAATTGGATTTAATTCCTTACAAAACGAAATTTTGAAAAATGTATTTGCCAGTGGTTCAACCTTAGCCAGAATGGATGATTCTAGATTTGGCTTCATTGTTCTGGTTCTGGGTCAAAACGGATTTGTCCAACATCTATTTGGAAAAGCATTAATATGTGATTGGAACATTTTGAAAGGCAGGCTAGTGACAGTCCTGGCTTTGTTTCTCCCGACATCTTGAATCGTCATTGCCTGAAGAAGAGTCCATCAACTGCCTCAGAAACAAAGAGGGGCCAGGAATGAATGTGTTCATTATATCGAAGGGTTTCAAAAAAACAGGGACAAGGGTGAGAATGAATAGGGGGTTGAAATTAGAATATTCTTTCCATATGTAGGAATTCCATAATGAACATTATGGAATATTAGGCACTGAAAGGAACAGACCATGAGAGAAATGCATATTATAATCTTATCCTTCTAAGAATATAAAAAATCATTTTACCCAATTAAAGGGAAAACTCAATTTGTCTTTTAAATAGTCATCATCTATATTAATCCAAGATTATTAATATTTCTTGGTACAACAAATAAATTTTTCTGGTCCCCTAGTTTCAAAGGTTATATATATTTGTGGAAGAATAAAAATATAAAAACACTTTTCTTAAAGAAGTAAAATGTTGCAAATATTAATCACTTTCCCTTGTTATAACAAGTAATGAGCATGTCTTTCAGGGAATGTAACAGCATGTTGTATCAGGTGATATTAAAGAATATAAAATAAATCTTGCTCTCCAAGAACCAATAATCTAAACAAATATTTTTTATTACAAATCACACATATTACCATGTGATCTCAAAGAAAATATTCTCCACACCTCAAACATACACCAAGTGATGAACTAACCTTCCTTTCTAGGGCTGAATGGCTGCAGAAAACCAGCCTTTCTATGTTTTATTTAGATAAAGATAGCAGATTTAGCGTCTCCACAAAGCTCTTTGTCAAGGTAGGTGTATGTCACTGATCTCTAGCATGTGACAGCTAAAACAAACCCTTGTCAACACAAGTGTCACATGGTTTTAAATGGTGTCATCACAGCACATATATCAACTTAAAAGAAATTATGACTGTCACGTTAAATTTACAGTGTTCACAGAGTAGATTTGTGTATATTATATAATAGCAACAATTTACAGAAAGTTTATATTGATAAGTGAAACCTTTTAAAACAGTTTATAAAATTTATTTTAATAATGTGACTTTTCCATTAATCCTTTATAAGACCTCTTTCAATTAATAAACTAATTAATACATTTGAAATAGGACTAAATCAAAAAATAACATATCTGAATTTTAAAATAAAACATGTATTCCAATTTATTTTATTGTAATAATACTTTGTTAGTATTATGTCTCTTACTCTTTATAGATTATGCACTGAGAATATATTTCCCTTACTTAAACATATATAAATTGATAAAAATGACCACAAAGAAGGTGCAAATCGTGAGGTTAATCTGGTATGTCCAAAAGTCACTAACCTAATTTAGTTAAAATTTTTTTCAGGAAAAAATTTAAACATTAAAGTTTAAAATATATATATTTCTCTAGAAAAAAACATAGTCATAAATCATAGGGTAATTGTTGTTGTCAGATATTATCCAGACAACTCTGCTATCTCAGTATCCTGTCATTCCAGATGAAATATTTTTTCATTGTGTAACTTTCTTATGTAACTACAAAAACAATATGTTTTCACTAAAGACAATTTGAAAAATACAAAGAATAAAAAGACTTAAAAACCTCAACACAGTAAAAAAACAAAACAAAACAAAAAAAAACTATATTTTTACACATTTTATTCCAGAATTACTATGTCATGAACTAGGCTATAATAAAGTAAAATTTTGAAACAGAAACGGTTTTCTAGGTTTAGTGCTCAATTTTCTTTTGTTCCTTACTTTCTTAGGGATCTCCTTATTTTTACTATTTCAACTGATTTTTCTGTCTGTATAACTTCCAATAACCTCCATTTTTAACTCTCATTTGAGCTCCAAGCAACATTCACATTTGCTTATTTGTTAGTCCTATCTAACTATCTCATTGGCATCTCAAATATCCAATATTGAACTCATTAACTTCCTTCCAAAAAGAAGTTCTTCCTCATGAGATTTCTAATAGTATAAATGAAATATCTTCTATTTCTAAGACATCTCAAAGTCACCTTTGATTTTCTTCTCTCCTTTATTTTCCTCTTTCAGTAATTGTGCAAATCTTTGTGGTATTCTGTCTCTGCAAATGACCTTATGCTATTCACTCCCACTGCAGTGATTCAGGTGTCATTATTTTTCTTTACACTTTTTTTTATTAAGTATACATACAGAAAGACACACAAAATATACATCTTTATTTGCAATGGATATATGCAAGTGAATAAATCCAAATATCCAAAACCAAGATCAGGAAGCTGAATTTCACCAGCACTCTAGGACTCCCTTTGTAATCTCTCTCAGTCTCTACTGCCCATAAGGGTAACCATTATCCTAACAGCTAATAACAGAGATTGTCTTTTTGCTGGTATTACTGAGATGACTTCTGAACTGAACATCCTGCCTCTAGAATCTCTCCCAATCAGTTACACTTATGGTCACCACAACTTTCTTCCTAGTGTACACATCTGTTGATGGTATTCTTTCCCAGATATCCACTCGTTCTTCACTGGATCACAGAATGAAATCTAACCTCATAGTATTGCATTCAGTGCCTCCCCACCTCCTCGTTCAATCTGGTATACCCTTCTGATTTTTTCCATATCATTTGAAAGATCTGAGCACTAGTTACCACAAAAGGAAGCTAATTATACTGATTGAATATCAGTTACTGTCACAGTAATGACTTTAGTCCATGTAACATACATGGTTGATATTTGGGGAAGGGTAAGGGGTATTATGAAAAAAAGGGAAGTGCTTAAATCACATTTCCTCCTTTACATAGTTATAGAATAGGTCTGTATAAACAAAATAAAATGTTAGTAATTAGGTAAAAAGGGTCAAAGATAACTATTTTGTTCATTTGTTCATTCATTCAGCAATCGTTTAGAGGCATTATTTATAGGGTAAGATGAACATGCAGATGCTGCCACAATTCCACAATATACCTGTCTTCACTTACACAGAGGTCTCCATTCTCCTCTGCCAGTGGTTTGGCACCTATGGAAATGCTAATTTCATTTTAAAATAAGCAACCTCTTGAAAGAGCCATATTCATTTGCAAGCCTGTCTCTTGCCAGATATTCAAAAGCAGGTGCAACGGGGTCAGCTACCTCTGAGATATAAACAAAAGGTTTCATGTATGAGTCAGTGTGACCTTTACCAGCAGAAAACAGGAGGACCAGAGCTGAAAGCAGCAGCTTATGTATTTAGTTAATCCAGTTGCATGAATAAGCAGAGTGTAAAAGGTACAAGTGTTTTCAGTGAATGTAGATTAAATGTGGGCCTCATAGGGTTCGTTTTCAATATTCATAGATGAAACATATTACTCAGGCTAAAATTTCTTCTTCACGGACTCCTACCTCATGGACAGATGGATTCAAAGAATTATCATATTTCTCTATCTAAAAGTTGAGAACTTTTCACCCAAAAAAATTCATCACCTATATAAGTAGATTTTAATGAGTCAAGTCGTTCAAACAACAAAATAATCTTTCTTTTGGCAAAGTAATAAAAAGTACTCTGTTCTTTTAATAATTTGGAATTATTTCAAATACTTTCCTCATGCACTTCAGTGATTCTTCTTAAACCTTTCTGCAATTTACCTTTTCAAAATAAAAATTCTTGTTTAAAACTTTTTTTTTTCTAATTTCTTCTAGGAGGAAGACTTCCTATTGTAAATGCACATCAGCTAGTTTCAGAGAAAATTAAGCAGTGTTTGTTTCTGCTTGTGTACATTAATACTTAGAAATATCCTAGAAGATAATGAACTTAACTTCTCTTGGCATAAAGTACATAAACTGTGAGGAGTGCAGTCGAGGAGCTCTAGTCTAGTTTTCCGGACTTAACTGACCATACAGTTTTTCACTAGCAGATTTTTGGCACTAAAAAAAATATTGGTAGCAAGATTTTATCCCAAGAGAATTCAAAATATATTTAATTGCCAACAGCAGCATTAGGCCCATTTTGCCTTCTCTACAAATGACTTGCACAAAACAGACCCCCCTTAATCGTTCATTGAATACATTCACAAACTGCATGTATACATGTGTATACATATGTAAGTACGAAATGCTCAGGCCCATGCTGCTTGACATGTCATTGGAAAGAGGCCCACAGTGATCTGAGGACATTTTATAACCACCCCTGTGAGTTCTCCGGACTAACATTCATGTATAATGAGTAAGCATATGCTCCAATGCTTCCTCTGGCCATCATTCTGACAGCCCTCAAAGGTCACTGAGGTCAGTACGTATTAAAAGAAAACATTCTCAAATCAGGTCTGTCTTTCTCCTCCTGCCTATACTGTTGATTTCGGGGTCACCCGAGTGCCTTGTCCTTGGAATTGAGATGACCAGAAGACTCTGTTACCCTCTCATAGGACTTGGAAAACCCAAGCCCTGCTGAGGGGTGCATTAGATTTTCCTTTATGTTTTCTGAGAACCAATTAGATTTTCCTTTATGTTTTCTGAGAACCAATTAGATTTTCCTTTATGTTTTCTGAGAACCAATTAGATTCTTCTGAAGCCCCAGGAAGATTTTTTGTTCATATTTATGTAGGGTGGTCTTATTTTCTGTAGATCCTCTCACAAGAGAAAAGTGGACATTAATAATTAGGCTTTCTACCTTTATCTTTTTGGATGCACTTAACCACAGGACTTTTGTCAAAGGCCTTTGCACAGGTGCAAATCTCTGTGACAAAATCATACATTAATGATCCCTTTTCATTAATTTTGTAAATAAACTTTCTATTGTCTTTATTTTAAAAACTACATACCCACAGAAAAGTGTTCATCATAATTGTACACAGAGTTAACACCCATGTATCTGCTCTCTTTTTAATCACTATTCCTCCAAGAGTACCAGCCATCCTAGTTAGCTAACACCATAGATTGGTTCACATGATTTTTGAATTTTATATAAATAGATTCATAAATTATGTACCCTGTGACTTGTTTATTTTACCTAATACTATTTTTATGAGATTCATCCATGCTGCCAAAAACTCTAGAGTTTATTCATTGTCACTGTTGTGTAGTATTCCTCTGTAGAAATAGATCAAGATGAATCAATTTTACTCTTGATGAACACATGGATTGTTTCCAGTTTGGTGCTCTTGTAAATAATGCTGCTTTGAAGATTCTTGTGCATGCCTTTAGTGCACATTTGTATGCATTTCTATTGGGTATAAATCTGGGAGTGGAAATGCTGGTGAAAGGGTATATATATATATATATATACCCTTGCAACTTTAATGCCAAATATATTCAACTTTAATGCCACATATTTTCAACTTTAATGTCAAATAGCTTTCCAAGGAGTTTGATCAAATTTATATTCCAATCAGCAAGTGCAAGTGTTGGCATTTGCAGTGTTTCTCATCACTGCCATTTTGATGTATGTATTATGAAATCAGTTTTAATTTGCATTTCCTTGGCAATTAATTAGGCTGAACAACTTTTCCTATTTATTGATTATATGCATTAGACATCCTCTTTTTGAGGTTTATGTCTGTGACTTTTGCACATGTTTCTATTGGGATTTTGGCCTTTTTTATTGATTTGTATATTCTGGATACAAATCCTTTGTGTGTTACATGTATTACAAATTTTTTCCCATTCTGTCTTGCCTTTTCACTCTCTTCATGGTGTCTTGATAAACAGAAGTTCTTAATCTCAACATAAAAACATTCACCATTTTTTTCCTTTACATTCAGAAATATTTGCCCACCCTTAGAGTTATAAAGATATTATTTCATGCTTTCTTCCAAAATCTATTTTATTTTATCTTTTATGTTTACAATGATTTTTGTGTGTGGAGAGGTAATAATAAAGATATATTGTGACCTGCTATTCATAACTAAGTTAAAATTGTATTGACTTCTTTTTCTTTTTGATGTATATTCCCAAAATTTAAAAGAAATAATCCAAGTAAAGTCTAGACAGGACACAGTTGTGTAGTATCTGGACTAAGAAAGCATCTTTCTGTAATATAGAAACTATGATGTAACTACCACTTTGTCTAAAAAAAAAAATAAACTGGATAAAGAAGAGCAAAATATTATCATTATTCAGGTAGAGCACCACATTTTTCCTTTTAATTCTTTAATAACTTTTGAAAAATTGAAGTAGAAAAAAACTACAATTCTAAGATGACAGGAAAAAAATTCACTAGACTAATAATTCAGAGATCACCTTGAAATTGTCCTGCCCCTGTGACTATGTGAGTATTGTCCGCACCTACTCAAATGCTGCCTCTAGGCCCAGCTTGTAAACATCATCAAGTTTCTTTTGGGTATTGCTATACCAATACATACAAAATCTGTTTTCATCTTAGTATAAACTCACATAGGCCACAATAAAAAGTGAAATTTCATGTTTTTAGAGTAACTCACTCATTTTTATTTATTACACACTATTTTTGTTCACATTTATTTGCTCTTTGTTATTTTAAAAATCAAGCAAGATATAAGATTATAATTATAAAAGGGATATTTTGTAAAATATTTAGTCTAGCTCCTCACCATCTAATAGTATCTGCAATGACAAAATGTCCTATACCTCTACACCTGCATTGTCTAATACAGTAGCCACACACCACTTGTGACTATTTGCGCTTAAAATGTGCTGAGTGAGACAAAGAAACTGAATGTTTAACTTTCTTTAATTTTAGTTAATATAGATAAAAATATAAATAGCCACATGTGGCTAGTGACTACGATACTGGACAGTCCAGCACAGGTCTACCTAATCTCAAAATGTGAATTTTTCAAGGAACTATTTCCATGGTAATATGAAGAATAAACTTTTATGGAAAAGACAGCACTTGTCTTCCAAATGATTAATCACTAAGGAATTTTTGTAACTAATTGACTATCTCAAACCTAAAGATGGAATGAATATGAATTATGGTTTTGGGCCCACATACAAACAACTGAAAAATTAAGTAGCAGATTGTGGGGTACAAGGCCTTCCTGCCACCAACTGCTGTTCTCTCTCTAAATAGCCTATAGCTAAGTTTGCAATATGCTTGGCTGGGCTCCTACCACAAATTCCACAGGCTGAAAATCAAATACAACCTTTATCCAAGTGCCATGAGTGAGACCAAGCTTATTTTTTTAAGAACATTAATCAAAAGTCACATGAAAAAAAAACTATCTGCTGTTTCAAAGGACACTAAAATATATGCTGTATCGCAAGTTGATGAACTATTAAAACATCCAATCTGAATTTTGTAAATACACTTTAATATAGGATGAGATCAACATAAATATGCTCTATATCATCTACCTCCTTTTATTATTATCATCTACTATTATCATTTATTATTACCATTTAATAAAATTTACTCTTGAAATTATAATCTATTTGCATTAATGCATCTAATTTTATATTGCCAGAATTTCAATAAATTTTAAGTATTAATATTCAACTTTATAATTTTCTGATTACAAAACATATTTTACATGTTCAGCTATGACCTAAAATTTGCAACACTGATCTTTCTTGCTACAAAGAAAATAATTGCTATATTCATGATTATAGTCTGTTTAGGGATAGTAATGGGAGGAGAAGGTTGTTTGTTTCATTTTATATTACTCTGTTTAGGAAAATAAGACACTGCTTTTTTTCTCAAAGAGGAGTCTATATCCAGTAAAAACTTTTAAATCCTCAAAATCAATAGTTTTAGCATTGCAGCTCCTCTTTAGATGCAGTAAAATAATCATGTTTATTTAGCAGCTAAAAGGAAGACAAAAATAATGATAAAACTTCTTTGATTTGTTGCTTTAGATGTATGAGACGTAACTTACAATCCCTTGAGTCAATTATTTCTGTGCCAGCCACTCTTGGCCCTTTTGGCATTATGAAACTTTATTCCTCTAGGCTGATACGTTGGTCCCAGAAAGAGGATTTAGTGGGGGTGAGGAAGAGAGGCTTCAAATGGCAAGCAGCAAAGTCAGTTTTGCAACTCCTTTTTTATCCTTAGTGAAGAGAATCAGTCATATTTGTAGATGATATTCATTTATTCAGTCACATAGCCAGTCAAGCAACACGAGGGTTAAGTATCATCCCACCAGAGTTTGGTTATTCAATTGAATAGGAAAATGCCTTTTCATTTATACTTTTATTGACCAAATAAGATTTGGAGTATTGGAGTACTTAATTTGGAATAAACCTTAACACATTTTGCTTTTTTGGATAGTTGTGGGGAAATCAAGAAGAGAAAATGAGCAGCAAAACCATTCTTTATCACTAAATATATGTCTATGAAGATTTCTTCAGCTTCAAAATGTACATATAAATTTTAGGATTTGAAGAAAAATTGCAGCACAGATAAGCAATGTCTTTGATATAGTGGGATAAAAACAAGAATATATTTGCCTTTCTCAGTTTGATGCTATGTGTTATAAAAACTCATAAAATTTTATAGCAATTGATTTCATCTTTATGCATGTCTCCCAAGGAAATAATCCAAAAAACACAGTTGTGTTATAAAGTTATAGATTACAGAGTTATTTAAAATAGTGAAATTTACTACCACCTCTATATTCAACAACAGAGGAGTATGTGAGTACATTTTGGAGGATCTTTTCAGATTTATATAAAGCATTTTTAAATGATGGTTATAAAGATTATGCACCAGGAAATACACTAATTATTGTGGTCTTTAGACTAAACTGGATCAGAACCAAAGAAATTAAAATGTTATTAAATAAGAACTAGAAAGTGGACTTCAGGAAAGCAAATTTTCAGAGTACTAGAAAGCTAAGTACAGAGATTATTGGTAGATAACAGAAAATTATTGACAGATTGACAATTAGATAGATAGATGAAGATGCAAAGAGAGATACAGAGATACACGCAAATATAGATACTATCATAAGTGCTTCACATGAAAGTGAAAAAGGAAGACACTATTATTTATATAGCATATTTACAATTGTACGAAATACAAACATATACTGGGAAAATATACAGAAGAATAACAATGGTTATAAAGGGCAGACAAATAATTTTCATGCCATAAAAGTAATTTTTTGTGGAAAGAAAAATCCCTTTCTTCCATTTGCTTTCTTCAATTTGAGCCTTTTGAAGGCAGCATTTTTCCCCATTGGCTATGCATTCTCAGAAAATTATTTCAAGGATTGAAAAAATTTCCTTTAGAGACAGTTAAAATTTTCATTATCTCCATTGGGTGATTAGAATAATGATATCTCAATTTTACAAATGAGACAACAGGCCCAGAGAAATTAAATGATTGTCCCCATCTCCTACCATTTTCCCCAAAATGACCCAATTGCAACAAAATCATTAGTGAACAATGAATAATGTATTAAAGATTTTGTAGGACATACTCAACAAAGTTAAAAATTACTTCAAAAATCACTTTCTGTTCACCCTGTTCTCTCCAGTTTTGCTCTCCCATTGACACCAATCGTGATTCCCCTCATTGCCTCACATGTGACACCTAAGCCACCCTCTATTTCACAGAGCAATTTTTCTCTGCCCCCAAACTTCCACACACAATTCATTTTGGTGAACAACAACTGATATGGTTTGGTTCTGTGTCCCCACCCAAATCTCCTCTTGAACTGTACTCCCATAATTCCTACATGTTGTGGGAGGGACCCATTAAGAGATCATTTGACTCATGGGGGGCAGTTTCCCCCATACTGTTCTTGTGGTAGTGAGTAAGTCTCACGAGATCTGATAGTTTTATCAGGGGTTTCTGCTTTTGCATCTTCCTCATTTTCTCTTGCCACTGCCATGTAAGAAGTGCCTTTCACCTTCTGCTATGATTCTGAGGCCTCCCCAGCCATGTGGAACTGTTAAGTCCAATTAAATCTCTTTTTCTTCCCAATCTAGGGTATGTCTTTATCAGCAGCATGAAAACGGACTAATACAACAACCAACACTTTTTAAAGGTACTTTAGTGACCAGGTAGTGTACATAAGCATGCTCTCTTCAGGCAGTGGCTTAATCAAAGTGCCTCTTTAATATACAATATTCTTTTGGAGCACAACGATGATACAGCTCTTCTCATTTAAACACTGGCTTCAATGACAGCCACCCCCTCACCACTCCCACTCCCAAGCCAGGACATAATTAAACCAACACAAGACTTTCCCCTAGATTCTGATTCACTCTAAACATCCTACCCCTGGCTTACCCTGCCGAGAGTCCCCACCATAATAGGCCCCTTCATTATTAAGAATGTACTGCAGGTGAATTGAGGCTGGGAAAAAGAGTTGAGGACCTTGACTTCATTTCAGTCACTCTGCGGTTATTGGAAGTTTATCATTGGGATTCCTTGGTAGGCACTCTGGATGGCTTCTTCTGCACCCTCCTAAATGTGGATGACCCTCCAAAAATGCCACTTTCAATAATCCACTATCTTCTCACTGCAGTTGCTTTGGTGATAAGCTCTTCTGCAGCTTCGCCAAAGCATCTCCTTCTCAGCCTGACATTCCTAATCTAGCAACCCCATGCCCCAGCTTCACCTGCACTGCCATACTTCTAACTCCTCCTGGAGTCATTCCTCTCTAAAGTCTTCCCACAAATCGAATTATAATGACAATTTGA
The DNA here is from genome assembly GCF_000001405.40 of Homo sapiens. Classification (NCBI taxonomy): domain Eukaryota; kingdom Metazoa; phylum Chordata; class Mammalia; order Primates; family Hominidae; genus Homo; species Homo sapiens. Next base: position 81,704,152 of record NC_000006.12, read on the forward strand.
ATATATGATCCTAACAACACTGTTGGAACAACTTGACTTAGGAATGTTACATATGACATAAAAATCAGATAAATGTAAAGCTCATTTCCCCTTCATATCAGAAGAGAGTATCGTCTCTAAAGAGCATTTTTCTCAAACCAGTGGGCTTTCCTTTTCCAAGCAGGTATGTTTATCTCTAAAGATCCACATGAGACGTGGTCTAAAGTGCATTACAGCTAAAAACTTATTTTAAACAGGCAATAAAACTGTGATTTGTTGTTTAATTGGGGAATAATGAGAACTATTATACATTTTCATTTAAAAAATGTTATATATGGAAACACACTCCTATTTTGTAAGTATCTGTGATGATCAAAGAATCACATGTGTTCTGGAACCTACAGGCCCTGAAGTTTTCATTATAAAGTTGCTTTTCCTGGGACAACATTGAAGGTGTTGCCAAGATAAACAGGCCCTGTCAGAAGCTACTAACCCCAAGACTTTGTGCGAAGATTATATTATTTTTATGTTTAAGTTTCCCATATTATCATTTTGTTCTTTCTCTTCATTCAAGTATTTTCTTTAAAAAAAAATAAGAAAAATTGAAGGGAAAAATATAGGAAGGGAGGGAGGGAAAGAGGAAGGGAGGGAGAGAGGGAGGGAGGGAGACAGGCAGGCAGGAAGGAAGGGAGGGAAGAAAGAGTAGGGAGGAAAGAATAGGGAGGAAATGAGAAAAAAGGGAGGGAGGAAGAGCAAGAGGGAGGGAGGAAGTAAAAGAGAGAAAATTAATTGAATGTTATGTTTATCTGAATTCTGGTTTAATTAAGGATTTCATTGCATTGAAGAAAGGCCAGTTTTTCTGTTCCATTTACATGCAGATAACATCAGATGAATAATTTAAATAAATACAAACTCAAATAATGGGATTTCCTGCCTTGAGCTTCTTTAGGAAGTAGAGAAACTTTCCAAAATACTGTTATATCTTCTTTACTCCCAATAATTTAGGTGTAACTCATAAGTTCATAGGAACTAAACCAAACATTAAATTTTACATCCTATTTGTATATCTAATCATTGTTAAATTCCCCCTTCCCTGTGAGGAAAGACTAACATCAGCCTTGATCACTACAAACTATAGCAAGGAAGTAATTGGATATGTCAACTACAGGTTTCCTAAGATTTATCTAACCTTCAAGAATATTGAAAATCCTGATGAAAAGTGTGGTCCAACTCAAGCGTCAGCCTGAATCACCATATGTAATTGCATGAGAAACACTCTCATGAGGTAGCCGAGCCAACAGAGAAAACCTTCGTTGTGATTTCACATTTTTAGAATGGTTTTCATCAAATTAGGATTCAGAAATGTATGTTTCTGAAGATAAAGTGGCTTAGCTGGAGATAGAAGAGAAGCTAATTTCTAAAGCTAGTTTTAGCAATATTTTTCAGTGGCAGAAATATTTTCAGTATTATTTTAGAAACTTGCTCAAATGAGGAATGCCTTACCTATTCCAAAAGGTAAACTCTAAATAATCTTAGATATTGTGTTTCAGATTCCATATTTATCTTATGAGAGCTAGGTGATAACAGTGACAAAATTTATCATGGAGCAAATTTATACATTTTTGAAGAAAATAGATCCAGTATTTCAGAGACACTCAGGAAGAAGTTCTAGTAATTTAGCTCCACATCCCTATCTTATCTGCTGAAAATCTAACTTAGTCTTCTGTCCATGCTAGTGAATGACTCCCTCAATTAGTGAATTCACTATAGCAATTTGAATTTTTGGTGCTGCTTTACTTATGCCTGTTCCTTACTTCAGTCCAGAACAACCTGTTTATTTCCACAAGATAGTAGTATCACAAGTGAAAACAGATCCAGCTAAGTAGACTTGTATCCTGTTTTGCAACAGTTTATTGGAGGTGGGGCTAGTGTTATGGTGGTTGGTAAAAAGTAGATCAGGTGTTTAGATTATGTGCATCTTATTCCTGACTATTGTCGGTTGTACTTTTAGACATGAATGCTACTGTGAACAAATAAAGAAAACAAGGTACATTGCATGCCCATTCTGCAAATTTGATGGTTTTATTAGTATCACGAAGGTGGTGTGGCAGAGTGGAAAGGCTCTGCCATTAGTAGCCTGCTGTATGAATTAGGAAGTTAACCTCTGTAAAATTCCAGCTCTGTCCTTCATAACATTGAAGACTCCTTTCTCTACTAACACTATATTTTTTTACTGCTTTTCCTTGCAAAATATGGTTTTAGAAGTTAGAACTTAAGAATAATTTTCTTTTTTCATACCTCAAAACACTTTAAAAGACAGTTTCTAACTTAATATTAAAAACTGAAAAAATAGAATTCTACTAATAAAAAGTCGTTTTACAATCAACTTTATAGAAATTATTCCCTCCTTTAAAGTGAAATATGTTCAAAATGGAAGCATTAAAGTTCTTTCAAGTATTAAAAATTGCTCCATTAAAATTTCATAAAATTTAAAAATTAGATTTAACTAACTTTATGGCAGAAACTAAATAAGTATGTTCAACTTTTTTATTATATAATCAGCAGGTGTTCATTACAGAAAATTAAACAATATAAGTAGTACATGTATTCACATTGTTTCATTTTTTCATGTGTAAGCTCAGGATAATAATGTATATATACATTTAATCTAGTGGGGATTAAATAAGATAAATAGATGCACAGATAGATAGACACATGGTAGATGGAGAGACAGATAAATAGCCTAGAATTCCACCACTGCTAACCTAATAAGAGTAAAGAACATAGTCCATAACAATTTTTAGAACTTTTCTAATAAAATATTATCATATTTCTTCCAATCCAACTATATATTCAACTTTAAAAAGAAGATCTATCAGGAGGCACCAAATAAACACTTGGTTAAATAAATATTAGAGAATTAATGTTACTTTCTCTTCAACCATAAAGGCATTTCCAAAATTATTCTTCTCTGACATCTTCCTAAGTAAAAGTTACTTGAGATTTTAATTAAGTCCCAAGGACAAATAATGTTATTAGTGTTTTCTTAAATCATAACACCCTAATTTAAGGAGGAACCTCAAAGGCCCTTCTTTTGGGTCTCTTCCTATTATGTTGCTACCTCACCTACATGTTCTTTCTTACCCCTCTTTGTCTGCTTTATCTAAAATTAGAAGCAGAATGTTCAGGCCTTCAAAAGCCATAGATTTCTCTCAAGGAGGAGTGGGGATGACTTTTAAAATTAGTTCATACTGTACAGTCCTCTGTTCTCCCTTCCAGGAATGGGTCAGAAGGCTAACATTACAGCAGTAGGAAGAACAAAGAAGACGGATGTTTCAAACCTTAATAATTGTGGAAGACTGGGCAATTTACTTATGCTTAGCAAGGATTTATTTATTAATAAAATAAGAAAAATAAAATATACAATTATGGTTTAGTATGGGGATTAAGTGAAAGCATATTATAAAGTTTTAAGATTCCAAACAGTTTCTACTTTTCATTAATCCTAACGAATTAGCCTGCAGGTTAAAGTTTAGTCAAATGCTCACATGATTTTGCTTTTTGGTTTTTCTCTAGTAATTAACTTTATTGAGGTTAATTTACATAAAATAAAAAACTTCATTTCAGATGGATAAAATGGATAGACAAACTGATGAGTTTTGATAAATGGATACATTTGTGTAACCAATATTGCACTATAAATCAAGATACAAAACATTGCCACCACTCCTCAAAAGCTTCTGATGCCCCCTTGTACACAGCCTCACCAACTGAAGCCTCAGGCCACCAGTGATCTGCTTCTTTCCAGATTAGGTTTGTTCCTTCTAGAGTTTCACATAACTGAGCATGTATTCTTCGGCTTCTGCTCAACATAATGCCTTTGAGATTCATCCATGATGCTGTGAGAATCAGTAGTTTCTCCCTTTTTATTGAGGAACAGCCTTCTATCATAGGAGATACTGTTCCCGGAAAGGGGTCCTGATCCAGACCCAAGAAAGGGTTCTTGGACCTCACACAAAAAAGAATTCGAGGTGAATCCATAAAGAGAAAGTAAGTTTATTAAGAAAGTAAAAAAATAAAAGAATGGCTACCCATAGGCAGAGTAGCAGCATGAGCCACTAGATTGAGTATACTTATACTTATTTCTTGATGATATGCTAAACAAGGGGTGGATTATTCATGGTTTCCTAGAAAAGAGGAAGGGATTTCTTGGAACTGAGCGTTCCCTACCCTTTTTAGACTATATAGGGTAACTTCCAGATGTTGCCATGGCATTTGTAAACTGTCACGGTGCTGGCAGGAATGTCTTTTAGCATGCTAATGCATTATAATTGGCATATAATGAGCAGTGAGGGCAGTCAGAGGTCACTTTCATAGCTACCTTTTGTTTGGTGGATTTTGGCTGGCTTCTTTACCGCATGCTGTTTTATCAGGAGAATCATTGTGACCCCTATCTTGTGCAGACCTCCTGTGACTAAGAATGCCTAACCTCCTGAGAATGCAGCCCATTAGTTCTCATCCTTATTTTACCCAGACCCTACTCAAGATAGAGTCTCCCTGGTTCAAACGTCTCTGCCACAATTTTAAAAATCCTTTCACCAGTTGATGAGACATACATATTGTTCCCAGTTTGGACTACTATGAATAAAGTTGCTATAATTATGTACTTAAAGTTTTGTGTGGATATATAATTTTTATTCCCTAAGGATAAATATTGAGGATAATTGCTGATTTTTATGCTAAAGTGTAATGTTTAATTTTATAAGAAACTACCAAACTATTTTCCAAAATGGTTATTCCATTTTATATTCCGTCAAGCAATGAGTTCCACTTTCTCTACCTTTTTACCAGCACTTGGTATGGTATTGTCAGTCTTTTTAATTTTAGTCATTCTAGTAGATGTGTAGTGGTATCTTATAATTTGAATTTGAATTTTCCTAACAGCTTTTCATGTGCTAATGGACCACTCAAATATCTTCTTTTTTGAAGTGTCTGCTCAAATCTTTTGCCACTTTTGATTGGACTATTTGTCTTATTACTGAGTTGTAACAGTTCTTTACACATCCTAGATACAAGTTTTGTCAAACATATGTGTTATGAATATTTTCACCTATTTTATAACTTGACTTTTATTTTCTTAATGATATCTTTATAACAGCAAGTTTATAATTTTTATGAAGTTTAATTTACCAATTATTTTCTGGTTCATCTTTTTTGGATAATCATTACTGTCACAGTTTGGTGATGATTTCCCCATATAATTTCTTCAACAAGTTTTATACCTTTAGATCTATGAGTAAATTTATGTATATGATAAATGCATATCGTAATCATATAAGACTTAACATGTTTTATATGGATATTCAATTATTTTGGCATTCCCTATTCAATTACTTTGGCTTCTTTATTGAAAATTAACTGATTTTATGTGTGTAGGTCTATTTCTAGACTCTATTCAGTTCTGTTTCTCTGTCTATCCTTTTGCCAGTATAGTCATGCACTGCCTAATTTTGGTCAAAAGCAGACTACATATATGACTGTGGCCCTGTAAGATTACAATACTATATACTTACTGTAACTTTTCAATGTTTAGATATTTTTTATAAATTTAAGGAGTACAAGTGCAGTTTTGTTATACTGATATATTGCATAATGGTGAAATCTGAGATTTTAGTATATCCATCACCCAAGAAGTATACATTGTACCCATTAAGTAATTTCTCATCCCTTGACCCCTCCCACCCTTCCACCTTTCCAAGTCTCCAATATCTTATTCCACCTTCTATGTCAATGTGTACACATTATTTAGCTCCCAATTATAAGGAAGAACATGTGCTGTTTGTCTTTCAGTTTCTGAGTTCTTTCACTTAATAATGGCCTCCAATTCCATTCATGTTGCTGCAAAAGGCATGACTTCATTCACTTTTATGGCTGAGTAGTATCCTGTGATATATGTGTATATATATATATGTATATATGTGTGTGTATATATAGGTATATATATGTGTGTATATATATGTGTGTGGGTGTGTGTATATATATATATATATATATCTCACATTTTTCTTTATACAATCATCTGTTAATAAACACTTAGGTTGATTCTCTGTCTTTGCTATTGTAAATAGTGTTGTGATAAACATACAAGTGCAGATCTTTTTCTGATATGATTTCTTTTCCTTTGGGTAGATACCCAGTAGTGGGATTCCTGGGTCAAATGGTAGTGCTATTTTTAGTTCTCTGAGAAATCCTCATTGCATTTCTTTGGTACTTAATGATGTTGAGCATTTTCTTTCATATGCTTTTTAGCCATTCATATGTCTTCTTTTGAAAAATATCTATTCATGTCATTTGCCCGCCTTTAATGGGGCAACATGAATGAAACTGGAGACCATTATCTTAAGTGAAACAACTCAGGAACAGAAAGTCAAATACTGCATGTTCTCATTTATAAGTGGGAGCTAAATAATATAGACATAGACAGTGAAATAATCAACATAGAAAGTGGAATAATAGACATTGGAGACTCGGAAAGGTGGGAGGATAGGAGGGAGAGAAGCATGAGAAATTACTTAATGTGTACAAAGTACATTATTCAGGTGATGGATACACTAAAAGCCCAGACTTCACTTACACAGTATATCCATGTAAAAAAACTGCTCTTGTGCCCCTTAAAATAACTGCCCAAAGCAATTTATAGATTCAATGCTATTCCCATTAAACTACCATTGACATTCTTCACCGAACTAGAAAAAAATATTTTAAAGTCCATATGGAACCAAAAAAGAGCACAAGTAGCCAAGGCAATTATAAGCAAAAAGAACAAAGCTGGAGGTGTCACACTATCTAACTTCAAACAATACTACAGGGCTACAGTAACAAAAACAGCATGGTACGGGTACGAAACAGATACACAGAACAATGGAACAGGAAAAGAACCCAGGAATAAGGCTGCACATCTACAACTATCTAGTACTTGACAAACCTGACAATAACAAGCAATGGGGAAAAGATTTCCTATTCACCAAATGGTGCTGGGAAAACTGTCTAGCCATGTGAAGAAGATTGAATTGATTATACCATATAAAAAATTAACTCAAGATGGATTAAAGACAAATTTAAAACCCAAAACTACAAAAATGATAGAAGACAACCTAGGCAATACCATTTAGGACATAGGAAAGGGCAAAGATATCATGACAAAGACACCAAAAGCAATTGCAACAAAAGCAAAAATTGAAAAATTAAAGAGCTTCTGCATAGCAAAGGAAACTGTCAAAAGAGTGAACAGACAACCGACAGAATGGGAGAAAATTTTTGCAAACTATGCATGCAAAAAAGGTCTAATATCCAGTATCTAACCGTCATTCACAGCAAACTAACACAAGAACAGAAAACCAAACACCACATGTTCTCACTCATAAGTGGGAGTTGAACAATGAGAACACATGGACACAGGGAGGGGGACATCACACACTGCAGCTTGTTGAGGGGTGGGAAGATAGGGGAGGGATAGCATTAGGAGAAATACCTAATGTAGATAATGGGTTGATGAGTGCAGCAAACCACTAAGGGACATGTGTACCTATGTAACAAACCTGCACATTCTGCACATGTACCACAGAACTTAAAGTATAATAAAAAAAAATTTTAAAGAAAGAAAATTCAAATCAAAACGACAATGAGATACATCTTACACCAGTCGGAATGGCTATCACTAAAAAGTCAAAAAATAACAGATGCCACAGAGGTTGTAGAGATAAAGGAGTGATTACTCACTGTTGGTAGGAGTGTAAATTAGGTCAACCATTGTGGAAGACAGTGTGGGAATATCTCAAAGACCTAAAAACAGAAATACCATTAAATCTAGCAATCCGGTTACTGGATATATACCCAAAGGAATATAAATTGTTCTATTATCAAGACACATGCACGCGTATGTTGACTATAGCACCATTCACAATAGCAAAGACATGGAATCAATCTAGATGTCCATCAATTATAGACTGGATAAAGAAAATGTGGTACATGTACACCATGGAATACTATGCAGCCATAAAAAAGAATGAGATCATGTCCTTTGCAGGAAGATGAATGGAGCTAGAGGCGATTATTCTTAGCAAACTGACACAGGAACAGAAAACCAAACACCACATATTCTCACTTATGAGTATGAGCTAAATGATCAGAACACATGGACACATAGAGGGGAACAACACACACTGGAGCCTATCTGAGAGTGGAAGGTGGGAGGAGGGAGAGGATTAGGAAAAAATAACTAATGGGTACTAGGCTTAATACATAGGTGATAAAATAATCTGTACAACAAACTCCCAAGACACACGTTTACCTGTATAACAAACCTGCACGAGCAAACCCTGAACTTAAAATAAAAGTTAAATTTTTAAAAATTAAGTAAAATAAAATTTTTTAAATGAAAAGATATGCTTTTATTTTGTGTAACAGTAATATTTATTCTATTTATTCTAGGTGTAGTTTAACCCTACTACTAAGGCATGACCATTCTGAGTTTGTCCATGATTTCTCAGTGATCAAAAGGACTCTCCATTCTGGCTAAGCATAGCTCAAACATCTCCATGCTATCTTCAGCTTATAGCTCCCTCATGTTTTTTTTTTTTCCTGACCTTGTGAAGTATATGTGAACTTAGGATGCAGCAAAGGCTCAAGTGAACTCCTATGCAGATTTCCAAAGCTTTTTTTTTTTTTCCTTAGCTCTCTTCTGTTCAGAACTCTGCTTTGCAACAGCCAACTAATGTAGCCTCCTTGAATTCTGATATCTGTCTCCTCAACTCAGTTAAGACCAACCTGCCTTGCTTGGGAACCCCTTCCTAAACCTCATTCCAGAATGTACTTCCAGGCAGAAATCCTAAACCTCATTCCAGGAATGTGCTTCCAGGTTATTGTTGGGTAGCATTTATTCCATCTGTTTCCTTCTCAGGAATTGCAGTCTTACACTGCCTGTGGTCCAACACTTAACAACAGTCATTTCAAGCACATTACCTAGTTTCCAGTTGTTTATGGAAGGAAGGTAAGTCTGTTTTCCTAAGTGCATAATGGCCAGAAACAAAAGTCTAACAATCTATTTTGACTGATTTTTTTTCACTGACTGGCATAATAGAATAAGAACAGGTAACAACAATAATATATTTAGAATGTGTCAAGTACTATGATAAGTGCCTTTTAAAAATATGTCATTTGGTCATGACAGAAACACTACAAAGCACATCTTTGGAGGGCCAAATTCCATTAAACTGGCAATACCAGATGTGGAGCAATAGGAACTCTGTTTATTTCTGGTAGGAATGCAAAATGGTACGGGCACTTTGGAAGGCAGTTTGGCATCTTGTTACAAAACAAACTCTTATCATATTATCCAGCAATCATGCTCCTTGGTATTTACTCAAATGAAATTCAAACAGCTTTATTAATAATTGCCAAAACTTGGAGGCAACCAAGATTTTCTTCAGAAACAGAATGGATAAATAAGCTGTGGCACATCCAGACAATGGACTTCAACACCAAAAAAAAAAAAAAAAAGAGTTATCAAGCCATGAAACGCCATGAAAGAAACTTGAATGCATATTACTAAATGAAATAAGCAAATCTGAAAAGGCTACATACTGCATAATTCCATGTACATGACTTTCTGGAAGAGGAAAAACTACACAGATAGTAAAAAGATCAGTGATTGCCAGGAGTTGAAGTGAGGGAGGCATGAACAGGCAGAACAGAGAGGATTTTTAGGGTAGTGAAAATATTCTGTATGATACTGTAATGATGTATGTATGTGATTATATATTTGTCCAAAGCCATAGAATGTACAATATCAAGAGCGAACTCTAACATAAAGTATAGACTTTGAGTAATGATGTATCAATGAAGGTTCATCAGTTATAACAAACATACCACTGAGGTGGGGGATGTTGATAGTAGAGGAGGCTGTGCATGTGTGGAGGCTGGGTGTATACGGGAAATCTCTGTATCTTCCTTTCAATTTTGCTGTGAACCTAAAATTTCTCTAAAAAACTTAAGTCTTTATAAACACAAATTCTACTGATGAGGTATTATTATCAACACTATTTTAAAGGTGTGGTAAATGGACTTGAAGGAATGAAATACCTTAATCAAGATCACACAACTAAAAAGTGACCAATTTGCAACTCAGTCCAACGCACATTTGTCTTACTCTCCAGCTTCACCTCTTACACACTTTATTACCCTGTCCCTTGATTGACTTAATACTGTGTTCGATAGGCTTTTTATACTCCTTCATATCAGCATGGAGATCACATGGCTTGATTCAATTCATGATTAATACATTTCACGATTAACTCTCTGAAATAAAAACTATTTTGAGGTGGCAGAGAAGTGGGCTGGAGACAGAAACAAGAAGAATCAATAATTCTTCAATAAAAGTCCTTATATTTGGTCTTAAATTTGGGCTGGGAGAATTTACATTCTCAATCATAAGCAGCCTAAATGGCACTTATAAAAGTAACAATAAATGTCTATGAAAAACCCTATGAAGGCCTAAAAAGACTGTTTAAACATCTGGAATAAAGATCCATTTCTCTATCTCAATACAACATTTCAGTCAAAAATTTAAGGGGACTTTGGGCATTGAAAGAGAAAGGCATATCAGCAATTCTAGGTCCAATTTTTTGAATGAACTGTCTGCTATGTGAAGACGTTTAGTCACAGGAGGCCAGCTGATGCTGAGGCAATCAATGCAATTGTCATTATCAATGGGTGACTGGAGTCTGACGACAGTAACATAACAGTCTAGGAGCATAAAAATCCATTCACTACGGAAGTTAGAATCTATGCATATACACAAAATGTGCTGTTTTTTAGATTATTACACTAATCTCCCAACTCTATAAACATAATCACCTGCAATTGCAGACTCTAAACCTGTTTTTTTGATAATAATGTTTGAAGCAGAAATGACACAAGCAGATTTTCAGGAGATGCTTACCAGGGAGATGTAAAGCCAAGGACAGCATAAGGGAAGGCTCGAAATCTCCAAATAACAAGGAGTGATACATACTTCTAAAACTGATCTGAGTTTTAGAATATTATTTTCATTTTGGACTGGATATTCCTCAAGACATTTTTTAAACCTCCATATTAATACCTGATAAGCTTAAAACTATACAACATCCTTAATTAAAGTTGGAAAGTAAAGAATTTTTTGCAGTAAATTCTATTATGACCTTACATAACTTATTCTTCTTCTATCCAATATTTCAGTTTCATCTGAGGGAGGAGATGTGGTTATATAAATAAGGAAAAATCAGAGCCAAAATTAAAATAGTAGGAGAGTAAATTCCCTCTTTTAGTTATCTTCACAACTTTTGAAACACTAATATATTCCTGGTAAAATACTCCTGAAATTAACTCTGTAGAATAATTAGAATAGTACTTCTAAATGCAAACTTAATGCCTTTCTTCTAATTGTCATAATAGAAAAACCAGTTATTTAATTCCTGCAGTATCTCAGACATGTAACCAGAGGCACAAAATTATCAATCTTTTATAGCTATATAAGTTACAAAACCATGTAACTTTTCCTTATGACTACTCTTAAGAGTTCATATTACTTCACGCTTACATTTTTGTGAATTTTTGAATTGGAGCCTGTAGTTCTCAGATTTAAATGTTTGTTATGTTTCTCTCTCACATCCTTAGATATCTCCATTTGAAAAGTAGCATGTTATAGGTATGGAACAATAAGCAAAATCTCTCATCATTAAAGTGACCCATGTACTAAGAAAGATGGATTAAAAAAAAGTTCACTGTTTCATGACATACAAAGAAAGAAGTGCATTTGATGTTTCTGTAGAATAAATGAAAACTTTTTCTTAAGAGAGAGTGACATCTTCATGACCTAACACTGACATCCGGGAGCCTCTTCTATCTGAGCCACTGACTCACTATGTCCCTTCAGGAAGTCATCATGGCTCTTCACATCTTAGAGTTAAATGAAAGCACAGTTAATAGTGGCCTATTCTATGTGTGGTACTATGAACTGTTCTCTGTTAAATGGAAAATGGATGGCCTAGACAACATGATTGAAAACTGCCTATAGAACTGTCTACCCACCTTATTTTGAAGCTTGAAATAAGAAGACATGGCAGGGAAAACAAACTATATTAAACTAAAGTGATGAGACAGTAAAATTCCATTTCAGTCAGCATCGTGTCATTGCGTATAGATGCTAAATGCAACTTCCTTTGGGGTGCAATTAAATTGCTATTGCTAAACATTCATAAAGGCTATTCCTTTCCAGTGTTGAAGATTGGAATGTCTATCATAAACTCCTGCAAGCTGGCTTACAATCTAATAGCTGTCCCTGGAACTTTTTGATTGGTTCCTTCAAAGAAGAGGATGCTCAGAATAGGGAGAATTTCAAAATTTGGTTCTCTGGAGTGGCAGATACTCTAACCCTCCTAATTTCCAGGAAGCTTCTCTAATAGACTTTATTGACCACAAAGTCAGTGAAAAAAACATATAAATGAATAACCGTACATAAAGGTAGAGAAAAGAAGGTCATTTCCCACCCCACTAAAAACTTCAGAATTCATTCATCCTGCCTCATACTCTACAGACAAAGAACTTGAGCTCAGGGATTAGGTGGTGTGACCCTCTTAACTAATTAGTGGCAGAGCTGACCCATACCAATATTCTGACTCCTACTTAAGCATGCCCCACCCCACTAAAAAAAACACTGTCTCCTCTTTTGGAAACAAAAAGAAATTCCTCAACAACAACTAAAATAAGGTGTTGTTTGAGAAAAAGCTATACCTATTTTTAGCTTATTGTTCCATGATACCTGTAACGTGCTACTTTTCAAATGGAGATATCTAAGGATGTGAGAGAGAAACATGACAAACATTTAAATCTGAGAAATACAGGCTCACCTTCAAAAATTTATAAAAATGTAAGCATGAAGTAATATAAACTCACATGACCCCAAAAATCCATGTGAGCATCACAACCTTTCATTTCATCCTGCATGTCAGTTTGAGCTAGTCTGTCAAATGCATAATAGGGAAATAATTTTCCTGAGATGAAGCAAAGATAAAGACTTGCTGCTATAATGAATTACCAGTGAGTATTTTCTGGACACAAAAACATTTTGAATCAAGGAATCTCACTTGCAATCTAAGACAGGTATCAAATTAAATGGCTTCATTTTAATAATATTAGTCAAGAGTTTTCATTTGTCTTACTCATCTACTTAAGGCCATATAACAAAAAAGGTAATTATACTTACAAAAAGGTAGTTAATATGAGAAAAAAAAACATAACCTAATGTTTCCCTGACCCTGAAGTGTCAATGTAAATAACTGAAGAGAATTTTTAAAAATTCTAAGTTATACATGAAAAAAATGATACCACTAGAGTAGCTGAAATCAGCTTTGACTGCTAGGACTTGGTATTCAACAGTTTTTCATAAGAAAAGTGGTATCTTAACTGGTAATTTCCAATTGCAAATAAAATACTACAGCTGGAAAAATATACATATTGGAATTCATAAAATTCCCATGAAAACAAGAGAGGAAGTCTTCTCCTTGCTTGAAGTCAATGTGGAAAAGACATTAGGAACTTTCATAATCTAAACTGAAGCCTGATATCTTTACCCTATTATTAATGTGGAAATAGTGACTTAACAGGTAAAAACAATTGCATAAGAGCCGTCTTCAGCTTATAAAATACTAAAGGCTAAGCATTCAAAAGAAGCACTAAAATATAATATTAGCACTACTAAACAGATGACATTTAGATAATCATTCTTTACAAATGTGAAGGAGGAAGTCATCTTTAAAACAATTATCACGAGGAAGTAAATGTCTATTTGAATAAGAAAAACTTGTCAATACTTAAGATATAGTGATCAGGACTATGATCGTCTAACCATAAAATACGTGAAATATATTCTTGGGTAATATAGGATGGAACCTTTGGTGAAAAAGTAATTAATTATTTTACTAATAACCCCTATTTTTTGACAATATTTCTTTCAGGAGTCTAGGAAAAAAATGGTGTTTTAAACTTTATAAAAATATCATGAATCCTCTGAAGGAAGAGGATACCACAAAGGAAAGATTAGTAGGTTATGAATAAGTGAATATTGCCCAATAAACCTAGTTGTGAACATCCCCAAATGAGGGAAGAAATAAGAAAAGAAAACCATATGTCTTGGATGACCTTTTTAGCAAACCTCAGGGAGACAATGAAAGGAAAAAACTGATTGAGAGGGGAAATAAAAACCTACAAAAATTGAGTCATGGATCTGACTTTCAACGGTAAGAATTTTTTTCCCCTCTCTGATAAGAACAATTTATTTCTATTTTACACAAATGTTCTATAAATAAGTCTACTTAATTCAACTTTTGCATACTCTTTCCATGTTCCTTACTCTACTGTTATCCTCTCAGTTACCAAATTTATGGATTAACTATAACTTTCAATTTCATGTTTAGTTTTACTGAACTCTTTCAAGCTGATTTCCATTTTGGTAAAAGAAACTGTAAATATGATTTTATTTTGCCTTTCCTTCTTCAAAGCATATCTCATGTTGGTAATGACACTATTAAACAGGAGCATCTTGGACTTTAGGAGTGAGATTGGTGGAGATAATCACTTTGTAAGATCGCATGGGAGGAATTATGACTTTTATGTTATCACCCAGTTTATCTCCTCCACTAGGCTGGGAATTCTATGAGGAAACTCATCTAACTTATTATTTGGTTGGTGTATACTCAAGAAATATTTGTTGATCATATTTTTAGTTGAGTGTTTCTTTATTTTCCAAAGACAACATGTCTAAATGGCTCTGATTATTTGACTATGAAGAACCACGTGTGTTCCAGAGCATTTATCTTTTGTTAGCTCAGCTACCTAACTTTTCACAGCCTAACTTTTCACAGCCATTTTTTCTTTTCCACACCATTTGTAAAGAACTGGTAGCTAACATATCTGTTTGATTGTTAAGATATACCTGTACTCCCCTAATCTATTCAATCAATTTTGGTTCAAGTCATTTTTATTTCAAGGAGAACCCTAAAAATCTTTCTTTATCCAGGAAGAAGTTGGTGGAAATACTGCTGGGAAAATTATTCCTCCTGAGAAAGCAGAATCAGCATTTCTCTAAGAAGCTTTGAGGTTCAAGGAACCAAATATGGCAGAGGAATTCACTTTTCTAACACTTTGCCATTTAGTATGAATAAACAAGATATACCAAATGGAAGGAGTCAAGAAACCCAAAGCTAAGCTAAGAGGAGATCTAAGCATTTACAAATATAAACACAGGTTATGTTTGTCCCAGGAGCCCTTTGTCAGCCGCAACCTGTTGCAGTTTCTGACCCATGTATATTAAAAATGTTTGTGCAGACTGAAGCTCTTCTGTTAACCTCATCTTAAGGGTAAAATTACATGACTCCTTCTGGGTCTCAGAAAATGGCTTATTTCTATCTATTGATACATCCAGTAAATTTAACACAACTTTAGATAGCATTCTACATAAGATTATTTATTTTTTCTTGAATAATTATCATGGCCAATTTTATAGCAAAATACATTTCACTCTGAAGTTCTATATAAATATGAGAAATGGATGTTTACCATAAAGGGAACAAAGAGAACTTAATAATCACATATGATTGAAATGAGTTGCCAAATAGGTGATGAGATCTTCCAGGCAAATGAGAAAGGGCCTGAAGCCATGTTTCCAAGGCTCAGTCAAACTATGGGCTTATCAAGAATTTCCTATTTCAGATAAATCTGTAAAATTGGTATTTTGAGGTCTGCTAGATCTCAGTTTGAAGTGATTCAGTCTCTTATGAGCTCTGAGATCTTGAACAGACTATTTAATCTCTCTAATTTCAGTTTCCCCATCTGGAAAGAAGAAATAATACCCATTTCAAAGGACTGTTATAAACATTAAATGAGATTAAGGAAGGAAGTAGGTGAAAAAGAAATTTGCCAAAAATATATAGTTATTATTTCTCTTTCTTCTTCCTTCCTTCCTATCTTCTTTCTTTCCTATCTTCCTTCCTTCCTTACTTCCCTCCTTTGTTTTTTCCTTCTTTCCCTCCCTCCTTTCCTCCTTCCTTTCTAACATGAAAAATGAAAGCAAAAAAAATCTTATCTGTGGCTAGATGCATTAAGAACCATGGGGCTTTGGGGAGCTGTCAGTAGTCTGGTTTGTCTAAAGTCTTGGGCCTTTGCTTCATTGACTGGGGTATAGAAACTGAGATTGCAGAAGAGTATGAATGTTTGGGTGTGTGTTAGAGAAGTTCTCAAAAGTAAGATCCCCCTGCCTCCTGCAACACACATTCATTTTCTCTCTCATTTCACCACTCTCATTCTCTCCTGAATCTACACTAATCCTGCTATTTATAGCACTAGTCCACTTAAATTGCTCTCATGGTTTTCACCAATGATTGTCACTTTGCTAAATCCAGTGGTGAATAAAATACACATCTTGTTCTCAGTACCATTTGACACAGTTGATCACTCTCTTCTTGACATAATGTCTTCCCTTGACCTGCAGGACACACACTGTTCTCGTTTTCCTCCAGCTCATTGGCTGCTCCTCTCAGTCTTCTGAGATGTTTTTTTTCTCATCTCCTTACCCTCTTATATATATGTTCCAAGTCCCAGAACTCTTTCCATGGTCCAGTCTCCTATACGTTCTATTGGTGATCCCATTTGGTCTTGGCATTAAATTTATGTCTCTGGCTCAAATCCCTCCCCTGAATTTCAGACCTTCACATATACAACTGCCTGCTTCTCATTCTCAACATCTCCACATTGATGGCTAAGACGTCTGACTTAGGCCTAAAATCTAACTGCTACTTTACCCATAAAAACTTGCCTGTCTATACTTTATTCCATCTCAGAGGGATGGCAACTCCTAACTTTCAGTTGCTTAGATTGAGTTCTTCTTGATTCTTATCTTTCTGTCAATCCCCAATTCCAATCTATCTAACAAGTTCTGTTGTCTCTACCCATAAAGTATATCCAGAATCTGATCACTCTTCATCTTCTCTACTGCTACTACCCTAGCCCAGGCTGTCATCAGCTCTCTCTTAGTTTATTATAATAGTCTCCTACCTGAAGAGGGACTTTGCCTCCCTGGAATTCATTGTCCAGAAGCCAGAGAGATTCTCTGAAAATATTATTAGTTCAAAATGTTTTATAAAATTCCTATATAACTTGAAGTCATAGTTAAAGTCTTTACCTGGGCCCTACATAATCCTGGCTTCATTTTGTCTGTCCTTCCCTCCAGCACACACACACAACCTATACTCCCATTCCTCCTGTCTGGCTTGTTTTTTTCATTATCATTACATAATTTACTTATGTATGTATTTACATACACACACACTCACTTGTTTTTCTCATCATCATTACATAACTTACTTCTGTATGTATTTACATACACACAAGAATAAAAACTCCATGAGGACAGGAGCGTTTCCCTCTCCTACTCTTGTACTCACTGATATATCCTTTGTGTTTAAAACAGTGCCTACCACAGAGTTAGTGCTCAATAAATAGTAAATGAATAAATTTGATGTTATGAGAACTACACATATTTGCCTTTCTGATGGCCCTGTTCATGCAAAGCAATAACATCGTCTTTATCAGCACATCCAAAATGAAAATTTTAGAAAATGAAAATAATATTATTGACCAGTTAAACCGCATCATGTCTTAGTTCCTACAAAAACATTTTTTATCAAGGCAAATGAGCCAAGTCCCTTATTCCCATAAGGGGAGTAAGCGGGAAGGCAAAACAAAAACTTGGAGCATGTATGTGAACAGAATTGATTGTTCTGTTGCCTAGGATCTATTTAGGTCCTCTCTCTACATAGGATCAATCTAGCCCATCTCTCTAACCTAGACTGCCTCAGCCCTTTCCCAACCTGTCAGAGTTTCCTTTCCTTTATCTTATTTTCCCTTGAAACTTCTCTATATCATTTATATGTATTATTTCCTCCAATTAGGAGGACCCAGAGCATCAGCGTTCACTAGGTAAAATGACAACAACAGTAGCAGGTACAGAAGTAGCTGATGCAAATCCAGCATTTCCGCCAAGCACCATGATAATTGTTTTGCACACATTTTGTCATTTAATGTTCACAATAGTACCCAGAAGGAGATACTATCATCACCTTGCTTTTACAGAAAAGTAAGCATGTTTAGACATGGTGAAATAACATGTCATCTCAACACAGACAATGGCAAAGTTGAATTATAAATCCTCAAAACCATCAGCTAACACAATTACCTTCAAACTTACTAAAAATATGAATATCCACAGTCCTTCCCTGGAGGCTCTCATTTACCAGGATCTGGGTGGAGCTGGGAATTTGTATGTTTAATGAGGCCTCCAGGTAATTCTTCTTATAAGTCTGGGAAAGATGATACTAGTTATCCTGCCTCTCAGTCAGGCAGTTTGATAATCACAAATTGAAAAATGATAGAGAACTGCTGATCTGTAGAGTGCTCCATATTGCACTCTCTCCTGCTAGTCAAGATAAAAGCCCTTATCAACCACAGACCACAATATAACAGACTGTCACAGATGTGTGTGTGTGTTGTTGTTGTTGTTGTATTTAAATTTCATTTCTTTTATATATAAGCAGCAGTCAACTGTTCTTCAGACATACTTCACTCCCTTCTATGAGGCCTTTACTAATGTGATACATAGAATTATAGTTTAAAAAAAGAAAATGATTCTAAGTCAGTTAAGTTTTTAGCAGAAGTTGCTCCCACCACGTGTGCCTTTTCTCACCTTTCTGTGAGTACATCTTGTACTTTCCCATCCAAGGACCTGCCTGGCAGTGACATGCATCTGGGGCATGTCTACTTCACCCCATTCCTGAGCTACAGATCAGAGAAAGGATGGATGGACCAGAGCCAGGATGATGAAAGGTCTGAAGCCCTCACTCTAAAGCAGCTTCTTTTCTTACTGTGAAGACCAAAAAAAAGGGCAAAATACATAAGCAACTGTATGAACACATAGTATTAACTATATAAAGATGTAATTATATAAAAATCATTAAAATAATGGTCAGAGAAGAACGCAATTTCATGTGTTGTAAAGACCACAGACTTTTAAGCCGGTTACTCAGGATTTCTACTTCTCAATGGATAAAACCTCAGAATCTTCATTGACAAACAATATCACTGTAATAAAATATATTCATGGAAAACATCCTGAGACCAATTGCTGTGATTCTGGGTTAAAATGGGGTTTATCACAAAGGAAGAACCCATACTTAGGCAGCATTCTAACTTGGGGCTCTACTCGTGCATTCTGATGACTTGTGTTCTAATCTCTAGAGGAAGAAATCAATATAAGTTTATTTTGCTCTTTGTCTTCTAGGCATATGATCTTTCTCCTGATAGCAATTATACATGCTAACGAGATTAATCATGAAATATTTCTCCTATTAATAATCATGTGAATCCACTGTCGATTCTACAAACTAACAACATACCAACCCTTTAGTATGTTCTAATCAAAAAACTTCGTACAAACACACACAATTCATGATTAAGAGAGGTGGTATTTGTTCTCCATATTATGCTTTCCTTACAAACTACATTTCTTAGGCTCTTGAACAGGGAGCTATAAAATGAGTTCCTTCAGTTCTTATCTAGGCTACCTAATCCTTTGGCCTTGATTTTGAATTTGACAAGCTGCTTACCCAGTCTGTGTCTTAATTCCCATTGGTAAAGTGAAAAAAGCACTGCAAACAACCCACCAGGTAACTGAGAAGAGTTTCCAAAAAGGAACTTCAAGGAGTTTTCAACACTCATAATACAGAGTACTTAGTTGAGCCCAAGGATTAGATTTCAAACGAGCAACAGAGCAATGGAAGGGATGGGCTGTGAGCTCCAACTTTCTCAAGGCCCCACATGGGCTGAAAGTTTCCATAGTCTCAAAACACTACCATGTTTTCAGGTTGACAGGGAGTCATAGTATGAAATTATAGAGGAAACGAATTCAACCTTTACAAAAAAAAAAGTCTTTAAAATCTGGATATAGTATTATAGTACCACACGCAAACATATATATATATACATAAAATACAAAGACATAATGAGAAAAAATGGCACTGAATACACAAAAACATAGAAAGTTATTTTGAAAACTAAAGAATATAATGTTAGTATAACCTACTTGATAAAAATCAATGATTAAATATATTTACTACTACTAATTGAAATTGTGGCTTCCTTCAGTCCTCCATTTAATCCATACTTACTGAATACTTCCCATTTGCTACCAGTTGCGGAAACAACTATAGCCTGGAGTTTAGGTCCCTATCTTAATGGAATTTACCTGCTAGTAGAAGAAAGAGCTTGTTTGGGAATTTTGAAAAATATTTTACAACTTGCTAAAAACATAACTATTAAATAAAATATAGTTTCTATTCTCAGCTATTTGCATTCTAAAGACAAAAACACATTCATATGTACCACTTTTTAAAACTTTAAAACTTAATTTTTTTTTTTAGGTAACTGTAAAGACCAGGAGAAAATACTAAAGTTTAAAGAAGTGTTATATATTGCAAACATTTGGTCCAGGGAATGGGATAGAACGGATGGTACCGAGGGAATCAAAGGTCTTGCACAAGAAAGGATTCAAGGAGCATGATCTTCTTTCTCAACACGTGTAGCAGTGACATCTAGGAAATACACACACAAAATAAATATTTAGCATATTGATAAACAACATGGATTCTGGAGTCTGTCTCTCCCTGGGTGTCTGAATTCTGATTTGGACATTTAGAATCTATATAAACTGTGTCATTTAAACTCTGTATCTCAGTTCCCTCATCTTCAAAATGAAAATAATTGTGCCCACTTGTGTAGATTCTAAAAATGGACACAGTCCTTTACTTCTCCCTATATTCACATCCATTGTAGTTCCTCCCATCTATTTCCCCTCCCTTGACTACAGGCTGGCCTTGCGACTATTTTGGTCAAAAAAACCCATTGCAAGTGACAATGCATTATCTCCAAGCCCAGGCTTCAAGAGACATTGTTCTCTTCCACTCTCTCCCAGGACTCTGCCTTCCCCATAGGAAAATGATGTTTCCATCATAGGAACATGTTGCTGGGTGATGAGCAATCACATGGACCAGAACCAGTGAGTCGGTCCATTGGTCCCAGCCAAGGCCCCACAAATTATAACAGAGCTCAGCCAAGATTAGCAGGCAGAAAATACACTAGCTGGATAAGCAGAACTGTCCAGCTGACCCACAGACTAGTGAATAATATGCAGTGCTATTGTCTTCTAGGCATATGATCTAGTTAGTTTGAAGCTACTAAATTTTAAGGCCCTTTTTTATGCAGCACAAAGCTAACTGATACACATGAGATAGGACTGATGTGAGGATTACATAAATTCAAATGCCTGACATATAATAGCACTATGTGAGTACTTCCTATTAAGAAGAGATAATTTCAAAATTGAGACCATTTGCCTAAGGACCTCGAAATCAAAGCCTGTGGGGCTTCTTGCTGGTTTTGTGTGCTTTTGATGGACAGTGGCACAGTGGCTGTGTGCCCGACATCCAGCAGTCAGGCTTGGATTTCTGAGGTATCTTAACTTTCTATACAAATAATTCGTATTAGAGCAGAATGGTTGTCTAAGCAGCTCCAAATTCGCTAGTTGGCTGGGTGGAAGAAAATTTAAAATGTAGAAAGTAAAGGATCAGATAAGTCAACTATTTGGTCATCATTTTGATACTCATGATTCTTCCAAATAATCTGGTTATTATCTTGACTTTTAGTAATCATATATAAGTAACCTCTCAAAGTGAGTGATTCAGAAGTAAATCTGCAAGAAGGATGGTTACTAGAGGCTGGGAAATGTTTTGGGGGGTTGGTGGGAAGGCAGAGATGGTTAATGGGTACCAAAAATTAGTTAGAAAGAATGAATAAGACCTAGTATTTGATAGCACAACAGGGTGACTATAGTCAATAATAATTTAACTGTACATTTTAAAATAACTGAAATAGTATAATTGGATTGTTTGTAACACAAAGGATAAATGCTTGAGGAGATGGATACCTCATTTTCCATGATGTAATTATTACCCATTGCATGTTATTATTATGCATGTGTAACTTTTTTTAAAAAAAAATTTTTAAAGAGAAGTAAAGTTGGGAACTAATCTGGTGAATAAATTTCTTAATACTCATTGAAGTATTAAGTAGTTTCATTGAAGTATTCTCCTGATCTCCTTAAGCCGGCAGCATAGACAGTCACTGTATTTGGACAGCAGGCCATGATACTCCTTATTAAACCCTATCACTTTTAATAGTGCCTTTAACCATATAACAATTAGCTTGTGTTTTGTCTCAATGTAATCCTTAATACCAACCCACATGTCCTTTTTAATACACTGTGATGCACAGGGGATTGTCTTATATACATGCATAAAATGAATTGTGAATATTCTGCCAAGTTAATTTTATGTATTTCAATATGATCTTCTCATCTTTTCCTTATTAAACTTAGTGCTTGGGAATTTCAAGGTCTTTTACAGAGGATCCAGATGCCCTTCGGTAACTGCCACCCATATCTTTTTTTATGATGTTGGTTATTTCAGTTAATGTTTTATTTTATAAGTATAAAATTCATTGCAGAGAACATTGATGTTCTCTCTCTATCTCTCTCTCTGTCAGAATACAAATGAATTTGAGGTTTCTATTGCTCTACCCAACTCAGTATATTTGCTAAATATAGAAAGTTTACATCCAAATAAAGAAAATTTGGCTTAATTATAATGCCATAAATAAAAGCAAAATTATCTTATTCTTTTTTTAAATAATCAACAGCATCAGCCATCATTGGAATGTACAGAACAACAGCTGTTCTGTTTCACACTGGAGTTTGCTCTCCTAAAATCTGACATACTACAGGTCATCACACAAATAAAGTATCTACTGCCCAAATAACAATGTACTGGGGTATTTAGAGTGGCAGCATGTAAAAACAAATTTATAAAGCTGGCATTGCAAATAATTTTAACACTTGAAGCTAATTTCTTCCTTTAACATTCTCGAAGAACTTAAAAGTCTTTTGGAATTTACTAGCATGTTCCTCACTCTGGAATCTCATGGGATTACATTACATTGAGACAAATCTTTCACCTATTGGTAAGGGAAGAGACTTTTGTTAAAATTTAGAGAATGGCCTTTCATAGGTTTGTGAAGAAGGACAGGAGAGAGGGTCTTCCTATAAGTCCACAAGATGAGTTGACTTGCACTGAGCTGCTCACTTGTGCTGAGGTCAAAAGTATATGGTCTTTATATACACACCATGAACCCTCATATATACTAACAACATTTCTTTAGTACTTCTGAAACACGGCGATCTTCTTTTAAATTATTTTTTTAAAGCCATGAGAAAGTGAAGGTTCAATTGGCCTTATTGACTCCACTTCCATGGAGAATTAACTCCTGCAGTGTGTCAAATAGCTGGTCCCAGGAGTTGACCAAGAAGAGCCTGAAGAGGATTTTCTTCTGCCCGGAATAATAGGAGGAAAATTGGTAGAGAAACTATCAAACAATGTAGAATCTTGGACCTAGAGCTAGAAAAGATTTTAAAGGATAAACCTGATAACCTGTATTTTATATTCTCCAGCCAAAGGACTCCGTTAAAATCTAAATCACACAAAATCTTCAAATGTCTCATTTTCTTACTCAGGGTAAAAAGCAAAGTCCTTAAATGCTCTACACAGTCCTATTCTGCCTGCCACTCACCACCTTTGGCCTCAGCTTCTGTGACTTTCTCGCATTGACTTACCTCCAGCACAGTGGCCTCCTTGCCAAGACATACGCTCACTGCATGAGATTTCTGTTTGCCGTTCTCTCTACCTGGAATTGTTCCTCTCTCATTTCGACATGACTCATGCCTGTATCACTTTCAGGTCTTCTCTCAAAAGTTACCTTCTCAGAGAGGTCTTTCCCTGACAACCTTAATTAACTTAAAAAAATCAATCCCCCGCATTTTCTATCCCCTTTCAGTTTTATTTTTTGCACACTACTTATCACCTTCTAACATACCTACGTATTTCCTTTGTTTGGTGCTTGCATCTCACCATCAGAACGCCAGCTCCATGAGCTGCATTTCTGTCTTGCACTGCTATATCCCCAGAGCCAATGGCATCCTGGTACATTGTAGGCACTTGATACCTTCTTACTGAATGAATACGTGAATGAAAAACTGGTGTTCAAAGTACTTAAGGATTTATACAAACTCACACTTTAGAAATCAGGTAACAGAGCAGGAGTAGACACCAACTTACATCCCCTTTACACAAACTAAATGAAGACTTATTAATATAATACAGGTGTCAGTCTGAAACATAAGCCTACTGACATTTATGTAGGGCTTTATTACTCAAAAAACTAATTCTCATTTAATTCTCTTGACCACTCTATCAAGTACAAACTAGTATCTATTTTACAGTTTATAAATTTGATGCTCAAAGAGACTACAGGAAAAAATAGGTTCATTGGAAAGAGATCTGTTAAAGAGGCTCTTCTGCCCTCTAAAAGAATGTTTCATTTTGCAAAAAGAAGCACTGCAGAATTTCATTCAATGATAGCTCTTCTAATACCAAAATTTTAAAGTGAAATTCAATATGCCCACAACTTTTCAGATAAATTCTTAGGGCATAAAGCAAGTGTTCCAGTTCATCTGGATTTCATCCCTCATTTTGCCTTAAGCTTTTATGAATATCATTTTGAGGTCCAAGAATAGTAGTATAACAGAAAAGTTTACTTTCTTTCTGTATATTTTGTTTTTATGTGGGTATGCATGTGTGTGTGCATCTCTGTATGTGTCTGTAATTTTGTTTTGTTTCAATTTGAGAGGATTCACCAGTCTTAAAGAATCTGGGTCTACTTTGAACAAATCTAATCACTGCAAATTGTCTGCAGATTAAAATAAAATAAAACAAAAAAACTCATGGAAAACAAACAAAAAGTAGAAGGAAAGAGAAATTAAAAATAATTAGCTTGGGAAGGAGTAAAAGTTACCCCATGAAATTCTAACAATTTTCCGAAATAGTCTGCCTGCAGCTGAGATTAGTCTCACGAGCAAATGCAGACATCCACCCTTTTTTTTTAATCTGAGTATAGCCCCTGCATCTACTTGTAGGGCATTCATAAGACATGTAAAGTGTGAAATTTATCAGATTTGATGATTCTTAAGAATTAGAAAATCTGGGACTACAAGATATATTCAAGATACCTGCTATGGTGTCACAACTTGTACTCCCCAAAATTTATATATTGAAATCCTAATCCCCAAGGTGATGGCATTAGGAGGTAGGGCCTTTGGGGTGATCACATCAGCAGGTAGGGCCTCATGAAGGGATTAGTGCCCTTCAATGCCTTGATTTGGACTTCCGAGTCTCTAGAACTCTGATAAATGTTTATTGTCTATAAGCTGCCCAGTTTATGGCATTTTTGTTGTAGTAACATGAATGGACTAAGACAATACCTTAAGTGAATGTCTTTCTACCACAACTGCATAGAATATTCCTTTGAAATCCAACTAAATATTTCTTCCATTGCTGAATCAATTGTAATAACATCACAGCTAGAAACTCATAAAAGTGAAACATAAGAAAACTGATTTACAAGAAGAAAAAGCAGAGTGTAGGGTCTTTTTTTATGTAATGCATTTACCACAGAGACATTTGGTTTTCAGGTCAAGAAAATCTGTCTGGGGCAAGAATGATTACACTATGGAGGTTAAGCACTAATGCAACAGCCATCTTTATCAAAATAAAAAGTAAGTTCATCAATCATAGAAAAAGCACCCGAGAGACTGTTTACTAACATAGTAATTAAGAAACATAAATGTACAACAAACTACCTGCAGATATAGCAATACTAAGTGTTCCTTTACGGACTTAAAACATAAATGCATTAGTTGCAGAATATTTATAGGCAATCTATAATCTTGCAAATCTAAGAGGTTTTTTTTACTAGAACACTGAAAAGCCTCTGACAAAAAAAAAATTTTAAAGCTTAAAAAAAAAAAAGAAAATTCATAAGATCTTAGGCTCCAAGTAGATCAGCTCTATTTTCAGTGTCTTAGGGTAGCATCATATTTAAGTCATTCTAGAGAGTTAATAATCAATTAGCAACCACTACAGAAAATGACTTATCAGCCAGCCCTGAAAATCTGCTGCAATTATTAATTTAAAAAATTTGATTTGTACACGCTGCTATTTCTTTCCAGAAAACTAAAATTAAGACCTGATTCATCTGGATGAAGATGAACACCAAGGCATTTTCCTGTTTCAGAGTTTAGAATGTGGAAACTATTTCTGGATGTGGTGTGAAAATAAGAATCCTATGTATTATCCATTTGCGAAGTAGGAGAATGCACTAACCTTACATTTAATGAAACTTAAATTCGGTTGCAGGGAAAAAGGAATGAAATCAAAATCATTATAAAATTTTTCATTACTAAATTTTCATTGTCCCAATTATGAACATTACTTGACATAGCAATATAGTTTATGGCAGAGCACAGAGTTCGAGTTCTAGTCAACAGAACATGAACTGAGTCATCACCTCAAACTCTGCCCTGTCAAAATGGAATCATCTCAATAAATTATACTTTCCTTGGGTCTCATTTCTCATCCCTTTAATCATCTTTGAGGCTCTCCTCTGAACAACTTCCAAGTGTTCTGCATTCTTCTCTGGCTTCTGAATTTTAATAATGTACTTGATCAAATGTCAAAGGAAGTTGTTATTAGTCTTTCAGAATAATTTCAAGAATAGATACACTCTTAGAAATCACGACTTAAATGAAACCTGCATAAATCTAAACAATTTAGTTCTACTACCCTCAGTGGAATAGGTAACCAACAGTACATTATTTTACTCGTGTTTCATTATTTATAGAAAATGCTTTTACTCAAAATATACATTGTAAATTTACTTCATTTACCTAAACTGTTTGAAGAGGCACAAATAAGAAATTGATTTTGAACGTTCTGTAGCTATACTCTTGTTTTAGTAGCACCAATTAACTTAAGTAGGAAAGTGCTTATAGCAAAAGTAAATATTTTTATTAGAACATACGTCTATTATTGATATGACCTTTTGATGGGAGATATACACATTTTTTACTACCACACATATCTGTTGTTGGCATGACATTTTGAAGGAAGGTTTACACATTTTTTTTATTAACACACACCCATTATGACATTTTGACATACATGATATTTTGGTGAGACGATCCATAACCCCTTGCTCTCAGGCCTACCTGAGTAGGATAAGGAATCCAGCTGACTTCCCCACTTTGGCAGGGGACCACCTGAGGAAAGCCTCACCTCCACATGGGGTGAGGAGGCTGAAATGGAAATGAGACAAGTGGTTTTAATCCACTCAGCCTGGAGATCCTCCTGATCAGCTCAGTTTCTCAGATTCACAACCGCCTCATAACTTAAAGCCCAAATTTACTTAGATGGCTCCCAACCCATATCATTGGCCTTTCACTAGCCCAACCAGTGACACTTGAACAAAGTGTACGGGGTGTTAATGTATGTTAGCAAATTATTTGACACTCCTCCAATCAAAAAGTCTTATTCACCAAGTGATTTACTTCTGAAGAATAGGATGTGGCAGCAGTGAGCAAGTACAAGTTCCAAGGCTAGATTAGAAAAGGTCATTGGGATTCTGACTGATTCTCTCCCTTGGGACATGCACTTCAAGAGCCCTAGCTGCTGTGTAATACGTCTCACTACTCTGAAGCTGTCATACTGGAGAGACCACATGGAAAGACCACAAGAGAAAGAAAGAAATGCTGAGGAGCTCCAGACATTTTTGTCTCAAAGCATTTGCATCTTCCCAGACAACAGAAAACATCACTACCACACCTGTGAGTCAGCAGCCCTCAGATGGCTCCAGCCCAGCTTTCAAGCCACTGTGACAAAGCAAAGACAAGCTGACCCTCTGAGTCCTGCCCAAATTGCAACTATGTGAGAAAATGAAATATTGATATTGTTTTAAGCTACCAGTTTGGGGGATGGTTTGTTACATAGCAATAGACAAGCCTAATACAGACCTTATCCCTATCAAGAGAGAAAATCAAGCTTCACATAGAAAAGTGACTAAATCAATAGTCTCTATAATTTTTTGATCACACAATCACAATAAATGTTTGTTTACTTATTTATTGATTTAATACATGTATGACTACACTAATGTACTACGCACAGACATAAACTTTCAAAAGGAGGAGCTAAAAACAGAAATTCTGATATTTCCCCCGGTCCCAAAAGGTTTATTATGCTCACCCAACTTCAAAAACTTCTGAAGGCAGCATGCAAATTGTTTATATAATAGTTCTGAAATTCCAGGTGATTTGACAAACTACTAGTTAGGAACAGATTACAAGTGCCAAATTTGAAGGAAACATGTGGATTTTACGTAGTCTTTAAAAAAAAATCACTTTAGCAAACAACAGAGACATTTAGAATGGAAGGAGCACTTGGAAGTTTTAGCTAACAACTCAACTCCAATATCAGCTATGCCAGTAGTTTGTTACAGAAGTTAAGAGACAGCAGTTCATGAAGTGTTACTCTTTTGATTTAGTTCGATTGGTTTCCAGGAAAACTCTGTTATAAGATATACTGCAGTCACTCATGTTCAATGGTGTTTCCTGGAAGTAGACAATCTGGCATAGTGGCCAAGATCACCACCTTGCCAGGAGTGTGGCTTGGTGGTTAAATCTTCTGAAGTAAGCCCACTGCTCTCCCACTGTGCCAAACAGGCTGGGTATCCTTGGGCAACTACTTAACTCTTTAAGCATCAATCTCTACTTCTGCAAGTGGTGATGACAATGGCATCTAACTCTTAAGGTAATGAGGATTTAATCAAGTATCTAAAGCTCTTAGCACTGTTCCTGAATTGGAATGAGTGCTCAATACATGTTAGCTGTTAATTGTTGTTATTATTGTTATTATCAAAAGATAAATAATTAAATTTATAATTTAAGGAATTAGTAAATTGTGTGTGTGCCTGTCTGTCTTTCCTGAAAGAAAATGGCATTCTTTCAGTCAGGATTAAGGCAGAAAACGAGCCCATTCCCAATCTTTTGCTCATCCAGTCCTAGTCCCCTACTCCTCCACCCTAGGCCACCCTCAAACTATTTATAAGTGGGGCAACTGAAGTGTGGAAAACGGAAATAACTCACCACAAGTAACAAAGCTTATTTATGACAAAAGTTGTACCAAAACTAGTGAACTAGATGCGTAACAGAAATATCAGTGTACTTTGGAATAAGATGTAGTTCCAATATGTGGTTCAGTAGCATTATAATTCCAGGTAACATCTGTTTCCTCTTCTGTAAAATTGGGAGTCATAATATACATATTGGCTCTTGTGTAGTGAAAATAAAAATATGTATAAAATGATTTTTGTTACACAAATGTAAGGTAGTAACATTATTAGAGGCCATATTTCCTAAGCTAGGTCTAATATGTAAACCAGTATTTTTCAAACTATAGGTGTTAACACATGGGATTTGCGGAATCAGTCTGGTGAGTCACAACCAGCATTTTACCAAAATATAAATAGATTAGAATAGAGTAGAATAGAACATATTAGGAAATATCCTTTATTTTAGATGGTAAGGTTCAGAATGATTTTGTGAAAGTTTCACACAAGATAATACATGCATAATCATGTAAAAATATTTTCTCAGTAGACAAGTTTGAAAGTCATCACACCACTGGCTTTGAAACTTCTATATGCCTCAGAATCACTCACAGGGCTTGTTAGAATATGTTAGCTTGTGTACAATGTTCCACAGAGATGCTAATATATAGAAAATCGAAACTGCACAGCACCACCTCATGAGATAGACGAGTGCAAAATGGAGGTAGACATTCATACGTTTGCCACAGGTTCCTAACAGCCTTATTTCTATTTTGTTGATAAGATTTGGCCAGAAAACTTTACATATTGGGGAGTTCTTCAAATATTTACTGGAAAAAAAATGCACTGACAACTCCCAAATACTTGGCTAAATCACCAACCAAAAGGGGGCAGGAGTTGATCAAAGAGTCCCTTAAAAGCTTTCTACTCACTCTGTAGGGAGCAGTCTTGGCTAGTCATGAATAAAAACAAGCATTGGGATACTCTAATTTTCCCATCTGCAACTTGTAGTCTGTAAATAAGCTGTCAGGTATCTGTCATTAATTCATTCATTCAATGAATATTTATCAAACAGCATGTCAAGCCCTGTATTAGAAACTGGGAATACAATGGTGAGCACATTGCTCTTGCCTATGGAATTGTTTGGGCCAGTTCATTTCCAGGCCAGGTGACAACACACAACATTCATTACTCAAAGTACTGATGATTTATGATTTTAACATTTAGGACACATTACAGCTGCTAAAATAACTTTTATATCCATTATCTCATTAAATCTGTATAGCCATAATCTAAGTTGTTTAGAGGAGGTATTAGTTCATTTTATAGGCTGAGGAAACAAAAGTCCAAGGTTCACTAAGTAGTAAGTGTTGAGACTAGAATTCAAACCTGAAAGCCTGATCCCAAACACTGTCTCTTCCCACAATGCAGACTTGCTGTTTCTTACCCTTTCCATTCCTGGGCTGACGATGAATGCAGATGAGGAGCTGAGCATGAGGGTCTGTGTATCAAGATCCCACAAGCTCTACTTCTTTTTCAGTGCTTCTGCTGTCTTACTGCATTTACGGGAAACCCAAACTGCTCCAGGGATATGACTCATAAAGAGTTTTAATGCAGAAAGAGGGTGCTTACAAAATGGTTGGAAGAGCTAAAGGAGGAAAAGTCAGAGGGCCCTACTGGACTCTTGGTTTTTTTGTTTTTTTTTTTGGTTTTTTTTGAGGGACAAGGTCTCACTCTGTCATTCAGGCTAGAGTGCAATGGAACAATCATGGCTCCCCTCGTCCTTAACCTACCAGGCTCAAGTGATCCTCCTGCCTCAGCCTCCAGAGTAGCTGGGACTACAGGCATGTGCCACCACGCCCAGCTAATTTTTTAAACTTTTTTATAGATAGGGTCTCACTATGTTGCCCAAGCTGGTCTCAAACTCCTGGGCTCAAACTATCTTCCCCCTTGGGCTCCCAAAGTGCTGGGATTACAGGTATGAGCCACCACACTTGGCCAACTCTTGCTTTTAAAGTCACTCCACTACAGCTGAAATCCATAGGTGAAGAAATTACTGTTGTCGCCAGTACACACATCTACAGAAACTTGGTGGTGGTACCACAGCCACATAAAAAGGGGCTCTCTACCACATACTATGCACAAGTGCAACCTATTGGCAAAATCTGAATTGCAGCCAGAAACCTAGCAGCAAGAGAGTCTTGTAAATGTAGCTCTTTGCCTTCCAACTCCTGGGATGCAGGTTAGAATATAGAAAGGTGGAAAGAGATGTCAAGTGCCAATCAACAATATTTAACACTAATTTTTATTTTCCCAATGTATTCTGTGTGGCTCCTGTCTTTCCTCAATCTTATATGCCCTCTTTAAATCCAACTTTATCTTTTTGACATGCTGAAATAACCCCTCAATAATCTCTCCTTCACCTTCAGTGACAATATTGCATTGAAGGACATAAACTTTAGCTACTTTCTTCCTCTCTTTCTTAGTCAGAACCCCATATGTTGCCAAATCAACCCTACCTTTGGAATTAAATGAAGCATCACCCTACAGGACATAAAATTTGCATTCCTGCACAGTTACTCAAGGACCAGATGAAGCAACTAGAAATGTGAAAGAGGTAGTTCTACCCAGAGTGAATTTTGACCAGTGGGAAAAGGGAGACAGAGAGAAAGCAAGCAGGCAATTATTTCTCCTTTCTCTCCCCTGCATACTACTCCCAGGTACAGTGCTTCCTTTCAAGCCTTCTAGATAATTCCTTCCTGCTGACTGAACAAGCCTGCTGAATTATCTGATATGTTGTGTTATGGCTGTGATGCAGTAGCCAGCATGGTAGCACACTGTGTTGCAAGAGATTACATCTGTTCCTTACCTCAACATCCTGTGATGTGATTGTATCTGGAAAATAAACTATTAGAATCATAATCATTGCTTCAGGCTCGGCTTTCCAGAGGATTCAGGCTAAGTGACATAGATTTGACACTATTGGAACCTGTAAAGCAAGGGCTCTGAGCAGAGCTGTGCTTCAGAAACACTTTGTGAAAATCACAGGTATTTTTGCTTCACTCAAGTCTGACTATATAAAAATGGCTAAGGGTGGGCCTGGGCATGCATGTGTTTCTTTAAGTACAGTTTTAGAAATGCATGAACTAGTACAAGTTCAGAACTAAAATCCAGGCCCACTAACCTGATTCTCTGTGCTCCCATCCCTATGAACTATGTACCAAGTGACAAGAGAATTTTGGTGCCACTATGTACTGAGAAAGGCTTATGACATCATTAACTAGAAGTCACAGACTAGAATAAGAATTCCAGGGAACATGTCTGTGGTGGCATAACTAAACAGGTGTGATAAGCATACAGCACAAGAGGACTAATTAACATTTTAGGAGTTTCATGAGTTTATTCAGAATTTTGTAAGAAGTTAGCATATCTCATTATACTCTTTACCTTGCCTTTCAGACATTTTCTTTAATTTTTTTTAAAGATTCAAAAGCAGCCACCTGGTAGCATGCATTGCCAATAAGAAGCGATGTAGGCTAGACTAATTGATCACTTTTTAAAGATTAAGTGGCCCATTTTCTGTAATATGAATACAGAAAACAGCTTTGACAACACCGAAGTAGTTTATTGAATTTTGACTGTCAACTGAAAATTTAAATCATGCTTATTTTTCACAAGGTAATCCACTCACAATAGGCAATTGATGTGATCTCTTTCTGTAAGAAAAGCTCTCATGCTCTTCCTGAACCTTCTACTTACTGTGCTGTTATGATGCACCTGCCTTTTGGATAGATGGTTGATAGGAGATGGGTTGTTAAAGACACAATTTACCTTGTGTGTTTCAGGCAGAAATAGACTCTCTCTGTGTAATCACTGAATGAGTTCCAAAAGCCTTTATGTCTTACATACAAGCTCAGACACTCCAGAACTCATTTTTCTTAACTTAAAAGTGGGATAATTGTAATACCTTTTGTACCTATCAGGATTATTGTGACTATTAACTGGAAAATATAATTGTTTTATCAAATTGCTATGAATGTGTACCACTTCTGTTATACATTATATGGAAAAGCCTTCCATTGGGAAGTATTGGTCACATTGTATAACCATTCTTTTTCTTGGGGCCTGTACTACTTCATCTGGGCTACAACTGTGTATAGCTCAGATATCCTCCTGCTCTTGATATCCTCCTCTTTACAGATTTCTTCAAGTGGTTCTTGAAACCTTAAGTTTATTTAGAAGGCCTAAATCTACCTTCTTTCTAATTGGAACTTTACATAAAATTCTCATTATTTATTGTGAAATACATCCTCCTATTTCATTTTTCTCGATCCATCTCCCTCCTAGCCTCCCTTCTCATGTGAATCACGTGGGTTAAGTAGGTTGAAATTCTGGACAAGATTCAGAGAATTCACATTGGTTTTAATATATACAAGTAGCAAAAATTAGAGACTAATTTTTAAAATTTTTTGTAGACTTTGTTTTATCTATGAAGTCCAGCATACTTTGTCACATACCTAACTTTTTCAATAATTATAAAACGGCACCTAAAATCAGAAGCCTTATTGTGACAACATGCCATAGCATGGCAGGCACAAGGTCTGACAACACGGCAACATTCTGAAATTGGGAGACTCATGAAAAACCCATAACAAATGGGCACAACAGGTATAATGCCCCAGGGCAAGACTGTTCTATGAGGCTTGACCAGCTAAGGATGCCACTGGAAATACTGATTGCTTTTTAGAAAAGGCTAATGGGCAGACTGCCCTTTCTACATTTCCCTTCCTCAAATAACAAAGTGCATTTCCTGAATAGTAGCCTCTATTCTTACTCAAAATATAACAAACAGATCCAGTCTTTGTGCTCTATGTCTTGAAAATTTCTTTCAGGGATTCCCTAGTTCTGAGAAATGTAGCAGATGATTTAAAAAAAAGAAAGAAAGAAAGAAAGTGTAGTTACTACCCAAGACAACTGGAATCCTCACTTTACCAGGCTGCCAGATTTGGTTTGGAACAGATAACAGATCCATGGGTGCTAGCAGATATGTCCCTGAGTACCATGCCACAACAAACATTGTTTACCCATTGTTCTCAACTCCTCAAGCTCAGGAATCAAAAAGAGGCAACAGGTTCTTTCGTTCAAATACCCCTGCCCTAAACAACTCAGCTGAGAATATCTCTTTCATACTGTTCAGTGCTCCTAAATTGATTCAAAATTGGAATTTCTCCACCTGGGTTTTCCTCCATTCTTTTTCAACAAGCAGGCAATCTCTAAGATCCTTCTCTTATTTCAACAGTGTTCCTGATGACTCTTCCTTCACCATTTTAACATCTTCTTTGATATGTTCCCAATATTTCACCTCACCTTTCATTTTGAATCAAATGAGACTTATTCATTCATTAACTCACAAAAATTTAACAAGCACCTCCTAGGTAGCAGGCACTATTTCAAACACTAAAAATATAGTAATAAATAAGACAAATTTGTGGCCTTTATGGAATTTCATTCTATGGTGACAAACCATAAACAAAGAAATTGATCTATAATACAGTTTCAGGTACTGACAAGTGTGATGGTAACATATATATAAAAATCAAGTTAAGAACTTAGAGAGTAATTTTGTAAAAATGTTGGAGAAAACTCTATTTTAGAAAACAGGATCAGAAAAAAATTTCTCTGAGAAAGTAGCATTTCAACAGCAACAAAAATTAATAATAAAGTGAGAGTGCAAGAGATATAAAGATCTGGAGGAAGAGAATTAAAAGGAGATGGAACAACCAGCATATGTTATGAAGTGGAAATGAGCTTGGGCACACTTAAACATTGATCAGGCCAAATAATTGCACTTTTGCTTTATGTTGTATTTGTCCATATACCTGTGTCAACTTTCCAATTTCAGCTTCTAGTGAAAAGAAGCCAGTTTTGTGTAACTCTTTGTAAATCTTCACATAGTATCAATCAAAGACATGAAAAATTAAGTATTTACTGAACGTTTTGATGACGGTGAAGGCTGCGCATTTCTCCCATCATGCAGTACAGGTGAGTGCATAAGTAATTAGTATGAGAGCTATAAAGCCTCTTTAAATAAGGTGTCTACTTGAACTAAAATAAATAGACTGAAAGCACAATTGGTTTTACATAAATTGGGAGTGGAATAAGATTTGGAGTGCATGGGGAATTTGATGCAATTGAAGAATCTGAGAAAGGGACTTTCACAGTGATGAAAAAGACAGCAAAGACTAAATTGTACTAACTTCAAGATAAGAGTTAACCAGAAGTGGTTACATAAGAAACATTCAAGGGAATTTTAATGTGCTGACACAAACAGGATTATAGGGAAATATAATTTCAATGTACATTCTAGTTAAGTACTAAATATTTTTGTAGTAGTTTTGAAAAGAGAATGTAAGTGTCCAGTGACTCAGGACAACCTTTTGCTTCTCTCAGCAAAAACTGCAAAACATCTACACTTATCGTTTACTGCAAAACAAGCAAATAGCCAGTGCCTGTCTCTGTAGTGGCTACCTGTGGGGAGCTCCACTTCTGTAAGCTCCCAAGAAGGTACATTTCAAGGGCTATTACCCTAATCCTGATTCTCCGTTAGTCCACAGGCCTCTTTATGGTGCCCCATGCAGAGCTGAGCCTCATGAGCAATTAACCCCAGGGTAGCTGAAAAATTAATTTTCAGCAGTGAGTCCTATTTGCAAATAGAATCTAGTCTTCTAAGGGGCATCGGACTAGGCCTTTCACTTATTTTTTTCTAGCTTTATTAAGGTGTCAATAAAAATTATATGTATTCAAGGTAAAGAATGTAATATTTTGATATATGTATACGTTGTGAAATGATTACCACAATCAAACTAATTAATATATCCACTTCACATAGTTACCTTTTCATATGCATGTGTAGTTAGAATACTTAAGATCTATTCTCTTAGCAAATTTCAAGTATGCAAGATATTATAGTTACCAAGCTTCACGTTAGGTTTCTCGAACTTATTCATCTTATGTGAAAAGCAAGTTGGTCAAAGGATACAGACTTGCTTTTCACTTTTTTGGAGTGCCCCTTAGAGCTAGCATAAGTCTAAACACATAAAGGCATTCAGCAAATATTTAATAAATGAACCATGTTTCAAAGGGTTTGCTGCTATGGGTACTCTATGTCAATGTAGTACTTAATGATACCTAAAGGTTAGGTATTAACAAATTATAAAATGTTCATTACTTAAGCTATAGGAAACTTTTTGAGCTTTATTGTGTAAGCCTAGCTAGGTTTTAGGATTGCCTGAAAAAATACAGGACTCTCAGTTGCATATGAATTTCAGAAAAAAAAGTTTTTAGTATATACATAAAAAACATATTATATACTATATAATATGTATCATATTATATACTATATAATATGTATCATATTATATACTATATAATATGTATCATATTATATACTATATAATATGTATCATAGTATATAGTATATAATGTGTATCATAGTATATAGTATATAATGTGTATCATAGTATATATTATATATAATGTGTATCATAGTATATATTATATATAATGTGTATCATAGTATATATTATATATAATGTGTATCATAGTATATATTATATATAATGTGTATCAATTATATATTATATATAATGTGTATCAATTATATATTATATATAATGTGTATCAATTATATATTACATATAATGTGTATCATGTTATATATTACATATAATGTGTATCATGTTATATATTATATATGTGTATCATGTTATATATTATATATAATGTGTATCATGTTATATATGTGTATCATGTTATATATTATATATAATGTGTATCATGTTATATATTATATATAATGTGTATCATGTTATATATAATATATAATGTGTATCATGTTATATATTATATATGTGTATCATGTTATATATTATATATAATGTGTATCATGTTATATATTATATATAATGTGTATCATGTTATATATTATATATAATGTGTATCATGTTATATATTATATATAAATATTACATGACATATATTTTTATGAAAAATATATTTTTAAAATATATATTTGTATAAAAAATCAGTTTATCTGAAATAAAATTTAGATTAAATACAGGATATACTATGTTTTTATTTACTGAATCTGGCAACTCTAATTCAGCCTTTTGGCCTTGAACCTGATTGAATTTGTTTCTCTTCTTTTCTCAAAATACGATTAAACTATTTTAATAGTGTTTATGCCCTATTAAATGAAGACTGTATAATCATGATCCTCTTGACCTTCTTTGAAGACATACAGAAAAAGAAACTCCAGAGCATATGTAATTCTGGATCAATGTGTAGAATGGCATTATCCACAGGGCCTAGTAAAGCCCAGTATGTTGAATTTTGCTAAAAAAGAAGAAAAAAAATAAAGGAATAGGGTTTCAGCATTTTCTAATGACATGGCCAGATGATGCCACAAAATCTTGGCATTACTGATAAGCACACGCTGTGCTGGAAAATCAATAGTTTCTGAAGGGGATCCTGAAGGGAACTTTCCATTATTGAAGTTAGAAATAACTTAGCCCCACACTCATAAATTCCTGGAGTTCAGGGTGCTCAGTGTTCCTAAGCAAGAAAGCACGGGACTTGTCCTAACTTCATAACCTGCTGAGCTGGAATTATTGCTTTTACAAATTACAGAGTACCTACTTTTTTAAAACTGCATTTTTAACTATTTCAAGTGCCAGACAGTAATTGAGATAGGAACGTAAATTTAAGTACAAGTGTCCCCCCACTTTAAGAAAGCCTGAATAGGCCGGGCGCGGTGGCTCACGCCTGTAATCCCAGCACTTTGGGAGGCCGAGGCGGCAGATCACGAGGTGAGGAGATCAAGACCATCCTGGCTAACGCGGTGAAACCCCGTCTCTACTAAAAAAATAGAAAAAATTAGCCAGGCCTGCTGGCGGGCGCCTGTAGTTCCAGCTAATCAGGAGGCTGAGGCAGGACAATGGTGTGAACCCGGGAGGCGGAGCTTGCAGTGAGCCCAGATTGTGCCACTGCACTCCAGCCTGGGGGACAGAGCAACACTCTGTCTCGAAAAAAAAAAAAAAAAATCCTGAATATGCTAAAAGATAAGCTTAGGTAAGCAGATAGGTTGTGGAAGTGGTTATTTACATTAAATAATATTTCATTGCAACATTCCATTAAATATTAGACTGCCTTGCTATTTTTTAAAAATTACATCATTTTCTCCCTTGCAATGAATTCTCAATTTTTCAGATTTTGTGTTATGTTTGGGCAGTGAAAGTTTAGCCCCTTGATCATTTTAGCATTCCATGTTATAAATATCTACATAATGGTTTATAGTTAGTTAGTATTCTCCTTCCTTAAAACTCTAAGGTAATAGTACTCTAAGGTATTATTCTATAGGAAAGCATTGGCTACAGAGCTCAGCTCTCTTCAACTCCCTTCCTTTTTTCTAAAACGTGTAGGTAAAGCTTCTCTAAAACTTTTGAGTAAACCACAACTTTTTATTTTCACTCCTTCATATGATTTCCTTACACTGTAAGTACTGAGACATTAAGAAATAAAATTCACTATTATTTTTGCAAATGGAGTCATTCCTCAGAAATAGCAGAGAAGAGTTATTCTGAATTATTCAGTCTTCATTTTTTTTTTTTTTTTTGAGATGGAGTCTCGCTCTGTTGCCAGGCTGGAGAGCAGTGGTACAATCTTGGCTCACTGCAACCTCCACTTCCCGGGTTCAAGCGATTCTCCTGCCTCAGCCTCCCAAGTAGCGGGACTATGGGCATGCACCACCACATCCAGCTAATTTTTGCATTTTTAGTAGAGACGAGGTTTCACCATGTTGGCCAGGATGGTCCCGATCTCTTGACCTCGTGATCCTCCCGCCTCAGCCTCCCAAAGTGCTGGGATTACAGGCATGAGCCACCATGCCCGGCCAGTCTTCATTTTTAAATAAACTTTTTATGTGAGAATACTTTTATTTTTAAAAAGTGATGATATAGAAAGTTCCTATATACCCCATACCCAGTTTCTCCTTTTGTCGACATCATACTACATGTTACAACTAATGAGCTGATATTGAACCATTATTATTTCAATAATGCTTGCTTCAGATTTCCTTAGATTTTACCAAGTGCTCTTTTCTGTTGCCAGACCCCACCAGGATCCCACATTACACTTAAGTCATATGTCTCTTTAGGCTCCTCTTGGCAATGGCAGTTTTCACACTTTCTTTGTTTTAATAATTTAAGGAATACTGGTCCAGTATTTTACAGAATGCCCCACAATTTAGTTTTGGATGATGCTGTTCTCAAGATTTGGCAGGTTTTAGAGTGTTGAGGAAAAAACCACAGAGGTGAAGTGCCATTCTTATCACATCACAACAAGGGCACATACTATCATCATGACTTGTCACTACTTATGTTGGCCTTGATCAGCTGGCTGAGGTAGTGTTTGTTCGGTTTTTGCAATGGTACAGTACTCTTCTTTTTCCCTTTTCCAGATTGTAATCTTTGGACATAAGTCACTATGCACAGCCTACACTTAAGAGGTGGGTAGTTAACCTCCACCTCCTTGAAGGGCCAATATCTACATTGATTATTTGGAATCCTGCACAGTAAATTTCTTTCCCTCCATTTGTTCATTCAATCATTTATTTATATCAGTGTGAATGCATGGATACTTTACTCGTTGTGTTATAATCCATTACTATTTATTTTGTTGCTTAAATTGTTCCAGCTTTGGCTATTGGAGCTCTTTCAGTTAGCTCCTATGTCCCTTTGACATACCCCTGCCACCCTCATCATTATGATTTTTATCTTTTTTTTATGCTTTCTCAAGGCACCACAAGATGCTTCAGGCTTCTCTTATATATTTCCTGCTCCAGACATAGATTCAACTTCTAGTTCCTTTTATTGGAGAATGGCATTAGAAACCAAGATCTGAGTCATGCTAGGTAAAAGCCACTGTCATTTTAAAATCATTTCTCCTCCCTCGGTCCTACGTGATGTATTTGCTATTAGACTGAAGGATACTGTGTTCATATTGTTGATCTCAAACTTGGTCCTTTAAAGAAAATTAGAGTTTAATTTTGGAATTACTTGATTTTAACAAACCTTATTCTACTTTATATTTAAAAACTATGATATTAATTTATTTTTCTTTTTTGGTATATTTTGTTCTTTCTTTTTCTTACTAAAGGAATTAGAAGTTTAGGGAATGAGGTTACTAAGGAAAGGAAGGGTGGATTACTTCTCTCCAGGCTCAGCTAGGAGGGGCAGCCTAGTAATTCAACTAGAAATGGCAGGGTATATCTAAGCCTAGGAGAAGTTTAATATATACTGCTCTTATTCAACCATTGTTTAAAAATAATTATGTGGTGACCACAGACATATGAGGAACTGGCTGTAGAATGAAGAGGCTGCAACAAAGGAAGAAGAAAATGACACACAAATACCATTATCAAACCAAATAACCACCTTGTATTTTTATGATGCACTGTATACGGGAAGGAAGCTGGTTTTCAATGCCAAGAGTTGCTCTTTCACAGACTCGGTGTCAAGCATGCATTCTATTCAAGATCAAGACTTTAAGTGGTTTTTACAACCACATGTATATCCTATAGTAGCCTGGGCTTACCAAATTCTCATACTACTAGCATTGAGACCATCTCCAAAATTACACTAAGAAAAATTTTAATTAATACATAAATGTATGCCCCCTAGCAATTTGAATAGGTGAGGTTACATTAAATGCTAGACAAAAGGGTGATTTCCTTGCACCCAACACACACACACACACACACACACACACACACACACACAGAACATACTAGATCTTTTGATTGCTCTTCCTTCTCTATACTTCCTCTTTCAATTCCTGGCCACCAATTCCTCTCACCCCAACGTAAAAACTCTGAATAACACTATAGAGCCTCGAACAGAATCTATATAACCACTGATGAAATCACAGCCCTAAGGCTACTCAGGAAGACCAAGGCTCACGCAGAGCTACTAGAGCCCTACAGCCTACTAGAGCCATGAGTCTCTACTGATATCGGAAAACAGTTCTGACTTCTGGTCACTTAACACTGCTAAATTGATACCCAGACAAAAAAATTGTTGGCATCTATTAGCTAGATGCTTTTGGAGCTAACTGAGCCAGTCAGAGATGGGCTGACTGACAGCTGGATGTTTTCATTTATTGTGCTTCAATCAGAAAGTGGCTGAAGGCTACTCTTCTCTATGTACCGCTCTGCCTTTTCTAAAGGACGTGGGTTGGGATTCAAAGGACATGGTCTTTAGTCAATACAGACATTGTAGACAGCAAACACAAATCAATAGAAAAAAATAACTTTTTTATTTACAAAAAAATCCAAATATTGGATGCTGTAAACAAAATTCACAATCTGTTCCCTCTAGCACTGATTCAAACATGTCAGTTTTTTAGTCCATTTTCCATCAACTCCTTTTCTGCCTGTGACGCAGCCTATAGTCAAAATATTCCAAAAGAGTGACCCAAGGTGCAGCTTGCTGCAACAGAACACCTCAAAGCAGGCATGATTGTAGAGAGGTTGGAGGGAGAGACAGCCAGCAGGCAGAGCCTCCTCCGTTCTGCAAGGCTTTGCAGCAAGTCTCGTTAACTTGACATCTTCCAACTTTGTACTTTACCATTTGCTTTGTTAGAAAGCCATTATTTTAACAAAATATAACATAGAGATTCTTTCTTAGCACTGAAAATGCTATGCTAAAAGAAATTTTAAAGAAAGATTATATTCAAATAGATGCTATATATGAAATTACTTTTTTTGGCTTTTTGGTTTCACCTAACACACTTCATCTTCAACAACAACAAAAAAGCTTATTTTTGAACTGACAGCTTTCAACATAATACATTTCATTTACAAAATAGTTCACAATATTTATTTAACAAGCGTTGCATTGAAAACAACTTTATGCACAGTGAAGCAACCAACAATAAGCAAACAGAAAGGGGTGGTAAAAACAGTACGTTCACTTTTCATTTCCTTCCTTGGTTTGGATTACACATATTCTTCCATCCTTGCATTTTTGGAGCTACATTATTAGTCCATCCAATACCAAAGTGAGCAGATACTTGATCCCATTTCTGGAAAGGAAATGTCCATCTTGGTGTAGGAGTTCTTGAGGCAGCTGGATTTACTGCAAATTAAGTAAACCTTTAAAAACGGCATTGTCAC
Organism: Homo sapiens; assembly: GCF_000001405.40. Taxonomy (NCBI): domain Eukaryota; kingdom Metazoa; phylum Chordata; class Mammalia; order Primates; family Hominidae; genus Homo; species Homo sapiens. The sequence continues at coordinate 81,746,612 of NC_000006.12, forward strand.
AGGCTATGTGTTCTCTGACATGCCAGGCTGGACAGGTGAGAAGAGCCTCCAAAAGACAAAACTTCTTCCTGGTTTAAAGAAACAGCACACTAGGCCAGATAAACACAAAAGGAAACAAATCACAGGCGCTAATAGGGAGTCGGGAGCTGTTCTTTTCTCTGACCTATACACATGGCTCTCTCTCACCAGACATTCAAATTTTTAGGCCGCACATCCACAAAGAGAGACATATATTTCACTGTGTGTTCAACTACATATGCACAAGACTATAGTACACACAAAATAGAAATAAATTATATAAGTCTTAAAGTAAATGCTAGAAGTTGTCTTGAGTACAGCCTGTTCTATATGAATAGGTGCCAGGTGCTGGCACTTCCAACTAAGCTACCAACCCTGAAGTAAGCAAGAAAAGAATATAAATATTTAAGAAAATAAATCAAAGTGTATTTCAAATAAGGCTCTTCCAAACAAAAATCTGTGTTATAAATTAACAGCAGGTTATTGTTATGGCAGAGTCAGAGACCTCCAGACTCTTTAAAATAGTAGACGACTCATTTGTCAAGAGTTAGGGTAAGAAAGCAGATCACCAGCTGCTCCTGTGTTCACAAGTGCTCCCCTAGTTTTCTTTCAGAAAACTTTGAAACAACTAAGCAGGCGGAGCTCTGGTTTCTGATAGGTGAGTGCCAGGCTTAATCTGCAAACTGAACAATGTTTCCTGGGAAGTTGCAATTAATTTTTCAAACCCAGGGCTTAAGTGAGGGAGACTGAGCCAAGATGGTAGTAGGAGGAGTTCCTTAGAAAACTGAGTGGCAGTGCAGCGGCTGTTGCAGCTCTGACAGAATTCACAAGGAAGCTGCTACAGCAAACCCATCAGGTTCCCATTAAGGCTTCAAAGAAAGATGCACAAAAGGTAGTCCAGACGGATTAACCTGGATTAACCTAGCACTAAGCATCTGAGGATCCCTAGATAAACAAACAAACAAATTATACTGCCAACAGGAGGATATTTTTTTCTCCCGTGGTCTCTCTTTAACTGATGATGAAAATCTTCTAATTGGGTCTTCGAGGAATTATCATAGCAAGCAGTCATCCACTAAGGTTGTGGAGATTATGTGGTTGTTTCACAACACAAAGGGAAGGTTCTTATGTGTTAGTTTTGTTTTGTTTTTAACAAATGCATTTTCAGAGACCAGTATCTAGAGGAACTACTGGCTAGGAGAAAGGGTGGTTTTAGGATTAGCTGTTATTGAACTGAAATAGTAATGCCAGTTCATTTCACAAAGGTATAACTGGTATTTTTGTAAGAAAGAAAATAAAGTTGGATTTGATTTAATGGAAAGCGATTTAAAGTACAGTACTAAATATTTAAATGCAGTGTGACAACCAGATCAAAGATGTTTCATATTGACATGATTTATAAAATGTTATATATAATATATATCTCATATATAAATTTTAAGCAATTGTGCAAATATTCTGTAAAAAGGGTCATTTCACATTACTAAATTCTAGTGGTCCAGAAATGCAGAATGCATTCATTAAAATTCATTTAAACATTAGCAAGTAGTGTTTAGATCACCGGAAATCCTTTTTAGCAGTCAGGGATTTAAGTAGCCTATTACTGATCCATGATCCACTAGATTAAACATCATAGAGGAATGCAATTTTTTTTTTAATAAATGGGTTCCAACTGTCAAAATGGCAGTTCAATATAAAAAAGAGTGCTCTGCCAAACAAATATTCTCCCATTTGTGGAATTTTATGGCTCACCAAAGAAAAAAAAAAAAAGAAAAAAAAATCCCACTAAAACAGTATAATTTCTGCTCTTCCTATGAAATATATTACTTGGTTCCCTCCTTCATTTAATTTTTTTAGATGTGGATTTAATTCATCATTGCAATATGCCCACGTCTCATGTTATCCTGTTGAAAACATAAAAACACACAGTATTTAAACATTTCCTATTTGAGACATTATTCTAGATCATAGTCAATCTACTGTGTATATATACATATAAAATGTATATATAAAATGTATATATACACACACACATATAATTTATACACACATACACATGTACCTATGATAATATCAGATCAACAAATGTTAACTTTATACAAGTATTTGCAAGAAAAAATAGGGCATTTTCTCCACCATTCACAAGCTTATGTTATTTTCTTCTTGAGGCAGTCCCTGATAAAATAAAATAATCATTAAACCATAAAATAATTTTGCCACTTCAAATTTTCAGAAGGCAACAGGCACTTTGATGTATATTGGTGTGTAACAAATATAATCTCTCTTCATATAGTCTACTATATCTCTTCTAATTGGGTATTTTTATCTGTTAAATCTTTGGTCCTTGAGCACACTTTCTTTGTTACAGCTGTTTTTGCTTGCATTTTTACATTTTAAAAATGTGATCTATGCACGCAGCTGGAATTAATGGATTGTGTCATCATAAGTTCTGCTGATTGTTACGAGAACTGCACCAACCTACTACTGTTCATTTGGAGCAAGCCGTTTGTTAGCAAAACAAGATCATTCCACAGAAAGCACTTGCTACAAGCCTCAGACAGTAATCCCAACGTTGGAGTTCCCCTTTTTCCTGTATTGTTACTATTAATATCTGAACTCCTAAACTGATTCACAAGTTGGAGTGAGACCTTTTTTCCTCCGTATTTTCCCTTTTATGAATTCCATCTTAAAAGAAACTTTCCACTTTTTTTTTTCCTATGGCAAAGCTATGGGAGCAGATACAGCAAACCCATATTGTCATCACACATTTCTTCTCTTGTATCAGGAGAACCTGGTTGCTTCTAATGACAGGTCTCTCTTTTTTTGCAGGATAGAATCCAATTGGGTAGGAGAATAAGAGAAGGGAAAAGGATCCTTTCGAGATCATGCTCCCACATCTATTAAAAGATACATAAGCTTTGCCAAACTTAAAACCAGGAGCATATCATCATTGCACAAAACACATCCCTAATAAGGGCTGGATCACTCTTTTTTTTTTCTTTTTTTTTTTTTTCTCTCCTGTCTTGTCTGAAATGGCTTCCCCACAGGACATTTTTAAATGATTCTTAATTGCAGGGTAGCCAAGTGGAGTAGGTCTGTTGCTGGCACGTGAATACTGGCTGAACCTGTGCAATGTAGTAATTGCTAAAGTTGGCATCTGCTACATAGGGGGCTGGCTGGTAATAGCAAGTGACATTAGCCACATTAGGAATGACATTTTGGTCAGCTAACACCCGGATAGCCAGCATGGTGATAAGGTTTAAAGTCTGTCTTCTTTCATGTCCCATCAGGCACACTGTGCTCTCATTTACCACTCCATGAAGGGTCATGAGATACTCATACTTGCGGTCTTCCAATCCCACAAAGTGGTTCTGCAAATAGGACTCCAGTTTTCTCTGCTGCTCTCCAATGTCTGAGAAGTCGATGAAAAACCTGGAACACATATACCTTTGAAGGGTCTTGATTTCATCAGAGGCGGGCCTAAAGCCCCTCACCAAGAGGTTGCAGTACTTAAGCAGGCCTCCCCCTCGGATTTCCTCTGGGTTCCTGGTGGCAATGATCTTGTTACAAAGGTGATCAAAGGCTTCCTGGAAATCGCCATAGACGCTCTCCCCGATTATTGTGGGGTGAAATGTCTCAGTCATTGGGTTCTCTGAACATTCATAAAAGAGCAGAAGAGAGTCTAATTTGATTTGAAAAGAATCTACACTGAATTCAAACTGCCTCCGGAGGGAATCCACAAATTTCAGTTCCACATTTTTGCCACTGTTGTTTGACAGGGATATAAGACTCCATCGGTCAGAGTCATTGCACACTTTAACCATTTTCTGCACATAAGCTTCCTACAATTTAAAAGATAAAACAAAATGAGCAAACCTAGAAAATAATAAATCAATAAATAAATACATCCTCTTCACAGCTGAGAATTATTTTGCTCTTTCCCTTTTGTTTTGTCAAGTTTCAGCCAAACACTACCTACAGGCTTAAACGGTCTTCTGAAAATAGAAAAAAAATACTTTTAACGAGTAGTTTTACTGTCTGGGAAAGGGACTAGAGGTAATAGTTTGAGGCTTTTGGCAGACGTAGCACAGTAGTAAGAGGTTTTGTTGTCATGTCTGACTTTTTAAGTGTTACTTTTTGAAAACGGTCTAATAGGCACAATATTCACACAGTATCCAAACAACATTCAAAAGACTCGGAAGGGCATTCAGCGGTAGGTTAGTCAGCCTCTCGCCCTTGTTCCAAGCCACCCAATTCCTCTCCGCCTGCGGCAATCAATGTTATCAGTATCTTGTGTGTCCCTCCAGGGGCACCCTGCAGTTACAATCAAATATAAACTAAATTATGACATTCCAGGAGCCTGCCTCCTCAGACAATTTTAACTAATCATATAAAACCCGTCTTGAACTAAAGTGGAGGGTGGGGAGGGGGTGCCACTATACCCTTAACATATGAACCAGCACGAAGAACCACCAGATAGACCTTTAACACGTAGTCAGCTGAATGCCGCTGTGAAATCTATTCACCTTTTCCAGTACAATAAAAAACTCATTGACTCACTTCTGCTTCAGGCTGTTATTTTCCCAAAGGCTAGACTCAAATATAATGACTCAAAAATTATTTACATCATTTCATTCTGCCAAGTATCAGAATCTACTCTGGACAAGACTCCAACAGGGAAAGCCAAGAGTTAAAACATAAGGAGAAAGAAGAGAAGAGAGGGCAGAGGAGGACCTGGGAGAAGAGTTGTAGCGCCAAAGCATCAAGTAAACTGAAACACTCAACACCGTCCACGCACGTCAGTTTACTGGTTTAAAAAATCAAAAATCAAAGAAATAACGCGCGCCCAAACTCGTGATGGCCACAGATTCATGGCATTTAACCGATGCCCCTCTGCCCGCTCCCCGTCACACCCGGCCCAGACTGGGTCAGGACCCAAGTGCATCTCGGGTGGTGTTACCTTGAGCGTGAGTGGTGTGATCTTCTCTTTGTTCACCCCCTCGGGTAAGAAGTCCAACAGGCAGTCCAGCACGACGTCCTTCACAGTCTGAAACTCCCCTTCCCCGCGCAGGTCGGCGCAGAAGATGAGGTCCAGGTCCTTGTAGCCCAGGCCGCTGTCCTGGTGCAGGACATGGCTGGCTGCCGAGCCGTTGAGGCGCACGTCGCGGACGCCAATGCGCTTCTCGGCCAGGCGCCGCCGCACCACCTTCACGATCAGGCTCGGCTGCAGCTCGAGCGTGGGGAAGTTGCCGCGCCCGTGAATCGGAATGGTCTCGCTCAGGATGCCGTCCAGCCGCTGCACTTGCTCCCAGTTCAGCACATTGCAGTGCGCCGTAGGGCTTTCGCAATAGTCCAAGCAATGCCCACCGAAGCTGCCGCCACCGCCGAAGTCGCCGCCGCCGAAGTCGCCGCCGCCGAAGTCGCCGCCGCCGAAGTCGCCGCCTAGGGGGATGTAGGGGCTGCAGGCCAGCTCGTCCTCAGACATGGCGAAGTACCCTTCACCCTCCGCCATGTAGTGCCCGCCGAGCGCCACTTGGCCCTGGTCAGTCCTAAAAAGAAAGGGAAAGGAGCGCGGTGAGGACGCGCGGCGGCGGAGAGCACGCGCGGCGGCGGAGAGCAGAGGCCCGCCAGGAAAAGAGCGCCCCCTCCCCCGATAGTTCCCTGACCCCGGGCCTCCTCGGAGACTCCCTCCCCCGGCCCTTACAGTCCCCAGCCGCGCACCGCGCCCCGCAGAGCAGCCCCGCACCAAAAGTATCTCTGATGCATCTGGAAAGCGCAAGCGAGAGTCCCGTCTGTGTCACCTGGAGGCGGCCGCCCCTTCTAGGAGCGCAGCGAGCGAGAGCGAAACCGAGAGGCGGCAACACTTCCAGGAGCTGCGAGCGCGCTCAGACAGCAAATAGCGACTTCGTCTTTCCCAGACCCCTGCCGCCTGCGCTCACCACTCCCTCCCCGCGACCCCTCCTGCGCCGCTGCCACCCCAGCTGCGGTGGTCCCGAACTGGCGGCTCTTGCTGCCACACACGCTCGTGTCTCTGGAGCTTTAGCAGTTGTGCGGGGAAAATGTCTTCAGTACTTTTTTTATACCGGGCTTCTCTGCGCTTCCGGGGCCCAGAGCGGCACGTTCGCCACACCCTCCTCATCTGCATAGGGCGCCGCCCCCTCTGCCCTCCCCCGCCCGCAGGGCACGCAGCTGACTAGCCCAGCAGTTAGTGCGGGACGACTGCCGGTGAGCGTGAGGTCCTGGGCTGTATGTGCGGATACTGTGTGCGCCCGTAGATGCGTGTATTTATACATACATTTAATTTATGTACGCCCCCTCCCACAAATCTCTTTTCATTTTCCCCAGGAGGAGACACTTTAAATGCCCCAGGAATCATAAGTGGTCATCAAAACCAGATCACGACTAAAATCCTGCAACTGCAGAAACTTCCCAAAATTCTCGCGGACTCAGCCCGTCTTTAGATCATCACGGTTGGGCTCCGGAGGTTCCTCACGACCGCTCTTTTAAACCTCGGTTTTTAGGTAGACCATTTACTCCATTGATAAACCCGATCCAAGTGTGGACTCATGAGTCCACTCTTGCACGCAAATCAGTCACGGCGCGTGAGTGGGAAGGGCTTGTTGATAACTGGGTTTCGATTCTCGAAACCTCGGGAAGCGCGCCGGGGAGCTCTGGGCGAGCCCGAGAAGGCGCGGGGGCGGCACCACGGGCCTCGGGCGTGCGCGGCTCCTGCGCACGAGTGGCTCCAAGGGGCCAGTACTTCGCGGGGGTCAGGGCGCGTCACGGAGCAGACGCGGGCGAGCAGCCAATGGCCGAGGACTGGGCGGGCCGAGTGGGCGCAGAGAGCGCGCCCGGGGAGTGCGTGCTGCCCCGGAGTCCAGGGAAAGGGCCGCTAGGTGTCCGGTGCCTTTGCTGCGAGTTCTCTGACAAAATTGGAGGCGGCGAAGCGCGTTCCTCGCGGCCCCCTAAAGTTTGGCCATTTTAAGTGCATCATAGTGTCAGTGGAATACGATTTGGTTTTCCACGAGACGTAAAAGTAGGAGTTTCAAGAATAAAATGAATTCTCTCCTCCAGCTTCGGTGACTTCGGCAGAGCTAATTCTACGCACGCTCACTCGCGCCACCACCACTCTTTGCTAGAAAGCTGTGGCCGTCTCTTCGGCAGCTCGCTGCCTCCATCAACTAACCCGGAGCAGCTTTCCCAGCGCCTAGACGCTGCCGGGGGCTGAGGTGGGGCAGAGGGGAGAATGCCAGGGTCACAGAATACTCCCCAAACCCTGCTCAGCCCTGCCCGCCCAGACTGGGAGGAAAAACAGCCCGCACCTCCTAACTGGGGGAGCCCCGGCCTAGTCACTCAAGCTGCGCGGCTCGGGGGTGAGGGGTAGGGTGCGGGGGTGTCACCCGTGGAGCATCCAGCTGCGTGACAACGCCGCCCCCTCCCGGTGCCCTGCCGAGCTGCGTCCCAAAATGGAGAAATCCGACTGTCTCTGTGGCAGAGGCCATCCCCTCAGCGCTGCGCCTAAGCACTGAGGTGCGCCTGGGGACTCTAGGACAACTACCCTGTCCGCATAGGGCCATCGCTTCCTTCAGAGCACACCCATGTGTTCCTCTGACCAGCCATCGGCGCATGAATCTATCTTAACCAGGCATTTTATACATATATATACATATGCATATTCTTGTGTGAGCATGTGTATAGAGAGAGCATTTAGTGACCTGTTACGTGCCAGGCAACAGGCTAAGTGCTGAAGATTTAAGAATGACATTTCACGTAATCTAGAGGGCATAGCACCTAGGTGCATAATTATGGTTCAGTTGCATATGTATTATGAGAGAAGTATATTCTGACGCAATCGCGTGGCGGGCTAACTACATAGGAAACGGAGAGACACCCGAGAAGGTGTCATTTGGACTGGATCTTGAAAGAATGGATGTTCTTTCAGTAGTCGGGGAAAGAGGAGAAGAGCGTTATCTACAAAGGGAAGCGTATGGAGTTGGAGAATGTTTGAGGAAGGATATGTACACTCCCGTGATTAATAAATGAGATTGGTAGTGCCTTGAGATAAGGTTTATGAGTACCAGGAACTTATTGAACACGTCTGGGCTATAACCTGTTTAGCTCCTTAACATAATACCTAATTTAATCTTCAAGAAGAAGGTATTTCCATCTCCTAGGGATCTAGAAACAGAGGAATCCAAGAAGTTAAGAAACATTCCCAAGTTCCACAACTAATAAGTTGTGGGGTCAGGCCTTTAACCCAACCCATTTGGCTGTGAATGCTGTTTAGTGGTCATTACGGGGTAACGAGTGGTCTGTAGCTTATCAGTACCTTCTTATTGGAAAACAAGACAAGCACAAATAGGAAGAAGGAACGATGGGGAGGGGAGGGAAGGGGAGGGGGAAAAGAAGAAAAGGAAATGGAGGAAGGGAGGGGAAGGGAAGGGAAAAAGAAAAGAAAAGGGGGGGAAGAGAAGAGTAAAGAAGAAAAGAGAAGAGAAAAGAAAAAGAAAAGAAAAAAGACCTGTTAAAAATGTTTCTTTCAAAGACCGGTATGAATTCTGCCCCTTCTTAAAACAAAGCCAAAGTAATAGATCGTATATTAGACACGCTGTACTTTAAAAACCAAGGGTGTGTGCATGTGTGTGTGTTTAGCTCTACTACAATTATTTTGTACTTTATTTTTACCCTTGCTCCAAAAACTGAAAATAAAGAAGACTCTTAGAGCTGATGGACACCTGCCTATGCATACCCAGGATTTCGTTCTGTAGCACCAAAGGAATCTGCATTTTGGCAAGCTGTCATGGTGATCCTGACACAAGGGCCCAGCCACACTTTGCGCTGCACTGAGAACAGCCACCATAGTCCAGTTCTCTAAGTGGGGACCCTCCCCCAAGCAAAGGCTGATCCCATGGCCATTCCCAGAAATGGAGGGCACAACTGAGAGGTGGAAGCACAGCATGAAGCTGGACTTGCAGGGCCCGCTTACGTGCTATATGCTGTGCTGGGGAGAAGAAGATAATCCCAGCAGCAGTGTGCCAAGACCGCCTCTCCCCCAAGCATCCAATGCTTTGTGGCTGACACTTCCTTAAACCTTTAACAAAACATTCCCCCTTTCCCAACCATAATCCAGACCCTACTGCCTCCTGCATTGGGACATCTGGGATATCTTACTTTTGGCAATGCCTTTGTGGGCAATTTAATCTTTGACTGGATTAATATGTGCCTGATACATAGTGACCAATCATTACATACTGTTGAATGAAAGCATATGTTGTTCACTGTCCCACTTTTTCCTGTCTTCAAACTGAAATAATATTTACATTCTAGGAAAAAATATCCATCCTTAAATAAAATTGCATATTCTGCTATTGAAACCATAATTTTTTTCTAGATAACCAAAATAATTATGAAATGAGAACGCCTATACTTTCCAAATACATTCACAACTAAGATATTTCTCAACACAGTTACTCTTAGATTAAATTTAGATGCAAAGTTGCTAAATTTTTCCCCCAGGCTTTAGCTTCTGAACCTATTTGATAAATTATTTACTTTCTCCCACTTAAAAGGAAAAAAAAAAACACCTGTGGCAATATGAAGCTCTTAGTTGATAAAGTTAAGACCACCACAAAACTGAAATACGGACAGCCTAAATTTAAACTGCTTTCTAAGCGAGCAGAAAAAAAGTCCTTATCCTGAAAGTTTTAAAGGAAAGCTTTGCATAGAATTTTGAGAAAGAAACACTTATAATTAGTTCATCTTATTTTTAAAGTTACAGTAACAATCAATCTGGACTTAGCAAAATAAGATGTTCAGCTTCGGCCTTAATGATAGTTATTATTATTGAGTTTGTTATTATATCCCAGAAACTCTGCTAAATATTTTATATACATTATTTTTTCTAAACTTTCTCTAAAAACCAGAGCTGTACACATTATATCTCCATAGGAAAGATAGGGCATAAGAAGGTTAAGTAACTTAGAGAAATCACAGAGCCTTGGTTCAGACCCATGCACGTCAGTTCCTTACATTCTGTGACTTGGCTTGTCCCCAGTCTTGTCATATTCCTCCTAGACTTAAACTTGAGCTGGAACTGCACTCTGATTCTTCTTTCTTTCCAAGTTCTGGACATTCAGGTTGGGCATAACTTTGGAGACCAAGTGATTTTATCCTGAAACAACTGCTGAGGGCCAGAATGCACAATGACCTGACAAAGCAGATGGCCACTTCTTCCCCAGCAGCCACGAATGACCTCTGTGGCAGCAGAGAGCTAGCAAGCCAGCACCTTATGGAGAATTTGCAACAAACACCAGACACACTGAAACACAATGGGGTGTTTGAAGACTGCCCCATGTTCAATTAGTGGTACTTTCCCCTTCTTGCCCTGCTTCCTACCTTCTCAAAAATGGTTTCAGAAGATGGGAAGCCACCAAATATGAAATTATTCATTCAAGTTCATACCCAGAAGGAGAGATAGAAGAAAAAAGCACCCACCAGCCCCCACCCCGCCGCCACACACAAAACCTGCCATTAAGCCTGCTACTTCCCTCTCTCATAGCATTCTAGCCAGTCTCCCCCAACATTCCTGTCCTGCTTTTGGTCTTTCCACACCAGCCCTCTCCACTGTCTCTCTTGATTTTCCACCTTCTACCACTTCTGCTCTTGGAACCTTTCTACAAAAAGTGGCATGTACTTCTAGAAGCACCCTGCAATGCAGGCAGAGCAGTGGTAGTGTGAAGAATTTGAGTACTCCCCCACCCTTGTCTGTCCCCCACCTATTTGCTGCCTTTGTGGTGCAAATCCTAGTAATTCCAGAGACCACTGGGGTATTGCATGCTTTTCCAAGCATGCACACACATATGCCTTCTTTGCAGAGTAAACTGAACATCTCTCTGCTGTCCAGTTAGTGTTTGTAGAAAAGCAACTGATCAAAGTGCTTCATGTAAAAATTAAAACTCACTTGGGAAAATAAATTACCTGTTTTCACAGGGAAATGGTGCTTGTGAAATGACGTTTCCTATGTTTCTTCAGAAAATAAAAAATGTTTATTCATTATTCAGGGCCTGTGGAAGATCGGCAACATCCTATGTCATACAGGTTAGTTTGGGAAAAACCATCCAATGTATTACTTGTATATTCTTTGTAATCAACAGATTAGCTTTTATAGTTTTAAACTTTTCAACCCTTTTTCTTCTATATCATCTCATTTTATCTTCAAAACTGTGCTGATCAGCATGAAGTTCTAAGTTTAGAGATGAAGAAAGGCTAGATGATCTTCCCTATATTTACACAGCTAGTTATGGGAAAGTTAAAGTTAGACTCAGTCGCCCTCATCATGCGGCAAAAGCCCTTCTAACCACACTGTTTAATCTTACATCAGTGTGAGTGCATTTAAATGATCAGCATCAAACAGCTAAGTTTAAAGAGATCCTGTAGCGACACAGAGGATTTTTTATGTGGGCTACGTTCTCACCTGTGGACATAGTATAAAGCATCATTACTCTACTGTTGAGCATCTTATAAGTGTAATATCCTAAGATTTTATTTTAAGTGTGTTTATTTGAAGTATATGACCACATAAAAATAACTCCATTGAGAGTTACAGATCAGTGAGTTTAGGAAATTTAATATGCAAGCAGCAAATATGGTCAGACAGACCTACATCATCACTCTTATAATCGAACTTGGTTTGGATTGTCCTTTAACATAATTCTTCATCAGAAAGACTAGCTAGTATTTTCTTATGCTATTATCAGTGTTATTATGCCAGAAGTTCTTCCTGTTGTGACATCTCTGTGAAATTTTGCCGTTTCAATCAGTGTTGCAAGGCGCATGGACCAGACTGTTTTCCTTACTCCAGACAAAAAAGACATTCAAAAGTTACATTCATTTGGCAAAACGTAAACTAGAAATACACTGTATTTTCAAAAACCATCAAATATGAATAAGTAAACTTTAATATTTGTATTATAATTTTTTTGTAAATTTGTGCTGGAATATGTTTAACTGCTCTGAAGAAAGTGTTGATTTTACTTATGGAAACTGTAAGGTTTTGTGAAGAGTACAAGGGAAGAATATAATATATTATTTCTCTTTTCTAGAAGGAATTTAGCCAAAAATGTTTGGGTACCTTGTAAAAAATAAGGCTGTATTCAATGAGTATGTTATATCCAGCTCATCTTGATATATTTTCAGCCTATTCTTACCTGTTCAACATATGTTGATACATTTTTTAGCTACTGATAGTTGATTTTTTATATGAGATTTAAACTTATGGCAGCTGTAGAAGGCCTATTTACTCATATGTATACATAAACCATACATTGATTCAATAATGCATATTTGTTTGAAATAACCTTCTTAGTGTTATTTCTACCATCACTTGTTTTTATCTTTTCCTATTAACTTCCTTCCCTGACCTCAAAATTATCTGTTGCCAAACAAATTACAAATTAAATAGTACAACTAATGTTATCTTGATGTTTGGGAGAAATTACTATGGAATATGATAAGCAACCAAAAAACACATCGTCTTAGAAAGTCTGAAAAACTGAACAAAACATAATAACTAAACAAAAGTTTCTCTTGAAGCTACTCAGAAAATGGACATTTTTAAAACATTTAAAAAAAGAACTGTTCAAACCAGACTCTACGAAGAAAAATATGACTACCTTAAAAACCCTGAGATTGTTAAGTGTAAGTATGGAAACTAGCTGTGGACTTTCTATAGGAAGTCACGCTAAGATGCCAACATTTATTCTGGTAATATGGAATAAAAGAAATTCATGTTTTCTTTCCTAACAAAAGAAAAGGCTTCAAGATGCTAGTAAATTAGGCATTAGCCGAGAAGGTGTAGAGGAGAACAAAAGCTATAAAAGTTATTGATATTTGAACCATGAAAGTGTCTGGCTGGAAGAGATCAGTTTCCAATAAACTACAACTCCTGCAGGGGAGCTGGGAAATAAAAGAGAATTTGGATTGACACATGATTAAGAAGGCTGAATATTGATAGTTTAGATAAGTAAGATATCCCTAAAGGGTAATAGAACTGCCCTCTAGGTTTTGAAATTCATAATTATTTATGGAAGTGAATAATTGATTAGCATAAAAGTGATATTCTTAACATAAACTCATGTCAAAATATTAGAAAGGGAAAAAATATATGGCACTCAAGATTCTTTTCCCAACAATTTCTCCCTGATTTCCATTGAAATTCCAAAGATTTTGGTGGGTTTTTTTTTTTTGTAATTCACTGGAATTAACTCAGCAACCACATCCCACTCTATTTACTTATTGTGAGATCTTTGTGAGCAGTAGTTCGTCATCCTCACACTGACTAGATATGGATTGTGTTGCTGTGTTTTAAAAAAGAAGTATTTCTTGCAAACACTTATGACTTGTCTATGTCTTCTACAAGTCTGGACATGTCTTGGAACATTATCTGTGTTCTGTGGGTTACAAGGCTTGTCGAGGTCAAAGTACTCAGACATGAGACAGGCACCTTGTATACTCCAGAGAGCTAGAAATACTTGGAGATTAAGTCTAGTCCATGCTCAGAGTAGTGCAGAATAGTGTATGTATTTTTAATTCACTATCTTAAAAGTAAATGATAACGTTAAGAATAGTATATTTCACTTTAGTTATTATACATTTATGATTTTTTATATGAGATTTTAATGTTTCAAAGAGATGTTTAAAAATGGTAGATACCCATTTTTCTAGCATCATTTTTATATACTAAATTCAGAAACTTTGTAATTGCCATATAAACTTGTGGAATCATGGAAATCATTTGAATAAATATACTATCATAATATTTGAATTATGTTTTGTAGTACATTGCATTGTATTTCATTATATATATATATAAAATAACTCTAGACCAAGTGCAGGAATGACATAAGAATATTTCCGACATAAAAGTAATTACCCTTTGCATATTGGATCGGTCATTATTTTCAGTCACGCATTCTTCATAAATCAAAGAAATTGAGTTACCATGACTAATTCTTAATCCACTTTGAATCTAAAGATAGCAGACATTTGAATTCAAAGTTTGAAAAACTAATTATTTAGATGTTTTATATACATCATATTTAACAGCCAGATATCTGGCTAAACTTCTTGTTCTTACTCAACTAAAATGGAAATTTTAGTTTTCTTCTAAATTTAATTAAAGATCGATTTGATCCAAACATTTACTCTGGAACTCACATTATAGATTTTGAGTGCCTGTATTGATCAAATTACCCAGAGGCTTTACAAACTGCACTTTATACTGCACTAAAACTTGAGTAAGCCTGGCCTTTGACTCCCCTCCTAATATAGGGCATGGCCCCCTCCCTACCTGTGGGCTGCAGAGTTGAGGGTGGGTGGGGGAGAGCACTGTACAACATAGCCTCCTTGGGAAGTTAGAGTATGTGTGCACACATGTGCTCATTAACTCCCCTAGATTATTTGTTCTTTCACAAATCTTTCTCATTTCCTATTCATTAATACAAATAAATGACTGTTGAATCAATCTAGTGCCATCACCACTGCAACAGACACCTACTGTAAATTCTTTAAGTCTAGTAACTATGGTTACTTAAAAATCACCTAGCAAATAATATAGATTAAATAGCCTAGATATGTTCTGTGTGTCGGATAAAAGTACTCTTTTTACTTAGGGGGATAACATTTTCAGTTGGAATATAGTCAGCTTTAAAATTTTAGTAAGTATCCTCAAAGTTTCCAGTGATTATTTGATGACTCACTTCTAAAGCCTCAGCTACATATGATTAATGGGATTTTACTGCAGATTTAACTTGTCCATCTATTGTTTATCTTTTAATGCTTCTGGGAATACTCCAGAAGCTTCCACCACTATTCTGTTTTTTAATCAAGTGACATATGAAAATTAATCAATTTTGGATTGCAAATTGTGCTCTCATACATGGGATACAGAATTAAAAACATACCATTTCCTTTCCTGAGGATGCTTACTCAAATTCTACAATAATAAGCATATAGCATATATACATTTTGACTAAGACTTTTGTTCTTATTATACTTTAAGGACATTTAAGTATAGTGAATACGTGTCCTAAATCAAAAATAAAAGTATGTGGCCCGACAACTAATATGCTTATAAGGACAAAGGGGCAGTCTATTTGAAATCTCTTCACGTCTTCAGAAATCTGAGATGTATGGTGTTCTTCCATCCATTGTATAGAATTATGCTTCTTTCTTCAGTTCATTCCCATAAAAGCCTCCCTGACAGCAACATTTCTTATTGTCTATTGGCTATTAAGTTACAGCAGAAATTAAATATGGGGAATTCATTCAATATTCACACACCCACAGATATTCTTCCACTTAAAATTAAAGGCTTTTGCATACCTAGTTGAAAGCTGACCATAATGTTAATTTTGTAAAACTGAAATGTAAATTATTCTCCCTAAGCCTATGGACAAATGTAGTATCTCACTGAAAAACATTGTGGCCTTCTCAAACACAGAACCCTCCTGATGCCACTTTGTGTTTTTTAAAAATCAGTTTGGGCTAATAAATGCCCATAAAATATTTTAATATATTTAATTGCTCTAGGAAATTAAATTGAACTTTAATTACAATTAAGTAGAAGATATCAAATATAATGCCATTAGACCATGAGTTGGTTCAGCATCTGTGTTTGATTACATTACCCAAACACATGAAACAGTCAAGTTTCTAAGCTGGTCAACCCCTGCAGGCAGTGACCTGCTGTTTCTTGCCAGTTGAAGTCTGTTTCTGTGTTATTGCTCTTACTGTCAGTAGATGATCCTCACAGTTCCATAAATGCTATTTAACTCTCTATGGTTTCCTATATTTCTTATCTGCTTCATTGTTCTAGAAAAAGATATTCTTTAAAAAAAAAAAAGAAAGGAAGAGGAAGAAAAAGAATGAAAGAGACAGAGGCAGGCATTTGTTGCAGAACTTCACAAACTATGACTAGTCAGGATTTAGGTAATAGTTCAAACCCAAGCCCCAAAATAGCCAGTTCATTTTGTTTATAATAAATTGCAAATCAAAGCAACCTGGTCTGAGGAAGAAAATGGCTTTGTTCCAATGATCTAGAGGCACTAGAGATCAGCTGTCCATGATCCTTTAACCTACGGCAAGGCCATCTTAGTTAAGGCCACATCTTCCTCATTATTTGTTTCTTGGGAAAAGTCAGTGGCTGACGTGGAAACAGCTGAGTGCGTTATTCTAAAATTAAGTGATTAAATCACGAGGCTGAGAATAGGATGCAGGAAACCTGGGGATGGATTTTTTTTCTCATTCTTGAAATTGATTCTTGCTATGAGAACTTATAACAATTAGTCCCATTAAAAGCAGCCCATACTTAATTTCAAGTGGCCACAGTAAACTCTTCAAGGTTGAGACTTGGAGGAAAAAAAAGTAAAAATACTTAGCACAAATCATTACTGAGGAATTAAAAGGAATCAGAAAGATGGGAATCATTGGGAACAGCACTCACAGTACATGTTAGAGCTTTGAAGAAACACTCCCCTAGTGCTTAGCTGAGAAGGGATAAGCCCAAGATTGTGACAGAAGGCCAGGCTGGAAAAACAGAATGGCCGGTATTAGATGAATGTAAATATGTAAATATGCCTTAGAGTATGCCTTAGAGCATGCTAAATGTGCCTTGAAACATGTAAAGTATGCCTTAGAGAATGCCTGGTCCTTTGTAGGCACTCAGGCCAGCTAACTCATCTGCAGGAGCTGGATAGAATGTAATGCTTAGGCATGGAGACCAGCAAAGGCAGAAGAAGGGGCAAAACCCAGGTTGCTCTCCTTCTAGGCATCAGGCCCATGGGAGTTCAAAGATGTTCTCAATCTTACACTGTGGGAGTTATCTCTCAGGGCATCCAGTTTGAGCCTAAGGCAAATTTGGCTGATTCCAAGTTCTACCTGAACTCAAAAACAACTATTATAATATATCCTGCATCTCCATCCTGCAACTGGTGGCTAGTGAGGAGTGATACCATGTGAAAATATCTGTTTGTAGATTTGGAACTGCTGCGGCAGAAATAGGGACTTTTAGTCTCTAGGACAAAGAAGCTTGCAGGTCCCCTTCAACAGTACTGCCCTTGTACAAAGCCAGAAAATTATCTGTGATCTTTATAGCACAGGAAGGACCTCCAAGCTAGAGAAGGGATGGTTCAAGGATGGAAACATCTTTCTTATTAAAACACCACATAAAATTCTGTGAGTTCTGAATCAAGAAAGAACCTCCAGCTGGTGGGAGCTGACCCCACCAGCAACCTCTGACTCTTTTCTATGAACACTGCCTTTCTCTAGAGTTCTGTCACTCTGATTACCACTGTCACCCCGAATTCTGGAACTCAGCAGACTTTTAAAATTATTCATCTGCAGTCAATTAAGCCAGCTGTACTCCTTTCCTCACAGGGGCTCGGTGTAATGGCTGCAAACAACAGCCTCCTTTGTTGTATACACAGCTTGTTTCTTGTATGGGTTGCTCTAAAGAACATAGGAGACAGCCGTTTCCAATGTATGTTTATGCCTCTGACCTTTGACCTTGCACTGTTCCCATTGTAGGCTCCAGACAGGTGTGCAGGGTATCTCTAGAAAGCCCCAGGGTACCATGGCCAGAATTTACATTGGTAAGTCATCATGTCCATCCATACCAAGGTGCAGAACAAGGAGCATGTGACTGAGTCCCTACACAGGGCCAAGTTCAAGTTGCTTGGCCACATCACAAAGAAATGGGGCTCTATCAAGTTTAATGCAGATGAATCTGAAGACATGGTAGTTGAGAAGTGTCTTATCTCAGATGGCTGTGGGGTCAAATGCATCCCCAGTCATGGCTCCGCAACAAGTGTCAGGCCTTGCACTCAGGAAGGCTTCCACTGTTCTGCTGTCTCTTAGGCTCACCAATACTTTCTGACAAAGAAAAAAAAATGTTAGCATATGTTTAACCAAACCCTTTCTTTCCTTCATCCTTCTTATCAAAGTAGAGGCATGTAGAATTTTCCAAATTAATGTAATTCGGTATTACACAAAAATGAAAAGGCAGGCATTACAGGCAAGCTACATTGCGTAAAGTCACAATTCCAAAGTTTTAAGTCCTTGATCCTAAGATGAACATATCCAGCCCTAAAAGACTTCACTATCTCTTGCTGTGAGTCCTCCACCCACCCCCATCCTGCCTGTTATTTGGTCAGTTTTCTAGCTGTCATATTTTCTTTCCATCTTTCCAAGTGTGGTAAGTGTTCAAACAATGGGTTGAAATAAAAAATAAGAAGGAATGATCCACTGTAACTGGGATGGTTAAAAAAGGTGTCTTTGTAGAGAAAAGACCAGACTAAAGAGTAAACACCAGCCAGTCATGAGAAGTTGAGAAAAGAGTGTTCCTGGCAGAGGGAGCAACTTGTACCTGGGCAGGCAAGAATCTCTTGTACTGGAGGAACTCAAATGTGTTCTATGGAACCAGAGCATGCAGAGGAAGGGAGAGATGGCATGAGATTAGGCTGAACAGAATGTCAAAGTTCAGATCATGTAGGTTGTGGTGAGGAGTTTGAAAGATTTTAGATTTTTTGTGTAAGTGTTAGAAGCTATTGAAGGCTTTGAGCAGGAGAGTTGCATGACTGGATTTATCTTTTGAGATCCTTTTTGCTGCTGTATGGGGAATTCATGAGGGAAAAATAGAAGAGAAATGGGTTAATAGACTGCTGCAGATATCTGGGCAAATGATGATACTATCTTAGATTACTGCTATTCAAACTGTAGGTCACAACCCATCAGGGTTATATAGTCATTTTAGTGTTTTTTTTTGTGTAATGTAAGATATAATTACCTTTCTTAGAAAATATCATCTTTTTTTTTTTTTTAAATTTTAAAGCTGGGTGTCCTGGGGGAGACATCACATGTCAGCAGGTTCCGTGATGTCCCCTGAGCTGAAAAACCAGCAAGTTTTTATTAGGGATTTTCAAAAGGGGAGGGAGTGTATGAATAGGGTGTGGGTCACAGAGATCACATGCTTCACAAGGTAATAGAATATCACAAGGCAAATGTAGGCAGGGCGAGATCACAGGACCACAGGACCAGGGCGAAATTAAAATTGCTAATGAAGTTTCGGGCTCCAGTACATATAAAGAGACTTATTAAGAAAAGATCATCTTAATAAGTCTCTTTATATGTACTGGAGCACATTGGATTTAAAATTTTGGGATATGCTTTTAACCCGATGAGAAAATAGGTTAATAATAAATTGTCACTGAAAATCAGAAATGTGACTTGGAAAGAAAAGGTACATGTCATGGGCAATTACAGATGCAGAAATCCTTTAATTATAAAGCATGCCCTTACCTGAGGAACTTTATACTATGCTGACATGAGGCTACATCTAATAATAAGCCTTTTCATTTTACACACACAAACACACACCCACGATCTATGAACATGTTAAGACCCATATGTTCAAACAACCCATTTACAAATTGCTAGATGGGACCAGCATGAGCGCCTTACTCCCTTCACCAAATGAAGAAAGCAATTTTGTTATTTCATCACCTTTCTTCTTCCTGGAGTCCTGACAGCATCAGTTATAACAGCATGCCTCTTTTCCCTCATTTTATCAAACACCAGTCTTGCATTTGAGTAGGTGACAAACAAAGATGGCAGCTGTATTTTCCTAGTAGAATCTTAGAGCTCTTCAGAGTCACAAGAATGAGCCTCTAATGGCAGAAAATTAAATCCTAGAGGAAATAACACTAATGGCTACTTAAGATATCTTCCCCCATTGCTTCTCAATCCAGACCACTTAGGTAACTGCATATGTTGTTGTCCATGCATTTTGATAGAGCCATCCAGAGAACCACTCCTGACCTGAGTAGTTGTGCTGCTGACTCTACTGTAAAGCCATTCCTGTGCCAGATGAACCACAGAATTTCAGCAAGTAAGGAGCTAAAGACAGGGGAGCGTTGTAATCTTCAATCTGTTTCTTCATTCTCAAACCTCACAATGTTGGCTCTTTCTGCAGAATTTCAGTTTGTGTTTTATTCACTGAGGAAGTCTGGTACGTAGAAAAGCTTCCTCTTAGCATAGATAAGGCTAACAGGCTAACAGTTATTTGGGTAAGTAGGATTAATTATCAGGAAGCTGTTGATAGTTAATGGCTGACCTGTAAAAACCTGGTTAGAATGAGGTCAGCTAAAATAATAGGGTCTATTTTAAGTTTGGGTCATATAAGACGTCATTAAGGATCACATTATTTCAGCAAAGAAAATATTGCAGAGAGTTATCCTTTTAAAAGAAAATAGCCTTTCTGCTGGAAAGCTTCCAAACCACACCATTGCAAAACCTAAACACTTCAAACCATTGAATGCTAATGTTTAACTGCCTAGCTCTAGTTGTCTTGCAAACCTTTTCCCCTTTGGTAATTGACTTTTTCTGCAATCCAGGTGTCGTTCGGTGTTTTATCCCAATTTTGTTTCTTATGCTGAAGAAAACATATTTTCATTGCCTAGGGGTTAATTTTTTGAACCCCACATAATGTAGAATATATTCTACTCTGTTGCTTGTGATTAAGAGTAGTAATCAGCATTTTACTAGAGTTGAGGAAAGCAGCAAAGGGAAGGGCTAGCCCAAGGCATAATTGGGAAATGCCTGAAATTTTAAAGCCTTTGCCTCATAATTTGTCATTTAACTATTTTTGTGCCTTAATCTCTTGTTCAGTCACTTAGAGCTGCATGACCCCCTCTAAGCTTCAGTTTCCTCCTGTTGCAGGATTGACTGCACACAGTGCAGTGTGCAGCACATTCCCTGAGGCATAGTAAATGTTCAGAAATTGGTAGGTTATCATCATCATCCTCATCAACATTCCTAAACCTCGGGACTAAGGGATATTTCATATTGACTTATGATGAAATTGTTTGTAAAACATTTGCTTTTAATTTTATTCTCAAAGACTAAAAAACTTACCAAGCCCAAAGGAATGTGCCTCTAGTTCTAGTATTTGAGGCCACCACAGGAGGTGGAGAAGAAATGTGGTAGCGAGTGCGGGAGTCTTCCCTCCTTTGTAGTGCTGACAGCTACCTGTTCATTAGACTGGCCTTGTTGAAAAAAAATGATAATATGAGTCAGGCATGGGGACCAAGACAACATGCGGGACCTGCCCTGCTTACACCAGAGCAAGAGAGCCCATGTCCTGGTCCAGTTCCAAAGCCACTCCCCTGGCAGAACACCTGTCTGGATTCTTCCTCCTCCCTCCTGTCACCAAGATTCAGTGAAGAGTCTAATTAGTTAGTGGATGTTTAAATGCTGTATTGGAGGGGCAGATATAAGATCTGTGGGATCTAAAGATTATATAATTATGGGGGAACTCTTTAAAAGAATACAAAATTATAAGTAATAGATATGTGTGAATATTTAGTTAAGATGAGAAATCACCACAAAGTATACATATAAACAGCTAACAAATACCACAAACATAAAAAATCCAGAAAAATATTTATTAATTAAATCCCTGATTCATCCTACACTTTTTTTCTACTTTTTTCTTCTTGATTGCATACTCTTTGATTGCACCCCTATGTATGGTAGAAGAGGATTTCTGACTTTTCTGACTTAACACAGCATTGATGAGATTCAAAACCTTTGCTTACAATTTTTTTGTTATGATGATTTGAAAAATGTTCAAGTCTTCTTTCTCTTCTACTGCCCACATACTTCTGGCACAGCACAGCATGCTCATATAGTATTACAACCACTGTGTCTTCATTCTGTGATTGCAGATGAGTGGGAAGAGGGTTTCTGAAAGTATTCCTGCACATGGACAGGTAGCAATAATAATTACTATACCTGAAAATGACTGCAAACCACATAAATCCATCTCCCTAAACCCAAATAGAGGGACTCCCAATTTAATTTCCCATTAGCCAAATCTCAAAAATGTCCACAGCTAGTCTGGGACTATCCAACATGAAAAGGCATGGAAAATAATTCATATGAAAAGAGATTGCAGTCTTTTTTTTTTTAGAAGGTCTCACTGTCACCAGGCTGGAGTACAGTGGTGTGATCATAGCTCACTGTAACCTTGAACTCCTGGGCTGAAGCAATTATACTCCTGCCTAAGCCTCCCAAGTAGCTGGGATAACAATTGTGAGCCACCACACTCAGCCTAAACTGCAGTCTTAATCGTGGCTAAAATGTTTTGCTCTTTCAAATATTAGAAAAGCATATGCCCAAGCAAGTGAGAGTCCCTGAAGATGTAAACTTCTTTCGCTTCACAGAAAATCTACCTCTGCACAGAGGAATTAGCCCCATAGGATCCTGAGGATGAAGGTGAGTTCCTGCCCTCCCATGCTTACAGAAAGAGCTATTTTAGGCAGAAGCACTGTATACTATAAGAACTTATATAACAAAAATAATATCAGCATTATTACTGAAGTCCATTTTGTCCAAGCATGAAGCAATCTCAGGCAGAAATCACAATATCAGGCTCTTTGGAGAATGGAGAAGAAACTGGAACTGTCCACATCTTGAACTATGAAGAACCTGGTTCTTTCCTGTCCCCTCCCTCAGCTCTGCCCAAAGTGACCTGAAGAAGCAATTGTCTTTAATCTTATCTAGTTCAATAATTTTAATTGATTCTCTGAATCCAAACTCTACTCTGTCACTAACTAGCTGTGTGAGCTGGGACAAATTAGCCTAAGCGTTTGTATTCTCATACATAAAATGGCAAAAATATTTTATTTGCATAACTGTGAAAAAGATTAAATGGATAGTGTATGTACATTACCTGGCACCTAGTAGATAACTAAGATATTGTAGCCATTTTATTATTGTTCACATTTCAAGTGATAACTATAAGGGAGGAACTAGAAAGGGAATATTGAACAGCCAGGACTCCAGATTACCAAACACAGCATGGAAGATCAAACTCCATAAATGCTAAAAGGGATTATTTCAGTTTCAACTTTTTTACTTGCTCCCAGAGCCCAATGGCAACACAATGAAAGTGGCCGTGGCAACATGACAGCCACAGTACTCTATGAACAGAGTGTATCAATAAACATGATGCTTTTAGGAGGCCACAAGAATTCCTGTCTGGCTCAGGTGTTCCTCCTGGTGTAGGATCTATCTCTGACGTTGCATGAGATTTGGGAAATTTTCTTGTCTCAGATTTTGATAGTTTGATATTTGAACAGAAAACAGCAAGTTGCCCCTGGTAATGGTTGCAAGTGACTGGCACTAAGCACCTGGCAGGTAGTAATGACTCTGTAAAAGATTTCTGAATTCATCTAAAGTGATCTGTCCTCAGAGGCCCTGTACACTGCTGCCTGGGCAAGGCACAGGCTCTGAGTAACCTGAGACATCAGGCAATTTGAGGCATCAGAGCATTGTCATTAGTATTGGCTCTGAAGTCAGATCAGGCCCGGCCCCAAATTCCAGCTCTAGCATTTACCATATTTACAACCTTGGGCAAGCTGCTTAAATCATCTGTGACTCAGTTCCTTCATTATAAAGCAAGGATAATAAAGTATCTACCTAATAAGGTTTTAGTGAGTATTAAATGAGGTAACATTTCTGAAGGGCTTTAGAACAGTGCCTAAAGCCCTTCATTGCAAGTGCTCAGTAATGGCTAGCTCTAATGTTAAAGGGGAAAGCTGGTAGGGATGTCCAGCAGGTGTTTGGTTATGTGGATCTGGCACTCAGAAAAAAAAGATAGTAATTAAAGCCACAGGTTTTATATTTTCTAGTTTTATTCCTTTCTTGTGGTGCCTGTAACAAGTTACCACAAACTTGGGTTGAAAATAACAGATTATTTTCTTACAGTTCTGGAGGCCAAAAGCCCAAAATCGGTATCATGGGGCCAAAATCATGGTGTTGGCAAGCACCCTCCCTCTGGAGATGTTAGGGGAGATTCCATTTCTTGCCTCTTCCAGTTTCTGGTGGCTGATGGCATTTCTTGAATCATGACAGCATTGTTGCAATCACTGCCTCTGTGGTTACATTGCCTTCTCCCCTCCTGTCTGTATCAAATCTCCCTCACTCTTCTTCTTATAAAGACACTGAATCATGGCATTCAGGGCCTACCTGGATAACCCAGGATAATGCAGAGTAATCCCTCCATCTGAAGAGCATTAACTTAATTACAAAGATGCCCACCCCAGCAAATAAACTAGCATCTATAGATTCCAAGGATTAGGATCTGATATCATTGGAAGCCACTTAATCAGTCTACTATACTAATTAATACACGATACTGCAAGACATAGGTGAAGATGAAATTATGTGAAGAGAAGACTAAATACAGAACACCGAACCATAAACACATAACAGGGAAGCAAAGAAGAGATACCACAGGGAAATGAGAAGGAAAGGGGGGCTAGAGGAGAAGATGAGGTGAAAGGGGGTTGTCTGAGACTTCAAGGACGTAGTTTCACAAAGGATGGCATCCTGGAAACACTTCAAAGAATCAAGGTAGGGGGCTGAGGAGGGATTATGGGGTTTGACTATTAAGAAGAACATCAGTAAATTTAGCCACAGTGAATGTATTGGCATGGGAGAAAGAGAGCAAATTGTGATAGATTGAGGATGGAGTCACTTACCTCTGTGATACACTTTGTACATAGGCATAGTTGTAAGAGGAAAATGGTGCAGACATTCATCTTGACAAGCCACCCTCTGAGACCTTACTCTCAACTGTGTTTTCTTTGGATTCCCAACAATAAAATCCCGTGAAAGGCCCTGAACTTGCCAAGGTGGACATGATCTATGATTAGAAGAGGAAGGCACTGCCTCCTTCCCATAGAAATATGTTTGCTCTCCAGCTCCTGAGAGAGGTCAATGAAAAAGTTATATTTATCTTCATGATTTACTCAGCCCACCCTCTCTCTCAAAGGTATTATTAATGCCTAGACTAGTCAAGTGGTGATGTTTCTAATCATTATACTCTTTTACCCTTTTTCAGTATCTTAAAAAAGGACTCTAAATATTGAAGTAGTTTACATTTTTTCTAATAGTGAAACATTATTAGTCACTCAAAAATTATTATAGAAAATAAACCATGTGCTAGAAAGTATATTAGAGATAATATGAAATTAAAATATTAATAGCTAATATTTAAGTATCTTGTATGGGACAGGCACTGATCTAAGTGCTTTGTATATCAATTTATTTCAAAAATTTGGTGACAGAGGAGGTACTAATATTACACTGTTATTATCATCCCAACTTTATAGAAGAGTGAACAGAGGTGCAAAGATAAGGGAAAAACACACAGCTAGGAATCAGGAAGCAAGGATTAACTCAGCAGTCACTCTCTGGGCCTATTCTAACCACTGTGGCATTCATTTTTACAGCATTTGCAAGAAGACATCTCTAACATACTCTTTTTAGGCAGAAGCATACAAATAAGCATTATTTTAAAGTGACTTGACAAAAACCAGTTTTTGCATTTAAAAAATCTTGTAATACTGGAAATATTTGTTACTCAGAACATATTGACTGAGTACCTAGTAATTTACTAGGCACTCTTCTAGAAACTGAACTTTCAAAAATGAACAAAATGGACACAAACTCCTGCCCTCATGTTCAAATAAGGCATCTCCATCTTTAAATGTCATGCAATAATAACACCACCACCATACTTGCAGAGCCAAGAAGAAGCCAACTCTTCCCTCACTGTATAAGAGAACAGCATTGAATCATTACAAGCAAAATTACAGCAGAAACTACTGTTACTGACTATTGACATCATGCTTCTGGGGGAATGCTGGCCTTAATACCTAGGTGGTGAGTTGACAGGTGTAGCAAACCACCATGGCACATGTTTACCTGTGTGACAAACCTGCATATCCTACATGTGTATCCTAGAATTTAAAGTAAAATAAAATAATAAAATAAAAATTTTAAAAAGAAATTACAGAAAAAAATGGAAAATCGTATATGGAGGATCTTTTTCTTGAAGCTCACTGACCTTTCGAGCATCTAAATCAATAATCCTGGTTCGAAGAAGCACTGTTTTCTTGATATTAAACAAAGTGTGTGACATTTCTGGGTCTGTTCCCTGAAAATGGTATTGCCTGAAAAAATACTAAAATTAAATAAATAAGTAATAAATAAATAAAGCTGATTTGGGTTTAGGGGGAAAATGGTATTGCCTGTACCTGACATCTAATATCATTTTCCATCTGGCTTTATGTGACCCTAAGTAACAAATATCAGGGGTTAAGAGGAAGTCTTAGAGCTCCAACACGTTCTACTTTCCACTCACCCACAGTTAAGAATCTAAGAGAAATCCCCAAACCTCAATGACTCAGAATAAGACAGCCCTGTCCAGGCCTCTGCAGCAGGGCAAATGGAGCCCCAGGGCTCTGCAGTGTTCTTCATTCCACAACCTATGACACCCTCTTCACATCAAAATTTATCACTGAAACACATTTGCCCCTTTATCCCAGAGGAAGATTCAAGGCTCCCGGTGCATTCCTCATTACCAAGTATAGTTGCCAGATAAAATATAGGATGACTGATCAAATTTAACTGGACACCCTGTATTTTTATTTGCTAATTCTGGAAACTCTAGCCCAGGCCTCTCAACCCTTTAGATGAAAATGCCACCATATCCAGGAAGACTTTCCAGACCACCCAGCCTGTTTTTTTAACTTGCAACCTTTCCTCCCTCAACATTTCCTATCTTACTCCTGGGTTAATTCTCCCCATAGCATTTATTGTCACCTGTCATAGGATACATTTTATTTTATTGTATTTTTTTTTATTCTCTGATCTTTCCTCCTCCCGCCAAGATTAAAGGCCCTCAAGACTATGAGTATTTATCTACTTTGTTCATGCTATGTCTCCAGTGCCTACAATACTGCCTGGCACAGAGTAAGTGTTAGATAAATATTTGTGAATCAGTTTGTTAAATTAAGTATCTATTTCTTTGATGTCAAAAATGATATTAGAATTGTGATAAATATCATAGGTGAGTTGAATAATAATAATGAATACAAATAGATCATATTTATGGTGTACATATATGCCTGGCAATATGCTAAACAGTTTACCTAGATTAACTCATTTAATACAAAACAAAAAACAAAAAACCATTTCATACTCACAAAAAACTGTCATCTTCATTTTACAGCTGAAGCAACTGATACAGAGAAAAATAAGAAACTTGCTCAAGGTCACATAGGGTAGCTTCAAGATTCAAACCCAGCTGCCTGACTCTAGAGAGTGAGTTCTTTCCTTAAAAATAATGTTTTTACCTGGGAGACAGAAATGTGAAAAGTGGATTAAATACTTACACAAATGATTGAAGGCTTTTGAATGAATAAATTACTTCACCTGGCAAAAAAAAACAAAACTGTGTTTAATGGATCCCCATATGTGAAATAGAACCTGGATGTGGACAAGTTAAGACATTGTTACGTAACAGATTAGAGTCATGTTAATACACCATTGGGTTGGAAGGGAGGCTGAGAAGGTGGGTTCATGGCTGCTAATATGTTTTTGCTCACTTTGAAGCTCAGAAACTTGACTCCAGTAGGTACCAACATATAACTGGCTCTATATACTGTGTACACAGGTAGTTTCTTCACTTAGGACTTTATAAAGATGGCAAAGGGATTGATAAGTAACAACTGAAGTCACCGTATATTCTGAAATAATAGTGATAATTTATTTTAATAACAATTAACATGAACACAAATATACACAATTCTAGGTAAGGTCTGATTTAAATTTCTAGTTCCTCCTCATTGAGAAAAAGGCTATATTATTACTCTTTGCCACTGACATGAAGGGAATTCCTCTTCTTTTGCCCATTTGGAAAGCCTCTTCTTTCCCCTTCTGTGTTGGATGTTCTCAGCTCACACTGCTCTGTGCTAGGTTCTTTTTCTTATATGAGGATGCTTACTATCATTTTCACATTACTCCTAATACCTGCTAAAACAATGATTCCAAATTTACATGAAGGACTCTCTGTTATTTAAAACTAGTGCACAGTGCCGCTATCAAGACCCAGGATCCCAGCAACAGCCCATATGTAGGAAGCAGTAGCCAGAAGCTGTTACTGATTAACTATTGCTTGCTCTTTTGTGGGCAATGCTTTTGCTGGTCTTCTCTTGGGCATCTAGCCCAAGATCAACAAACAACAGCCAACAGGAAAAATCTAGCCAATAGCCTGTTTTTGTATAGTCCAGGAGCTAGGAAAGGTTTATAGAGAAAAATATTTACAATCCATTAGAGGATATGGAACACCAATGTTAAACATCTGTTAAGTAAAATGTTCTTTTAAAAAAATCGATTCTTCTTAGCAAAATTGTATTGCAGAAAATTGTACTCCATTATATTTTTAATTTCATCAATTAAAAT
The DNA here is from genome assembly GCF_000001405.40 of Homo sapiens. Classification (NCBI taxonomy): domain Eukaryota; kingdom Metazoa; phylum Chordata; class Mammalia; order Primates; family Hominidae; genus Homo; species Homo sapiens. Next base: position 81,774,998 of record NC_000006.12, read on the forward strand.
TGTGGAAACATGTGTTCTCTTTTGCTATGTAAGTAGCCACTTATACTCAATTTAGCTTCTTGGCCCATAAACCCTAAAATATTTACCTACCTTTTACAGAAAAAAAAGTGCTTATCTTTGTTCTAGTCTTTGATATTAAGGCAGTATGATGCCAAAAGGCTAATTGATAATTATTTTTTAAAAGAGAGTAGGTACATTTTCACCAACTCTAATTTTCTTATTTAGATGTGATTTAAGTATGCTATTTAGTGATATCTTTTTTAAACTTCATATTTATTTTCTGGCACAGACAGGGTTATTAAAATTTTTTATTGTTATTTCCATTTTTGAAAGACACTACTTTTTTAGCATAAGTTTGTATTGTTTCAACTTACTAATTGTTACTAAAACATTCCACTTTGGCAGTTCATTTTTATGGGAGCAAAATTATATGCAGTGCATTGTAAAAAGATAATTCAGTTCATTTAAAAAATGCTTCAATAAACACAATCTAGAAAGGCTTTTTCTTCAGGATCATCTTTTCCGTATCTATATCAGCAAGGGTGTTAATAATTTTTTAAAAATTCCAATTGACTGGCATCTCAGTTCAGATGGAAAAAAATAAAACTTTTTTAAACAAAATTACCTGCTGAAGGAAGTTTGCATGGATGTCCACTCAAACACCAAAAAAAAAAATAAAAATAAAAATAAAAAAAATCCCTTTAGCTGACCTCAAGGAAAGTGTGGCACATTCTTGATGGAAGAACGACACTTTTAGTAAAAGAAACAGCCTACAATGATCAATGTTGAACTGAGGGCATTGAAGGAATTATTTCATAACAGAAGCTCGTTTCTTGGAAAGTCAGAAATAAGCAGCCTTTTAGGCTTCCACGTCCTGACCTGGTCACCTTGTTCCTCTGGATGAACCTCACAATGGGGCCCACAGTAAGGGGCTCCATACTGGGGGACTTTTTCACAGCAGTAACCTGGTGACTCCAAGGCCAGGTTGTGGCCAGGATGAAAAGTCAACCAGGACTTGGGATGTGCGTGATCCAGTCAGAGGCCAAGTCCTTCAGAGAAATATGGTTCCCTTGTCACATCAGGAGAAAGAAGCTAGAGCCAGGTGGCCAATTATCAAAGATTTTCTGAGCTGCAACATTCTTCAAATGTGAAACATATCATGTCAGCCTAGGCCCCTGATCATGACTATGTGAATACGTTAAAACTGCCAGGCCTGGCGTGGTGGCTTACTCTGGTAATCCCAGCACTTTGGGAGACTGAGGCGGGTGGATCACTTGAGGCCAGGAGCTCGAGACCAGCCTGGTCAACATGGTGAAACACCATCTCTACTAAAAATACAAAGATTAGCTGGGTGTGGTGACATGAACTTGCAATTCCAGGTACTTGAGAGGCTGAAGCATGAGAATTGCTTGACCCTGGGAGGCAGATGTTGCAACAAACTGAGATTGCACAACTGCACTCCAGCCTGGCCGACAAAGTGAGGCTCTGTCAAAAAAAAAAAAAAAAAGATGAAAGAAAGAAAAAAGAAAGGAAGGAAGGAAGGAAAGAAAAAGAAGAGAGAGAAAGAAAGAGAGAGAAAACATCAGAGGCCATCACGTCATTCCATAACATTTCCTCTCAGATTTTTGTGCTTATAGGTATGCATATGCAAGTACTGGATTGTACTGTGAAGTGACTTTGTCACTCTGCATAGTGATCAAAAAGGCACTGGCCTAGACAAAAATGGTGATGGTGGAAGCAGAAAAACGATAAAGATGCCTTCAGATACATGGAAATGGAAGAGGTCACCTAAGAAAAGATACAAAAAGAGAGGAAAGAGTACTGGCACGGTGGCAGGTACCTGTAATCCCAGCTACTTGGCAGGCTGAGGCAGGAGAATTGCTTGAACGCCAGAGGCGGAGGTTGCAGTGAGCTACACCACTGTGCTCCAGTCTGGGCGACAGAGCAAAACTCCATCTTAAAATACATACATAACATACATACAACTGCCAGAGTGAGATTTTGGTTTTGACTTGTGTATGTGTGTGTGCCTGTGTGTCACTACTTCATTTTGTGTTGCTGTAAAGGAACATCTGTGTATTAGTCCATTTCCATGCTGTTGATAAAGACATACCAGAGACTGGGCAATTTACAAAAGAAAGAGGTTTAATTGGACTTACAGTTCCACGTGGCTGGGGAAGCCTCACAATCATGGTGGAACGCAAGGAGGAGCAAGTCACGTCTTGCATGGATGGCAGCAGGCAAAGAGAGAATGAGTACCAAGTGAAACGAGTTTCCCCTTATCAAACCATCAGATCTCTGGAGACTTGTTCACTACTGCCAGAACAGTACGGGAAAGACCCATCCCGATAATTCAGTCATCTCCCACTGGGTCCCTGCCACAACACATGGAAATTATGGGAGTTACAAGATGAGATTTGGGTGGGAACACAGAGCAAAACCACATCAATATGAGTCTGGGTAATTTACAAAGAAAGGAGGTTTATTTGGCTCATGGTTCTGCAGACTGTACAAGAAGCATGGTGCTAGCATCTATTTCTGGTGAGGGCGTCAGGAAGCTTTCAATCACAGAGGAAGGTGAAGGGGTGCAGGCATATCCCATGGCAAGAACAGGAGCAAGAGAGTGTGGAGAGGGAAGTCCCAGACTCTTTTTAACAACCAAACCTCCCGTGAACTAACAGAGTGAGAACTCACTCCTTACAGTGGGGAGGACACCAAGCCATTCATGAAGGATCCACCCCCATGACTGAAACACCTGCTACCAGGCCCCACCTCCAACACTGATCACATTTCACTGTGAGATTTAAAGGGAATAAATATACACACTATATCAACCAGTCCTCCAGAGCTGCATAGAATATGTCAAAAGGAGTTGGCATTTGTGAGGGCACTCACACTATACAGCCCCAGCAGGCAGACTTCAGCAGGCACAACTTCCCCTGCATGCCCAGGCTTTCTGGCATCCCCTTCCCACTCCTTCCAGTGGACTCTGGGGCTAGTTGGGTTAGATTCTGATAGAACAGAGATCATTTGGCCTGCCTGTAGATCAGAGAGAATAGCTTTGGGAACCTGGAATGGCAAAAATTTATACACCGCAGCAATGTGGTAAGGACAAAGACAATGTGAGCTCTGTTACTGTCACCAGATGCCAATCACCCTTCCCTACTTGAAGGAGAGTTTTAACTTCAGGACTGGCTTTTCAGATTTTTCCTTTTCATCTCACATAAAATTTGTTACTACTCACCTTCTTGCTTTTAACTGATATTTAGTATATAATTGAATTAAGCCAGACATCAGGATCCTAAAGTGTTTCTCACAGAGTTTTGTTTGTTTGTTTGTTTTGTTTTCTATTTGCAAACACCAGTCTTCATTGCCCCCAAATAAAACAATTTAGGAGGCTATTTAAAATAGATTTTCCAGGACATCATATGTGGCAAGAACTTTGAGAATTCCTAGATATTATGTGAAAATGTGCTTTATGCCCCAGTGCACAGGATAAAAAGTCCACAAGGCTGCCCAAAGCCACGTCTTCTACACTCCCCTTTAGGATGGAGCCTGATCCTCTAAAGACTGGACTAAGAGCAGAGATGAAGACTACAGAGGAAAATGAATGCTAAGGGTTTGGGGGACTTATAGGAATGTAAGGATAGTAAAGGGACCATGATTCAGAGCTCCCTGGAAGTTACTTATTTCCATCCTTTCTTTCACCCTTTCTCCTTCCCCTCTATTCACATTATTTGTTGTGGAAACAGTAAAAGATTTGAAATTTGGGTTAAAAATCCTGGCTTCACCATTTCCTACTTGCTAGAGTCTTTCTTGCTTATAAAATGGGAATGATATTCACTTCACAGGTTGTGAGGATTATGTGAGGGAACATTTGCGAAATGGAGAATAATAGCCTGACATGTAGTAAACACTCACCAATTAGAGCCACTTCTACTCCACTTGTTCAGATGATGCTAGAAACTCCTTTAATTACAAAGAAAAAGCATTTCAATTAGAGATTAAAAAGTGAGTAAAATTCAATTTGATGTATCAATACAGTCTATACCAGATTTTGATGAGACTTGGAGCTAAGGCCCAACTGATTTTGGAGATTTCTAACAAAAAATGCTTTAGTATTTTAAAATGTATTATTACTTTTAAAGACTTGTTATCTCATTAGTAAATGATAAATAAATGGTAAGTTATCTCATTTCTAAATGGTAAATTATCAGAAGGAAAATAGGAGGCAGAATAAAAACGAGGCAGATGAATTATCGCCAATGTTTATTGAGTTCTTATCCTTGTCAGGCACTGTTCTAAGAGTTTTTTACATGTGAATCCATCCAACAACGCTCTGATGTAAGATACTCATTGTCTTAATCATACAGGCAACGAAACTAACTTTCCCAAGATCACAAAACTATAAATAATAGGTCTAGATTCAAGCCCAGGCATTCTGGATCCAGAGCACACACTTAGCCTCTTCACCACTTGCTTAGTCCTTAGTTTCTAGATATTGACTAATCAACAAAATGAAATCATTATCCCAGGATTATTTTATTCAATTTAAAAGTCTTCTTTTGGTAACCAGCAGCCCTTAGTTTAAATATATACAGCATAGCACACACACACACACACACACACACACACACATAAACACAGTTGGCAATTGTCTTGTTTATTCATAATCATATTATTTTTAAGATACACAATATAGGAACCAAGTAGTAAACCCTCTGATTTTACTGACAGAAATTAGGAGACATGACTAAAGTACTAAAGTCATCCAGTTAATTTGTAAGAAAATCATTATTAAAAGTTGGGGTTCTTATCTTCCAGTTCAGAGCCCTTTGCTCTATTTTACTGTCTTATAGTAATGACAACATTGAGGACTCACTGTGTGCTCTGTTAAGCTGTAGATTAAAGTTATCCTATATAATCTTTCCAAAAATCCTATTCGATGTTTTTATACTCATTTTACAGATAAGCAAACTTATATGGCCTATGTATGTATAAGCCAGTCCATGTTATTAACTTTCACATTAATAGCATTGCATGCACCAGATTTATTAGTTAATTTAAATAAATAGACAACCCAAGGGCTTTATATTATTTTTGGGTTATTTCATTTAGCACTCTTGTCACTTCTCTGAGTAGTACCCATCTCTGTGTAAGACTACATTGAGAACATTAGTATTCTATGCTACCTATTAGTCTTATTTACATAAAAACAAGGAATAAAAGCAAAAAGTTCCACAGGCTAAAGAGCCTCTCTTCTAAATAAAAATCAGTTGGTAGGCCAGGCATGGTGGCTCATGCCTGTAATACCAGCACTTTGGGAGGCCGGGGCAGGCGGATCACAAAGTCAGGAGATCAAGACCATACTGGCTAAAATGGTGAAACCCCATCTCTACTAAAAATACAAAAAATTAGCCAGGCGTGGTGGCGGGTGCCTGTAGTCCCAGCTACTCGGGAGGCTGAGGCAGGAGAATGGCTTGATCCCGGGAGGCGGAGCTTGCAGTGAGCCGAGATCGTGCCACTGCACTCCAGCCTAGGTGATAGAGCAAGACTCCATCTCAAAAAAAAAAAAAAAAAAAAAATCATCCTTTGGTAAAAGCATTAGAACTTATTTTCTGTTTTATGATTTCTTTCAAGAGCCTTCGTTATTTAGAAAGCAAATGTTAGAAGAGCTGAACTTCCTCTGTGTGTGCCATAAAATCCAGTCCACATCTGTGTGCTTCTCAAGCATGTGAATCTAGCCACCATTCTGAAGGAATAGGGAAACCATTCAATAGTTGCTGTATGAAGAGGAATAAAATGCCAGTTGGAATTAGAAGGCAGTGCAGAATTCTGTTAACATTTGCAAATAATGCTGGCTTGTTTGCTTCTACTTTTGGTTTTATATATTGTTGTAGTTATTTTGTAATCTCTCCTCTTCTATTGCTCAGTTTAATTAACTGCTCATCAAATCATCTTTCGATGAGGCATATCAAAAGGTGCTGCAGGACAGCACTTTCCACTTATAACCTAGGGGAATGTAATGGACTCAGGCACTGACACTCTGAGGATTATTTAATATTAAATTGCAAATTAGAATTAAATTATGGTTATTCAATGATTGATAACTAATTAAATTCATTATAAATGAATTAATAATTATTACCAAATTAATATCAAAGTGCAAATCATCTGAGAAATCAAAACTCTAAAGAGGAAGCTTAAAGAAAAGAATGCAAACTGATTTTCTGAACTAACTCTACATGGACAGTTCCTATTAATATTTAAGGAAGAAAACACACAAAAACCAACAGTCACTCATTTCCGGAATTCCATCTTTACTAGGCCCTCTGGGCCAATTACATTTGTTTGATTAAAGTCAAATTCTGATTTAACCTTCAAGATACGTTATGCTCTGGGGGCAGCTTCACACATCCCTCCCAGCCATAACCCATTCTTAAAAAGCAAATACAGGGTGATTATGCTAAATAAATAACCTCATAAAAGAATTTTATGCTTGTGACAAAAATCATTTATTCCTAAATGGACATACATAATACATCTTCACATCATATTGTATATAAATTGTTAAATGACGTTCAAAAGGCTGAACTTAAATGAAGAAAAAAAATTAAAACATTTGGAAAAAGGAAAGATTTGTGCCAGTCAGTTTTGAACATGTACCTCTCAGAAATTAGGAATACACTTCTTATTGGTTAACTATAAATAAACCAAAAGAAAAAAGAAAAAAAAACTGGGAGTATTCTGTGTTGTGTGATTCAACTCTGTGACCCGGAAGCTGGAATCATGATTGTTTTATTAGCATGTAGGCAGCTTTTAAAACTCTTAGAGGACAGTTTGCCCTTTCAATTGCATCCCCGCTTAAAAATGACTATCAGTGACATTCCTAAAGTATATCCTTGCTTAATTGTAAGACTTGAGGGTGTCTTTAGAAGAACTCCAATCTCACAATCCAGGACTTACTTAGACTTCAGAAATGGCCCTTTTAATCTTAAGAAGGAGATTCCATAACTCTGTTGGTCTATGTTGGTAATAAGTTGTGGAAGGTTATATTTTCCAAGATGTCTGCAACAACAGCTTGTGTTCCACGTGTTCTACTACAATGTGTTTCTTACTCTTGAATCTGTGCAGGGTTATGATTTGCTGATAACAGATGGAACACAGCAAATTGATGCAACATGACTTCATGACTTCCAAGCCTAAGTCAAAAAAGCCAATGCAGCTTTCACCTTGCTCACTGGAAAGGTTGTTTTTGGAGTCTTCTCCCATCATATAAAAATTTCAACTCTCTTGAGACCACCGTGCTAGGAGGAAGCTTAAGCCACATGAAAAGACCACATGTTGGTGTTCCCATCAATTGCCCGGCTGTATTAGTGTGTTCTCATTCTGCTAAAAAAAGACACATCTGAGACTGGGTAGTTTATAAAGGAAAGAGGTTTAATTGACTCACAGTTCAGTACATGCTAGAGAGGCCTCAGGAAACTTACAATCATGGTGGAAGGGGAAGCAAACACATCCTTCTTCACATGGCAGCAGGAGAGAGAAGAATCACTTCCCAGTGAAGTGGGAAGCCCTTTATAAAACCATCAGATCTCAAAAGAACTAACTCACTATCATGAGAATAGGATGAGGAAAATGCCCCCATGATTCAATTACCTTCATCTGGTCCCTCCCACGACACATGGGGATTTGGGAAACTACAATTCAAGATGAGATTTGGGTGTGGACACAGCCAAACCATATCACCAGCTGAAGTGCCAGTCCATAGCCAGCATCAACCACAGTATACATCAATGAACAATACCATGAGATAAACCATGTTCAATAAGAATATATTAATCACATATGAAGTTTTAAATTTTCTATTAGCCATATTTTAAAAATTAAATAAAATGAGTGAAATTAATGTTGTTAATATATTTTACTTTACCCATTATATCTAAAAGAGTATTATTTCAACATATAATCAATATATGAATTATTAACAAGATAGCTTAATTTATTTTATTTGCCATACAAAGTCTTTGAAATAGTGGATGTGTGTGTGTGTGTGTGTGTGTCTGTGTATGTGTGTGTGTGTGTGTGTGTGTTTTGAACTTAGAGCACAACTCAATTCAGACTAGACACATTTCAAGCACTCAGTAGCAATGTGTGATTATTGCCTTCTCTACTGGACAGCACAGCTTTGGAAAATTCCAGCCTTCAGCCATCAAGTTCTCCTCCACTCCCACAGCAGCTATGGAGTCTTCCCAGTTAAGCACTAAACAATGTAGAGGTCTCCCCATAATCTTGACACACAAGATACAGGTTTTAAGCTGCTAAATTTTGGGATAATGATTGGCACTGATAGTGGAACCTAGATACTACTAGAAAGGTGGGTTACGAGAACAGATGTGTTTTTTGTCCTCTGTTTAAGCTTAATTATTTTTGAGAAAGATTAAATCATAGAATCTTAGAGGCCCTTAGAAAAGGTCTTAAAGAGTGTTTATTTCAACCTCCTACCTAGTGCTAATCATGTCTATATCATCCTCAGAAAATGGTCTACTCATCTTTGCTTGATCATTTACAAGTTACACCTCACAAGAAAATGTATTGAATTTTTTAGTGATTTTTACTTTTTGAAATTTTCCTTTATATTGAATTTTTAAATGGCCTTTTTATAACTTCTCTTCACCAGTGCTATTTTGGCCTCTAGAGCTACACGTCTCATCCCTCTGATGTAATAGCCTTCAGACCAGACAATAAATATATTTTCTCTGCCTATATATTACCCCACCTCAACCCCCATATTCCTTTTTCTAGGCTGAACACCCAAATTTCTTCAATTGCTCCTTGTAAGACATAGTTTTAAAAACTTTAACCACTAGACTAAACTCCCTCAGCTTTCCACTTTCTGACTCTTCATAAATCTCAAATCTTTCAATGTAATACTCAAAAGAGTATGCTCTAGATATGGCCTGGCCAATACACAGTTGAGTAGGACGGTTAGTCTTGTTCTAGATGATGTATTTTCATGAAGGTAAGAAAGATTGCTGCTCTCCAAAGGTATTTTAATGAAGCCGGGGCTCCCTCTATCTAAACACAAAGGATTGGTACTGATAGTGGATTAAGAGATAGCAGGGACTAAACAAATAGTCCCTTAGCTGCATGCAGCAATTTAGAGCCTAGGACTTAAAATTGGAAGACTGACTTTGATTTCAATTGGCAATTTACTAGATATGTGACTTCAGGAAAGTTGTTTATACTGTCTGTGTCACACTTTATTAAAAAAAAATCTTTATAGGAATATCATAAGAATATCCTAATATAGAAATGTGGCATTTTTGGCAGTCATTAAATGAACTAAATATGTATAAATGATTTGCAATCTGTAATTATACAAACATAAAATCTTTTTTAAATTACTGTCAACCTAAGAATAGATCTTGATGCTTATTTCCATATAATTTTAACTTCCTGATTTTGACTTATCATCACAGCTTGTGGAAAACTTTCTTTAAAATGTTATTTAGTCTGGTTTAGTAATTCAATAAATACTAAGCATTTATTCAGTATGACACATAGCATATTGGTTCTCCTTAGAAAGTCGATGAAAGTTTCAAAGTTCCCAGGTTATCCATCAACTGCTTACAGATCCATTGGAGTATTTTAATCAAAGGAGTAATTTGATTTTGGACTCAGGATGCTGTTCTTTGTACCTGATGATCTGGAACCCTGGGTCAGGTTGCCTAGGGCAGCAGCAGCAGTAGTCAGTAGACCTAACTCCACTTTAGGGCTGCTACAGGGAGCTACCTGTACAGCTTCCTACTCCATTCCAAAGCTCTAGCACAGTCTGAGTGAGCCAAACAATTACTACAGAATAAAAGAGCCTTTTTAATTAGTGTAGTTGTTGGATCTGGAGACTCTGGGACTCAGACTGGTGCAGGGCAGTAGGCCGTTAGGTATCTGGAACTTAATCATGGAGGAGACTGCACTCCTCTGCAAGGCTTCTAGTGGCACCAGACTCAGGAACAAGCTGTAACATTTGGACTTACTACGTCAGTCCTCAATATACTCCCACTGAAAAAGCCTAGAAGAGAGAAGCATATTTTCCATGTTCCTTCCCTTTATTTCATTTTCTTTTCTGTCTATACAATAACATTCATATAAAGTATAGCAACTTTAAACTCACTGTGAATGGCATGGCAGAGAATGGCAAGGTATTTTTCTGATATGACCTAGCATAGATATATTACAGATTTCTCCCGTCTACAAGTCATATATGCTTAGAGGGACCTTCTGGATCAGCTAGTGTGACATACTCAATTTACAGGAGAGATTGAGCTTTGGAAAATTAATTTGGCAAATTAACGGCAGCACAGACTACAATTTCCTATCTAATGAATTTTCTCTATGCTGTACGGATTAAGCAATTGAGTTAAGCTGCTGAGAAGGTCACAAATACACAAACATACATATATACACTCAGGCATACACACATTAAGTTGGAGTGTGAAAGAAACTGAGACAAACATCACTTATAATCTGATTCATGGCAGTTTCTCTTCATAAATGGAAACTGGATGGACCAGTTTTGCATTTCTGTTTTTTTTTTTTGAAAGCTGCGATGAAGTGACTGAATTGATCCACCCTCATTATGTACACCCACTCTTAGTTGCATACACTATCCTGAAACTCCATTAACATCTACTGAAATATGGGGTCTTGCACAACTCTCTATTAAGTGGCATTGAAGTTAGAATTAAGAAAGCAGAATGGGATCAACCATGCAAGGTTTCCAGAAAGGTAGATCTTTAAGATGGTAAGAGCAATACATCCATGTAGAAAAATGAGGATAACGTGAAGTTAAACAGCTTCTAAAAACATAGAAGTGGAAACAATCAAGTGGTATGAGAAAGGTAGAAAGCAAATAGTCTTGGCTGGGGCAGGGGCAGATGTATGGAAATCTGGTAGAAAGTGATGTGAAAGTGTGGCCACTGTCTCGACACCATCTAGATACGCATAATGGCATTATGCCGCTTCTACTGCTTATTGCACAGGGCGGTAATCCCAGCAGTGAAAACAATGTGGAGGCAGTTAATATTTGTAATATCATATGGGGCAGTTTCCAAAGTTAAATGCATTTCTCCCCAACATGGAGCTGGTTAGAACTAATTAACATGAAATCCATTGTACAAAAAGAGGGAGCAGAAGTGCTCACACTTCACTGAGTTTTTCATCTAAGTAATTCTGTGAAATCAAAGCAAGTACTGTACTTGAACTACTCTGTCAGGAACTATATATGCCATGCATTTATTAGCATTTCATGGTTTACCAAGCACATTCACAGATACATTGTGTTTCGTCTGACTTTCACATCAATCCTATGAGTTAGGCTATTATTATTCACAACTCACAGATGAACAAAGCCCAGCCTTGAGAAATTTGGTGAGTTGCCTGAGGTCATTCCACTTGTGGTGTCAGTGTTGGAGCTCAGACCCAGGTTCTGAATCTGAATCAAGTTATCTTTCCACTGAACCATTTCAGGGAATAATAAGGACATCTCCTTGGGCCCACCACCTTGAGTAGCCTTCTGACAGAAGGGACTTCTGTTAAGGTGTTCCTAGCTACCATAAAGAGTTGAATGTTAGACCAGAGCTGCCTTCTCTGCGGGACATTTTATAATCTGTCTGTCTGATGGCTCACATGGGCAAGTCTGCAATACACAACAGGACAATGGGTACTACGATAGAGTTTATGTATATAGAAGCTTGGAATGTCTATGACCCTCTGTGTAGCAAAATGGCAACTTGAAGAATTGTTTTAATAGGATTTATTAAAATTTTGACATTTATGCTTTCTGGGGAAGATGAGTTATGTAGACAGCAAAATGGATTTACTTTTTAATTGGCTTTTCTAAAATAATTCGTCTCATTTTGCATTTAGTCTTCAGCTGTTGCTCCGATGCCTAAAATTTTATGTTTTTACATTTTCTGAGGCAGATATTATTAAAATATTCACTGCTACTTGATATTTCAGTGCTTTAGTTTCAGTTTCATTTTTAGGAAATTGATAATATTTTCAAATTATATACCAGAGTGATTGTGTCAATGCAATTTCCTTTTTGTTTTTACTGTATTTACTTTATTCAAGATGCTTTTTGCTTTCTTTACTCAGACACACATCCTTGTGTGATTTTTTGTGTGTGCGCTTTCTAATATTTTTTTCTTGCCCAGTGGCTATTACTATTTTGCCTTGTTCAAAATTCATTCATGTCGGTTTCAAAAGAACTTCAAATATTTGTTTACATTTTACTGTATGAGGCAAGTCCTGTCATTTATCTAACAATGACCAACATTGCTCCTTTAAATGTCTCCCCAAAACAGGTCCTCCCCAGTTCTTCATTTTACCTCAAAGAATCAGAATGACAAGGAAAACTTTAGCAGGAAAAGAAAATGGTAGTCCTATAACTTTTTTAAAAACAGCAATAAATTGTATTATTGGCAGCATAAGAAAAAGTCTGTGGCTGATGACGTTAACAAAGTTGACATAGTGCCATTTGAATTGACTCTACTCCTAGACAAGCATAAGTAGTATTTACTCAGTCCCAGAAACTGTGATTCTCAGGCTGAATCTGAAAATAAAAACCCAACAGGTCTGTCCATTTTTATTTTCTTCAATCTCAGGCTGATATTTAAAACCATTGAAAGACAAAATTGGCTGTTTGATAGTAGCAGCATAGTATTATAGCTCACACACTTCTACTCAGAGAAATATGATGCCTTAAGAACAAAACTTTGACACAGAGCTTAGCTATTTAAGGTTCATAATACCCTGAATTCGTAGAGTATATTTTGGTTTACAAATATTGCTTTGAAACTGGCAGCAACCTTAAGAGGTTTGCAGAGAGCATAAACTGTTAATCCCAGTTTAGAGCAGAGAGGAGTGGAGGTCAGTCAGAAGGTCTAAATGACTCACAAAAGGGCAAACAACTAATTAGGGGAAGATCCAGGTTTCCTAATACCTAGCCCATATTATTTGTACTATTTCGGTTGAGCATTTTTAAATTTCTATGCTGTTAGAACATTTTTAGACCAATAAGAAGGACAATTTCATATGGTCTCTCAAATGTGCTTCTTGCAATGAATATTGTCATTGTTGGTAGTTTTTATGTGGGAGTATGGAGTGTGCAGTAGGAGGAAACAGGTTTGAATTTTATATAATTACTAACTAGTTTGAAAATATTTCATGACAATGTGACTTTATTTAATATTATTTTCCTTCTACATAGCAGGAGTTCAATTAATTAATTGTGATACTTATTAAAACTGTGAAGTAAATATTTCCACAGAAACTTCCAAAACTTATAAACATAATAGGGTTTAAAAATTGGGGATGAGGAAGATACATCAGTAACCCATATTATCAAATAAAATATTTAAATACTCACTTTGCACTCTAATCTTCCTGAAGACAGTTTATTTCCTTTTATATCTGAGATTCTATATTCTACTGGACTACTGGACTCTACCTCTGATTTATTTTAAAAGAAATTTTAATAGTAATCAGAATGGAAAGTCAATAACTCAAACTTATCAGAATTGAGAAAGGTTCTAGCTTAGGAAACTTGTCCCTATTCACTCAGGAAATAGAGAGCACTTAATCTAAAGGAAGATGCTTGCTCCCATTCAGGAGGGAGAAATGTTGTTCTCTGTTGCTTGAGTCTCTCCCCAGCCCAGCGCCTATCTCCTAACCCAATTGCCATCTCCAACTTCAGAGAGCAGCTTTAGTAAAACACTCTGGCTCAATATGTCATGCTCCCAGACCAGTGGGATTCACACACTCTCTTAAGGCCAGAAAGACATCTTTATTTGTGAACAACATGTTCCAGGAAGCTCCATACACCTACCATCAATAAAGCACCACACAGGACCTTGGGAGCTGGTGACTCAATGGTGTTTGTTCTGTTTTTTTTTTTTTTCATTGCTGTTTATGGAGGACCATTGTACAAGGAAAATTAAAGCTTAAAAAAGACAGTTCTGCCAATGTTACATGGGTGGAAACTGCACTATTGATTCTCATTTGCCTCATGAGTCACCCAGGATTTTTCCCTATTTCCTGTCAATGGAAATTGTCTGGTAGGGTTTTAAAGAATAAACTGTGTCTCATGGTCAGGGCAGGCAGAACAGCATTAATGGTGAAAAGCGTGTGGCTTTTAGGTAGACTGCCTGGGTTTGGAGCCTGGCTCCACAACTTACTGGTTATGTGACCTTGTGCAAGTTTCCTAACATTTTTGCCTCAAATTCCACATCTATAAATGGAGATGATAATAGTACCTACTTAGTAGAGATGTTATGAGGATTATATGGATTAATGCATGTTAAGCTCTTAAAATAGTGTGTAGCACATGGAAAGTGCTCAACATGTATTTGTCACTGTAATCAGCTCAGGTGCCCAACTAGCCCAGTGATAAATATATTCATCTTCAGAAAAACAACACCTATATGTGACTCTGTTATCTCTAATGTATGATGACCACAGAAGTCATAAATCAAAGGTCACCTCAGCACCACGTTAAAAGTATGATCAGGACAATGTACTGAAAGAGCTCTATTCTGTAAGTGAAAAGACACAAATTTTAATCCATGTTTGCTATTAACTTGCTATGATCTTGGGCAGTTATGCATCTTTTTGTCCCAGTTTTCTGAACTATAAAATTAAGCAAATCTTCCAAAGGCTTATCCAGACTTACTACACTACAATTACTTGGCCTTTGAGGGATAAAAGAAAAACCTAAATGGTTCAGTAAACTGAAAATAATTCATTCAGTGAATATTTGTGTGCCACATACAGTTGTGGGTCCTAGTTGGGGATAAAGATTGGAACAAGACAGACAAGAATTCTGCCCTCCTGGAGTTTGTCATCTAGAGAAAGAATCCATCAATTGATATAGACTAACAAATACAGAAAAATATTCCAGGTAGTGAAAAGTGCTGTGAGAGAACTAACACATGATGAAAGGATATGAAAGAATAGGTTACTTTAGTTTGGGTGGTCAGGAAAGTTCTCTTCGAGATGTTATTTAAGTTGAGAACTGCAGGGCAAGAAGAAGCCAGCTATCTGAAGACTCAGGGAAGAGCATTCCAAGCAGAGGGACCAGTGGTTCAAGCCCAAGGTAGAAACTGGTTTGGAGTATCTGGGTACAAAAGGAAGACAATGAATGCGGGAGAGAGTAGAAGAGTCTTAAGAGGGGAGGTGGATTCCTGTAAGCCTCACAGCTGTGGGAAGGAATTCAGGTTTTATTCTAAATGTGATGGGAGCCATTGTGTTTTAAATAATGGGGGTTGGGTGGCTTATTCTGATTTGTGGTTTATAGTGTCTTTTTAAAAATAAGGACTGATGCCAGAAACCTCACTGGTGGTGGCAGTCACTATTTTCTGAAGAGAGGGATGAATTACCTACTTTATTAATTCAACAGTCCTGATCCTTTGTCTCAATTTAGCTTTCAACAGAGAGATCATTTGACAAGTCATATAATTCATAATTGCCTCCTTTTATTATCAGAAAAATAAGAAACAATCTATTTTCTCACCTTATATTTGGAGGTATGACAAGAACTGAGATTATGCTGTAAAAGCCCTTTGAGTTGCTTTAAGGATAATGTATCTTACATATTTTCTATTCAGTGTTTTAAAATGTTCCATATACCTATGGAAAATGGAGAGAAGAAAGGTGACAGGGAATGTAGAGAGTGGACGTCTGCAATAGCCAGTCATTAAAATTACAGGCTCAGAACCAAACTACTAAATTGGTATGTGCAATCCTGAGAAAGTTACTTAACTCCGTCTGTAAAATGGGAATAATGATACTGGTAATAGTACCTCATTCACAGAGTTATTGTGAATGTTAAATGAAATAATGTCCCTCTAAAGTGCTTAGTACAGTAATTGGTAAATAAGTACCCAGTTGATAAAACCACTGCTTCTTTTGGTTCCCCGTCATCCACCCTGACCACTCTATTCCCATTTTGGGGGACTCCCACAGTGCTGTGCTTAATGATGCTCTGCCATCCACTATGAAAAATGAGTGCACTGTGACCTAGTCTGGGCCGATCAGGGTAATTAAGATGCAAAGATGATGGAGTTACTATGCTTTATTCACAGCCAGGCTCTCTGCTACACAAGGGATTTGGGTCTGTCCTCCACCAACACCATTCCCACTGCCTCAAGGTGCTTTGGTACCCAACCTATATTATCCAAATGCAATCCTCCAGCCTCTTTTTGATACTGTGAACCCCTCATCTCCCACCAATTCATTTCCCTTAGCTTTAGATAGCCAGAGTGAGTTTATTTAGTTACAAACAAATGATTCCTAGGGAATACAGGCTAGAACCTTCCCTCTGGCTCTCCCTCTAGGGCCTTCCTCTTCTCCCCTTATTAAATCTTCTAAGATGATTGAATTGCTAGAAGACAGCTAGTGATAACATCACAGTTGCCTAGCCTGGCTTAATGTGTAGGCCAGAATACTGTACAATAGAAAGTCTTCCTTTCACTAAGGAGATTTACAATAAATCTCTCCTCAGCCAAGAAGCAGAAATACAGACCCCTCTCCCCTTCATATTGCCATAATACATGGTTATCAAGGCTAGTACTGGCCACACTATGTTTTATATCAGAATTACTTGAGTATGTACATATTTCTCCTCTGGACTGTTAGCACCCAGAATGCAGGAATTACATATTACTCATTTTAAAATTAATATTTGATACACATTTAATTCATTAATATAATCTCCTTTGAGAATTATATCATTGTAGCTAATAGTTAAAACTCCCTTTGGCGACTATCTTTAATCCTGGCCCCCTTCACGCCCCCAAGTTAACAAAAGTCATCATATTGGTGTGGGGCTATCAGCTGTGGCTGCCAGACTGTCCCAAACAACCCATCACCCATGTGAATAACACTTCCTGCCACTGTGCAGTGGGAGGACCCACATCAGAGGGTATTGTTCCAGGGTCATTGCTATGCATCACAGTGATTATGGAAAAAATAAATAACAGAGAAAGAGAGAGAGAGTGTGTGTATTTGTGTGACTGTGTGTTTGTGTGTGTTGTGCATTTACATAGAGTATCATACTGGATGCATCACTTTATATAGTTATTTTTTCTCTAACATCATGTCTTGGAGACCTTTCCACTTGTGGATCTACCTTCCTCTTTACAAATGATGCATGGTTTTCCATTGTATGAATATCTCAGAATTGGTTTTGCCAGTCTCTTAATGATGGGCATGTAGGTCATTTCTGAATTTTCACTATTATTAACAATACATCAGTGAACACTTTGGTACATGCCCCCTTGGGTTCAAGTACACTTTCTAAGATGGATAAGTGAGAATCACTGGCTTTCTCATGAATTTTGTATCCCTCGCTCACTGTCCAGCACAGTATCTGGCTTTCAATAAGCCTTCAGGAGATATTTTTTAGATGAATTTGAATAATTAAAGCTC
Organism: Homo sapiens; assembly: GCF_000001405.40. NCBI lineage: Eukaryota > Metazoa > Chordata > Mammalia > Primates > Hominidae > Homo > Homo sapiens. The sequence goes on from NC_000006.12 coordinate 81,792,488, forward strand.
ACCTTGTCCATTCTAGTTCTTGTTTCTCAAACAGAAATCCCATCCAGAGACAATGTGAGCTGAGATTAATATTGCCTATGCTGAGAACAGAGGCACCTCCTAAGTTCTAAAGAAGGCTGGGAAGTCTTTCTACAGACACAATCATATCCAATAGTAATCACAAGTTTTAAAAGACCTCCTTGAAACAGGCAGAAAACAAAATTCAAATTAGACCCAAAGAGGTACAGCTTCTATAGAAGAAATTACAGCCATTTTTTTACAGCAACCAAATTTATCAACGTCTCTTTTTCTGCAGCCCAAATCCCTCCCATTTACAGATGAGAAAATTATTGTACTCATCATAAACATTAAAGGATATTTATGCAGTGTTCATCTGCTCTACAATTTCCATACACTTTATACGTCTTCATTCACTTGCAGCAGAGGCACATTAATAGCAAATGCTGAATGATAAATTATTTCTCATGGGAAAGATAGTTAATTTCACTGACCCCCATGTGTCACAATTCAATGCATCACCCTGGTTGAGGAAGCAGACCTGTGGAGAGGAAACCACAAAAAGACAAATCAATGCAAAGCTCTGTGATCCAAGGCTAAGGTCATTTTTAATGGAATAAAAGGCACTCCAGGGCTTTAGTTATTATACCACAATCACATGCCACTGTACCCTCAACTATAATTAGAGTGCAATAATACAAATCCTGGGATGTTTTCTTTAATTGGCACTGAAAGCTGAGGGAGGGATGAAAAACAACTATTTGTCAGGTACTAAGATTTAAAAAGAATAAATTGCAACATTGATTAAATAAAACTATTCATTTTGTGTTTTTTATTACAATTTCTAATTTTACTTTTCTTGTCCCTACCTAAGCTATTCACCAGATATAAAACATCCTTCCCCTAAACAATGTTGAAATTAATGACCCCATTACTGTGGGGTTGCAGATAGCAACAATGAGGCTATCCCTATTTTAGAGGTTATGTAGTTTGGCTGCGAGCTTCTTGTTGTTAGGGATCAATCACATCATGCATTGCTTGGGTGGGGGAGCAGTAGAGGCAATGTTGGAGGGAATTGGGTGGCTTACTAAGGTGTGACCTTTACTGGGAGCACGTGAAAACAACGTATGCAAAAAGTTATCCTCCTACTTCAGCCCTGGTGGTTTCCTAGTTCTGTTACCAGCTACCTCCTTCAAAAAACATGTTTTCTTAACATGACTTGAGCTAAATTTACTTTCCTGGTACCCTAAAGTCCCCAACTTGAAAAGTAGTCAAGTGTCAAGATTTATGATAATTTATCATAAGAAATAACCAAGTACTTTCCTGGAGCGTGAGGTTCTCTTCATGAGTACAACTTTTGTACGTTAGCATGGAACTGTATTCATCTTTTATTTCAAGTTATTTGTTTCTGTCCATATTTCTTTAGCTAAGTGTAATTGAAGTTAGAAGACAGAATTTCATCCACAGGAAGATAATCCTCATGAGTAATCTTACCCCACTTGGCTTCTGTTTGGTAAGCAAGGCTACTCCTGACACATGTGGCAGTCTGAAAAGTTCTTATTGAGCCAGACTGTAGAGTTCTTGGAAATCGCATACCATCTTCATGGGAATTATGATTCTACTCAGGCTGGGAGGAGTACATTAACTGAAGCATTTGGGAATATGTTAAATTCAATCCTTTCCAAGTCATAATTGTTTTTTGAAGGAGAGAAGGAAAAAAGGCTAAACTTAATTCAGGTTAAAGGGAAGTAGAGAAAAGAGGATGTGAAAGAAATTATTATTAAGAAAAAAAAGTGTGTGGAAATGGATGTGAGTTAAATGTTCCCTCTTTGGAGGAAAATGTGGAAACGGGGGAAAAAAGAAAATTTTCACTAAATTTAAGGAAAGAGTATTTTCTTTTTCTTTTTCTTTGCATAACACTCAAATAAGAAAAACATTAATTAGTGGTTCTAATTGTTCTCATGAATAATGTAAATCGCTAAATCATAAGTAGTGCTTTGTGCAGTTCTATGGCAATAACTTCAACAACCTTAAGGAAAATTGATTATTTTCTAAGGAAATGTGTAGAGCCAAAATAGCAAAATGGGCTAAAGAAGAGACTGGAAGTTCTAAGAAACAATCATACTATAAGCAATGAAGAGAGATACCAAAGAAGTACTCTCTCCTTGCCTTGGTACCCTACCCATTTGGATGTATGAGTAGAATTTTTCCCCCAAATATTTCCTGAATAAGTAACTCTAATGTTACTTAAATTATTTCAGAGAATAGAGAATGAAAGAATGCTTCATAGCTGATTTACATATAATTAACATAAATTATATGTCATTAGTACTTACATATATTTAGGGGAAAAAAGATGTTAGATTTGACTGTAAGACAACTGAAATATATTTATGACAAAAAGCATTTTTTAAAAAGGTTAAAAGGCAAAGCACAAACTTTAAAAATATTTGCAGCATACATGATACTATATTACTTTCCTTTACACACACTCACACACACATGCACATACACAAACACACATAAACAAATCAGTAGGAAAAATTTTTAAATCCGCATACAAACGTGGGCAAAAGGCATACATAGAAAATTTATGAAGAAATGCAAATACTCTATAGAAATGCTCTACTTATAAGAAATCAAAATGCAAGTTAAAACAAGACACCAATTTTGGATTTTCAGATTAGCAACAATTAAAAAGGTATTCATCACTATTGTCAGTTAGAGAATAGACTTGCTCGTATAATTGTGGTGGGAAGGAGTAGACATTAGCATGACTTCTTGAGAACAAAATATGTATTAAGGCATTTTAAATATGCCTATAGCCTTGGCATAGCAGATCTAATTCTTATTATAAATAAAAAATTGTGAAAACTCACAAACAATAGATATATAAGGATGTTTATATTGGTTAAGAACTGCAAATTTATTAAAATATCACCTCTAAACATGCACTTCCCCTATGTCCCAGGAATTACGCTCTTGGGTGTGTTTGTCCTAGAGAAATAAAAACACATTTACACACAAAAACCTGTATACATTCATAGCAGCTTTTTTTTTTTTGTAATCGCCAAGTACTGGAAACATACAAAATTTCTTCCAACAGGTGAATAGATGAACAAACTGTGACTTATCCATACAATGAAATACCATTCAGCAGTTTAAAACAATGAACTGTTAGTAGGTACAACTACTTAGATGGGTCATCATGGTGTTATCCTAAATAAAAAAGCCAATCACAGAAGGTAGCATATTATTTGATTCTATTTATATGACATTCTTGAAATGACAAAAGTATAAAGGTGGAGAAGAGATCAGGGGTTAGAATTGGGTAGAAGAGTGTTACTGTTAAGGGGTAACACAAAGGAGTTTTTTGTGGTGATGGAACAGTTCTATGTGCTGATTGTGGTAATGTTTACATGAATCTATGCATGTGACAAAATTTCATAGAACTACACACATACACATGCACATACATGAATGCACATAAAAACTGGTAAAATCCTAATGAGGTCTGCAGCTCAGTTAACAGTATTGTACCAATGTTGATTTCCTGGGTTGATTAAAATGCACTGTGATTATGTAAGATGTTACCATTGGGGAAGCTGGGCAAAGGGTATTTGAGAACTCTACTAATTTGCAACTTCTTATGAGTATAGAACTATCTTAAAATAAATTTTTTTAAAAATATGACTGTACCTTCCAAATTTTTATGAAATGGTCTCACTTACTTGAAGCTTTTCCTACGACTTGGCCCATTTTCCCATTCTAATTTTCATTTGACATCACTTTCCCTTACTGTTCCTCTCTCTCTCTCTTTTAAAGTACCTCATTCCTCTTGCAAGAGACTTATAAAATTCAGCTTTTATCTTATTACTGTACTAGATTTTAAGGTTATTGAAGACAAAGACTATGTAATTTGCATCTTAGTATATCTGAATATTTGCCATTTACATTGAATGTAAAAAACACTATTCCAGCATAGTTTATAGTCAATGATGTTTGTTCAGTTAATTTCATTTAACTCAAATTCATAAATCCCCCCTAGTTGCAAAAGAGTGAAAGGGTATAAAATATTTCCTCCACCACTTCCACTTAGGTGAATGTAGTCCTTAATTGCCCTGAGCATATAAAACGAAAGTAAAAATATTAAAAATACATAAAATATTTAACACATTGTAAAGTTCTCAATAATAATATTTACTGAATTAAACTAAAGCTAAGATTCACTTTTGGTATAGAAGGAAAAAAGAAGTGAGATTTTTCCATATAAAGTCTATCTCTCTGATTCTTTAACTGTGGATATTATGAAAGGTTTGTTATGTAAATTGAATGTTGGTGATGAATATTGTTGTGGGTTTTCTTTGTCACGGCAGTGCCTAATATCAAAAGAAGACAATCAAATTACCAGGTTTCTATGCTGTGCTATGATTGTATTGATTTTTTTGTGGCACAAGATACAAAATGATCCTGTTGGAAACATTCCTTTCTATATAGCCTATTTTAAAAAAACACTTTATTGAAGTATGATTGAATACAAATAGCTGTGCATATTTAATGTATTAAATGTTATGACTTAATGAGTTTGAAAACCATCACTACAATCAATGCTATAAACATATCCATCACCTCCAAAAGTTTCTTCGTGCTCTCTTTATTAGTCTTATGTACAATAAGAACACTTAAAATAAGGTCAGCATTTCTAGCATAATTTTAATTATACAATACAGTTATGGTTACAGACACTATGCTGTATAGTACATATCTAAGACTAACTCATCTTGCATAACTTAAACTTTGTTGCCTTTGACCAACACTTTCACATTTTCCCCTGTCCCCAACCTAGGCAACTACCATTCTACTCTCTGCTTCTATAAGTTTGATAGATTGCGCATGTAAGTGAGATTGTGTGGTATTTGTCTTTCTGTTCCTTTCTTGTTTCACTCAGCATCATTTCCTCCAGTTTCATCTATGTCATTAATGGCAGAATTGCCTTTTTTTAAAAGGATGAATAATATTGCATTGTATATACATGTTATATTTTCTTTATAATTTCATCCATGTATGGACTCAGGTTGATTCCATAATTGGGCTATTGTGAATAATACTGCAGTGAACATGGAAGTACAGATATCTCTTTGACATAGTGATTTCATATCCTTTGGATATATACCGAAAAGTTGGATTGTTTAGTCATATGGTAGTTCTATTTTTAATTTTTTGAGGAACTCCTTACTGTTTTTCACAGTTGCTGCACAATTAACATTCCCACCAACTGTGTATAAGGCTTCCCTTTTCTCCACATCCCCACCAACACTTGTAACCTTTTGTTTTTTGGATAATAGCCATCCTAATACATAGGAAGTGATACCTCATTGTGGTTTTAACTTGCATTTCCCTAGTGATTAGTGATGCTAAGCAAGTTTTTATATACTTTTTGGCCATTGTATGTGTTCTTTGGAGAAATGTCTATTCAGGATTATTTGTGGGTTTCTTTCTACTGAGTTGTAGAATTAATACTGTTAACATGTCCATACTACTTAAAGTGACCTACAGATTCAATGTAATCCCTATCAAATCCCAAGGGCAATTTTTACAGAAATAGAAAAAACAACCCTAAAAGTGCACATAGAACCACAAAAGATGCTGAATAGCCAAAGCAATTTTGAGTAAGAAAAACAAACCTGGATGCATCATACATCCTGATTTCCAATTACATTACAAAGCTGCAGTAATATGGTACTGGCATAAAAACAGACATATAAACCAATGACACAAAATAAAAAAAATCAAGAAATAAATTTATACATATTCAGTCAACTGAGATTTATTTTTCCAAAAAAGTTTTTATACTGTACTTAATGCTGCCACTCAACTGGTCTTTGATAAGTATGCTAAGAATATGCAATAGGAAAAAGATAGTCTCTTCAATAAATGGTGTTCTGAAAACTAGAGAGCCACAGGCAAAAGAATGGGATTGAACTCTTATTTTATTCCATATATAAAATCAACACAACATAGATTAAAGACTCAAACAGAAGACCTCAACCCATAAAACTCATAGAAGAAAAGAGGGGAAAAGTTTCTTGATGTAGGCTTTGGCAATAATGTTTTTTTCGGATATAACACCAAGAATACATGAAACAAAAGCAAAAATAGATAAGTGGAATTATATCAGACTAAAAAGCTTCTGCAAAACAAAGGAAACAGTCAACAAAATGAAAAGGCTACATATAGGATGATTTCCTTACTATTGTAAGGAAATCCTACAGCTCAACAGCAGACACACACACACACACACACAAAACAACAACAACAACAGCAACAACCAGAGACCCACCCCAGCCTGCTGAAGAGTTTCTTTGGAGTAAGTCAAAGAAGTAAAAGATAAAAGTTTCCCAATGCTTCCCAAACCCTAGCCCTGTATTGGGATGGATGTAAAACTTTCATGCTGCCATCTTCTCACATCCTTAGTTAGGAAATTCCCCATCATACCCTGCTATTTTGATGGATTAAAAGGAGAAACAACATTCTCTTATTTACACTTTGAAAATAATTTTTTCTCTCATAAAGAAAAAGAGGTAATTTAATATATCTCTGTCAGAAGACTTTTCAGCAGAGGTCATATAAATTCATGTAAGTAGTACCTCAGGTAACAGCACAGGATTTGTTGAATAGTCAACATTGTATGACAAGTGAATGACAGAGGCATAATTTTATCTTGCTCCTTTCTAATAGTGTGTTGAGTTACTGTTTGTAAGTTATTGGCATGGCCAAATCCAACCATGCTTTAAAGACCTATGCTATAAAGATTAAACAGTTTTACAATTGAGTTTCCTTTCATGCTGAGTTCTTTTTAAGAAAAATAACAGAATGAAGTATGAACATAAAAACCTGGGTTATTTCTTTTGTCCTCCTAGAAGTCTTGACTTGTTTATTTTAACTCTGATTTTCTTTGGACAGCAGAAACAGCTTGAGGTCAGTAGTCTGTGACTTTGCCTCATTTTGCTAACAGATATAAAATGCCATTTGGGTGTGGCTGTATGGAATGGATTCCTAGATAGGAAATCAAAATTCCTACCCTATGGGCCTTATTAATGTCAGCTATGGAGCAAAACAAGGACTACTGATTCTTGATTAGATGACATGATTTTAATCATTCATGGGATGCTCGAAGCAGGTTTATTTTTCCATTATATCTCATGATCAACAGAGCAGGCTGATTGTTCATTCATTCAAGATACTTACCTAATATTGTAATTAAACTTACTATCTAATTCTCACTAGCTAGGAAGTATTTTGTGCAACAGCATTTCTCACAATCTTATTTATACAACAGTGAAAATGTAGAGGGGGAAATACTTTAAAAAAAATGTGCGCTGGCTATTTCCCAGTCCAGATATACTCTACATCCTTCTTCATTTAACTCTGTTCCAAGGATGGCTGACCTCTGTGGGCTCTATGTCAAAGACTTCTTTGCACTCTGACTGAATTTGGCCATGGAGAAGCAGCATCAGGAGATTGGAAGGCAGAATCAGAGAGAAATTGGGGTGTTTATTTACCTTTTTCCCTCCCTACCAGGCTTGTACCAGAGATCTCCTCTGACAGCTATACCTCTCTGAGGATTCTGATAACCATTCTACCTGACTCCCTCTCAAGCTTGGATGATAATGACTCCCAGTATTTTATCATTGCTTTTTGGTATCCCTGACCATGCCCATACACCTGTAAATTATCCTTTTATAAAGTACTGTTGGTTGTCCCAGTTGGGTGGGTCACCTGTTTTCTAACAGGACCCTGACTAATACAATATGGGAATAAATTATATTTTAATATAGCCATATGATGAGATATTATATAATCATTAAACATAATTTTTTACAAATACTTAACTTTATAAGAAAATGCTCAGAATAAGGAAAAAAGGATATATAATAATAGCATGAGTATGACTTCAATTTTGAAAAGAAAAAGTGTGTGTGATGTGTGTGTGCATGTGTAAGCTAAAAATTTAAAGAGTAAAAAGAGACATACTGAACTATTAGTGAATAGCTTATATAATTGATGAATTTGAGAAATGTTTCAAATGTTTTCTTATTTATGCTAGTATTTTCCAAGTTACCTATTATATGCTTATATTCTTTTATAGTCAAATTTATAAGTAAGGTCTTTCTTAAATATTTACATCTATCTATATGAGTGTGTCTCAGTCCATTGTGTTGCTATATAGGATTACCCGAGGGTGGGCAATTTATAAAAAATCAATATTTATTTGGCTCATGGTTTTGCAAGCTACACAAGAATCATAGTGCTGGCATCTGCTTCTAGCAAGGGACTCAGGCTGCTTCCACCCTTGATGGAAGGCAAAGGGGAGCCCGTGGTTGCAGATCACATGGTGAGAGAGAGGAAGAACAAGAGGAGAAAGTGTCAGGTTGTTTCCAACAACCAGTTCTGTCGGGAACTAAGAATAAGAACTCACTCTCTCTCCAGAGAATGACACCAAGCCATTCATGAGAAATCCACTCCACTCCACCCCATGATCCAAACACCTCCCACCAGGCCCTGTCTCCACCACTGTGGATCAAATTTCAACATGAAACTTGAAAGGACCAACCAAACCATATCCAAACCATAGAAATATGTATATATGGTTTCTTCATCTAACAATGGAATTGTTGGTAAAGGATAGGCCATACCATTTTGTTTAAAGTATGCTTTAGCTAAGGACATGGATTCTATTGTCTTATAATGCCATATGGTTTCTAAGCACAAAGCTATTAGAGATAACTAAATGAAAAAGATATTTAGCAAAAATTTTACAGAAGAAAAAGGTTATATACACTTCTATAAAATTGGAATGTTTCAAGACTTTAAATAGAACATAACAGTTACTTACAGAGGACAGTAATTATTAAAGCAATAGTAACAAAGCCATCTATTTTTTATAGTACTTTTCATTTTAAAATCTTTTGTATATACAATAGTCTATTTTCTTTTCTAATAACCCAGGGAAGGTTTTGTGTGCCCCCACAATAAAATTTTTAGTACCATGCAACACTTCACATTCTTGTAATTCGAAACTGTAGAACCCACTTGCACATGTCAGTTTTCAGGGCTGACCAAAAGTGACTAACAAAATTATAGACTACTTTGGTCTGAATGTTTGTGTCCCCACAAAAGCCATATGTTGAAGTCTAATCCCCAGTGTGATGGTGTTAGGAGCTTAGGTTTTTGGCATGATTAGGCCATGAGAGCAGGGCCCTCCTGAATGGGATTAGTGTCGTTATCAGAGTTGCCTTGTTCCTTTCGCTATATGAGCCTACAGCAAAAAGATTAGCTATCTAGCAAACAACCTTGACTAGACACTGATCTGTTGGTACTTTAATTTCAGGCTTCCCAGCCACTAGAACTGTGAGAAATAAATTTCTGTTGTTTGCCAACCACTCAGTCTATGGTATTTTGTTATAGCAGCCTGAACAGACTAAGACACAGAGTACGATTAACTGAATATGCCTCAGAAAAACTTGAGTTTTTGTAGCTCAATCGGTCTCAATCACTGCTCTAGCTCTGGTTCATGTCTTTAAATTTTATTTCACTAAAATAGATATTATTCGTACAAAGTAAAAAACAAAAGAGTTAGATTAAGTAAAAACTTTCTGATTCCCCAATACCAATCTCATTTCTCTGGTCCTGTGGTATAACAACTATTAAGAAATGGTTTAATGTGTGTTATTTCGCATGTTTTTATGAGGCATCTGTGTGTGTGTGTGTGTGTTTGGTGTATGGGTGGGTAGGTGGTTGTGTGGGTGTTTCTTTTAATACAAATTAAAGTCTTTTCTATTCATCTTATTCTGTAATCTAGGCTTCTAAAAAATTAAAAATAGAAAAGATAAAAATTTAAAAGGCAGACATCTTTTCTTATGAAAACATATAAATACACATCATTTTCTCCGACCGCCAAAGTTATATATCATTCCAAATTGCATAAATATGCATAAATACATTCTTGTTATAAAATATGCTTCAATTTTCACTACCATCTATCTAGAACATACATGAAGAAAGATTGCATCATCAAAGACTCCCCAAAAATTATGCCTCAATTTTTCCCTCCTTCCTGTACTCCCCTGCCTATGCTACCTACCTACAGTGTATATCATCACACTCCAGCACAACTGGCAAGTACAAATGCATGACATGAGTAACCCTATACAGTGCAGGGTGGATTTCCAGGCATAAACAACACGCTGTTCAGGTTAAATCTCAGAACGCCACACTATTCTGTTTAATTGGCACAGATATAAGGTATTATGTGAAGCATTCTTGGGGGGGAGCTCCACTTTCTGCCATTTTCTCCTCAATCATTTTTCTCTTCACAACTGGGTCTCAGAAAATCATATTAAGGGCTAGAGCAAACTCTTTAGTTATAACTTCTAACCATCAAAGGGATATGAGACTCTGTACCTTCCCCCCATTATGCAACTAAAAATAAAGCAAAAATAAATAATTAAATCAAAATTATATTTTTTGGGATTTTGTAAAGTTTCTAGTAACCATTTGTATCACGATTTTGTCTTCTTTTCTTTAAAGAAGGTCTTGTCAATTAAGTAAACTATAGACTTCATAAAATCTGGATGGTTTTCTTACACCTGGTTGCTGTTCTTATACCTTATGCATATTTTGTAAATATTTTCAGATATATGGAACATTTAATAAAACTAATACAATTTTTAAAAAGGAAAAGAGGAGCCTTTAGTTTACAATGGCTGGTCTTGCTCTGTGTTCTATTCCAGTTCCAGCTCTAGATTCATGCTTTTCTCCCAATGAGTCGGTTCCTATTTTAATGCTTAATTCTAGTATCTGTTTTTCTATCTTATTTCTCTTTCTCGCTCCTTACTCATCATTTCATCACATCTTCCAATGCACAATCTTCCTTTACCTTATTCCCTTGAGTTCCAATTTTTTAGTTCCCCTGGAAAAGCGTCTTTCATTAAAACTTTACTTTTACCTGTCAGTGAAAGCTCAGCTGCTGCTTGACATCCATAACACTTTGTTTGCAGCCTAAATCATTCTGTTGCCTTCATGCTGGCACCACACCCCTGACCTTCCAGGACTGATCAGGATGCCTATGAGGGGATCTGCCTCACCCCAGCTCTCTGACATATTGCCACTGCTGACTACTCCCATCACCACTTGCCTCGCCCCAATGTAGTCTTCAAGATTTATATGTGACCTTGCCTGTGTCTGACCTGATTTAGGGGACAACACACGGCCCTTCCCAGAGACAATGGAAAAATCACTTGCCTCTCTCTTGCTTGACATATTTTCCATAAACCTTAGTGGTATCATATGCTTTCTCAGGCTCTAAACAGAGACTCCACTGTTACACTGCCTTCTCTGGCTTCCTGCATCTGGACTCATCTTGTCCATTCTTCATTTTTCCTCCCATTCAGTTTTATTACCATTCCCATCATGTGATCCAAACAGTTACTGTCAACCATGATGATCATTATGATCATTATTTTTATTATAACTCTCTGGCCCAGGCACTGTGCTCTGCATTTTGCCTATATATTTCACTTAATTGTCACAAAGCTATGATGAGAAAAATGTTATCATTATCTATTTTTGTTGGAGTGAGAAACTGAGGTTTAGAAATGTGAGCAACTTGACAAAGGTCATTCAACTAATAAATGAGAGAGTCAAACATCAAATTCAGAATATTCTGCAAGAGTATCTTCATGGCAACCCTGTCAGTCACTCTACTGCTAGCCTTATCTGCATTAGCTGACTTCCACATTTCTAGACATTAACTTTTCAATGGCTGCCCATTGCCTACAGGATAAATTTCAAACTTTCTTACATTCACCCTGGTGCCAAATTATCTTTGTGTACTTTATGTACAAATAACCCATACCCTGCTCCTTTATCTAATCTTTTATTATTTCTGATTTTTCACATAATCACATCTTTTCTCCCCAATTAATCTGCAACATTTCTAAAAGCAGGTATAATGGTGTTACATATGTTACATAGCTTTTTATTCATCACAACACTTACTAAATGTCCTTCCTGTGGTAGGAGCTCAAAAATTATATGTTGATTAATCTTCCAAATTTCCTACATCCCACTGTTGAGTCCTATTTCAGTCACGCACAACAGTGATACATAAATTAATTTGAAGAGTTTTTAAATGTAATATGCTAACACATTTCCCCACACCAGACAACACTCATTGGTACCTGTCACTTGTGGATAATCATGCCCCCTGAGGCCACTCAAAAAAACAATCTAAAACTTGGGAATGAATCATAGTGTCAGGTGTTCTGGAGTTTCCTGAGCATCTTTGTCACCATTTTTTTTCCCAACACCAACTGAAAGTATTATTGAGAAAGAAAATGAGACTAAAAGAAGATGAGATGTGCAACAAAGCTGAAAACAATTCAAGAGGCCAAGTTTATGGATGCTAAAGCATGCCCATTGCACTGCCTTGGGTAACTTTTGGCTTCACAAAAGACTTTGGGAAGATTCAGTCACAGGAAACCAAGACTATGAAAATGGAAAGGAGACACCTAATGTGGCCATCAGTTTATGTCACTGACACTGTTTTCTTAGTCCTATCACACACCTACAATGATGAAGGCAATCATACTTTGATTCCAGTGACACCAAGGGGTTGATAGAGATGAGTGGCTGGCCCCTGGAATTTCTATCAGTGATCCTATAGCTACACCAATGTAATAGTATAATAATCTCTAGAAAGTTGATCCTTTCTCAAACTCAAGCAGCATGAACATAAACTACATTAGAAACTCACTATTTTTATTGACCCAAAACATGTATGAAGTAAAAACATTACTTGTGATGCAAATTCAGCTTCCAGATGAGTCCATAATTTATCTTCCAGCCATATTGTTGCCATTAAATCCATCTATGTAGAATTCTGAAACTGCTTCCAATGGAAGGTCAAATTTGTTGCGATTGATATTATTTCCTTTGGGAACTCTCTGGAGGAGGTTACAGATTCTGTTCCACATTCAGTTTCTAAACATTGAAATCTTGGTATCACCAAGGTGTTTCCATACCACTGTTCCACCATCAACACTGAATATCGCTTTTGTATGTAAGCTCATGTCATCTAGATTTCCATTTTCCCTGTCAACTCCTGCAGATCACCTCACTAAAGTACTTAAAACAGTATCTGGGATTTAGTGAGCATTCGATGCATGGGAGTTATTAATATACCTAGAACCATTGGGTGTTTCCAATGTCCTTCAGCAGGGGTATGCCAAGGCCAACTTATTTGATTGTTAATATTTTTATTATTTTTTAATCATCCATCCCAGAATGTCATTTTATTACTTTTAGAAATTTAACAAGCCAATTGTTGGACATGCCCATCATTAAAAATTATATGAACTTATAATTCAATAAATTATATTAAAAATAAGGGTTATAAGCACCCCAAACTCATCACTTTCTAATTATTTTACTATATTTTATATTACTTAGGTTTTTGAGGCTATTTAACTCAATCGTATCAGCATGGCAGAAATACTGTATGATGGTGTACTACTGTGCTTCTCTTCCCCACTCTGTGTTCGGTGACGTCACCCTAGTAGCTTGAAAATGGTCATGATGGCAATGCTTCATGAAAGAAAGGAGCCAACACTACAAATCAGGACTTGGTTTAGTATTCTGTTGATTGTTTAGACTAAAGAAAATGATGGAGAAAATGTTAATAATGCTAATTAAACTTAACAGTGTGTTGTGCTTAATATTAAAGCCAAAAGCTATTTCAATTTAATGAACGTAACTTTGTACAAGCGTTAGCAATAGCTCAACAATAAATCACTTATAGGATTTAATGGCAACAAATTTATTGGAAAAAGAGGTAGCAGATTGGGGTCTAATCATTTGTGAAATCATGGTAGCATTGCAACCATAAGTTGGTTATGCATACAAGAGTTCTACAAAAAATAACAAAAGTATACTGTAAGAATCAATTGGATACGTGGAATTTACAAAAGGGTATTATATATTTTACTACTTATAAATTTGTGTTATGCTTTATTATATTACATTTATAAACTTTATATGTAAAATGTATAACAAGTATGTATATATATGCACACGTACATATACATATCTGTACACATACACATGCTTTTTTCCTAAAAGCTTTATTATGAAACATTCACTGCACACGTCTGCCTTTGGATTTTCTTACCAATCAAAGGATAAAATAACTTTGCTAAGGGTGGAATTCATACAAAAATGAGATGGTGAAAAGGAAAAATGGACATCACCTTAGAAAACCATGGAATCGTTCAAGTAGCAAATATTTATAATCAGTTATTGCTGCAAAACAAATAGCCTCAAAATCAGAAGCTTAAAACTGAGAATATTTTTTATTGCTCTGAATTTATGGTTCAGCTATGTAGTCCTGCTCATCTGAAACAGGTTTGACTGGGTTTACTCATGCATTCACAATCAACTAGCTGGTCTAGGATGGCTTTGCTCGTATGTCTGGCAACAGTCAGGTTGTTGTCTGGGGTGATAGAGGTAATCGAGCCACATGTATCCACCTGCCAACGGGATACCTCAGCTCATTTTCATAGTTATGGGCAAGATTAACACAAGGCCTCTTGGAGCCTGGGCTTAGAAGTGGCATAAAACTCACTTGCTCCTAATTGTTGACTAAAACAAGTCACAAATACAGCTCAGATTCAGAGGTGGGAAAATAACTTCCACCTCTTAATGGGAGTCTGGGAAGTCAAAGGATATGGATATAGAGAGGCATTGGCAATTTGAGTCATCATCTACCACAACGTTTTCTCCCATCTACGTATGCTCACTTCAGGATCCAGCTGAAATCCTATTTACCTTGGTTAAACAAACTGCCTGTGAATGGGGCCGGCCCAGCTGTAAACCGACAAACAAAATCTTCTTTGTCCCTGGATTATGGTCCTGCTCTCCCATTTTCTGAATATGAACAATTTAGTAGACCTACTGAGACAAGGATAAAGTAGCTAGAATTTAGTCTCAGTTTCTCTTTTCTCATAAAAAAAAATCCCATATAATGCAAATTTGCAATTAGAATCAGGTTGTAGAAGAAAAATTAAAAAGAGATTTAGTGGAATTAAGGAAGCTGAATGAAATTTAATCCCAAACACCAAGAAAAATATGTCTTAAAAGCTGTGGTTTTACAAAGTATGAGAGATATATGGACCCAAGCTCAACTTGCGTAAAGAGAAAAAGGGGGCAAAAAAGGGCTACTTTATTCCAGATAGAAACACTAAGGTTATAGGAAGGAACTACGTTGTGATAACCTCCTTTTTCTTCTTTGGCCCCTTACCAACATTTGCAATTATATTTATTTATTAACTGGCCTTTTTGTTGACTCATGTATCCCTAACACCTAACTCAGTACTCTGGCACAATAAATAGTTAAATGTTAAACTAATGCCTCAATATATGAGACAACAATGACTTTTATAGAAAAGTTATATTCATGTATGCATTTCAGTAATGTTTTCCTTTTAAAAATACTTTCTGCATAGTCTTCAAAAGTGAAACAGTAGAAAGGAAGGGTCCCGCCTAAATATTGGAAAACATTTGAGGATTTCTATGGTTCTTTCCTTCCTTTTGCAGATTGCAGAAGAATTGTAGAACCATACCAATCTTTACGTTTATTCAAATTAATCAGCCCTATTCCCTCAGCACAGCAGTGTAACCTGCACAAACAATACTCATGCATCTGTTTATAACATTTCTGTGTGGAGATCACATTTACCAATTTGGCTTTCAATCACAGCAATGACTATCTCTCAATGGTTTTTTAGCCAGTCATATTAAAATAATCCTGCCCGCTGATTCAGAATAGGAAGAAAGGAAGATAATGAATATTAGTTGAGTGATTAATTATCAGTTCCTATTCTAGGGTCTCTAATACATTATCTCTTTTAATTCTCTAAAACAATTCTTCAAAATAAGTATCACAATCTCCATTTCACAGATGAGAAATCTGAGGCTCAAAGAGGTCAAGAATTTGATACAGTTTACAGTTTGTAAAGTGACAGATATGGGATGTCAACTCCAGTAAGTCTGTCTGATTCTAAAGCTTTTGTTCTTTTCACTCTATAACTGTATTACTTCATCTCTTTTGTTTTAATCAAGATGGGTTTATATTCTTTATTTGAATTTTAATGGGGAAGAAGCTTTATAAGGTATCATTGGAAATGTAGTAGAAAAGAAAAAGAAATTTCTAAGCCTCTCCTTCCATTTATGATTCTTCCGGAAAGCATTAACAACCAAGAGAATGTCATATTTCAGCCCTCAAAGCAGATTAAAACAAACATTCTCATCAGCTATGGTTTATGTCGCAGCAAAATTTTGTATTGCCCATAACTAAAATATGCCCCTCCTTTTGATAATGAAGATCCCAGGTCTCACTGTACCCCTCGTATCATTCATCCAATTCTGGCTGGCACTGCTCCATGGCTGCACTCCCAGAATCAGTACATTCCCAAGCCAAACCATTCTTCTATTTCGTATTATGTCTGCTTTAATGGGGGAAGGAGTCTCAGAGAAAAGGAAACAGATAGAGGCTGTGTAAACACAGCATATCCTAGGCTTCAGAGTGAAGTAATATTAGAGGAAGTTTGAAATTTTGCAAAGTGATAGCAATTATACAGTTTAAGCATAATTACATGTAAGCATCATATATAATATAAAAGAGAAAGATATTATAAGCAAGTGGCAAAGAAAGATGGAAATAGATATCAGTGCATACACAGGAGAAAAAGAAACGGACCCTCAGAGGATTAATACAATTTCCCCTTTTAGTGGCAAGCACAAGGCAGTTTAATTTCACTTACTTCTCTATTTGACAAGGTTGTTTTTATGATCTCTTCTATTTATAGCCAAATGTTCTCCAGTGCAGTACTCCTCAAACCTGACTGCATGAAAATCACTAGGAGAGTTTGTTAAAATGCGGATTCTGACCCAGTAGCTCTGGAGTAAGCCCTGAAGAGACTGTGTTTCTAACAAGCTCGCAGTTAATATCCATGCTGCTGGACAATTTTAGAACCCCATTTGAGAAGCAAGGCTCTTGTTCATAAGACACTATATTGTGGAGTATGAGCGGGGAGAGGAATAAAAAGATCTAGTGCCTTAGAAAATGGAGTTAAAAAGAATATTTACTTAGTTTGCATTTCTAAGAATTCTCCAATTTTGGGCTATCAGTATTGACATCTTTTATCAGATTTCAGAAACTCGTTATGCTTTCCTTTTTAATATAAACAACATTTTTCTTGTTTTGCTGACTTCTAGCATTTGAGACCAGTTAGTTCCTCAAATGTTAAGTCTGTGTTTATGTAACAAAAAATGAATTTAGATTTCTACTTTCAAGGGTTCAATAGGATTCTTTTTTTCTCTTATGGATGAATCTGTGAAGCCACAAAAATCAAAACCAACTAAGTCATGGTGGTTCATGCCTATAGTCCCAGCACTTTGGGAGGCTGAGGTGGGAGGATCACTTGAGGCCAGGAGCTGGAAAGCAGCCTGGGCAACATAGTAAGACCCTGTCTCAAAAAAAAAAAAATAGCTGGACATGGTGCTGTGTACCTGGAGTCAAAGCTACTCAGGAAGCTGAGGTGGGAGCATCAGTTGAGCCCAGGGGTTTGAAGCTGCAGTAAGCTATGATCACAACACTGCACTCTAAACTGTGCAAAAGAGTGAGACCCTATCTCTAAAAATAAAATAAAAATAAAATCAATGTCATTATTTGTATAGTACATACGTCATCTGAATCTAAACGGATTTTAAGGCGAAAATACATAAAACACAATTTTAAGGTTTCTTTTCGACAAGCAGTAGTAAGTTTCAGTCTAGCCAGGGGTAACCTAGTCTAAGAAAATGCTCCATAAATAATTGAGGGACACAGATTTGCTCCTTCTCTTTCAGAAGCTTCTGGCTAGAAAAAAAAATACTGAAATAAGATTTCCAGTTATAAAGTAAAACAGTATCTTTGTCAGAGATATAGTGAAATAAAGCTTGATTCTTCTCATTTCCCAGATCAGAAAATCAAGGCGCGGAGAGATTAGTCCACTTGTTTAAGATTGCTGGAGTCATTAGCTCCAGAGGATAAGTCATGAGAATAAAAGCCAGCTCACTGATGCTGAGGCCAGTTCCTTCCTCTCCCTATGCTGCCTGCCTGCTTAGGTTTCCACCCAACTTGGCTTTCCTATCCCCTGGACTTCTCACCTTCAGAAATGTCATTGACCCCTTAGAATTTCTGGGCTCAAGTGGTCCTCCCGCCTCAACTTCTTGAGCAGCTGAGACATAGTGCACACCGCCATGCTCTGCCAATTTTCCTTTAGAGGCAGGGTCTCGCTATGTTGCCCAGGCTACTCTCCAACTCCTGGCCTCAAGTGATCCTCCTGACTCAGCTTTCCAAAGTTCTGGGATTACAGACATGAGCACCATGCCTGACCTGATTTTCATCATTGATATGCTGGAATTTTAGGCAGTTTCTAACTCAGTTTGCCAGTGAGATGTTAAGATTGGTTCTCAGCACAAGTGAATGTCCTGTTTCAATATTTTTGCCCAGATCCACTGGTATATTATTAATAATAAACTTCATTTGCTCTCTTATAACTCCTATCATGTATGAATAACTTTTGAGAAATCTAGTCTTAGAACTCTAATCTTCCCCTGCTACCCCAATTTCCTTTCCTTTGGCCATTCCCAATCCCAACTCCCTGAAGCCCATGATCCTGCCTCACACAGCTCAGTTACTCAGAAAGTGATGAAGGAAGGGAAAAGTGAACTGTTTTTTCTTAGAGAACCTTGGCCCATTCACAACACAAGCATTTGTTCTATCCTTCACAGCTAGGATGATCAAATGATTCATAGTCTACATCAGGAAACTTTTGAAAATGACAGGAGCAAGGTTAAAACTAGGCCAGGGTTACAGGCATAAATTAGGACTGTGCTAGGCATATTGTAACATGGCCAACCTAAAAATGGCTACACAGGGCACTCCACGAACTCCTCTAAGATTTCACTGGAAAAGGCATTGAATGCCGGGAAGTTTAGTGGACCCTGAACAGTAATCTATGCGTGAAATGTGATGTACAGCCCCTAGAAGTTCCACTACATTGTAACTTTCAGGCGTCAATTGATTTAACAACTTTTAAGATCTCAAATTATAATGAACACATGCAGAGATATGCACAAAGCAACAGAGTAAAGAAAAAGATGAGATATATTAATATTAATTTTTTTTTGTTTTTGCTTCCAGCTGACTTAAAACCTCTAACTGTTTGTTGGATATAAAACATTTTTTGTGTTTGCAGAACACTTACATCAGAAACCAGTGTTGATCAAAAGGAGAAATCCAGTTTATTTTTAATTACCATTGGCTCCCTACTCCCGTTCTTTGTTTAAGAGCCAAGTTCAGTTTAATTTAAAAAGGAAAGCAAGGCTAAGAAGTGATAAATTGTACACTCTAAGAAGATATTAAAATACTCTTTTTTCATAACACATTTTAAAATCTGGAAGCGCCATGTACAGTGACATCTAATTCCCTCATGGAATGCAACAACACAGAGAATGGGGTATTGTATCATCTTAAGCTGCCTTGTAGATGCTATATCTAAAATATTTTCCCATTTGTTTTTTCACAACTCCAATCTTTGTCTCCAATAGTCTCCTAATTCTTAGTCCCCTTGAATTTACTTGCAGCCCTTGCTATTTTTTGCAAATGCTTCTCTGAACCTGTATCTCCGCAGTACAGAACGTTTCAAGGGCCCCCAATAAGGAAACTACAAAATATTTAACCCAATTTACAAATCCCTACATCATCTATGCCTCCAGACTTATCGCCGAGAAAGCAATGGGCTTGCATTTGTTGAATGATTCTAACCAAAGATTAAAAAGACATGCCAAGCCTTTCTCTCAAGTGACTTACTTTCTTTGAAAAGGTAGTTAAAACACTAGCGTTGGGATGGACTGAGATATCCCAAGAGCTGATTGGAGAATAGTTTTTATTTCTGTTTTGCTGAGCTCATGGTAATTGGGGAAGCAAACAGGAGGAAGTAAGAGGGGACTGAAATTGTTTTAGTCTAGGAAGCAGGTGGAGGAACTGGGTTCCAAGCTGTGGAGAAGAGCCGAAACCTGGAGGAGTGGAAATGAAACAAAAATGAAAACGGAGCAGAGAGACCAAGATTGGAAGAGAGCTTTCCGAACTATTTTCAAATCTCTTTCAGGTTGTAAGAGCTCATTTCATCAAAAGAAGACTTATGTTTGATGTTTGGTGCCATAGATGTGGACCCTTTGACTCAGTGATTCTCAATCTTGGCTGTACATTGAAATCACAAAGACATTTATAAGATGATAATTTGCAGCACTCACCTCTGGATGTTCTGATTTAACGGTTTTAGGTGGGGCTGAAAAGTGTAGTGTTTAAAAGCTTTCCCCTCCCCGCCCCCACCACCAGGTGACTCTTGTGAAGATGAAAGGAGATTATCCATGTGACTGCACTTTACACAGGACTCTCTAAAGATTGATCTTATTGATAGGATCCTATCTTATTGATAGGATTACTAAATCAGTGGCCACTGTATTTCAAAGCAAATGAGAGAAAAAGCACAGTTATGGACTCCGCTAGGGCCTAAGCTCTGTTCATAATAACTTTTTCAACTAAATCTTGAAGTCCAAGTTAGGTAAAGAATAGGGTCAAGCAGCCCAGGAGAAGGAAGAGCATACACAAAGGCACAAAGGTGAGAAATAGCATATTCTGTGCAGAATGCATTTAATTTTCTGATTTATTCAACAACCATTTATTGCATACTTAATCCATGCTTCACACTGTCCTATTCAGTGGGGGCATAAAAGTGACTGACAAGAAATTTACAAACTAAAGTGGATTTGACACAGCAAGGCTGTCTTCTCCTCTGGAGTGCTTGCAATGGTGTGTTGGTCAAGTTGAACTTTAAAGGAACCTTTAGGAGCAAACAAAGGGCAGGACCTTCCTGTGGTGAACTTCTCATGCCTCAGCTAATTCAGAGTCAAAGACTGAATGTCAGGAAGAAAGGACTTAAAAGTCCAGTGTGATCAGCTTCACAAGAGAAAAATACATGAGTAAGGGTCTCATATACATCCTCTTATTGGCACACTGCAAAGTCTCTGCAATATGAAACAGCATTATTATTATTATTATTATTGGCTCTTCAAAGCAAATGTTAGTAAATCGAGAAAAAAATATTTTAATACCTAGTAAGTATTAATCCCACAGAAACTATAAAATGCATTTAATATTAATGTATTAAGATTTAAACCTTTATTCACATCTTCATATGTGCAGTGACCCAGTTCATCCAAGTTTTAGTAGTTGTCTGAAACTCTTTGTAGAAAGATACATAAATTCACAAACACATATACAGGATTATTGAGATTGTAACTCTTCCCAGACATGTTTTTTTCACTAAAAATTTTCCACATTTCTAAGAAATATGTGTATGAATCAAGAGTAACTTACCAAGGCAGCCCAGGGAGAACCAGGACCAAGGACAAGAGACCCCTGGGCACTGAGGGTGTTCCATAAAGTGGCAGGAGTTGAGAGGTGAAGCTGGAGACTCAAAAACCAACTACAACACAGAAATTGGTGCAGTGATTTGCAAATATGGTCCTAGAACCAGCTATGTCAGCATCACCGGGAACTTGATAGAAATGCAAATTGTCAGGCCAGGATATATATTGAGCCAGACCCCTTGAGGGTAGGATCCAATAATGTGTGCTTTAACAAACCCTCCAAGTGACTTGATGGTTGAGAACCACTAGATTAGTGGTCCCCACTCCTGGCTACTTATTGAATCTATTTAAGGACTATGTTAGTTTTCTAGGGTGGCCATGACAAATACCACAGACTGGGAAGCTTAAATGAAAATTATTTTCTCACAGTTCTGAAGAATAGGAGTCTGAGATTAAAGTGTTCACAGGGCGGGTTTCTTCTGAAGCCTCTCTTCTTGGTTTATAGACAGCTGTCTTCTCACTGTCTTCACATGACATTTCTTCCACGTGTCTGTCTCTGTGTCCTAATTTCCTCTTCTTAGAAGGACATCAGTCAGATTAGGG
The DNA here is from genome assembly GCF_000001405.40 of Homo sapiens. Taxonomy (NCBI): domain Eukaryota; kingdom Metazoa; phylum Chordata; class Mammalia; order Primates; family Hominidae; genus Homo; species Homo sapiens. Next base: position 81,814,625 of record NC_000006.12, read on the forward strand.
CCTACCCTAATAACCTCATTCTAACTTAATTACCTCTTTAAATATGCTATCTCCAAATACAGTCACATTCTGAGGCCCTGGGGTTTAGGACTTCAATATATGAATTTTAGGGGTGTTATGAGGTAACACCCTAAATAGCTCAGATCATAACAAGAACCTTTCATTTAGAAATATCAATATCACATGAGACCAACTGACTCTGAATTCTTAAGGGTGGGGCCCTGGCATAAGTATTTCTTAAAAGCTCTCTTGTGAGTCATATGTGTAGCAGGGCTGAGAATCAGGCTATAATGGGTAAAAGGCCAAACAGTTGGGCACATGGCAGGAGATGTAGCCATCAGTGGCCACATGCTGCCCAGTAAGGCAGGTAGACCCTACCAGGAATAGAGGGTGCTATGAGGTAGCAGGAACCCAACCATGAGAAGTCTGGCTTAGGACAGCATATTCAGCTAAGCCCTAAAGCAAGAGTGAAGAGACTGAGAATTCAGGTAATAGCATAGAGGTGTGTGAGACAGCCAGTTTATAAGACACCAACATCGGAACGAGTGTGAAAGATTAGAACTCAGCTGTAATCCACAGAGCTGATTTGACTCTGGTGGCACAGGTTTGTGCCAGGGTCTCCTGGCCAGGAAGCTGTTGCCAGGGCCAGAGGATATAGCTGCAGAAACCCAAGAGATGGCAGTGAAGGAATTCAGAGGGCATCTGAGGCTTTTACAAGACATCCTACCTTTTAATATCTCGAATACACATATCTCTTTATAGTGTTTTATAAAGAAAGAAAACAAGACAAACAGCAATAACAAAACCACTGCCCTGAAGGTAAAATGTATTTACGGTCTTAGGAGGCTGTGTGAGGAGCTATCCTATTCCTAGTGAGTTCCTGGACTTTATTTTCTGGGGGTGTTGAGGAGTCTCAAAGAGTAACTCATTAAACGTCTAACCACTTTTGTCTGGTCAAAGCCAATAATCTCTGCTTTGTTATCCTTCAGAGAGAGGAAGCCAGTTGTGTTCAAATTGTCATTATTAGCTCCATTTCCAACACCACAAAAATTAAAGGACTGTTGCAAAGAAACAAATGGAATCCAGGAAGAACACACAATCTCTTTGAAACCTCCTCACCCCTATCCACCCACCTGGCCCAGAGATGGAGGAATTACAGGGAACCCAGCTGAGTAATAATGTTGTTGATTCCCTGCTAATCGGATTTTTCTTGAGTCCAGCAACAGTCAAGTGTTTACAAGACTTCTCTTTTCAAAACAACTCAAAAGACACTCCCAGCAGAGAAGCTAGAAACGAGCAAATCAATAATGTAGGAACTGCTACTAAGGGTTTTCATCTGCCCAGCAAGGAGAATATTTATTTATAGAAAAACTGGCCACTCCAGTTTAGTGTGGTAATAACATGGTGCAGCTAGTTCAAAGAGTGGCATGGTTGAACACAGCCTTGTATTATGCCCACCGTAAATGGTCTCTATGAGGAAAGGCCTATAATTTAGAAAGATTTGCCATGGATGGTAAAGCCCGGGTCATTGTAACAGATACTTTTTACCAACTCTATTTGTGGAGAGGGCATGTAAAAAGGAAGGAAAAAGGTTAGCTTCAGGAAACCTGGAAGGAGAAAGTGAGCCTCATTTGGTTTTACCTACATGAGAGCTATCTTACACCCAACCTGAAGCCTTCCTTGATGGTTGGAGATACATTTATTAGAAAGGCACAGAATTTTTTACGTGCAATATATATGTTTTGTTCCCTAAAGAATCATTTCTCCACTGTCCTGCTTATACATTCTCTCTCTTTACCTGCTCCTTGAATGCTGAGGAAAAATGATGTACTCTTCAATTGCATTTTTATATTAGGGTATGTCATTGGGTGGAAGTCAGAAAACACTGACTCAAAATGTCAAGCTCTTCTCCAGGGAATTCCCTGGGGCATGGCTCCGTTGACCTTCTGTTGTTTATCCAATCAATCTTTGTCATCGCTACTGGAAAAGCAGGAGGTGCAGATTGTAGATGTGGCTGCTTCAAAGCCAGTCTCTGAAGATGCATGTAACAATTTCTTTGACCTATTTTTTTAATCATCAGGTAAATATCCTGTCAGGAATTAGGAATTGTACATCTGAACTTATCTCTCTGTGTCTGCCTATCATTGTCATTTCAGTTTTTATCAGCCAGCTGTGATGCAGTCCCAAAGGTGACATTTGTACAGTGGTATGCTGGTAAAGATTTAAAACTGGCTCTCTGGGGAAAATAGGACTGATTTGTATTGTTTGACAATTTCCTTGGTGTAAATACTTCCACATGGCTCATTTCAAGCTATCAACATGAAGTTCTTGGAAGCAAAGTTGGGAAGAGATACACCATTATGTAGTATTTCCAGAACACAGATACAGTTGAAGGAAAAAATCCCAGGAGTATACGTAATAATAAAATGTAGTAAAATAAGCAGTAAGTGATAAGTTTTGAGCATTTTTGACCTTGTTTTCAATAAAATTTACATAACTGTAAGTTTATATAATTTAGTTTTTTAAATGGTTGTGTTTATCATCCATCTTTACAAAATTCCTGAAAATCTAAGATTGGCTTACATGAGCCAATAGTAGCCAGTTTCAGCACACAACTGGTCCTCTGGAAGGTGAAGCCCAGATTTATGAATTAAAGGAGAACCCAGGCACAACATCAAGCATTAGATACTGTGAAAACCCTGAGCCTGTGAGCAGAGAAGAGGCTGATCAAATGGCACTATAGGCTTGAGGAATAAACACAAAACCACATTTCCAAATTCCAGCCTGTAGGGCAGAGGTCACCAATTAGGGGGCTGAAAAATATCTTTTGCTGGGGAGTTCTGATCCCACTGGGCCAGCTTGTGCATTTAGCACTGCAGAAATCAGCTGGATCTGAGAGGTAGCTGCCACCTTAGGGTAAGATTTGTGAACTCTGATTTACAACTCTCCAAACCTCTCTTTCCATGGCTTGTTGCATTCATTTTCATTGCCTCTGAAGGCAGGAGTGCTTCCAAATCAGCGCTTAGCCAAGCACACCCCTTCAAGAAGCCTCGTGGCTTTAAGTGACAGCTACATGCTGATGCATCCCTCCCCTGAACTGGAGACTCCAGTATCTAATAGCCACTGCCTATTCAGCATCTCTCCTTGAACATTTAACAGGCAGCTCAAACCTAACGTGTTCAAAAGTGAACTGCCCCGTCACTGTGTTCACCAAGTCAGAAAACGGCTACTCCATCCTTCCAGTTTCCTGGCCAAGAGTCATGGCCTCATCTTTGACACCTCTTTCTCTCTGTCCCACATTCTATCTGGGGGCAAATCTTGTCATCTCTGCCTTCAAAATACATCCAGAAGCTGACCTTTTCACCACATCCAACACAGCTTTTATAATCTCTCCCCTTCATTATTGCAATAGCATCCTAGCCGGTCTCTGTTTCTGGACTTGCCCACCTACTGCCCATTCTTACAACAGCTACCACGAGCCTTTTACAACTTAATTCCAGTCACTTATTTTCTCTGGGGAAATAACTCAATGTCTCCCTATTTCACTTAGAGTAAAAGCCAGAGTCCTTAGGCCTTTGATTCTACTGTTCCCTAAGAAATGTTCTTTCCCCAGATATTCTCACGGCCTCCTTTCCCATCCATTAAGCCTTTTCTGAATGTCATCTCTTCACCTGTCTTCAGAATTGTAACCTCCATCCAAATCTCCTTTGGCTTTCTTCTCCATTGCACTTATCACTAGACTGTACATTTTACTTTTTTTCTTCCTGGAAGAAGTTAAGCTTCCTGAGGGTAGAGATTTCTGTTTTGTTCACTGCTGTATCCCCAGCACCTAGAAACAATGCCCAGCATGGTGGGTCTCAGCTATCAGTTGGATAAATGGATACCAACCCATAGAAAATGAAGTTATTTCAAACACAATTTGGAAGGTGTGGTAGGATGGGAGAGGAGGTAGGGAGAAGGGAGTTAGGGGAGTCATAGGAAAATGGAACATTTCAACTGGACAACTCAGAATCTAGCCTCTTCAGGTTTCTCGCTGAGAATCAGTGAAGGGTGTGGAATTTTAGAAAATTCCAGCACTTCTGATATGGAATAGGGGCATATATAAAGGCAGGCTGTGTGCTTTCCTAAAAAGAACAATACTTTTAAGTGAGATAAACGTCGTTCTGCTCCTGTCATTATTTTCTTGGGTATATAATTTAATCCCTCTAAGCCTCTCCTGGTTCTCCTTTCATTGAATTCTTCCCCTTTTAGGCAGCTGGCTTCTGTGCCATCTTTTACTCCCTTGATCTCTTAAAGGCTGTGCCTAGCAGCCTTTCTACCACCCTCTTCTCTTCTGACTCTAGCCGGATATAACCACACTTTTCACCTTCCTGATTTCACTCACGCTACTCCCTTAGCCTGAAGAAAACAGACAAATTCAGACAGAGAAAACAGTGCAAACTCAAGTCTCCTCTGTTCAGCTCAAATTGCCTTGTGTTCACATGATCCCATCTCACCCACCTCCCTCACAACTGCAAGATGTCATGGGACAAGTGTAAGCCTTAGAGGAAAAACTGAACTTATCACAGGATCATCATTTCACAGCCATGTTAACTTGAATCAGTCCCTTAAACTGTATAAGCTTCTGTTTCTCTAAGTGAAAAATGAGCAGGCAGCCAGGCATCCTGGCTCTAGCAATAGACTCCTTGGGTCATATCACAGCTCTGCTACTTTTAGCTGGGTGAAAGGGCAAATTCATGTCTCCAAGCCTTGAAGTCTTCCTTGATGAAAGTATGAATAATGAGGCCCACTTCATAAGGTTGCTGTACAGATTTGATGAGATGTAAAACCCTGATACACTGCCTGGCACATAGGAAGCCCTCGATTCAGGTCAATTATTACAATTATTATTATGGGGTCACTGTAAATACCCATGAGCTAATGTCCATGTCCTGGACAGCCTCTGTTTGTCCCTCTATATCCACTCTGCCCCAGCCTTCTTCCCCCAACTCGGGCCCCATGAAGCTCAGTTGGAGGGCCTCCATCAACGCTCCTTCATCCTTGGGCTTCTGTTTGCGCAAATGGAGGCACTAGCAGGAGATGTGCTCCCTCCCTGGGAAGGTCCGTGGTTCCTGTCAAATGACTTTCTCCACAGGATGCCCTACGCACTGTATATATTGTCTGGGGACGAGTAACCAGTCCCTCCTCTTGGTAGTGATGTCCTGCTATTACTAGCTCTGGGATATTATATTATCTTGGTTTTGCTTCACTGTGGTGACTCCCTTATAAATAGTTTCTTTATTGAACTCTACTCTATGTGAGCATGCGAACTGCTTCCTGACTGACACCCAGTTGATAGAGTGTACATTAGAGTACTTTGTGAAGTTACAACACACACCTTTCACCTATGTGCTTATTTGTCCCTACATCCCTAGCAACTGGCAGCGTCAAGCACATGAGGAAAAAAAAAAAAAACAAAACAAAAAAACACTGGGTTGGGCGCGTTGGGTCACACCTGTAATCTCAGCCCTTTGGGAAGGTAGATCTCTTGAGTCCAGGAGCTTGAGACCAGCCTGGGCAACATGGTGAAACCCCGTCTATACAAAAAAAAAAAAAAAAAAATACGAAAATTAGTGGGCAGCATGGTGGTGCACATCTGTAGTCCCAGCTACTTGAGAGGCTGAGGTGGGAGGATGTCTTGAGCCTAGGAGGCAGAAGTTGTAAAGAGTTGAGATCACACCTTTGCACTCCAACCTGGGTGACAGTGCAAAACACTGTCTCAAAAAAAAAAAAAAAACACTGTTCAAGTTTTTAAAAAATACACTGCCTTGAATGTGTCCTCCAAAACTCATGCTGAAATTTAATTGTCATTGTGGCAGTATTAAGAGGTGGGATCTTTTAAAGGTGATACAGTCTTAAAGACTCTGCCCTCATGAATGGATTAATCACAGAAATGGGTTTGTTATCATGAGGGTTCAGCCCCTACTCTCCCTGAGTCTCGCTTGCTGGCTTGTTCTTCCTTTCACTTTGCACCATGGGATAACCCTTGCCAGATGTCCGGCACCATTATCATGGACTTTCCAGCTTCCAGAACAATTAGTCAAATAATATATTTTCTTTATAAACTGCCCAGTCTGTAGTATTCTGTTACAGCAGCAGAAAATAGTCTGAAACAAAAAGAGACTGACTTTTTATAGAATGACACTTTTCCCTTTTATGAGGCATCCTTTGCTAAGCCTTCTATAAAATATATTAGCATTTCTTATCAGCATCAATGGACAAAACTCGTTACCAGGTGCCAAGCACTTCTATCAAGAGTACATCTTAGACCCCGTGGAGAACTGGAACTGCCTCCACTTCTCCACAAGACTTTTCGTCTGCAACCTCCCTTCATCAGTCTCTTTCTGTAAGCTCCCAGGTTAAAGTCTCTTTGCTATTTTCATTTGTTTGCTTGAAGCATAGTTTGTTGCCAGCTGTTAGCTGTAGTGCAGTAACCCATTTAAAGTCCTACCATACTTCCTTCTAGAGATAATTGATGCTAATGAGGCATAAAATAATCCATTTGAATAACTGGTAGAGAAGTTTCAGTTTCAATTCAGTTTCTTTTCATGGAAAATAAAACTTCACAACTTGATCATGTGTGAAAGCAAAGTCGGCTATTTCAAAGAAAGGAACTGATTAAAAAGAAAACACTCACACACACACACACCCCATAACCTGTTGACACTAAACTATCTGAACACAGAAGGCATTTGGGCCAAGGCAGAGTAATTGAGATTTGTGCTTACTTTTCCCTTGGTCTTGCCCTAATGGGTTCATGAGGATTGTCTATAATGAACAAATAATAATTCTGATAAATGAGTTTATTGGTTAATTCATAAAACATATGGCAAGCTTCCTCTGCCACAGTATTTGGGCAAAGGAAAAGCAAATGAAGATCAAGAATAAACAAATGATATGACACAAAAACAATGTTTTGAAGTAGACCAGAAAAGTCAACTAATTAGGGTTTTATTGATCTAGAAAAGGGGAAATCCCAGTTCTATTCTAGGCACATTTGCACATACCTAAGTGTCAAAATGGAGATGAAAACTGTGTTTTCATTAAAACTCAGTGGGTGTGGGCCCTAATTCTCACATTCTTCTGTAGGTTATCACAAGCTTGCTCTGTAGACTTTATGTTGCAAAATAATGAATACTATACAAAAGGAGCAGTTACCTTCCTCATATTAGCCTGGATAAGAATGACAGTGCTGTAATATTAAACGACCCCCAAAATCACAATTTTAACTTAATAAAATCTTATTTCTGCCTCCCATAGTGTATACTGCTAGTCCAGGTGATTGTCCAGGATAGGCTTTTTGATCTTGTTTTACTTCCATTTCAGCATGTATTTTCAAGATGGCTGATCACTTCACCAGAGAAAACAGTGTTGCTGGAGGTCTTCTACCAACAATTAAATATGCCAGCCAGGAAGTACCACATGGTACCTAATGTCCAAAAAGAAATGTGGAGCCATTACTGTAACACAGAAGCACTATACAGCTGTAATCAGTTCTGTCACAATTCCCTCATCTCCAAAATCCAGATCATAGTCAAGCCTCTTTTTGGCTTGTGCCTCTCTACCCTGGAGGATGCTAAATTTTTAACAGCAGAATATCACAGTAGGAGGAATATTGGTTTGGCTTCTGTTTTCACCAATTCCCAAGTGACCTTGGACATATTATTTAACTTCTCCAAGCCTAATTTTCCTCATTTGACAGATGAGGATAATAGTAGTTCCTATCTTATAGGCTTGTGGGATTAAAAGGAATAATACATGAAAAGTAGTTGGCATTGAAGAATCATGCAGTAAATGCCTGGCCATTCCAAAAAGTGCAGTCATGGACAAAGTTTCACGTGCTGCCTATCTCATATATTCTCTACCCACTGATAAATGCCTATGAGAGAGGGAGATTAAGCAGCAATGCCTATGAGAGAGGGAGAACTCAACTCGAGGACAAGCAAGTGTCTGGATCTGAGGTCTCCACGTGGAGGTTATAAGGTGTCTGCGTCACTAGAATTAGAATTGCTTCTGATCCCTGTAAATACTGCCCTGGAAAATGGACTTAGGTGAGTACTTTGCAACTCCCATGGAAATGAAGGTGATAGACAACAGGCAGCCTACTTCTCTGGAACCATTTCAAATCTGGTTTAAGTTTGCTTGGAAAAGTAAACAATGTTTTACAGCAGTCCTGTGAATAAAACCTATGTAATACTTTACCCAAAATCACACTTGACCTTTTAAACTTGCTTTCAGAAAGAGGTGAAGATGTCATTCTATTTCAACAGAACTACTATATGAAATTTTTTATTTTATGTAAAATCATTATAGGTATGATTTATCACTTTGCAACAGGATTCAGTATAGAATTGATTTAAATAGCACATCTTTGTTTGAACTTTATTATTATATATATTTATTATTGTACATAGTTATATAACTATTATTTGTCTGAACTTTATTACTTTTTTTATATTTATGTATATTTTATTTTCCCCAGTCCCCTCCACCTTTCCTGGCCTCTGGTAACCACAAATCTACTCCCTATCTTCATGAGATCCATTCTATTTAGTTCCCACATATGAGTGAGAATATGTGATATATGTCTTTCTGGCTTACTTCATTTAATGCAATGTCCTCCAGTTCCTTCCATGTTGCTACAACGACAGGAGTTTATTCTTTTTTATGGATGAATAATATTCTACCGTGTATATATGTTACATTTTCTTTATCCATTCATTCATTGATAGGCACTTAGTCTGATTCCATATTTTGTCTACTGTAAATAGTCTTGCAATAAATGTGAGAGTGCAGATATCTCTACAGCATATTGATTTCTTTTGGATATACACCCAGTGGTGGAATTGCTGGACCACATGGTACTTCCATTTTTAGTATTTTGAGAAACCTCCATATAGCTTTCCATAGTAGTTCTCCTAATTTACATGCCCACCAACAGTGTACAAGAATTCCCCTTTCTCCATACCCTCACCGGCTTCCATTATTCTATGTTTTTTTGATAACTCATTTTAACTGGAGTGAGATATCTCACTATGGTTTTGATTTGCATTTCTCTGATGATTAGTGATGTCAAACTATTTTTCATATACACATCATTTGTATGTCTTATTTTGAGAAATATGTGTTCAGATCTTTTGCCCGGTTTTTAATTGAATTGTTTATTTTTTTTTTGTTATGGAGTTGCTGGAGTTCCTTATATATTTCAGTTATTAACTTATTGTCAGATAGAGTTTGTGAATATTTTCTGCCATTCTTTATGTTGTCTCTTTACTTTGCTGATGGTTTCCTTTGCTGTGCAGAAGATTTTTAGCTTAATGTGGTCCCATTTATTCATTTTTGCTTTGGTGGTCTGTCCTTTTACACAAGTCTTACACAAGAAAAATATGTGCCCACATCAAGTTCTGGACCATTTCCCCAATGTTTTCTTCCAGTAGTTTTATAGTTTCAGGTCTTAGATTTAAGTCTTTAATCCATTTTGAGTTGACTTTTGTATATGGTGAGAGACAGAATTCTAATTTCATTATTCTGCATATTGTTATCTTGTTTTCCCAGCACCATTTCCCAGAGACTGTCCTTTTTCTATTGTATGTTCTTGGTACCTTTGTCAAAAATGAGTTTGGCTTTAAATGTGTGGATTTATATCTGGGTTCTCTATTCTATGTGTCTGCTTTTATTCCAGTACCATTCTGGTTTGGTTATTATAGGTTTGTAGTATATTTTGAAGTTAGGTAGTGTGATGCCTCCAGCTTTGGCTATTTAGGGTTTGTGTAGTTCCATATAAATTTTAGAACTTCTTTTTAGTTTTGTGAAAAATGCCATTCATATATTGATAGGGATTGCATTGAATCTGTACATTATTTTGGGTACAATTGTCATTTTAACAATATTAATTCTTTCTATCCATGAGCATGGAATATATTTCCATTTTTTTTGGTGTCCTCTTCAGTTTCTTTCATCAGTGTTTTATTGCCTTGCTTGGATAGAATTTTCACTTTGGTTAGATGGATTTCAAAGTATTTTATATTATTTGTAACTACTATAAATGAGATTGCTTTCTTGATTTCTTTTTCAGATTATTCAGATAGTTGACATATATAAATGCTATAGATTTTTGTACATCGATTTTGTGCCTGCAACTTTACTGAATTTGTTTACCAGTTCTAACAGTTTTTTGGTGGAGTTTTTAGGCTTTTCTAAGTGTGAGACCGTGTCACCTGGAAACAAGGCTAATTTGACTTGTTCCTTTCTGATTTGAACTTTATTTATTTCTCTTACCTAATTACCCTGACCAGGAATTCTATATTATATTGAATAAAAGTGGTGTAAGCAGGCATCCTTGTTTTGTTCCAGATCTTAGAAGAAAAACTTTCAATGTTTCCCCCATTCAGTATGATGTTAGCTATGGGTTTGTAAAATATGGTCTTTATTATTTTGAGGTATGTTCCTTCTATACCCCATTTGTTGAAGGTTTGTATCATAAAGGAATGTTGAATTTTATTAAGTGCTTTTCAGCATCTATTGGAATGATCATAAAATTTTTGTTCTTGGTTCTGTTAATGTGATGTATTATTTTCACTGATTTGCATATGTTAAACCACTCTTGCATCCCTGGGATAAATCTCACTTGATCATGATAAATGATCTCTTTAATTTATTGTAGCATTCAAATTGCTAGTATTTTGTTGAGGTTTTTTGCATATATATTGATCAGTGACATTGTCTTGTAGTTTTTTTGTCGTTGTGTGCTTGTGTGATTTTGGTAACAGGGGAATGCTGGTCTTAGAATAAGTTTGGAAGTATTCCCTCCTCTTCAATTTTTTGGAAGACTTTGAGTAGAACTTGTGTTAGTTTTTCTTTAAATGTTTGGTGAAGCTTCAATCTCATTACTCATTATTAGTTTGTTGAGGTTTTCTAGTTTCATGGTTCAATCTTGGAAGGTTATATGTATCCAGGAATTTATCCACTTCTTCTAGGTTTTCCAATTTGTTCACATATAGTTGTTCATCATAGTCTCTAATGATTCTTTGTATTTCTGTGGTCTTTATTGTTGTGTCTCCTTTTTTGTTTCTGATTTTATATATTTGAGTTTTTTCTCATTTTCTTAGTCTAACTGAAAGATTGTCAATTTTGTTTATCTTTTCAAAAAGTCAACTTTTCATTTTGTTGATCTTCTGTATTATTTTAGTCTCAATTTCATTCATTTCTGCTCTAATACTCATTGTTTCTTTCCTTCTACTAAATTTGCATTTGATTTATTCTTGCTTTTCTGTCTGCCTGTAAAGTTGTCTAACATGCCAACAAGTTTTCAAGAATGCAATACAAACTAAAAAGGGGTTTGTGAAGGCCATATATGATCAATAGAAGACTTCACTTCTCTACTTTCTTTTGCAGCTTTCCAAAAGAATCATGCTAATATCCAAGTAAGCATACACACAGAGATTTAAATTACCATGATTTTCCCTTTCAGAGAAAGGGGAGGTTCTTCTTTCTACAGTTGAAATATATTTTTCAAACGTCCAGCTTTTAACAAAAAATTGTGAGACATACAAAGAAACAAGAACATATGGCCCACATGCAAGGATGAAAGATCACTGAAAACTGTCTTTGAGGAAGCCCTAAATGTTGAATTTACTAGGCAGAGACTTTAAATCAGCTATTTTAAATATGTTCAAAGAACTCAAGTAAATAGTATCTGAAGAACTGAAGTGTAAAAACAACATCTCACCAAACAGAGACTATCAATAAAGAGATATAAATTATAAAAAAGGGTCAAACAGAAAGTCTGATGTTGAAAAGTATAATAACTGAAATGAAAAATTTAGTAGAGACATTCAACAGCAGATTTGAACTGGCAAAAGAGAATCAGTGAACTTGAAAACAGATCAATCAAATATATCCAGTCTGAAGAGAAGAAAGAAAAAAGAATGGAAAAAAAAAAGGAAACCAGAGCCTTAGAAAATTGCAAGATACCAAGTCCAACATAAGCGTAATAAGTTTCAAGATAAAAAGAAAGCAGAAGGGAAAAAAGGAATATTTGAGTAAATAATGACTAAAATTTTCCAAAATTTGTTTAAAAAACATTAATCTACACATCCAAGAAGCTGAATGTATCCAAGTAGACAAACAAGAAGATTCACACCAAAACTCATAATAAAACTGTTGAAAAAGACAAAGAGAAAATCTTGAAAGCCACAAGAGAAAAGCAGCTCATCATATACATAAAAGGGATCCTCTAAATTAACAGTTAATTTTTTATTAGAAACCATGGTGTCAATCACGTATTCAGAGTGACAAAAGAAAAAAAAACTGTCAACTAAGCAAAACTATTTCTTAAAGAGGAAAGAGAAATTAAGACATTCCCCATATGTAGAACCAGAGAATTTGTTGCTAGTTGGGCCCCAAAAGAAATACTACTATGAACAAATATATGGTAACATATTAAATAATCTAAACAAAATGAACACTTTCTTAGAAAGGCAAAAACTACCAAAACTGACTCAAGAAGAAATAAAATAACTAAATAGACATATAGCAAGAAAAGAGATTGAATTAGCAATCAAAAAATTTCCCATAAAGAAAATTCCAGGACCAATTGGCTTCACTGGTCAATCAACCAAATGTTTAAAGAATTAACATCAAAACTTCACAAACTTATATAAAAAATAGAAAACATTTCAGAACTCATTTTATGAGGTTAGGATAATTCTGATACCAAAACTAGACAATAGTATATCTAAAAAAAAAGTGCAAACCAATATCCCTTATGAATATGGACACAAAAATCCTCAAAAACAATACAAAACTAGCAAACTAAATCTAGCAACATATATCAAGAATTATACATCATGAGACCATTAAATTAGATTTATTTCAGTAATGAAATATTGGTTCAGCATACAAAAATCCATGTAATACATGAGTAGTCTGACTCCCAAAATATTATGTGCCATTTTTCAGGTCTGACCACAGGACCAATTTCAAAAGCTTTACCTGGCAGGCCTCTTGGGGGAAAGCTACCTTCTCTACACAAGACATGGCGTACAGCTAGTGCACTGCAGGCTCCAACGAAAGTTGCAGTCACTTGCATTCCTAGCTCAGGATCCTCCCTTCGAAGGCATCGTTAGCAGGAGGCCCTGGGCCAAGGCCTTTTCAGGTGCATCTACTAAGCCCACCATACCTGGGGGACCTTGAAGACACTTTTCTTCACTCTGACTTAATATTAAGTACTTTCCCACTCCTAGCTTTTCTGTCTCTTCCCCTTCCATCCCTTGGGTCAGGAAACAGCAGGAACCTTCTTGGGAGGAATCCCTTGGCAGTGAGATAATCTCCATGTCTGCAATGATACATCTGACTCCTCCCAACACCATTCCATGGGAGAAAATGGAACATTGAGAGAGCCAGCACTTTTTCCTATTTAGCCTCTTGCTTATATTATCACCACTAAGTGATTAAAGGTTTGACTGTTACTTTAGCTTTGGCTTATTATTTTAATTGGCCACCTAGACCCTGGCAGCTCAGCAATCTTAAGTTCAGTTCTTGACATAGTAATATATTATATAACCATAGTAATATAATAAAGGACAAATTCCACATGATGATCTCAATGGGCACAGAAAAGACATTTGACAAACACCTAACAGTATTTATTATGATAAAACAGATTTATTATGATAAAACAGTATTTTTATGATAAAACACACAATAATCTAAGAATCTTTTATTTTATTTTATTTTTATTTATTTATTTATTTTTTTTTGTGAGATGGATTCTTGCTCTGTTGCTCAGGCTGAAGTGCAGTGGCATGATCTCGGCTCACTGCAAGCTCTGTCTCCCGGGTTCCTTTAACTTGATAAAGGGCATCTGTAAAAATCCACTATTAACATTATTCTTAATGGTAAAAGACTGAAAGCTTTCTCCTTAAGATCAGAAATGGGACAGGTATATCCCCTCTCATAATGTCTATTCAACATTGAATTTAATATTCTAGCCAGAGCAACTAGGCAAGAAGAAGTAATGAAAGGAATACAGACTGGAAAGAAACAAGTAAAACTATCTCTATTTCCAGATGACATAATCTTGCATATAGAAAATTCTTTTTAAAAAATCCACATGTACCCTAAAACTTAAAGTATAATAATAATAATAAAAATCCACAAAAAACTATTAGAACTAATAAATTAGTTCGGCAAGGTTGCAGGATATAAGATCAGCATACAAAAATTAACTGTTTTTCCACATACTACCAATGAATAATCTGAAAAAAATTAAGAAAGCTATCGCATCTGTAATAGTATCAAAAATAATAAAATACTTAGTAATACATTTAACAAAAAAGTTTTGTATTCTACATTGAAAAATAAAAAAAAAACTTGAAGGAAATTTAAAAAGACATAAATAGATGGAAAGGCATCCCATGTTCATAATTTGGAAGATTTAATATGGTAAAAATGGCAATATTCTCCAAATGGATCTACAGATTTAATGTAATCAGTCTCACAATTCCAGCTTCCTTTTTTAGAGAAATTAACAAACTGATCCTAAAACTCAGAAATTTAAGGGGCCCAAAAAGCCAAAACAACCTTGAAAAAGAAGAAAAAATTTGGATAATTCTCTATTTCTATTTCCAGTTGAGACTGTGTGGTAATGGTCCAGGATAGACATATACGTCAATGGAATATAATTGAGAATTAAAAAAAAAAAAAGAAAAAGAGAGAAAGAAAAAGAAAAAGAAGAAAGAATCCTGCTACATTTACAGCTTTTTTTTTTTTTTTTTTCCTGAGACGGAGTTTCACTCTTGTTGCCTAGGCTGAAGTGCAATGGCGTGATCTCAGCACACTGCAACCTCCACCTCCTGGGTTCAGGAGATTCTTCTGCCTCAGCCTCCTGAGTAGCTGGGATTACAGGCAAGTGCCACCACGCCCAGCTGATTTTGTATTTTTAGTAGAGAAAGGGTTTCACAACGTTGGTCAGGCTGGTCTCAAACTCCTGACCTCAGGTGATCTGCCCACCTTGGCCTCCCAAAGTGCTGGGATTACAGGCATGAGCCACCAAGCCCGGCCCATATACTGCTAATTTTTTAACAAGGGTGCCAAGACAATTGATTTAGAAAAGAATATTTTTTTCAACAAATTGTGCTGAGATAATTAGATATTCACGTGTAAAAATAACGAATTCGGATTCCTACTTCACACCATATAAAAATCTATTCAAAACTATATGTAAGTGAGGAGACTGTAAAATCTTCAAATGAACCATAGGGACAGGTCTTTATGACCTGAGATTAGACAATGATTTCTAGTTATTACTCCAAAAGCACAAGGAATAATAATAATAAAATAGGTAAATCGCATTTTTCAAAACAAAAACTTGTGAGCTTCAAAGGACACCTTTGAGAAAGTGAAAACACTTGCAAATCATAGAGCTAATAGGTACTTTTATTTAGAATATATACAGAACCCTTATAACTCAATAACAAGATGATAAATAATCCAGTTTTAAAATGGGCAAAGGATCTGAATAGACATTTCTCCACATAAGATATACAGATGGCCAATAAGCACATGAAAAAATGCCTAATATCATTATCTCTAGGAGAAATGCAAATCAAACCACAATGTCATACAACTTCACACCCACTAGGATGTCTAGAATCAAGAAAAATGAACAAATGTAAGCACAGTGGAAGATGTGAAAAAATTAGAACCATCATATATTGCTGGTGGGAATGTAAAAACAGCATAGCCACTGTGGAAAACAATTTGGCAGGTCCTCAAAACTAAACATAGAGTTTAATAATAAGATTCAGCAATTCTACTCCTAAACATGTACCCAAGAGAATTGAAAGCTTATGTCCATACAAAAACTTATGCATGCATGTTCATAGCAGCATTACTCATAATAGTCATTAAGTGAAAACAACCCAAATATTCATCAACTGATGAGTGGATAAACAAAATACGTTATATCCAAATGGAACATTATTCAGCCATAAACAGTAATCAAGTACTCATACATGATACAACATACAAAAACCTTGGAAACACTATGCTAAGTGAAAGATAACAGACCTAAAAGACTACAAGTTGTGTCCATTTATAGAAAATATCTAGACCGGGAAATCTCATAGAGACAGAATGTAACTCAGTAGTTTCCAGGGGCTTGGGGGCAAGGAGAAATAGGGAATGACTGCTAAATGGTACTGAGTTTCTTTTTGGTGTGATGAAAGTGTTTTGGCATTAGACAGAGGTGATGGTTGGATACCCTTGTGGGTATACTAAAAACCACTGAATTTTACACTTTAAGAAATGTGAATTTTATGATATGTGAATTATAGCTCAATTTTTAAAAACCCATGGAGAGGTTTAAAATGAAAATTAACACCATCGATAACTCTATGTTCTGGAGACAGGCACCACTAACATTTTGAATATTCCATTCCAATCTTTTTCTTATGGATATATACATATTTTAAGTCAAGCTCATATCCTACATATATAGACATATATTTTCCTCTATTGGCGTTACATTTTTTGTTGTAAGAACAAAAATTTTAAGAAATATTCTAAAGACCTCTTTTTTTGGAAGAGTGTATTAATCTTGTGGCAATAAACAGTTCCAGCTCATCCACTGATTAGACGAATGCAAGAAGTTGCTTTCTAGGAGCAAGCCTTCACATTGAAAATGATTTTGAATAGTGACATTGAGTGTAGAGGTACCAAGATGCTGTAGAAAAATGGTTTGACAGGATATTTTGCAAAACGTTTTTCTCTTTCAACATTCCTTTCCTTTCTTTCATAAATGTATTTGTTTTTCAACACAGGTATATAGTCAAAGGCTGCATACTGGCTAACGATTAACCAGCTGCTCTGATTATTTGCCAAGCTAATGTTGTACGGGAATATTGCACGTTGAATGATAAAAACCTTGGATACTGCACATTAAGTCTGGTACAACATGTATTCTAAATGTCCCCCATTTGACTGGGAAAGTCTAGTACATTTTAAGGATGGTTTATTTTTGTTTGCATTTAATTCAAAGGCTGAAACAGCACACCATCTTTTCTAAGTGCACAAATGGCTCCAGCATCGTAACTTACCTATGAAAATTAGGGGGATTTTTTGTTTTTTGTTTTTTGTTTTTTTTGAGACAGTGTCTCGCTTTGTCACCCAGGCTGAAGGGCAGTAACACCATCATAGCTCCCTTCAGTGTCAACCTCCCAGGCTCAAGCAATCCTCCTATCTTAGCCTCTTGAGTAGCTAGGACCATAGGAGTGAGCCACCATTTGATTAAGACACCAAATTAAAATTCTAAAGTACTGTGACCCTTCCTGGGCACTCAAATTATAGAAAAGATTTTTGAGGCAAAGCAATGGCTCTTCATGAAATAGGTCCTATCTATAGCATTATAAAAGTATTTCAGAAGATGGTTTAAGTCAAATATGTGGTATAGATTATTCTCATTAAAAAGCATTCATATAAGACTATGTTTTGCAGGCCCTTGAAAAAATTTCATTGGTTATCAGTTACAACATAATAGGTCAATTTTTTTTAGAAAAGGCAATTGAGATGCTCATGGTTAGATTTGCTCCGACCCACCCAGCAACACAATGGCAGATTGAAAGTCCTGGTTCTTTAATTCCCGGGCCTGGTTCTAATGCTGCTGGATCACAAGGTCTTTATAATAGAGCTTATAAAAGCACATTTTATGTGAGGCGACTGGTTAGAGAAAATATGACCTTTCAAATTATATCACCATTTTCCACATAAAAGCCTCAGCCAACCTCCTAATTTATGCGACCTTTGGAAACCATAAAATCACTTCCCAGGGAGAGTTGATGTTGATTTGATTAGGGCCGCTCTTCTTGACCCAGAGTGGGTAGGAGCCAGCCACCCAGGGAACAGCCCAGGGAACATCAAAATTCACTCAGCCCAGGGAGAAATCTGCAGTCTAAGGAAGTCATTTGAACCCAGTAATGCACTTGCTAGAGACAGCTAGTTACTCTAGCTAAAGGTTTAATCTTTATCTCCTCAATTGAAAACCTAAGAAAACCTTTAGATTTGCCAAATGCTTGAAGAGGAATATTTCACAGATGTTAAGGAATACAGGACTCTACAAATAGAAATGCTAAGAGTATGTATGCATAGAAATTAAAGTCATCAGAAAAGGAAATGCTGCCTGATTGAAAACTCAAACATTTAATAGAATTTCTGTTTATTAATAAAGCAGTTTTACTTTAGAACTTGATGAATGACTAAGTGAAACAGAGGAAAGAGCAAAGGACTTGACAAAGTGCTGTTTAATACCTTTAAAATATATCCTGTTTTTTAATATAAAGTCATTTTTATAGTATATCTGCCTTATGGGAAATCCCAAAGAATTGGATAATAAAAGATACAACTAAGATTTGTTGGATTTTATATTCACTACTTTTCGTAATGTACAGATGTAGGTACCTGGGTGAAATTCTACTTATATATATAGGATAAAAGTAGGATATATATATATGTGTGTGTGTGTGTGTGTGTGTATATATACTAAAAGTGTGTGTGTGTATATATATATATATATACACACACACACACACAGACACATATATATATCCTACTTTTATTCACAAAACATAATAGTAGCATTTTCCCCATGTGATTACAAATACTATGAGAATATCATCATAAACTGCTGAATAATGTTCCAACATATAAAAGTGCTACAACTTATTGAACTATTTCATTATTGATGAACTTTAGAGTTTTCAATTGTTTTGTATCATAACTAACAATCCATTAAACATTTTTGTGGATAAAAGGTTTTCGTGTGTTTCAGCTTGTTGTGTGGAATAGATGAATTTATAATGTG
Organism: Homo sapiens; assembly: GCF_000001405.40. NCBI lineage: Eukaryota > Metazoa > Chordata > Mammalia > Primates > Hominidae > Homo > Homo sapiens. Next base: position 81,833,523 of record NC_000006.12, read on the forward strand.
TTAAATCACATTTCCTTTTTGAAGATGAGTATCACCAACAGCCTTTCTATTTTTCTCCAGGTATATTACAGCCTTCTTTTTGCAATTATAATCATTGAATTTGGACTATGAATCAAAGAACCAGGTTCAATGCTGTATTTTTACCTGCATGCCTCTGACATTCCATAGATTTCTTGGATAATAATTACTCTCCCTTTAACAACACCATAAGTCCACTTAATCTATGAATTTGAACCTTGAACAAGAGATAACTGAAGAATTATGTAAGAAAGAAACAGAAGAAGTGATGTTCTCAAGCTCTGGAGATTTTCAGGCAGCTTTGAAAATCTTTTTTATCTTATGTTTTATTCCCATAAAACTTAAAATCCTACTGGGGCATTAAGGTAGTAGCGGAGGGGTAGTTTTTCAAGATGTTCTTGTACAGCTTCCTTCTAGAAATATCTAGAGTTCTCCAAACTACGTTTGAAAACTCACTAATTTAAGACTTGTAACTTTGCAGATGGACTTTCTTACCTGGGAGAACAAATTGTTCTTTTCTGCTTCAAGGAAATTTTAAAATGCTAAGTAAGGCTTGCTATCCTCAGAGGCAACATTGGCATCCTGAAACAATTTTGGCCATCTGATTCCTGAGGGTTTGGCCAACAGCTGTGCCCAAAATGGATAATTGTGCCTGGTTAAGTTTAGTCCTCTCTGACATCACACATCACAGAGGAAATCAGCCCCACACATTTTTCTTCAAGGAGAGAAGAGAATTCATACAGATGATTCAGAATCAAGGAATGAAAATGACAACAAGCATGCAAATGTCACACTGAAAACAAAAATCCCTCCTAGTTCATTGGCTAAAGAGACAGTAGAAACATCCTGGGTGGAACTGAGAGCTGTGACTCTTGTGCTCGGTGGCCTGGAGCCATTCACAGCACCATCGGGAAGTGAAGGCAGGGAGCAGTGCAAGGCCCGTTGTGTCTGTTTACCGAGTTCTGTAGGCCTTACCAACTATCATGTAGTAGTCTTTTTATGGAAACTAGATAAACAACATGCGTCACCATGGCTATTTCCCTTTATCAGAGAAGTGGAAGAAAGACTTCTACAAACTGTAGATATCATGGAAGTGTGTGGGCCTTTCCAAGCTATTATTGCACAAAATCAGAAAGAAATTGAAATGTTTTCTGCCAACGACTGATTATTTTTATCCAAGTCAGACAGAAAAATATTTCTAAACATATAGATGTTTACCAGCTGTTCCCAGAGGCATTCATGTGACTGCAACATCCTTTCTATCAGCCCTTTAGGTTTGGAGTTTTCCATGCCAAAGAGACTGAACATCTTCTGCATTTTAACCCCAGCTCAGAGACACTTCCAGGAATTCCAGTCCTCCAAGATTTCAATGTCTTTATTCCTGTTCTACACTTCAGTTTTGTGCTGAAAGCATCTAAAGGAAGAAGAATGAGGGAGGAGGAATTCTGCCTTTTTTTTTCAAAATTTGTATCACTCATTTTTTTTTCTTTTTTTTATTATACTTTAAGTTCTGGGGTACATGTGCAGAACGTACGGTTTTGTTACATAGGCATACACGTGCCATGGTGGTTTGCTGCACCCATCAACCCGTCACCTGCATTAGGTATTTCTCCTAATGTTATCCCTCCCATAGCCCCCCAGCCCCCAACAGACCCCTGTGTGTGATGGTCCCTGCCCTGTGTCCATGTGTTCTCATTGTTCAACTCCCACTTATCAGTGAGAACATGCGGTGTTTGGTTTTCTGTTCTTGTGATAGTTCGCTGAGAATGATGGTTTCCAGCTTCATCCATGTCCCTGCAAAGGACATGAACTCATCCTTTTTTATGACTGCATAGTATTCCATGGTATATATGTGCCACATTTTCTTTATCCAGTCTATTGCCCTCTCTTTAATCCACGGTCTTCTCACCTTTGTTTATCAACATTTGTTGACTGATGAGTTGATGTCTCAGTTTTACCTTCACCTTGCACTCACTGTGTTTCAGTGGATCCTTACCTTCTTTCTCTTCTCTTCTTTGTGACCTCAAGTTATTTATCAGGATCTTTCCTTGAGGGACTTGGGGTATGTAGCACATAATGTGGAAGCAGCGAGGGCCCATTTATCTGTTCAGTTACACTTATCTGACTATTATATTTAATTTATAGGGCATTGTCTGGCTCATAAAACTTTTAGAAGTCCAGCCTTCCCTCTCTTTCTCTTCCTGTTCCACCCTGCTGACTTCTTACACTGGTACATTTGTTTGTTTGTGCTCCCAGAGAAGACCCCTATGATTTCTCCCCACTTCTCCAATTGCTCCAGACTCTGACAAGGTTAAATTGTTGGCCTGAGAACATGTTCTCAAGAGGCACCCATGATTGTTGTCCTAATGCCTAATTAAGAAGGGTGGAGAAAATTCAACAGCAGGACCACAGTGTCATCATGGGAAGGGAGGAAATCAGATCAGTTTGCATAAGGGATATCTGCACTCACATGTTCATTGCAGCACTATTCACAACACCCAAAATATGAAACCAACCTGAGTGCCCATCAACAGATGAATGGATATGTGGTGTGTACACACAATGAAATACTATTCAGCTGTTAAAAAGAGGGAAGTCCTGTCATGTGCCACAACATGGAAGAACCTGAAGGACATGACGCTGAGTGAAATAAGAAGCACAGAAAGGCATATAACTGCACAATTTCATTTATATGTGCAATCTAGGAAAGTCAAACTCACAGAAGCAAAGAGTGGAACAGTGGTTACCAGCAGCAAGTTGAAGTAGGGTGGACAGGTGGGGTTGGCATGGGGAGATGTTGTCTGAGGATATAAGATTTTAGTTAAGTAGAAGGAATAAATTCAGAAGATTTATTGTACATCATGAGGGTTATAGTTAATAATAATGCATTGTACACTTGAAAATCGCTAAGGGAATAGATTTTAAGTGTTCCCATCACAAAAAATGATAAGTATGTGCAATAATAAATATGTTAATTAGCTTGACTTAGTCATTCCACAACGTGTGTGTGTGTGTATATATATATATATAAATATCATGCTGTATACCATAAATATATACAATTTTTATTTGTTGATTAAAAACATTTAAATTTAAATTTCAATAAATGGAAAGGGAAATGGGTTTGGAGTCACTCAGAACTGGATCAGATTCCTGGCTGCACAATTTACATGGACAAGTCCTTTAACCTTGATGAATGTCCACTTTCTCATCTTTAAAATTCACCTAATAATACCTCAAGAAATTTCTGGAAATATGAAATAAACTAATGTATGTGAAATGATTGGCAGATGATAGATGATCAGTATCAGGGTCAGTTTCCACCTCTCTGCCCCTCAGTTTCAATCCTTCTTCCCTGTCTTCTGCCCAGGGCTCTTTCATTCTATATCTGATACACAGACAAAATACAATAAATAGTTATTGACTGGGTGAACTTGTGTAAAGATGCTGGTGAGTAGACCATGTTTGCAAATGTGTAGAGTAATATCACCCTTTTGGCCAACCCAAATTCTTGCTTTGCATAGGGACTTCCTTAGCTCTCCAGAATTCCCAGATAGATAACAAGAGGGATACAGGTGAGATGGATATTATTATTGTTGTTTTATGTGCATCAGTATGTATAACTCTGCATGTAGATATTTATACTGGATGGATTTATATAAATTTTCTATTTTTGTGCAAGAGTTTCCTACATTCTACTTTTCTGGATTATGAGGAAATCTTTGAATAGAGTGGGCTTTGCCAACCTCTCCGTCCAAATTCCTGCCTTCTCTTTTCTCTTCCAGCATTCCCATGCCTTCTATATTATGGGTTAAATAATTCAAAAGTGCTCTACCTCCTTGGTGCCTTTGCACAATCATTTCTTCCATTAGACTCATCCTTCCCTTAATCTACCATGTATTAACTTGTCCTTTAGCTCAACCATTACTTCTGAGAAGACTCTCCTAACACCACCTCCTCTTTTCTCATAGTTGTCTAGACTTTTCTACTCACCATATTTTCCATTTTATTATTGGTTTAGTTTCTGTCTGTTTCCTCCCCTAGATTTTCATCCCATGAGAGCTGGGTCAGCAATTTTTCTTGCTTTCTTCTGTGTTTCTATAGTACCCCATAATTCCTGGCACATAGTAGGTGCTTTAAAAGTATTTGTTGAAGGAATGAATGAAGAGGTGAAAGCACTTCACAAATTCACATTTGCTTCTCTTCAAGTAATGCTCTTGTAAGTAGAAAATGGTTGGGTATATTTCCAACAAGGTCATTTTATATAATTTGGCAAACCTGAAAATGATTTTATGTCCGTCTGAGTCCCCAGCACTTAACTCAATATTGTTTTTAAAAAGTTTCTCATAATAAAATACAGCTAAATTTTCAGTGGGTATATAGAGGAAATACAGGAAGAAATACCACTTTTAAACAGGCAAGCTTCATGGGCCATTCACATCTAATGTGCAGCAGAAGCAATTCTATGAATTGTTTCCAATTCCATTATTATACCCATGATTTTTCAATAAGGATGCAACCGCATACCTCTGATTTCCTTCTTAGAATCTTTGTGATGTTGTCGATACAGGTGCACGCCTTCAGTATGCACAACATGATTCATAGAGTGTATAACATCACAGGAGGTTTAACAAACATAAGAAGTAACTAGAGTACAGTTGCTTGACTTGTGTTGCTAGGTTACTATCTAGTAATCCTCTTGCTTATCTTGGGCTTCTGGTATTTTCAATTCCATTTAGTGAGGGTTGGAGCTACTCTGATGTGTCTAGTTCTGTAATATATTAAAAGTCTAGCCAAAAAGAGGTGGCTATTCATTATAAGCGGGAGCTAAGTGTTTAAAAAAACACATGCAATGAGAGAAATAGACCAAATCATCAGGAAGGACAGTGTCAGAAAACTTTGTCTGACTTATTTTAATTCCTTTTTTTAACTATCTGACTGCATGTAAGTATTCATAAGGCTTATCTTGCCAATATAAAATATGCTAATCATGATATTAACATTTTTACTGTTAACACATATATTCTGCCCCCAAATGTCTTTTAGCACAGGTGAGAGAAAATTGGGTGAGTAACATGGTTTTCAGTAGTTCAAGTTTCCCACTCATGGATATTTAAAAATAGAATAATGGCAACATGTCTTTCCTAGAAATTCAAGAAGAATCATCTACTGACTGTCATAAAGCATGAACTATGAGTGATATACATGGGACATAAGAAATAGTTATGAACTTTTTTCTCCATTTAGGCCTAACAGAGCTGAAGAAGATAAAGAAAAATGAAAAGACAAGAAAAGAGAAAAGAAGAGAGAGAGTGAGAAAGAAGAAAGAAAAAAAGAAAGAAAAGAAAGAAGGAAGGAAGGACAGAAAGAAAAAAGGAAGAAAGAGAAGAGAGAAGAAAGAGAAAAGAAAAGGAAGAAAGAAAAAGAAAAGAAACTCTCAATAAATGAGAAGGGTCATTCATCCATTGAGGCAGGCAGGAAGTCACTATATATATTTTACACAGGTAATAAATGGCAGGGGTATTGCTTAGGGCAGGAGGAAAAAGGAATTAAACCCATAGAAAACTGGACAAAGTGCAATACTCTAGGAGTTAGACCTCCAAATTAAATCCTTACAATAATGTTGAGCAAGTGTTTTGATACGTGTATAAGCAGAGTCCTACTGGAACACAGAAGTTCTAATGCCTCCTGGAGGACAGCAGGGAGACTTCAGAGAGGAGATAGCCCTTGAGCAGACTTTCACAGCAATTGCATATTTCCTCCACCAAAATCTCCATAAGGCACTGAACTAATCCATTGCATTGCTGAACAGAAAGTTTATGAAGGGGAATAAAATACATCTGAGACTGGACAGCCACTTGAATTATTTCTAAAGTTCACACAACTCCAAGGTAACACTAACAACCACAACAATTACTATTATTACTAACATTTATTCACAATATTTTATTTTAAATTACCTTTAGTTAAATACTAAGAATCTACAGGACTTAATGCTACAGAACAGAAACCATAAGTAGAAGGAGGCAGTATCTCTCACTGATGAAAAATGAATGAGGACATGTGTTGAACAATGAAATACGGTTTAATAAGGTGTCTCATGTGAACCTGCATAAGACAGAAAAAAGTCTTGCTCTTTAAATCCATTAAACAATAACAAAGAAATTGGTGTCAGAAAACTTAGATATGCGTATTCAGCTATATTAAGTAAAACAAAGACCAAAAGAACTGGAATAATCTTAATTAGATGTTTATTCTAGTCAATATCTATATCTAGTGTGTATCATTTCGGACAGTTGTCTTTCTTTCAAAACCCTTCAGCTAGAATGCCTACCCCACTGTCACCTCCACTGCAGCCTTCAAGACCAAAGTCTTACATTATTATGTGGATCAAGGAGCCAAGCTCAAACAAACATAATCAACAGAGTTATGGTAAAAATTATAGTTGGTTAAATAGTTTACTGGCTCAACTTAAGCAAAAAGAAAGTCTAATTTTGCCAGAATATTGCAGTAGAAACTTCGTGAAGGGTATTGGGGCTGAGTCTACAAACATTTAGCCTAACTAGATTGGAAAGGAAACAAAAATTTAAAACAAAGAAACCAAAAAAAAAAAAAAGTGTGTTTGATTAATCACAGCTTGGCAATAGCTCCTCCACCCAATAGAACCCCAGAAGCATTTTCCTCTGCTGATCCCCTACCATCTTCTCAACTCATTCTTCTTAAGAGGCCCCAGTGAAAGTCAGTTCCACTAGATGTGTGCTGACTCAGTCAGGCCAGCCAACCTCGATTGAGAACTCACCTGAATGCAGGAGCCATGAGCCAGTCAGCTCATCTCTGAAGTGAGAGAAAGAACAGTTCACATCTTCGTTAATTAGATACTAGCAAACTAAATGAGTAGATTCATAGGAGTAGGCTATCATTTTACCACCTGAATGAGAAAAGGAGAGGTGGCACAGATATGATTCTTCAGCAAATTGGCTACAGCTGCCAAATTGCACATTCAGACAGCCCAAGACAGTAACTATTTAACAGAGTATCTGTGCTGGGCCTAAAATTTTCCTAAGACATGTTTTTATATATCTTATCATCAGTTGGGTTGAGGTATAGGCTATGAAGTATAGATGAGACATTCGTTTATCTTTCTAACTGAATTAAGTTCTTGAAAGTGCACAGAAAAGATGGATTCATTTAACACTCATGACTTGGATTTATTTTGCCTCAGTGCATTTGTCTACAAGATGAGACAGACAAATATCTGTTTAAAGGCACCTCCTAGTATTGAGCTGAAAGTAACATAAATAAGAAATGCATTTTAAAAGCTAAAAATTCAAGTGTAATTTTTATAGTGGATGATTTTTCTCTTTAAGCTACTGATTTTTTTAAAGTCTTATTTTCTTTGTGTTTTGTTTCTACCTTTGTAGCATAAGAATACTTTTTTTTTTTTTTTTTTTTTTGAGACGAAGTTTGCTCTTGTTGCCCAGGCTGGAGTGCAATGGTGCGGTCTTGGCTCACTGCAACCTCTGCCTCCTGGGTTCAAGCGATTCTTGTGCCTCAGCCTCCCAAGTAGCTGGGATTACAGGTGCCCGCCACCACACTTGGCTAATTTTTGTATTTTTAGTAGAGATGGGGTTTCACCGTGTTGGCCAGGTTCATCTCGAACTCCTGACCTTAGGTGGTCCTCCCACCTCAGCCTCCCAAAGTGCTGGGATTACAGGCGTGAGCCACTGCGCCCGGGCGAGAGTACTTAATACTTACAAATACAAAAGAAAGTTGTTCAAATCTAATATTAAAAACATAATTAGATATTAATCTGCCAATGTGCTTAACTCTACTAGATCAACAAGATTCTAAATAACAACCTGAAATAGAACATGTCATTAATGAACAAATTTTCAAAAAGTAAATTACACTTAAAAATTTCTTGAGAGTAGATCTCATGTTAAACATTTTACCGCAATAAACTAAAAGAAAAAATGTTTAAGTAAATAATTTATAATTTTATTGGGTTTTCCTATTTGAAAACGTCTTTGTGGACTTCAGGGAAAGGATGCTGTATAAGAAATTATTATTTTACCAATCCCATGTTGATTTTAGGCTCCACTGAAGAATATGATTAGAGTTTGGCCCACAAATTGTTGACAGAAAACTTGTATTCAAATTTTATTTGGTGACTTTCATTGAATGAAAATTTTATGAAGATGTTTGTCTTTTATATTATATTCCTTCCCATTCTGCCCTCATATATGTGCACTGGGGGATGATAGGGAGATGACGACAGGAGAGATTTATTAAAGGAGGACTATTTATTTTCTGGCCAATTTCTAATCTAAATCTAAATTCCCAAGAAAAAAAGACACGTCTTCCATGTAACTGCTACTTAGCAGACATCAATTTCTGCTGTCATTTCCAGAAAAGCACCATGATTTAGTGTGGGACTCTAATATCAGACTTTTGGGTTGGGATCTCTGCTCTGTCACGCTCTAGCTGTGGGACAGAGGGCAAATTATTTGACTGTTTTATCTCTATATTCTCATGTGTACAGTGAGAATAATATACAGTTGTTAAGATTCAATAAGTTAATACATATAAAATGCCCAGAACATAGTAAATGTTCAGTAAGTTTTACTTATTACATCCATTTTTTTTTAAATTAAAATGGGTTTTTTTTGTAAAAATTAATCTGCTCTGCTGTTAGAAAACAAGAGTTGCTTAAGGTGAAATGAAAGAAAGAAAGGTAAAGAAAGAAAATTCTATTAGTCTACTAGTTGCAGAAAAATCATATTTTATATCTTAGAATTGAAATGGAAGACCTCAAGAAGAGGAGACTCAGTCACACCAGGAGAAAAAATTGCCCATGAAACTTGAACTATTGCTAGCAGAGGTCACCATGTGAAAACAGGAGCCTGCAAAGCATTGTTGAACACACAGTCTTTTTGGAGACAGCCCAGGGACACAGGTCAAAACTATGCAACTTTCATTCTCTACTACTCAGTGAGCTCTTCTGAGGAATATAAGTGCTAAAAAAATCAGTCAAGAGGGGAATAAACTCTACCATGTTTATAAAAATGGCTATTTCAGTATTATGTATAATCTTGAAAAACTATGAAATGACCTAGCTCATAGGGAAATCTCTAGTTGATGAAATATTATTAAAATCATACATATTAAAATTAGCAACATGGAAAATAATGTTTAATACTAAGAAAAAAGGACTCGAAAGTGTATACAGCTTATTACTGCATCTTTATGGAAATACATTCATAAATATTTAATGCAATTATATGATAAAAGGCAATAAGCAAGCTGAGAAAAAATAGTTGGGTTTTCTGATAATTTCTTTGCACTGTTTTTGTGAGTATAATTTCTTTGTACTGTTCTACGTTGATACTGAATAAATACAAAATTAAAACATAAACACATATATGAAGCATAATGCTAAAATCAATCAAGTAACTCATGTTGTAACAAACCAATAGCTTAAATAACTGTTCAATTTCATGAATTAGTAGAGGATTTGTTTTACCTTTCTGCTTGTATTGATACTGTTACTAAAGCAGTGTTCATTTCACATGTGTAATAGGAAACCTATGTGTCATGACTTAGCAAGTTTGAAGTGAAAAAACATCGTATTGATTTTTTCTGTTTAAAAAGTATATGTAAGATAGTTCATCGTTCAATAGTTAATTATGATAAAAAATAGGTGGCACAGTAAAAAACCAACATTTACTGAAAACATATTATTTGATGTATAGGGTTTTTAGAAATATATGATTTCTCCTTTCAAATGCTACAAGAAAATTATGATTGATACCAGAGTAAACAAAAAATCAAATGCCATTGTGGTCAGGCACCATGTTTGCCTCTAGGAGTTCCATGAACCACAAATATAGACTGAAAAGAATGTGTGTCAAAGAAGTAGACCATGAGTTCCCTTGCTGCTGACTTCAGCTCAGAAACATGACCCCACAAAGCACACTGGAGCTGACCAAGTTGCACCCAAGGATTGGACCAGCCACCCACTGTGGAAACCAGTGAAAGACCACAGGAGAACAGGTGACTCCTCCTCCTCCCAGCATCAAGAGGATCACTAGGACAGACACCACGTTGGAAAGAAGTAAGAATTGAAAGGAAGAAGTCGCTATAATAAGGACTTAAATTTAGAATTCCCGGAATATTTACCTCAAAGAGAAATCTGAAATCAAAATAGACTGTTTAAATCAGAGGAGGCAAAGAAACCATTGAATGACATTATTTTTATTTTTCCTTGCTACCCAGAGGGGTAAGGTAGAGATGGGGAGAAGAGAGCTTGAGTTTAAGGAACATTATATAGAATGTAGAAAAAGAAGATAATCTTTGTTTATCTAAGCAGTATATGAATAGCTTTCTATATTTGGGGATCTCTGAAAGAAGAAATCACATCTTTTTCTTGTAGTTATCCCCCTTTAGAAATTATATAGTTATACAATAAATGGCACTGAATGAATAAATCACAAGACTTGAAGCGATGAGAGAGGTTTTCTAATTCATCATCCCAATTTCAGGTAGACTACCATAATTCAGCACAGAAACCTTTTTCTTGAGGACCTGGAGTATTTATCGTGAGTTTGTTCTTGGCCTGTGCAGTAAGCAGGCAGAACAGTCACTCTCCACCAGCCCTACCTTTCCTTTCCTGTCCTTTCTTCCTTTCATTACAATTTGCAGGCTGTTTTTCTTTACTTGCTGATTGTTAATAAATTTCTGCCCTTCCTCTCCCCACCCCTCATATCAGCTTACTTTTCCAACTAACAAAACACCAGTCTTGTTGAACCATCTATTACAAACACTGGAGCAGAATAGCAAAGGGATTTTTTAATCAAGGAAAAACTTGAGGTTAAATTATTACTATCTTGATTATGTGGGTTGTTCAAAAGAACTTTAATTTTTTTCTCCAATGAGAAATTCCTCCAGATAACCTATTGAGTATTTGAGTCCTCTGAGTCCTCCTGAGGCACTAGCACACTCAATTTTTTATATTGATTAAATTATAAAACACACCATACATGCAATTTGTTAGCTTGACTAAGTTTTGTTTTGCTTTTGTTCTTTTTGGTTTTGTTTGTTGTTTTCCTGTTTCCTTTTTTTAAAAAAAGGAAACCTCTAGTTCTATCTACTTTAGGGACATTTATTTGGAATGAAATAAAAGTGACTTGTAATTATAGTTTAATGCCTCAAAATAGAAAAATGTGCCAAATTGCTTAACCAAATACATATTTGGTTGGGATTTCAGAGTTACTCCTGAGTCAAGGCCCTGGAAAGTCTGAACCATTGCTTATCTTTAATTTATGGTTCTCTGCTAAGGGCAGCACAGAACTGATTGTTCATAAGGTTAAAATTTTGGCTTACGAAAGTTGTGCATCACAGAACAGGCATTAAGACAAACTTCTATTGCATTCTTTTTTTTAGTTGTGGCATCTCTTTCCCTCCGTTTAAGACTCCCTCATGGAGGTATATCCAATCCTGATTAACAGGGCTGTGGATAAAATGGTCTGAGATAAAGGCAAAGTGTTCGATGAGCTCTTCCTGAGATTCCTGAGCTATTTCATTTCCTTCTTTCTTATTTTGGCCTCATAAAATATTGTTTGTGGTGTCTCACCAGAAATGATCTTGTACACGTTAGCACTCTAACATGCACAATTTTAAAAATGCATTTATCTCCAAGTTTAGAGTAAGAGTAAGACAGAGAACTGTGCTTTTCTCAAGTGTTTGCCAACTTTCAAACTTTTGGCATTTTAAGCAGAGATCCTTACAAAATGGAGTTTTCCCTGACATGTCTGGATGTGTATGTATCTGAACTGACTGAATTTAGTCTTTCAGGGAGGCAGAAGATGACCAAGGTGACTATGGGGGCAGTGAGGGCCCTGTGGCTTCATTCCTAAAGTTCAGCACAGTGCTCCTCCATCAGTGCAGCTTGGTTGATGTACCAACCAGGATCCTGGCAAGAAACAGATGGCACACTCAAATTGGGTGCTTTGAAGAGAGATAGTAGGGGGACCATTTATTAAGGTGAAAGTAAGGTGAGGAAGCTACAAGTACTTTGAGGCTAGTGACAGTTGGATTTGGAGGAGGGATTGGTAGCACCCTAGGCCAGAAGGGGCAAGGGAAGGAAGTAGTTACCAGAACCTAGAGACAGATAACAAACATAGAAAGAGGCATGGGTGACAGCTGTTGGAAAGAGCCTGGCTTCCAGTGGGGATATAGTTGGACTAAAGAAGTTGGATACAGCCAGCCCAGAATGGACTTGTCCTTGAGCTCCACAACTGGAATCCCAGAATAAGGGAGGCAGTTGATGCAGGTCAGACTCATGGAGAAACAGCAGGGTGAATTCTGGATCTGAAAGTGAAAATAAAAGAAATACAAAAACCAATGAGATTGATTCCCAAACTCCAAGGTCATGGCTGCTGCTAATTCATAGGTACCTCTTTGTGAACTAGAAAAATAAAATGCCTTTTTGAGTGACGCAGACCTATTAGTGCACAGGGTTTTGTTCTACTGGACTCTGATCAATCTGAGCCAATTGAAGTAATTCTATTCCCCTTGCCAGAGTTATTGGTTTGATGATCAGTGCAGAACCTAGTCCAAACCAGTCAGCATCCTGACTATCCCCTGGTAAAAGCCAATGATTCAAGGGCAGGCATGTGTCTGGCAATAGCCTGATGGGAGTGAAGTTCAGAACATTTGATCTATGACTGTTCAAAAAATTCTTTCTTCCTTCCCCAAGTGAACAAGGGAGCTTATTTATGGTCCTGAGAGATTCTAGCATTTACCATAAGGGAAGCCAGACTAAGAATAGGCCCGGTGTCTAAAGGGCAACAAAATGAAGAAATTATCCACAGCTCTTATTTTTATTATTATACTTTTTGTATCCTGAGACTTTGCTGAAGTTGCTTATCAGCTTAAGGAGATTTTGGGCTAAGACGATGGGGTTTTCTAAATATCCAATCATGTCATCTGCAAACAGAGACAATTTGACTTCCTCTCTTCCTATTTGAATACCATTTATTTCTTTCTCTTGCCTGATTGCCCTGGCCAGATCTTCCAACACTATATTGAATAGGAGTGGTGAGAGAGGACATTCTTGTCTTGTGCCGATTTTCAAAGTGAATGCTTCCAGGTTTTGCCCATCCAGTATGATATTAGCTGTGGGTTTGTCGTAAATAGCTATTATTTTGAGATACATTCCATCAATACCTAGTTGATTGAGGTTTTTGGCATGAAGAGGTGTTGAATTTTATTGAAGGCCTCTTCTGCATCTATTGAGATAATCATGTGGTTTTTGTCGTTGGTTCTGTTTATGTGACAGATTACGTTTATTGATTTGCATATGTTGAACCAGCCTTGCATCCCAGGAATGAAGCCGACTTGATTGTGGTGGATAAGCTTTTTGATGTGCTGCTGGATTCGGCTTGCCAGTATTTCACTGAGGATTTTTGCATCGATGTTCATCAGGGATATTGGCCTGAAATTTTTTGTTGTGTCACTGCCAGGTTTTGCTATTAGGATGATGCTGGCCTCATAAAATGAGATAGGGAGAAGTCCCTCTTTTTCTATTGTTTGGAATAGTTTCAGAAGGAATGGCACCAGCTCCTCTTTGTACCTCCCACAGCTCTTACATCATGAATATCCAAGTTAAATTACGCCTGATCTCTATATTTTTCAAACACATTAGTCAATACATTTCCTTTAGTTTGTAAGTCAGCCACAGTTGAATTTTCTTTTGCTTGCAAACAGGGATTCATATTTCTTATTGACCTTTCCTTTGTGGACAACTTAAAGCTTTTTAGCTTCCTCATTATTTGAACCATACGGGACAAGGAAGATTTTTTTAAAATTGATTCTAACCAAACTACATTTTCAACTCAAACCAGATTGATTTCAATCATTCCTGTAAGTCTATCCTTACTGATGTACATGTAGAAGTGAAAGTACCTGCAAAATTATTGAACAGGTTTCAGGTCATGTTTTCTTTCTGACACCTTCTTTAGCATAATTGCAATGAAAGTATCTTTTATCATCTCTTCAAACAATTGTATTTGCATTTGTCAAAAAATGCTCCCTCTGAGTGGATATCTGCCCAAGACATCCTTTTCATACCCACAATTGAATTTTCTTTTGGTAATTTGAATATTTTACATTTAACTTCCTTGCTCACAAACGTGAAGGTATAACTTAACATTAGAGACATTTCTGTAAGAAGAAATCAAAAAATGCAAACTAAAGTTTAGCAACTCAGGAATTTGGTTAGGTTTAACTATCAGGAGCCAGACTCCAAAAGTAGACTAAAGTGTGGCCGTCCTAATCTCTGTAGTGATCAGAGCTTGTCTGAACTCTTTTTTGTATATTTGGTTTATTTCTAGCTGGTATGCAACATAAAACAGCCTTTAAATCAGCTTCCCCATAGGTTATCTTGACCTCTTGAAAATCTGCCTTTGCGCTACCCACAGGAAGTTGATGGTCACTCTCCTGATTGGGAAGGGAATGCTACATGATAAGGCCTCAATAGACTTTTGTATAGTTTCTTGCTTCAAAGAACTTTGTTCAGGCCCCTCAACAAGAAGGATAAAGTCCTCATTGTCTTGCTTGGTTTCCAATCTGGTTTCCTCCCTTTCTCTTCCACGCCCTGAACTTTAACTTAACCAGCATCTCCACTACACAATTCTGTTGTCTAGCTGTGTCTTTGCTCCATCTCTCCACCTGGAATGTCTTCTCAGACTCTCCTCCACAACCTTCTCAGGCTTACCTGGCCAACTCCTACTCATGCTTGGCTCAGTTGGCACCCTCTCCAGGAACGCTCCTCTTTTCACACTCTGGCAGCTTTGCTTCCTTTGAGCTCTCATGTTAGTTCTGTCCTTGCAGTTCTACTCTCAGCGTATCTCAATGTGTGGACTCACCCACTAGACTGAGCTCCATAAGCAGGAACAATGTCTTACTTCTATTTTTATGCCCACTGACCATGGAGAGGGAGTCCCATACTTAAAGAATTCCATGTACAAAAGAATATTTTTATCTCCTTATCCAGGTATGAACTCCCCAAAACATTAGATTTCATATCACAAAACATAGTTGAGTCAACTGAGAAAACAATTAGTTTGCACTCAAGTTAGACATTGAATTGAAATTCCTTTTGAGCTGTGAGTGGAGAAGATAAATTTAAATTCAAATAAAATTTTCAGTTAACAATACTGTAAGTGATATTTTGTTTTTCTAGATAGCATCATAAGTATTTTTCCAATAGCTTGCTAATCATATTCCAAATACTTTCAGCGACTGATGTGATGGTACCTTCAAAAAGCAGCAACAAAAACAACTATTGCAAAGCATTCTTTGAAAATCTGTCATCTATACTGTGTAATAAGTATAGAGTTTTACAATATAAAAACAATTCTGGAGATAGATGGCAGTGACGCTTGTACAACATTATGAATGTATATAATCCCACTGAACTTAAAAGTGATTAACATGGTAAATTTTATGATATATGTAGTTGCCACAAAAAAACTGGGGGAAAATCTGTCAAACAAAAATTCCTGGTGAAAAATATTAATTCTAAATTTCTGATGGGCTTTCTTCCACCTGCTTGGCTCTCATTTCCAACAGCCAGATATTTCAAGGGAAGTTCTAAAGTAGAATTAAAAGGTAGTCTGGTTCTTCTTAGGACCTTTCTAGTTGAGGTCTTCTAGGAAACTCTATCTTGCTATTTGAAATCATGAAATGATTTCAGAATCTGCCTTACTTGTCCAAGGGTCGTGAACCAGCAAGGAGGGAGACTTCGTATCACCACAGATGGTAAGGGATTGGGGAGCAGCCTGGCATGGAACAAGTGTCCACTGAGCGGCCAGGAAAGCCTGTGACCATGGTGAGGGGAGGAGGCAGTGCAGCTGACAGCCACAGTTGATCAGCTAGTCCAGAGAGATATGGCCAGGCAGGCTACTGATCTTGTAAGCAGGGGTGGGCTCCCTTCCAGGACCATGAAGGGGACCTTTAACTGACCATAGAGGGCAGGTAGCTCTGTAAGTACGTTAAGAGCTCAGTGTCTGACTGAAAGTAGTGTAATAGTATTCATAGCTGTGACAGGGAACATTTTAGGAGTAAAGAAAGTCAACTCTTTTTATTTTATTTATTTATTTTTTTTTTTTGAGATGGAGTCTCACTCTGTCACCCAGGCTGGAGTGCAATGGCACCAATCTCAGCTCACTGCAAACTCCTCCTCCCGGGTTCATGCCATTCTCCTGCCTCAGCCTCCCGAGTAGCTGGGACTACAGGCGCCCGCCACCACGCCGGGCTAATTTTTTGTATTTTTAGTAGAGACGGGGTTTCATCGTGTTAGCCAGGATGGTCTCGATCTCCTGACCTCGTGATCCACCCGCCTCGGCCTCCCAAAGTGCTGGGATTACAGGCGTGAGCCACTGCGCCTGGCCATCAACTCTATTTTTATAAATAACTGGACACTAGGGCAAAGAGAGGCAGCCCAAAAAGCCCCATAACCAGCTGGCAGAGACCAGCTTGAGAGTCAAGAGGAGAACACTGAAGGTTGGACTAGGGATGCAAAAGAATACAGGCACTAGGAACTAGGACCGCCTGTACTCACCACCAGTCACAGGATTTAGGGCAGAGATATTGAAAAGTAACCACCATCACATTATTCTCTGCCCACATTCTTACCATATGGGTACTCAGGATCACTAAGGAAAGCATGCATATAATTAGCCTAGAAAGCCACTTGGATCCTTTCAGTTAATTATCCTTTTATTTCAAAAATCTCATATTACAAGTATTAGAAACTTCAGTGTTATCTCTGCCATATCTCAGGTTTCCCTATATGTGTGTTATAATTCTAGATCCTCTATTATATTTCATATTGTTGTATTTATCTATCTGTCACCACCATTATTTTATGGCTGCAGCTCTAGAATAAGTCTTTTCTCTGGTAGGACAAGTGCTCCCCACCTCGTTCTCCCACATCAACTTCCCGGATCATCTGAAATGCCTTTCTCTATGTACTTGAATTCTTACAAATCTTGATATCACTGCTAGTTCTCTGCCTTCAAAGCAGCTTCAGGCATGATCAACAGCAGCCATGGAAGCTGCCTAAAAATGAACAGGAAGGGGCTGGGCGCGGTGGCTCACAGCTGTAATCCAAGCACTTTGAGAGGCTGAGGAGGGTGGATCATGAGGTCAGGAGATGGAGACCATCCTGGCCAACACGGTGAAACCCTGTCTCTACTAAAAATACAAAAATTAGCCGGGCGTGGTGGCGGGCGCCTGTAGTCCCAGCTGTGGAGGAGGCTGGGGCAGGAAAATCGCTTGAACCCGGGAGGCGGAGGTTGCAGTGAACCGAGATTGCACCACTGCACTCCAGCCTGGTGACAGAGCGAGACTCCGTTAAAAAAAAAAAAAAAATGAACAGGAAGGAACGTGCACCTTCCAGAAAAACAAGAAGAGATGAAGAGTGAGAGAGAGAAATGAGAAATGAAAGGAGAATTGGTATGGTTTGGATCTGTGTCCCCACCCAAATCTCATGTCAAATTGTAATCCTCCATATTGTATTTGGGGCCTGGTGAGAGTGAGTGGATCATGGGGATGGAATCGTCATGAATGGTTTAGCACTGTCTTCTTGGTGCTGTTCTTGTAATAGGGAGTGAGTTACCATGAGATCTGGTTGTTTAAAAGGATGTAGCACCTCCCCCATTTCTTTCTTCCTCCTGCTCCCACCATAAAAGACACCTGCTCCAGCTTTGCCTTCTGCCATAAGTAAGAGCTCCCTGAGGCCTCCCCAGAAGCAGATGCTGCCATGCATCCTGTACAGCCTGTGGAATCATGGGCCAATTAAACCTCTTTTCTTTATAAATTACCCAATCTCTGGTATTTCTTTATAGCAATACAAGAGTGGACTAATGCAAAAAAAACTATACAAAAAACGTGCTGTTAATAAAGATTTAAATCCAGTCAGAGCAGACAAATGAGAAGTAATTGAAAAAAATAAAAAGGTATAAGATGATATATAAATTGGGTTGTGGTTCCCCAAAAAGATACGTCAAAGTCCTAATTCCCAGTATCTCGCTCAGAAGGGTCTAATTTGGAAATAGAGTCTTTGCAGATATAATCAGCTATCATACTATAGTAGGGTGGGTCTTTCACCCAATATAACTGGTGTCCTTATAGGGAGAGGAGAAGACAGACACCTGAGGGAGAAGGCCATGTGGTGATGGAGGCAGAGATTGAAGTGCTGCAGCTTCAAGTCAAGGAGTGCCAAGGATTGCTGTGAACCACCAAAAGCAAGAAAGACACAAAGGAGGATTCTATCCTACAGATTAGAGAGGAGAGTATGGACCTGCTGACACCTTGATTTTGAATTTTTAGACTCCAGAATTGTGAGATAATAAATTTCCATTGTTTTAAGCCACCCACTTTGTGGTACTTTGTTATGCAGGCCTAGGAAACGAATACAGAAAAAAAAGGCATACCATATCTCATCAAATCTGATACACCATTGATTACAAGATGCCCTGTTATATTATGCACCTTGAAGAGATTTTAAAAAGCTGTCAATTTGCTGAGAGCGGTGGCTCACACCTGTAATCCTAGCACTTTGGGTGGCTGAGGCGGGTGGATCATGAGGTCAGGAGTTGGAGACCAGCCTGGCCAATATGGTGAAACCCCGTCTCTACCAAAAATACAAAAATTGGCCAGGCATGGTGGTGCATGCCTGTAGTTCCAGCTACTTGGGGGGCTGCAGCAGAAGAATCACTTGAACCCAGGAGGCGGAGGTTGCAGGGAGCCAAGATCGTGCCACTGCACACCAAGCTGGTCAACAGAGCGAGACTCTGTCTCAAAAAAAAAAAAAAAAAAAAAGAACGCCAATTCAATGATGGCACATCGTCAGTTGTAAGATGCAAACTAATTTAAAGATGTTAAAAAAAACAGTATCTTAGAATCTATAAAATATGGTACCTCGATTCTATCAGCTCAGTTAAATAATAATGTTTGGGTGAGTGTTAACTTGTGCATCATCTAAGATGCCAGGTACCTTGAAAGTACTTCCCACTTAGTGTCTAAACAGACATCAACCCAAACTGGACATTGTCGATAAGTAAGGTATGTAAAATGATACCAAACAGGTGTAATTCGTTTTAAGGTAAACATGGGTTGTATCATGTGGTGTTAATCTTTACTTCTGGGGAATATCAAGCCTGGGAAAAAAAATAAAAATTGAATGAGCTGTTTCTTCCTTCTTCCTTTTAAGTTACTTCTGTGTTGCTTGTTACCATAATCACGGCTTTCGTTTTGTATCCTCTTAGAATCCCTAACTGTCTAGGCTAGTGGTTCTCGACCTGACTGAACATCAGAATTAGTTTGAAAACATTTTTTGAGAATTTATTCCTAAAATTCAGAAGCTTGGTAACACACTCTGTTGAAAAAATTATGGAAAAAGATTTTCTCATACATTGCTAGTAGTAATACAAAAAAAATCTGACAATACTCATGGAGAAAAATTTGATAATATCTAACAAAATGCCTTTCCACCCAGAAATCCCACTTTTAGGAATTTGCTTCCAATGGGTTACAGTGCTATAAATACAAAAAGAAAACAATTCTAGGTAAAAAGGTTACTCACTGTGGCAATGAATTTTTTAAAATTCATTTTTTAAAAAATGGAAATTATCCATGTCTATCTACAGGAGGCTAATTTAACAAGTTCTACCATAGCCACACAATGGAGTACCCTTTTGCACTAGAGCTATACAAAAAAAAAATGAAGACTTCTGAGAGTGAATATGGAGAGAAAAAAAGCAAGATACAAAAGAGTATGTTGCCATTTGTATATATCTATCTTACATAAATATATAATTGTTTATTTTGTCAAAAAAAAGGAAGACTATACCAGAAATAAATATAAATGGTTCACTCTTTGGGGTCAGAGGAGAGGAAATCGGTGGTAACACAAGTTGGGAGGCATATAAGGCTTCTCAAAGTACAAATTTTTAATAGTTTTGAGGGTTTGGGGGATGTATAAATATTTTACGTATTCAAAAATAAAATTGTATCAGCAAGGATGGAAAACACGTGCTAAAATATAACTCAAACAGAAACAAATTGACCCAACTGTATATTAAAATAACACAACCTCATAGGAAAGAAAAGAATGATTCAAATAACTCATGAACACATTTTACTTAATGTACACCTTTAGTGAGATATTTTCTCAAGATAGAAAGAAGAACATGACTTAGTAAGTTTGTTGATTATTAAAACTATTTTGTATATTATAATATAAAGCAAATGAGCAAATACATTGGTGTTGTCAGGATTCAGGTTTCACACTGTGGGAGAAGCAGTGTGTAAATATGGAATGGGGAAGGTAAGGAGAAATCCAGAGGTATTGGATCTGAAATGGAGTCATCAGCACCAATTCATGATTTCAAAAATGTATATATTCTCTGCCTCCTGAAGGGACCCAGAAACAATGTCACCTTGAGTCATTGAACATATTAATATCAAGATCTTGGTTTTGAAATACTACTCACTACTCACTACTGAAAGCAAACAATGTTTCCTGGAGAAATGGCTAATTCCAGATTACAGACAGATAGTGTACAAGGTGAACCCTGAACATTCTGTGTCAGAAAGCTAAGGAAGTGCCCAGAGAATGATAAATACAATCAAAAGAACAAAGCGGCAAGCATGAAAGGCCAAATATGAGATAATTTGGGAATTTAAAAAATGAACATAATGGATCGTAACACATTGAATTTTTTAAAATTCTTGAGCCTGTAGTGATACTGGAGGAAGGAGTCTTTTGTTTACACAAGAATGCCAG
This sequence comes from Homo sapiens, assembly GCF_000001405.40. Lineage (NCBI taxonomy): Eukaryota > Metazoa > Chordata > Mammalia > Primates > Hominidae > Homo > Homo sapiens. The sequence goes on from NC_000006.12 coordinate 81,854,395, forward strand.
AAAATAAATGTAAAAGGGATAATAAAATTAGGAAATGACTATTTTGCAGTCTCTAATGTAGTTCAGACAAAGGTCATCAGTGCATGCTAAAACTACTGGGTGAAAGTGTATTGGAGAACATGATATTCACATAGTATCAAAATGTCATCCCATTGATTGATTACTTATTAATTATAAAGGAAAAGCATAACTTCAAAATGAAAAAAAAAAAAAACTTGACAGACACCATCTTAACCAGGTAACCAAACATCACACAAAACGCACAGAGGCCCCTGATGTGATGTAATCAAATGTACACAACAGCACTTGTGCAGTTTTTCTGCCGAAGATATTTAACCTAAATCTAGTCATGGGATACAATCAGACAGATTTAGAGAAATTCTCTAAGACAAGCCTTAACTCTTCAAAAATGGCAGGTTAATCAAAGGCAAAACATAGGTGGGAAACTGCTTGGAACTTAAGAAAGACAGTACAACTAATGCAAGGTGTGGGATCCTTGATTAGAGTCTGGATTTTTAAAATCAGCTAAAAGATACATTACAAAACAAACAAACAACCAAACAAACAAATCATTTTGGGACAACTGAGATAGTTTAAATATTGACTTGTTATATTGTTCACTGCAGTGCGGAACTTCTTTTTAAACCCTATTTCAATCAGATGATATTATTCATATGCAATGGGTATCAAAGTTTTAATGGCCAAGCATTATTAATACAACAAATAGGTCTTCTAAGCATTTCACGTAATATTTTTAAGCTTATTAGACTTTTTTATGTCATAATAAGGATACTGATTCAAATGTAGAGATTATTTTTCCTTTGGTAAAGATGAAGCCTGTGGTTTTTATAAATTCCCCTTTTTTCTCTCTGCCAAACAACTGAAAATAATTGTTTGACAGCTAGTCAGCTCCACAAAAACCTACCACAGAAAGTGAATTGAAAAGTTACAACAACAACTAAACCAAAGAAAAAAGTAAATTAAAATAATTCATGCATATGAACGGATACCTTAGTTTTTTTCATCTCTTCTTCTCTTGTAATAATTAGCACATGGCCTTTTATATGATAGATGCTTGTCTCTTCTCAAGACCCAGCCAACTAACTAACAGTTAGTAGGATTGACTCAGAAACAGGGCACAACATGAAAATAAAGCTCCTAGAACTTGAACTATGACAGAAAATTGGTGATCATTGGGCTACAGGATCAGTGCTTCCAATGATAGATGCCACATCCCAAAGTGTGGTTAAACAGTGGGGATGGTAAATACCCGGTGGTCATGCTGTCTCTCCTTTTTCTACACCCACAACAGACACTGTATTCTTTCTCATTGGCTTGCACCTTTGCCTCATCATTTTCTTCAACCCAGTACTCAAAGTCACCACCAATAGTCAGTTGAAAATGCATTTCCTATGAAATAAGAACTACAATTTTGAAATTCTTCTTGTTTCAGATTAGGCTAGAGTAGCAAGAAGAGGAGGCTATATCACCACAGCTTTGAGAGTAAGCTTGCCAGGCTAGCAACCATGCAGAGATAAATAACGCTCAATAGCTGTTAAATGAGAAAGTGAACTAAAGTAGAGAAGAACAGCAAAAATAATGTTCTTCGACATCGCATCTTGTATCATGACCTCAGTATGGCAAGTGCTTACCTGGTTGCAAACTGAGCAAAAGCAAAAAAGCTGCCCCACTTAGATAAGTTGCTGATTGAGATATCAGAAAACAAGTCTGAACCAGATGGCTACAAAGGTGTTATTTCAAAGTTTTCACAGGGCTGGTGGTATCTGCTAACCTGGGGTGTTTGGAATAAATTCAAAGGCTGAGTCTTTTACAAGTAACACCTATGCTTCCTCACTCTCTGAAATTCTACCATTATTAATTTTTTTAATACTAGGCTTTTAGGCACTAAATAGGGTACACCATGAAGCAGTTTGAAATTTTATTGAAAATGACATATTTTTGAAAAATTGTTGTGCAGCATTTTTTATTTGCAAAATATTTTTGTTACAAACATCCTAGCTAATTATCCATCCTAGTTATTCAGGAACTAGACCACCCTTACATTACATATATGAAAAATGAGAGAGGTAAGTTCAGCTTAGTGAAGTTAACTTTGCATGCCTCCTAGCCAGTGAAAATCAAAATAATTTGCCCTACATTGTGTAGTAAAATAATCACCTGGCCATGATTAAAACCCTCAGTCTCAGAAACTCCTGCTCAGTTCCCTGAATAATTCAGCCCTTTTTATAAGGATTTTGTTGTTTCATAATATATTTATTTTTCTTGAAAAATTAGTCTCCTATAGCAAATGCATAGTAGTCAAAACTATAATTGTTGACTATTTAGGAAATAAGGATGCCATTTATTTATTTTACGTCTTCCATTTCTCATATTCCCAGCATTACCATTTCTTTCTGCGTAGCTTATAAACATGACCAAGAATCTCTAATTTTATGAAATCTCTTGACCTTATGTCCCCATTAATAAACTAGTTTGCTGCTTCCTCTTTTTAAACTTTTTGACAAAATAACCTATATTCCCCATCTTCATTCTGGCACTACCCAATCACTCCTTAGCTCACAGAAATTTGCTTTCTGTTCCAACCAATTAATTGACATGTTCTATCAAAGTGCATTCACTGACTCAATTATACTCAAGTCCAAAGGGCACTTTGAGATTTTATTTATTGTTCTTGATCTGATTGATGTATTTAGCTTTGTTGAGGTCTCTTTCTCAACTCTTTATATTTACCTCTGTCCAGTCCTTCTCTATCTCTTTCATGAGCTACTCCCAGTTTGCCTCTCTCTTAAACGTTGAGTTTCCTAGTTCCATTCTTCTTCCACTGCTTTTTTCATGGTGAAGGTTCTCTTTGGACTGTCATCCACTTTCAGGATTTTAACTACTTTCCATGTCCTATTGATTTTTGAAACTAAATCTTCATCCACGACCTTCCCTCCAGATTTCAACTCACATATACAAATATCTGTTGGATGCTTCCAATAATATGAGATCCATAGGCTACATATAAAATTTATTTTATGCTCAATCCTGCCCTTCCCATATTCCCTACATCATTTTATAAATAAACATCTACAAACCTTAATTCTGAGAGCTTTGCTAGTTTTCTCTGTACATCATTTTATAAATAAACATCTACAAACCTTAATTCTGAGAGCTTTGCTAGTTTTCTCTGTGCTCTCATTCTGCATGTTCAATTAAATAACATATTCTGTGCATTGTATCTCCTAGATATTTATTAATCTTCTCTGCTTTACTTCTATATCTCTCATGTAGTTTTAGTCTCATAAGTTTAATTACATTCTAATTGAGTTTCTTATTTGTAGTCTTGACTTCTCCAAACTCATTCACTGCACCAAAGCCACCTGGGGTAAAACCAAATCTGATGAGCATTCTCCTTCTTACAGTCCTCAAAGCTTCCCTATAGCTTACAGAATAAAGTCTAAGTTTGTAAGAGTGGGTACAAGGGCCTTTAAAACCTGACTTCAGTCTACCATTGCCAAAGATGCCTGATACTCCCTGACTCACTATTTAGTAGTATAAAAATATCTGTAGTTTCCCAGGCTCATGGAACTTTATCAAGCCTCAGCTGTTGACTGTGTCTGGAACACTCTTCAAATATCACCCCTGTGGGACTTATTAACAGTGTTTTCACTATTTCCAGATACTCTTCTGGGTACATGGTAGGATAGCACTCCCCACCCCCTTGAAGATGGGCATGACCATATGACTTGCTTTGGCCAATGATAAGTGAGGAAAAGTGATGTGAATTGCATTCAGGCAGAAGAATTTAGGAGTGATATATGACTTTTTGTCTTCCTTCCTCCTGTCATGGCAAAGCAACATTCCAGAGGCAGTTTAATTTTTTTAAAGCTAATTCCTGCATTTTATTTGGCCATTTGTCTTGAAACCAACATCCGGAATTAATTCAAAAGAATGGTATCTTCTAGATCTGTCACCACATTAGTTGGGTGACTTTGGGTAATTTAGCAGCTGAGTGCCTCAGTTTCCTCAACTGTAATATGTAGATAATAACACTATCCGCCTAATAGGGCTGTTGTGGGATTTTTAAAAAGTCAATTCACAAAAAAAATGCTTAAAATGGTAGATATCTAGATATTTGCCTTATAAAATGTGCCTGTTGATGTGGTAGTTATTATTATGATATAATGATGTCATTTGCCTGATGACTATCTCTTTCCCATAGGCTTTGATTGTGCCTTTCTGTCCTTCAGTAAAAATCAACCTAGATAAGCCTTGCTCCAGGTAGCTCTCTTTATCAAAATGCCAGTACCAGAATTGCCAGTTTGGAGACTGGAAATATCCAGAATAGAAAAGGAAAGAGTGCAGACCTGTGGTCAGGTTTAAGCTACACCAAGTGGTCAGGGTATGTTTGCATGATTAACTTCTATGAGCTTCAGTTTCTTCAATTTTAATATATAAATAGTAATATGTAGAGGGCTTGGGGGGATTAAAGGAAATAATATGCATAAGGAGTCAAGCATCATATCTAGCACACAGCAATTTCACAATACGTGATTTTCATTCCTAGTTACTGTTATCATGTTTATCATCATGAATCCTGATGAAAGGCTGTCATTCTGGGACCATTAAATAGGTTTTAACTTTGCTTTGCCTCCACTACAATTCACAAAACTAAGGGCAGACATACTATCGCATTTTATTTATCCTGAAGGCAAAATACAATGCTCAGTAAATATTTATTGGATTCAACTGAATTTTTAATCAAGTGTTTTGGACAGCTCAAATCCATGTGATGAATCTCTGTGTTGAAGACAGAGTTAGGGTTACATTTGGAGATGGCACAAACCCCCGGCCTCTCCCAGCTGGGAGGCAACTGCCATTGGCATGCCATGCCACTGGTCTTAGGAACTGCCTCTCTATCTGAACTGTTAGAATTGCCACCTATAATGCTGGTGATTGTTCACAAACACTACGCACATATCTGTAGCAGCTTCAGCATTGTGCAGGTGCAGTAACACACACAGACTGCCCGAAAATATTTGTTAAGCTCTACAAAAGAGCAACCACTGACAAGAGATAATACTATAAACTGAGGAATTCTCTCACTCACTGTAGAAAATCTCATAGAAACAATTAGCATCAAAGTTTGAGACTTTGGGACCCTGGCTATAAAAGTATAATACTTTTTTTTCTGTTTCTCATACTTTGACCAACTTTCAGCAGAGAATGAAAAGTATGGAAGCTTTAAAACAATCTACAGAAATGTGATAACCTGCTGAATAGCCACAACTAGAAGGGGGAAGAAAAGAAGAAAAGAAAACTTCTACACATAATATTGGATGAAGTTCAATATGCCACACAGAAATCCATCAATAGATTCTGACAAACTAGTATTAAGCAAAGAAAATTCATGGTTCCTTTTCCCAGTAACTTGGTTCAGATAAAAAAAACCCTAGGACTAAGGTCACATATATAGCATGACAGTCAGTTGGGAACCAATCTATTTATCTTTGACCTGACATCTGACATTTAGTTTTCCCTTTGTATGCTGAAATAATTGCATGTATATCAAATGACTGCAAGAAGTGAAAACCAAAACAGGCCTTCATATCCTGCACAGGGAATATGCACCATTTGGCAAGACACCAGCCTCCCAGGCCACGCCAGCATTTGAGACCAATGATTATCAATGATGATGTCATCAGCAACAAGTGGCCAGGAATCACCCAATCCAGACAAGTCCATGTGATCTTCATGTTCTGCTTTCTTGTGCAAAGGCATTCATCTTTTACGTACCTGATCAAACACTGAGGTTCTAATAAAAGTAGCTTCTATGGAGTCTTCGGATCTTAGGGAAATATCTTCATCAGCCAAAATAAATACATTCATACAGTATTTTTTTAAGGTACACTATTCTTTGTCTAGTTTGCATTTTGCTTATTTTGTCAGGCACAAGAAAAATGCTTTCTGGCCAAAAAGGAGAAGTATTCAAAAAGAAAACATGGAAGAAAAAGAAACAGTTGCTAGAACATTTTATTCAGACCTCTTCCTGAAACTTTATCTGGCAAGCCATTTCAGAAAACATAACACATAATCTGCTAAAAATTTTAAAAGTGACTGGGAATTTTTATTATCAATCCCAGTGTTCTGACCAAAACTTTCTCTTCTAGCTCTAAGAGCCAAATCTGCATTGACATATGATTTTCTTCCCACAGCCTCTCTGGATTTCATGGTGGATAAAGTTATTCCAAGATTTTAGAAATTGGATGACTTCTTGGTTCATAATGATTTTGTGAGAAATTACATTACTCTGTGAAAAGAGAAGTGAACTCAGGTCTAATTTTTCCAGTGACTTTTTTCTGGCCCAAACAATTCTTTAAATTGTGTTGGCACCATAGAAACATTTGTTTATTACCTATATTGCTTAGTGTGGCAGAATGGAAGGGGAAACATGTTTGGCTTTGAAATTTGAAGTTAAACTGGGAATTAAGAATTGACTTCTAACCCTACCTCCTAGTAGCTGCATGAATGTTATATAACAATTCTGAAATGTAGTTTTTATTCCTTTCTTTCTCTCCTTCCTACCTCTCTCCCTCCTTCCCTCCCTTCTTTCCTTCTCTTTATCTCATGTTTCTCATCTATTTATCTGATTATTTGATTATTCAATAATCAAAGGATTGTTGGGAGGATTAGGCATATGAAAAGCAGACATTGCCTGGAATGTAATAACTCCTCCATAAGCATTAGATTCTGTGGATTTCACTGGTTTTCCATGTGAGCAATCCCTATTTTATTAATGTGCCAAACATCTAAGTGGGCATCCATCAGAATCACCTAGAAGGCTTGATAAATGCAGACCCCTGGGTCCCACACCCCAAAATTCTGATTCAGTAGGTCTGTGGGTAGGCCTGAGAACTTATACCTCTAACAAATACCCAGATCACGTTGATGCTGCTGGTCCAACAACACACTTTGAGTGTCACTGATCATCTTAACAGACAGAAAACAAATTTCATCACTTGGGCCAACTCCAATTATTGGTGTGCTCTGTTGGGAAAGATTCTGAGGCCATGTCAGGCTTGGGGTGAGACCATGTTTTTGGAGTGCTGAGTAACATCTCTGTCATCCCTGCAAAAACTTTATTCCTTTTTCTCAACACTTGCCCCTTTCCCAATCAAAATGCTAGATCAACCTCAAATTTCAGCAGCTTCAAATCATATGGCCAGTGCTCACACAGAAGCAGGAAGGTGCAGAATTGTTCCATCCACTTCCTGGTACCAGACCTCCTTTCAACCCCACAGACACCTATAGAACAGTCATACATGTTCATCAGGTACAGAAAACCCATGACATCCAGAAAAATAAATAACAATAACGGTGTCAGACCTTACCATACACATACATATTTTTTATTTTATTTTTTATCTTATTATTCCAACAATTCTATGATATAGGTATTATTGTCCCTGGCTTAGAAATGAAGAAATGATGTTTGGAGAGTTTTCTCAAGTAGTTTTCCCGAAGTTATTGAGAAAGTATGCAAAATATTTATAATTCCAAAGGCTGTATTCTTAATCTCTACAGAAATAAGAGGTAGAAATACTCAAACAATTTCTCCACAGTTTGAAAGCAAAACACTCTTGTCCTTTGGAGGCCAAGATTTGTTTTAGTTTTATTAAATAGATGCAATCCATCATTCTCATATATCACATTCAAGTGAAGTATCTAACACATACAGTAGCCCCCTCCATCTGCAACTCTTCTTTCTGAAGTTTCAGTTACTTGCAGTCAACCATGGTTCAAAAATATTAAATAAAAAATTTCAGAAAGAAACAATTTATAAGTTTTTTATTGTGTGCTGTTCTGAGTAGCATGATGAAATCTTGTGCCATCCTCCTTTATCTTGCATGGGATGCAAATCATCCCTTGGTCCAGCATAAGGACACTGTACATGCTACCTGCCTGTTACTCACTTCGTCACCATCTCAATTACCAGATTAAAAAAATAGTATTGTATGTGTATGGTTTGGCATTATCCATGGTTTCAGGCATCCACTGTGGTTCTTGGAACATAGCCTCTGCAGATACGGGAGGGTTGCTGTATGCAAATGGAGTTATGTGCAATTTCAGAGTCATCTCTTCGAAATATAGACTATGTATACATGCTCTGGCTTAGTATTCTTCAATATTTTCTAATCAACTATCTTATTACAGAAGTACCTCACTTAAAAAGCAACATATCTTAACTCAAGTCTTATGATTCTTATTTATCCCAGGTTTTAAATTTAATGCATATTCAATGCTTTGCTAGGCTCCAATATTAGATGTCTTTACTTTTTACTTGGAAGGCACTAGGGTCATATTTTATTACTGATTTCTTGCTTCCTAATGTTCACTATCAAATTAATTTAATTTATGTGTATCCACGCATGATTCATTACTTATTTCTAAGAAAAAGCATATTTCAAAGCAGGTCAGACATTGGTAAATTACATGTATGCTGCAATAATTTAATATGACTGCTTAATAAAGAAAGGACTGCTATAAAAATCATTCCCTCAAACCTCTGGAGAATTTAGGTTAGTGGTACAAGCAGAAATTTTTCCTCCCAGGCTGCTGGTATATTTATGAAAATGGATAATCAAAGCCATTTTGAAATGTCATTTATTCTATTCCTTTTATGTTTGGGAAATTTCTTTTTTTAAATAACATGTTTGTATTGACAGAAATTAATTTGGCACTTGTGAAAGGTGCTTCAAGGATAGTACTATGAGTTGTTTTTAAGCTTTCTTATTCTCTTGAACAACTCATTATTGTCATGAGCACCATAGAGGGAAATAGCCTGGTATTTGTTTTTCTCTGCACCTTACAGAGCTGTCTTTGAGATCAAAGAGATTCCTGTGTGAGAGGAGGCTCATGGAGTGCAGGACGAACAGGCAGCTAATGCCAAACAGGCAGGGGAGTCTGATTGTGAAGACCAACTTCCAAGTAACCAAAAATATCAGCAGCTGACATAGGGAAACAAGCATTACAGGATTATAGAGTTTTGAAGTCCAATCTCAGTTAGAGAAAACCTAGCCTGACATTTGTATTTCACAACTGATTATACTGAAAAGGAGAGAGTATCCAAGACCTCAAAGTCAATTGCAGAAAAAGAAAAGGTTATTAAAATAATGATGAATAATGCCACCAGAAACCGTTTGAGTTCTGGTCTAAGCTAGAACAAAAATTAGGTGACATATTCACCAGTAAGCGCTAACTATAGGTGGGAAAGGGCTTCAAGATGCTAAGTAGAGGAAAACAGCCAAGAGTCAAGAATCTTTAAAAAGACAAAAAAAAGGAAATGAGATTCATCATATTATTATTTTTATTTATGGCTACAAGAATATTAAGAATGAATTAGAGAAACAGTCACTGAAAACGTATGAAAACTTTTCTACTAGGACATATTTTATTCTATTTAGGAACGATTTTCACCAAAGTGTCTCTGGTCTCCCTGGTGACTTCCAGGGAGTTGGATTCAGCAAGAAATCTATGAAAAGATGACTCAGGAGGAAAGACCCATTAAGATAGGATCCTTTATGAACAGGACACAAAATGTATTTGCCAACTTTACACTTTAGTTCATGGTATGATACCCAGTATTAACTCTGGTACCATTTCTAGCTTAACCAGTTATGAAGTTGAGACTATGATTCTAAAACACTTATGAAGTTGAGACTATGATTCTAAAACAAACCTCATCCAAGCAAATATATTATAAATTTGAATCTACAAATTAGGATAAATACAGTATAATAGTGTAAAACTACAAGTTACACACACAACAAAAAAAGTCCCCAGAATTAGCTCAAAATTTCATAGAAGGAAACTTAAATTGCCATATTTACCAGAATGTAGGTAAATATTTGCCTCCATTGTCAATTGGTGCAAATATTTAAACAGCATAGGTACCTGTTTACTTAAAAGGTTGGCGTTGATTCCCTTGTTACTATAGGAGATAGTTAAAGTTGATTTCGTGCTCTAACTAAAAGCTTTCATATCTCTACTCTTGGGAGGAGTGGATGAATTCTACTACTGAAAGCTAAGGAGTTCTCTATGTGTTCAGGCCCTATCAATATGTTTGTCTGAATCATTTCTAACAATGTTAGTAGTTACTCTAGGTAACCAGGAATTGTTTTATTTTTTGGATATTGTACACATTTACTCTGGCACATGCACCAGAATTCAAGGGAGAAAACAATATAAAATTAGCAACTAGGTGCTTTGGTATGTATCTTAAGTGGACTAGTCACTATTTCCTGGAAATTCATACTAGTTTACACTTACATTAATTGCACACTCTGTTCTGGATGCTTGGAACACCCTTTCTTTTCCCAACAATGCATTTCTGTTTACCTCCTGAAGACTCAATTTCCTTTATCTTTCCTTCAGTATTAGAGAAAACTATATGTAGACTATATATATGTTAAATGGCAAACTGCTTTGTCATTTAACAACATGTGGAGATTATCTCATATTCTATCATATTCTATTAGCATATATAGATGTATTTTTAATGTACTACAAAGTTTTCCATTACATTACATAAAACAATTTATTCAGTCCCTTATTGGCACTATTAGTAGTGTCCAGTTTGTGCAATAACGAAAAAGGCTGCAAAAGATTGTAAATTGGTGTATCTTTATGTGTGTGTCTTTGAACATATGAAATTATAGCTAGAAATTGCTGTGTTTAAAGGGCATATTTATTTTAAATTTTGGTACCAATTTCCAAATTGCTCTATCAAGGGCTTACAACAACAGAAATAGGATTTACGAATGTTTCTTTGCCCATCCCAGAGCCAACACCCTACTATCAAACTTGATTTATCTTTGTACATCTGACTAGTGAAAAGTAGCATATTATTCTTAGTTTTTTAAAAATATGAGTCATTTAGATTCATTTTCTAGACTTTCTAAGGTTTTGTGTTCTATGTTGAACTACTTCAACCCATTTTTAGAAGTTCATGCACAGTTTGATAATATGAATATTTATTAATAATCTAACCTACAATCAGAATTTTTATTTTACTTTATTATTTTCTTTCTCACACTCTGTCTGCATCTTTTGTATTTATCTTTGTTAAAGCTTCTCTTGTTTGTTTCAGCCATTCTGCCAGCCTGTGTCGTGATGCCATCATCCACTGCATTAATTCCCCTCCCAGCCTTGTGCTCGCATCCTTCCATAAGAGCAACTGTCATTTTCTTCATTCAGATTTCTGGCCTTATGTGCTGTGGCCAGAACCCATCCAGATGACATGCTGTGGCCCTCAACTGAGGCCTTGCCCATCCTGACAGAATATCCCACGTGGCCTCTTATGCCCACCTCTAAGCTCTGAAACATGCTTGGGAGAAATCTCCTGCATAGGAACCATAGACGGAGATGTTTCTGCAGTATTTAAATGACAGTTGTTTACCCCCACCTCTCACCACTCATCATGCCTTCTCCTGGTTGTTTTAGTCAGCTGTATAATCAATCCTGATGAGTCATATCTTCACTACTGAGGGAAAGGGAATGGGAGAAAAGCTGAGGGAAACAGCTTCCTGATTTAGTTTATAAATCCACTGACTAAAAGAACAGACACTCTTGGTTTGTTTTTCCACCAACTCACACTTGAATGTTACGGAGTCATCTGATTTATCAAATACATTCACATTTTTTATTTCCTTTAAAGTGGCAGCTTTACTTAATAAAAAATAAAAACTGATCATCAATTGAATAAACCTAATTCAACTCTCCTTGCCCTTTTCTTCATGACTTACTATGGTCATCTTATTTTCATCTGCAGATGATTCAAACTTATTGTAATTCCTTCATATCCTTCCAAATCTTTTCCCCGAATCTTTTTAATTTGGGAGTTCTATCTAGACACACCCAGAGAGCTGGGTCTCAGGGCCCAGGAGATGTCCAAATCCCCTCTCCAGAGGGCAAAAGTATAGGGTAGGCAGGAAATGATCTACTTCTTTAAAATCACAGCATGTCTAGACTTATGCCCAAATACATCGGTTCATGATAAAGTAGTAAGTAGGACTTTTGTGGAAAAATACATGGTAGAGAAAACAACACAGAAGCTTACATCCTTTGAAAATTGGACATTGCATAGGGTTCAGGAATTGTCTAGCCACAGGTTGTTTACATGTGGTCTGAGCATTTTCTTAATGTGATCCTGTACTTAAGTGTATATAGGTTCAGCCAGAAAAGAGAAAGATGAACATCAAATTGTTGCAATGCCAGAAGAAAATTATAGGGTGTTCCCATGTTTGAAAGATCACTAGTTTTCACCATTGGTTTGGAGCAATGAATTATCCATAAATAAAAACCTTAGAGATCTCTGACCAAAAACATATACTTTGTTTACAAAAAGTACAAGTTCAATGAGTAGCCACTCCTATCAAAAAGATTAAGTGTATTCAATTTGAAAAAAAAGTTAGAGAAAGTAAAAGCATGAAGTAGCTTTGGAAATTTTCTGCCAACATATTCTAGAGTTTTCTTTCCCATACTGACTTATTTTATAACCAAAAAAAAAAAAAAAGAAGAAGAACTTTTGTTTTTGTTTTTCCTTTGTTTCGTTTTGAGACAGGGTCTTGCTCTGTTGCCAAGGCTGAAGTGCAGTGATGTGATCACTGTAATTCCAGATTCCTGAGATAAAGTGATCCTTCCACCTCAGCCTCCCAAATAGCAAGGACTACAAGTATATGTCACCACTCTGAGCTAATACTTTTTCTTATTTGTAGAAACAAGGATCTCACTATGTTGCCTAGGCTGCTCCAACTCCCAGCCTTAAGAGATCCTCCCACCTGAGTCTCCCAAAGAACTTGGCTTACAGGCATGTGCCACCTTGCCTGGACAGAAAAAGCTTTTAATAACTAATTCTATTTAGGAAAGTCTGTAAATAATGATGGCTTTCATTTATTGATTGCTTACTCTGTGCAAGACACTATACTAAGAAGTTTACATGCATCATCTCATATGATCTTCAAAGTAACCCTGTACATTGGTCAACACTGGCCCCACAAATCTATGACAAATAGAAATTCAACACAATTGACAACTCAAAAGTTTATTTCTGACACACAAAAGTTTATTCTAATCCAGTGTGGGTCAGGTAAATTTCCAGGGTAGTCATCCTCAGATTTCACATCACTGCAATACAAAACAGCTACACATTGCACCGCAGCTTTCAAATTCTTTGGACTAGAAGTGGCACACATCACTTTTATTAACAGCCCACTGACCAGAATTACTTGTATGTCTAAATGTAACTGCAAAGGAGGTGGGAAATGTGAGGAAGCACATGGATATTTACTGAGCAGTATATTTTCTATATTCTATAGAGTAGGCATTATCTCCATTTTATAGATAAAGAAACTGAAGTGTATCTATAAATTTACAGCTACAGAGAAGCAGATCTCTAATTCAAACAATAAACTGCATCAGCTGTTCAAATATTGGAACCACCTTTGTTTTGCTGATAGTGGTAAGGCTGCCTTACTTATCTTTGCATCTTATATAATAACTAGATAGAGATCAACAAATGCATTTAATGTAGATATAATATGACTTTTTATGAACTGAATAATGTGATTATTTCTTAAACCCTCAATTATAAATAAAAGATTCTCATACTTGTTATCTCTATCATCCCAAACACAGATCTCATACTAAGTGCTCAATTAGTAAGTATGGATTGGTTGATTGACTGAAACAATTTTCAGCTTCCCATTAATACTTTCCATTTGGACTAGTTATTTGTATTTTCACCTTCTAATGGCAGAGGTAAAATATCCTAAATAAAGCCAAAGACTTTTCTGGAAAAAGAAGAGAGTTATTTATTCTAATTTTTCTAGATTTACCTGATGATTTTCAACTTGGGTAAAGAAAAAAGCACTTTAAAGTTATTGAAAGCTGACACATACCACAGAGTAGCGGAAAAGAAAACATTGTTACCAGCCAATCATTATGATTTTATATGATTTGGTTGTCTTCTTTTTAACACATTATTTTCAGTTTCTAGGACAGCCATAATTTTGCATGAGTTTATACCAGATTTCTTGCTCTGCCTTTATGTATTTTTTAAACTTTCTATTCTTTTTAATATTCTTCTATCCTCTTATTTTGTTTTTGAAAGTTTCTTCATCTCTCTTCTGGTATGTTATTTATCTTTTAAAATAATGTCCAATTTAGTATTTATATGCTATTTTGTTGAGGGTTTTTGTTGTTAACTGTTTCTTTCTTCTTGATTGTCCAGATGTTTTCACTTTACAGCTTTAACTGGACCTCCTTTTACCTCTAATATCCCTGACACTGTTCTTAGCATGACTACATACTCAAGTGATGCTTAAGTGGACTTGTAGGATGGTAGCATCAAGTCTATTTACAATCTCAGTCCTAATTTATGTTTCTTTTTTTTTTCAGCTTTCCATTATAATGGGTTTTTTGTCCTTTATTCTGTTCTTCCAAAGAGATCACACATTTTCTCTAACTTCCCGTTCTTAATTATGTAATGCGTTTAACACCCGGTTTGTGATATAACTTTACCCGTCTGTTTCTGTATAACTTCTATATAATTGTGTGTTGATGAAGAATATGTTCTTCATTTCTTTTTCAATTATGTATCTTTATATAAATTCATCTATTGATAATTAAGCATTTTGAATAAAATGAGCAGATAACCAAACCTGTTAAGCATAAGCTGTTTTGTTATTATTGTTTTTATATTCAAGAGTAATTAAAATCGAAGACATTAGTTATATCATGAGTTTCTTTTGGTCCAATGGATTACTTTCTTAAAAATTGTCAAGCTAATTACTAGGTAATTCAGCATTGACAAAATAATTGTTATAAAAATAAGTTTGGGTAGCTGTCAAGATAGCCAAATAGAAACAACTCTGATACGCAGCTCCCAGCAAGATCAATGCAGAAGGCAGGTGATTTCTGCATTTCCAACTGAGGTACCCAGCTCTTCTCATTGGGACTGGTTAAACAATGGGTACAGCCCACAGATGGCGATCCTAAACAGGGTGGGGCATCCCTCACCCAGGAAGTGCAAGGGGTCAGGGAACTCCCACCCCTAGTCAAGGGAAGCCGCGAGGAACTGTGCCTTGAGGAACTGTGCATTCTGGCCCAGAAACTAAGCTTTTCCATGGTCTTCGCAACCCGCAGACCAGGAGATTCCCTCGGTTGCCTACACTACCAGGGCCCTAGGTTTCAAGCACAAAACTGGGCGGCCATTTGGGCAGACACCAAGCTAGCTGCAGGAGATTTTTTTCATACCTCACTGGCGCCTGGAATGCCAGCGAGACAGAACCGTTCACTCCCCTGGAAAGGTGGCTGAAGCCAGGGAACTAAGTGGTCTAGCTCAGTGGATCCCACCCCTAGGGAGCCCTGCAATCTAAGATCCACTGGCTTGAAATTCTCGCTGCCAGCACAGCAGTCTGAAGTTGACCTGGGATGCTCGAGCCTGGTGGAGGGAGGAACGACTGCCATTACTGAGGCTTGAGTAGGCAGTTTTCCTCTCATAGTGTAAACAAAACCACGAGGAAGTTCATACTGGCTGGGGTCCACTGCAGCACCACAAAGCTGCTGTAGCCAGAATGCCTTTCTAGATTCCTCCTCCCTGGGCAGGGTATCTCTGAAAGAAAGGCAGCAGCCCCATTAAGGGGCTTATAGATAAAACTCCCATCTCCCTGGGACAGAGCACGTGGGGGAAGGGGTGACTGTGGGTGCAGCTTCAGCAGACTTAAACATTCCTGCCTGCTGGCTCTAAAGAGAGCAGTGGATCTCCCAGCACAGAACTGGAGCTCTGCTAAGGGACAGACTGCCTCCTCAAATGGGTCCCCGACCCCCGTGCCTCCCGACCCGGAGACACCTCCCAGCAGGGGTCAACAGACACGTCATACAGGAGAGCTCGGGCTGGCATCTGGCAGGTGCCCCTCTGAAATGAAGCTTCCAGAGGAAGGAACAGGCAGCAATCTTTGCTGTTCTGCAGCCTCCACTAGTGATACCCAGGCAAACAGGGTCTGGAGTGGATCTCCAGCTAACTCCAGCAGACCTGCTGCAGAGGGGCCTGACTGTTAGAAGGAAAGCTAACAAACAGAAAGGAATAGCATCAACATCAACAAAAAGGATGTCCACACAAAAACTCCATCCAAAGGTCACTGGCATCAAAGACCAAAGGTAGATAAATTCACAAAGATGAGGAAAAACCAGCGCAAAAAGCCTGAAAATTCCGAAGACCAGAATGCCTCTTTTCCTCCAAAGGATCACAACTCCTTGCCAGCAAGGAAACAAAACTGGGTGGAGAATGAGTTTGACAAATTGACAGAAGTATTCTTCAGAAGGGGGTAATAACAAACTCCTCCAAGCTAAGGGAACATGTTCTAACCCAATGCAAGGAAGCTAAGAACTTGAAAAAAGGTTAGACAAATTGCTAACTAAAATAACCAGTTTAGAGAAGAACATAAATGACCTGATGAAGCTGAAAAACACAGCATGAGAACTTCGTGAAGCATATACAAGTATCAATAATCAAATTGATCAAGCGGAAGAAAGGATATCAGAGATTGAAGATCAACTTAGCAAAATAAAGCATGAAGACAAGATTAAAGAAAAAAAGAATGAAAATGAATGAACAAAGCCTCCAAGAAATATGGGACTATGTGAAAAGACCAAACCTATGTTTGATTGGTGTACCTGAAAGTGATGAGGAGAGTGGAACCAAGTTGGAAAACACTCTTCAGGATATTATCCAGGAGAACTTCCCAACATAGCAAGACAGGCCAACATTCAAATTTAGGAAACACAGAGAACACCACAAAGATAATCCTAGAGAAGAGCAACCCCAAGACACATAATCATCAGACTGACCAAGGTTGAAATGAAGGAAAAAATGTTAAGGGCAGCCAGAGAGAAAGATCGGGTTACCCACCAAGGGAAGCCCATCAGACTAACAGCTGACCACTCTGCAGAAACCCTACAAGCCAGAAGAGAGTTGGGGCCAATATTCAACATTCTAAAAGAAAACAATTTTCAACCCAGAATTTCATATCCAGCCAAATTAAGTTTCATAAGTGAAGGAAAAATAAAATCCTTTACAGACAAGCAAATGCTGAGGGATTTCATTACCACCAGGCCTGCCTTACAAGAGCTCCTGAAGGAAGCACTAAACATGGAAAGGAAAAACTGGTACCAGTCACTGCAAAAATGTACCAAATTGCAAAGGCCATTGACACCATGAAGAAACTGCATCAACTAATGGGCAAAATAACCACTTAGCATCATAATGATAGGATCAAATTCACACATAACAATATTAACCTTAAATGTAAATGGGCTAAATGGCCCAATTAAAAGACACAGACTGACAAACTGTGTAAAGAGTCAAGACCCACTGGTGTGCTGTATTCAGGAGACCCATCTCATGTGCAAAGACACACATAGGCTCAAAATAAAGGGATGGAAGAATATTTACCAAGCAAATGGAAAGCAAAACAAACAAACAACAACAAGAAAAAAAAACAGGGGTTGCAATCCTAGTCTCTGATAAAACAGACTTTAAACCGACAAAGATCAAAAAAGATGAAGAAGGGCATTACATAATGGTAAAAGGATCAATGCAACAAGAAGAGCTAATTGTCCTAAATATACATGTACCCAATACAGGAGCACCCAGATTCATAAAGCAAGTCCTTAGAGACCTACAAAGAGAATTAGACTTCCACACAACAATTGTGGGAGACTTTAACACTTCACTGTCAATATTAGACAGATCAATGAGACAGGAAATTAACAAGGATATTCAAGACTTGAACTCAGATCTGGAGCAAGTGGACCTAATAGACATCTATAGAACTCTCCACCCCAAATCAATAGAATATACATTCTTCTCAAAACCACATCGCACTTATTCTAAAATTGACCACATAATTGGAAGTAAAACACTCCTCAGCAAATGGAAAATAATGGAAATCATAACAGTCTCTCAGACCACAGTGCAACCAAATTAGAACTCAAGATTAAGAAATTCACTCAAAACTGCACAACTGCGTGGAAACTGAACAACCTGCTCCTGAATGACTACTGGGTAAATAATGAAATTAAGGAAGAAATAAAGAAGTTATTTGAAACCAATGAGAACAAAAACACAATGTACCAGAATCTCTGGGACACAGCTAAAGCAGTGTTTAGAGGGAAATTTATAGCACCATATGCCCACAGGAGAAAGTGGGAAAGATTTAAAATCAACACCCTAACATCACAATTAAAAAAACTAGAGAAGCAAGAGCAAACAAAAAGCTAGCAAAAGACAACAAATAACTAAGATCAGAGCAGAACTGAAGGAGATAGAGACACAAAAACCCTTCAAACAATCAATGAATCCAAGAGCTGTTTTTTTGAAAAGATTAACAAAATAGATAGATCACTAGCAAGACTAATAAAAAAGAAAAGAGAGAAGAATCAAAGGGACACAATAAAAAATGATAAAGGGGACATCACCACTGATCCCAGAGAAATACAAACTACCATCAGAGAATACTACAAACACCTCTATGCAAATAAACTAGAAAATCTAGAAGAAATGGATAAATTCCTGGACACATACACCCTTCCAAGGCTAAACCAGGAAGAAGTCGAATCCCCAAATGTTCTGAAATTGAGGCAGTAATTAATAGCCTACCAACCAAAAAAAGTCCAGGACCAGATGGATTCACAGCCGAATTCTACCAAAGTTACAAAGAGGAGCTGGTACCATTCCTTCTGAAACTATTCCAAACTATAGAAAAGGAGGGACTGCTCCCTAACTCATTTTATGAGGCCAGCATCATCCTGATACCAAAACCTGACTGAGACACAACAAAAACAGAAAATTTCAGGCCAATATCCCTGATGAACATCGATGCAAAAATCCACAATAAAATACTGGCAAACCAAATCCAGCAGCACATCAAAAAGCTTATCCATCACAATCAAGTCAGCTTCATCCCTGGGATGCAAGGCTGGTTCAACATATGCAAATCAATAAACGTAATCCATCACATAAACAGAACCAATGACACAAACCACATGATTATCTCAATAGATGAAGAAAAGGCCTTCAATAAAATTCAACACCCCTTCATGCTGAAAACTCTCAATAAACTAGATATTGATGGAATGTATCTCAAAATAATAAGAGCTATTTATGACAAACCCACAACCAATATCATACTGAATGGGCAAAACCTGGTAGCATTTCCTTTGAAAACTGGCACAAGACAAGAATGTCCTCTCTCACCACTCCTATTCAACATAGTATGGGAAGTTCTGGCCAGGGCAATCAGGCAAGAGAAAGAAATAAGTGGTATTCAAATGGAAAGAGAGGAAGTTGAATTGTCTCTTTGCAGATGACATGATTATATATTTCAAAAACCCCATCGTCTCAGCCCAAAATCTCCTTAAGCTGATGAGCAACTTCAGCAAAGTCTCAGGATACAAAATCAATGTGCAAAAATCACAAGCATTCCTATGCCAATAATAAACAGTCAAATTATGAGTGAACTCACATTCACAATTGCTACAAAGAGAATAAAATACCTAGGAATACAACTTACAAGGGATGTGAAGGACCTCTTCAAGGAGAACTACAAATCACTGCTCAAGGCAATAAGAGAGGACACAAACAAATGGAAAAACATTCCATGCTCATGGATAGGAAAAATCAATATTGTGAAAATGGCCATATTGCTCAAGGTAATTTATAGATTCAATGCTATCCCCATCAAGCTACCATTGACTTTCCTCACAGAATTAGAAGAAAACTGCCTTAAATTTCATATGGAATTTGAAAAAAACCTGGATAGCCAAGACAATCCTAAGCAAAAAGAACAAAGCTGGAGGGATCACACTACCTGACTTCAAACTATACTATAAGGCTACAGTAATCAAAACAGCATGGTAATGGTGCCAAAACAGATATATAGACCAATGGAACAGAACAGAGGCCTCAGAAATAATGCCACACATCTACAACAATCTGATCTTTGACAAACCTGACAAATACAAGCAATGGGGAAAGCATTCCATATTTAATAAATGGTGTTGGGAAAACTGGCTACCCATGAGCAGAAAACTGAAACTGGACCCCTTCCTTACACCTTATACAAAAAGTAACTAAAGATGGATTAAACACTTAAATATAAGACCTAAAACAATAAAAACCCTAGAAGAAAACCTAGGCAATACCATTCAGGACATAGGCATGGGCAAAGACTTCATGACTAAAACAACAAAAGCAATGGCAACAAAAGCCAAAATTGACAAATGGGATACAAGTAAACTAAAGAGCTTCTGCACAGCAAAATAAACTATCATCAGAGTGAACAGGCAACCTACAGAATAGGATAAAATTTTTGCAATCTATCCATCTGACAAAGGGCTAATATCCAGAATCTACAAGGAACTTAAATAAATTTACAAGAAAAAAAAAACTCACAAAAAGTGGATGAAGGATATGAACAGACACTTCTCAAAGAAGACATTTATGCAGCTACCAAACATAAGAAAAAAAGCTCATCATCACTGGTCATTAGAGAAATGCAAGTCAAAACCACAATGAGATACCATCTCACACCAGTTAAAATGGCAAACATTAAAAAGACAGGAAACAACAGATGCTGGAGAGGATGTGGAGAAATAGGAATGCTTTTACACTGTTGGTGGGAGTGTAAATTAGTTCAACATTGTGAAAGACAGTGTGGCGATTCCTCAAGGATCTAGAACCAGAAATAGCATTTCACCCAGCAATCCTATTACTGGGTATATACCCAAAGGATTATAAATCATTCTACTATAAAGACACATGCACATGTATGTTTATTGCAGCACTATTCACAATAGCAAAGACTTGGAACCAGCCCAAATGCCCATCAAAGATAGACTGGATTAAGAAAATGTGGCACATATATACCATGGAATACTATGCAGCCATAAAAAAGGATGAGTTCATGTCCTTTGCAGGGACATGGATGAAGCTGGAAACCATTATTATCAGCAAACTAACACAGGAGCAGGAAACCAAACACTGCATGTTCTCACTCATAAGTGGGAGCTGAACAATGAGAACACATGGACACAGGGAGGGGAACATCACACACTGGGGCCTGTTGCAGGGTGAGGAGCTAGGGGAAGGATAGCATTAGGAGAAATACCTAATGTAGATGACAGGTTGATGAGTGCGGCAAACCACCATAGCATGTATATACCTATGCAACAAACCTGTACGTTCTGCACATGTATCCCAGAGCTTCAGTAAAATAATAATTTAAAAAATTATATAATATATGCAATTAGAAATATTTATTACAAAAGTATAATTTTTGAAATGAACACAATTCTGTTTAGCAAAGAATTAACTTTATCCAAAGAGAGGACTGATTGACCTTTGGGAAGTAAGCTGTAAATGCTTAGAATTATTCAAATGACGGAAATCTCTCCCCTGTCAACATAACTGAAGGTTTATGCTAATGAGATGACTCAAGGTGGGGGCTGGCAGTGCCAGAAAGACCAACCCAGTGGTTAAAGGTTTGGAATTTGAGCCACATGAAACAGCCTCTAAGGAGGGAGAGGCTCTAAGGAGGGAGAGGGTGGAGATTGAGCTCAACCATGTGTGCAATAACTCAATCAATACTGCCTACGTAATGAAGCCTCAGTCAATACTCTGGACACTGATGCTTGGTCAAGCTTCTGGAGTTGACAATACTCTGTGTTTTTCTACATATGAATACCAGAAGGGTAACACATCCTTAAGAACACCCCTGTGCATTTGGGAGCCTGCAACACTCACATTCGACTTTCTGCATCTTTTTTTTTTTTTCTGGTTCTGAATTTTTATCCTTTTCCTATAATAAAAAATAATTATAAGTACAGCAAAATTAAAAAGTTTTTAAAAAATTTTTAACAAATATTTCTTGGGTACCTACTAAACCTCAGGCATTATGTTGGAGACTGAAGTCACATTAGAGAAAACAGACAAAATGCAGACTCTCACAGAGCTTACATTTTGGTCTGGAAGAAAGAAAATAAAAAGCAAAGTAAACAGAATTATAAAAGATTGTAAGTTGCAAAATCATGAGATTTTTAAAAGCACAACTTGAGACACATATACTCTCAATAGCAGAGTCAGGAACTATTTCTGTGAGGCAGTCATATTCACACTGCTGTCTAGTGGACGAGAAGGTTCTCAAAGTGGGGAAGAGCAGGAGGTCTACAAAGGCCTTGAGGGGGATCAATTCAGTATGTTTGTACAGTAGAGAGATGGCTGCTGTGATATAGGGCCAAAGCAGGGGATCAGGATTAACCAGGGAGGGGGCAGAATCACATCAAGTGTGAAACGTAGGCAGAGGCCAGGTAACACACAACCTTGTGGTTGAAATTTTATTATGTTAGATATCGGAAGACTTTAAAAGGTTTTAAGCAGGGAAGTAGCATGAGTCTACTTACGTTTCCATCAAAATATATTTATTAAGTGCCTACGGTGTGCCAGGCATGGGTTTAGACACTGGGGACATAGCAGTGAACAAAATAGACACAAATATCAGGTGGCATAGAAATTTCATTATAGTGTTTTAAGAATATCCTAGTGATTGCTGAGTGAAGAAGGGATCAGGGCAGCCAAGACTATGAAACGACCAATAAGAAATTTCTCACCAGATTCTAATAGACAGATGATGAATGCAGGTCTCCAGTTGAATGACTCACCTAGCCTGGTATGATTGTATGAATAAGATGATTTCAATGCACATTCATTGTCTTTTAAAATCCAACCAGTATAAAGTGATATACAACAAAGAATGCACAATAATCATTAAATCAAGATATATTATATACAAATATAAATTCCAGATGGATTAAAAATCTTAACATAGATAACAACCATAAAATGCAAAGGAATATTTTTTCAATTCTGAGGCTCAGAAAGCCTTTCTAAGCATAGCCTGAAACCCAGAAACAATAAAGGAAAAAAATGAAAAGTTTAACTACATAAAAATAAAAAGTCTTGTCAGGCACAATGGCTCACATCTTTAACCCAGCACTTTAGGAGATTAAGGCAAGAGGATTGATTGAGGTCAGGAGTTTAAGACCAGCCTGGGCCACATAGTGAGACCCTGTCTCTGCAGAACATTTTTAAAAAATGAGCCAGATATAGTGGTGTGTGCCTGTGGTCCTAGCTACTCAGGAGGCTGAGGCAGGAGGATCACTTGAGTCAAGTGGTTCGATGTTACATGAGCTGTAATTGTGCCACTGTACTTCAGCCTGAGCAACAGAGCAACACTCCATCTCTAAAATATATATATAAAATAAAAATAACTCTGAAAGGCAAAAATCTCATAAATCTAGTTTAAAACACAGCAAAACCTGGGGGGTGGGGAGAAGCTGGCAAAATGCATATAAGGCATTAATAGATAATACAGAAAGACCTCCAAGAAATCAATACAAAACATTTTTAGAAGTCCATTTTAACTTCTGTCAACATTAGCAGGACATCTAATTTGAATGCCCACTACTGTGCTCATTCGAGAAAGTTCAATAAATATCTTTTCATGCCTAACATGTACTAAGGGCTAGAGAGATCAGTATAAACACAACAGATGTGTACCACTCTCTCAGGTAACTTACAGTTTGGATTTGATTCTTACGTGATAAAAGCATTCCATTATAGGATCATCTCTCTGTGCCCACAGTACTAATAAATAATTCTAATCCATTTGTTTATTTATTTCTCCATAGTTCTATTATGTTTTCCATTGTTTTGGAAATATTATAATTCTCATGCTACAGGGTCCCACAATGGGGTAATGTATATTTTTAAGGAATATTTCCTGTTTCTTAATTCATCATACTTTTAACCAACTTATTGGGCTCACATTCTGTACCAGGCTGTAATATATGCTAGGACTATAAAGGTCAGTAAAGGTGATTCCTGTTCTCAGGGAATTTACAGCCTAGGGGGAACAAAGACTAATTTATCAGGAAGCACAGAATGGCAGATGCATGCTCTCATAGAGGAACATATGGAACTGGATAGGAACAGAGAGGGGCCATCCAAATCAGACTCAGAGTAAGGAAAGGACATGGAGGCTTCTGGGTTGATGGTGGTAAAATTTCATAAAATCTCTGGGTTTCAGCCAAGTGAAGAAGGGGAGGGGCCTCCTCAGCAGAGGGACTAGAAAGTGCCAAGGCAGGAGTGAAGCAACATGATGTGCCTGGAAAACCTCTAGAAAGTGAAGTGTTTATGACAATCAGGGGCAGTAGATAAGGTTAGAAGGCAGACAAGGAAGCTCTGCTGAGGATTTAAAAATTATTCTGAAAGCTATGGGGAGCCACTGAAGAAATTTAAGCAGGGGTTTAAATTCCTTTAAATTTAATAATGACTACCCTGAAAACAGTGTGGAAAAGATAATTAGGGCCGGGCGCGGTGGCTCACGCCTGTAATCCCAGCACTTTGGGAGGCCGAGGCGGGCGGATCACGAGGTCAGGAGATCGAGACCATCCTGGCTAACACGGTGAAACCCCGTCTCTACTAAAAATACAAAATATTAGCCGGGCGTGGTAGCGGGCGCCTGTAGTCCCAGCTACTCTCGGGAGGCTGAGGCAGGAGAATGGGGTGAACCCGGGAGGCGGAGCTTGCAGTGAGCCGAGATCGCGCCACTGCACTCCAGCCTGGGCGACAGAGCGAGACTCCGTCTCAAAAAAAAAAAAAAAAAAAAAAAAAAAAAAGATAATTAGGTGGTAATTGCATAAATCCATCTTAAAAGTGATGAGAACTGAATGAAAGCATGCTGGATCTCCTGTTATGAATCCAGCAGAAAATTTTAAAACATAGTTGATGACCTATTGGAGGGGAGGGATGGAAGGATAAATGAAAGAGATGGGTTCAAGATGGCTCCAAGTTTTCTAACCTGGATGCTGCAGTGAATAATGGTTCCATTCATGAAGATAAGGCATATAAGAAGAGCAAGTTTGGAGATAAATAGGATAAACTCCAGCTGGTCATATTGGATTTCAGGTGAATTGACTATCTAACTGAATATGTCCAGGAAGCTAGTGAGTATGTGGGTCAGGAGCTCAGGAAAGACGACTGCACTGAACATTAAGATTTGTTACTGGCCTGGTGCGGTAACTCACGCCTGTAATCCCAGCACTTTGGGAGGCCAAGGCAGGCAGATAATGAGGTTAAGAGATCAAGACCATCCTGACCAACATGGTGAACCCCGTCTCTACTAAAAACACAAAAATTAGCTGGGCATGGTGGCATGCGCCTGTAGTCCCAGCTACTCGGGAGGCTGAGCAGGAGAATTGCTTGAACCTGGGAGGTGGAGGTTGCAGTGAGCTAAGATCATGCTACTGCACTCTGGCCTGGTGACAGAGACAGACGCTGTCTCAAAAAAAAAAAAAGATGTTTTACCAAATAAGTTGTAACAGAAACCATGGGTTAATATGAGATCACTCAGGGAGAAGATGTGGAATGCAAAGAATAGGTATATTAAAAGGTAGTCCTGAGAAACCAGTTGAGAGGGAGTGGAGGAGAAGAAAAAGAAAAAGAGGAGTCAGAGGGAAAAGAGAATATTCAGAAACCTGTAATGACACAAATCCAGTGAAAGTTTTAGGATGTGTCACTGATATATTGCAAGGTACAGCTAAAATATAAATTTGTCTCTGAGCAATGTCCTTTAGTTCCACAGATTTAAGTGGATAAGTAACCAGATAATTAGAATAGAATGTATGTTAGGTGAGTTTACAATGGGGTAAGGTACATACCTATGTGAGCCCACAGAAAGGCTGGAAAGTTGTTAATGTTGTGTGCTGCTATTGTTGTTTTCTGAAGAAAGTGATGCCCAAAACAGACTTGAAGGAAAAAATTGAGTTATTTTAGTGAGGTGTTGATGGAAGATAGAAAAAGGTAATCCAAGAAGAGGAAATATATTCAAAGACCCCAAGGCATGAAAGGATATGATTAGAACAGAGTGTTAAGAAGGACATTAGCAGAGGTCAGATTGTGCAGGATCTTGTGAACTTAGGTAACGTATTACTTGTACGTAGATGATTCCCAAGTGTTTATGTATATACAGTCTCTAACTCTTTCTAAACCTCTATTTTGTCTTCCAATTACCTTCTAAAATTGTTCATCTGTTAGTCTCAAAATATATAAAAGCTAATTATGCTTTAGTAATAATCCTGTGGACTCATGAACCAGGCTGCCTTTATTTGATCCCTGCTCTTTCACTCAACACTGTATTGAACTTAGCCCAGTTACTTAGCCTTTCTATGTACTGGTACCTCATCTATTTGGTGGGGATAATGATAAGAACTACTTCATAGGATTTTAATGAACATTAAATGAGTTAATACATGCAAAGTGATTAAAACAGTGTCTGGCAGAGAGTGAGCCACAATAATTATGTATAAAACTAAGTATATCAACATTTCTGAAACTTTGTATTTCTATATTTACTCTCCATATCAATGGCTCACTATCTTCCAGTCATACAGGTTGGAATCTTGATGTCACCCACTAGAATGTGAGCTCCATGAGGGTTGGGAGTATGCCTACCTTGTTGTTGGCACCATCTAGAGTGCGCTTCACACTGGAAGCTCAGTGAAAATTTGTTCAATAAATAAATGACTCATGATGATTCTCTGTCACTTACTCTTAAAATCTCAGCTGTCAAAACCTATTAATCCTACTTCTATAAGATCATTCACTTGTATGTCTTCTTCTTTGTCCACTGTCTCCACTTTCACTTTTTGGTTGAGTACTATAAGGCCACTATAAAGTCTTCTAACTGGCCTCTGTGTATCCATTTTCCTTTTCTACCCAGGCTCCCTGTCCTTCACACACACACACACACACACACACACACACACACACACACACACACACACACACACATCTCCATGGACTCATTGCCACTAGATTCAGATTTTTAAAACAGTTTTGATCCAAATACAAACATGTTATCCTAGAACTCGAGGCTTTTTTTTTTTTTTTTTTGAGAAGGAGTCTCACTCTGTCGCCCAAGCTGGAGTACAGTGGTGTGATCTTGGCTCACTGCAACCTCTGCCTCCCAGGTTCACGCCATTCTCCTTCCTCAGCCTCCCGAGTAGCTGGGAATACAGGGGCCCACCACCATGCCCCGCTAATTTTTTTTTTGTATTTTTATTAGAGATGGGTTTCACCATGTTAGCCAGATGGTCTCGATCTCCTGATCCCATGATCCACCCGCCTGGGCTTCCCAAAGTGCTGAGATTACAGGTGTGAGCCACCATGCTCAGCCGAGACCTTTTATAATATCACTCTAATCTACTTTCCCAGTATTGAGTTCTGAATTGGATCATAGAACGAAAAGGGAAACAAATACATAACATATATTTTTTGCAATGTATGCTAAATTACAAACAATATAGTAAAGATGATATGTACTATCTTTTGAGAGACATTCCTGTAACTCTCTCTTAAGATTGGTGTAACTTAGAAATGTTTATAATAAAAGATAGTATTAGATGAACCTTGAGAGAAATGTAGAACTCAGATGAGCAGAACAGTAAGCAAAGTGTATTCTAGGAAGGCAGAAAAAAGATGTAAATATAGAAATGTCTAGGGCATGTAGATATGAGATATTCAAGGAAGGCAGATAAGGAATCATGGGGTCTGAGCTTTGATGGTAAAGTTCAGACACGAGATAATTGAGGATATGTGGGTCCATGTTGACAGAAAGCTGTTTGGAGGAAAGAAAAGATAAGCACAGATTCAGATCTATTAAGTTCCAGGAGAAAAAGGTCCCAACAGAAATATTCAGTGAGAAAGGGCTTGAACTTAAGTTACTATTATGGGTTGAACAAGAAATTTGGGAGTCATCTAAACATAGAAGGTTGTTGTAATCACAACAAAGAGTGTGCCCATATTGAGGACATAAAAGATGAAAAGAATTCATAGCAGAAGACAGATTGGTAACAAAGAGAAAACCAATAAAGAGCAGTTTCATCTACATCAATGGAGAAAAAGAGATTTTAAAGGAAGAATCAACCGTGTTAAAATTATTGGGTAGAGGTGGAAGAAAATAAGCATCGGCTGTGTCATTGATTTAAAGCCTATTGTCAATCTTGAAAAAAAAGAGGGTGCTAAGAAACTAAATTGCATCCATTCATTTCATAAATAACTATTGAATATCTACTAAGTGCCAGCCACTGAAGTGGATACTAAAAATATAATAGGGAACAAAATAGATAGGGTCTTTAACTTCAGAAACCTTAAGACTGTGAAACAGACAACCAGATAGTTAGAATAGAATGTATAGATGGGGGGGTCCCCTATGAAAGCCCACAGAAAGGCTGGAAAGTTGTTAACGTTGTGTGCTGCTATTGCTTTTTTCTGAAGTAAGTGACGCCCAAGGCCGACTTGGAGGATAAATTGGAGTGAGTTGAGTGAGGTGTTGATGGAAGAGAGAACAAAGGTAATCCAGGAACAGGAAAATATGTTCAAAGACCCAAGGCATGAAAGGAGGTGATCAGAAGACAGAGTGGAGAGACAGGACATGAGTAGAGGTCAGATTGTGGAAGGCCTTGTGAACTGAGCGTATTAGTTAGGGTTCTCTGAAGGGACAGAACTAATAGGTTACATGTATATATGAAAGGGACTTTATTAAAGAGAATTGATTCACACGATCACAAGGTAAAGTCCCACGATAGGCAGTTTGCAAGTTGAGGGGCAAGGAAGCCAGTAGTGGATCAGTCTGGAGTCCCAAAACCTCAAAAGTAGGGAAGCTGACACTGTAGCCTTCAGTCTGTGACTGAAGGCCTGAGAGTCCCTGGAAAAAACACTGGTGTAAGTTCAAGAGTCCAAAAACCAAAGAACCTGGAGTCTGATATTCAAGGTCAGGAAGCATCTAGCACAGGAGAAAGATGAAGGCCAGAAACTCAGAATGTCTGCTAATTCTACCTTCTGCCTGTTTTTTACTAGCTGCACTGGCAGCTGAGGAAATGGTGCCCACCCAGATGAAGGGTAGGTCTTCCTCTCCCAGTCCGCTGACCCAAATGTTAATCTCCTCTAGCAACACCCTGGCAGACATACCCAGAAACAATACTTCAATTCAATCAATCCTTCAACCCAATCAAGTTGACATTTAATACTAACCATCACAAATCCACCCCTTGTCAACTTGAACCCATATAGATCTCCAAATAAAGACAATAATAAGGTCATAATTATGCCTAACATAATACAGCTATCTTTTGTACAACCAGAAGTGCACTAATCCTTAACCTAAATGTTACTACATAAAGTTAACAACACTTAATGCTGATATGGAGTCAATAAATCTTATGTTGCATGATAAAGGAAAAAGAAAGGAAATAAAATGAAGATATTTTCTTAGTACAAGTATATATATATACACAAACATTTTCTTAACAAAATAAGGAGGAAATATTCATGACAATTACAGTCCTCGTTTCTGCAACTGGTCACGTGGTCATAGCTGGTATTGACGACTATCTTCTTCTACTACCCATCCTGTATTCCCTTTGCCTTCAGCTAGCACCTCAGCAGGCATGGTTTTTCACCTGGTGGAGTGAACCAAACCTTCATTCCTGAAGAGTCTGGGCCGTTTGTAGTCCCTGCATGACTGGGTTGTTGTAGTTTCCCACTGACTTAATCACAGGGCATGGTAATACTAAGAGATGCCCGAAAAGATCTCCTGCATTCCACACATACTCTTCCTTACCTCCATTGTGGAGTGGTAGACTTTCATCTTGATAGTCTAAGGTCAATCACCCCAACCAACACTCTAACTCCCTTCTTAGCCTGTTAATTTAGAAGTAGGAGGAACCCAACATGGCCAGGTGGCAATCTTTTTTTTTTTTTTCCTAAATAATTTTTATTTATTTATTTATTATTATTATTATTATACTTTAAGTTTTAGGGTACATGTGCACAATGTGCAGGTTTGTTACATATGTATACATGTGCCATGTTGGTGTGCTGCACCCATCAACTCATCATTTAGCATTAGGTATAACTCCCAGTGCTATCCCTCCCCCCTCCCCCCACCCCACAACAGTCTCTGATGTGTGATGTTCCCCTTCCTGTGTCCATGTGTTCTCATTGTTCAATTCCCACCTGTGAGTGAGAACATGTGGTGTTTGGTTTTTTGTCCTTGTGACAGTTTGCTGAGAATGATGGTTTCCAGCTTCATCCATGTCCCTACAAAGGACATGAACTCATCCTTTTTTATGGCTGCATAGTATTCCATGGTGTATATGTGCCACATTTTCTTAATTCAGTCTATCATTGTTGGACATTTGGGTTGGTTCCAAGACTTTGCTATTGTGAATAGTGCTGCAAAGGTGGCAATCTTAACTTCCAGTTTAGTGGAATCATTGTTGTGTCTCCTGGTGACAGCATTCCTCCCTCTGGAGTTAAGACCTCTAGGCCAGCAGAATGTCGGGTAACAGAAAGCAAAAATTTTGCTAGTGAGTCACTGGGGGTGATGGTGAGTGGTGCCACTTCAACTTCCACCCCTTCATTCCTGAACCCATGAATCCTGGCTATGGGAAAAAGAGTACCATATATTGGATCCTAATTTAGAGCATACATAGCCTTCTGAAAAGCCCTGAAAAGCCCTGTCACCTACTTGGTGTTGTAATTGTGACTTCAAAAGGCCATTCCACCCATCTATCAATCCAGCTGCTTCAGGATGATGGGAAACATAGTAAGACCAGTTAATTCCATGAGCATGAGCCCATTGCTGTACTTCTTTAGCTGTAAAGTGAATGGCTTTGTCAGAGGCAATGCTGTGTGGAATACCATGATGGTGGATAAGGCATTTTGTGAGTCCACAGATGGTAGTCTTCGCAGAAGCATTGAGTGCAGGATAGGCAAACTCACATGGGGAGTAAATGTTTATTCCACTGAGGACAGACTGCTGCCCTTTCCATAATGGAAGAGGTCCAGTATAATCAACCTGCCACCAAGTAGCTGGCTGATCATCCCGAAAAAAGGTGCCATATCAAGGGCTCAGTGTTGGTCTCTACTGCTGGCAAATTAAACACTCAGCAACGGCCATAGCCAGGTCAGCCTTGGTGAGTGGAAGTCCATGTTGCTAAGCCCATGTGCAACCTCCATCCCTGCCACGATGGCCACTTTGTCCATGGGCCCATT
The DNA here is from genome assembly GCF_000001405.40 of Homo sapiens. NCBI lineage: Eukaryota > Metazoa > Chordata > Mammalia > Primates > Hominidae > Homo > Homo sapiens. The sequence continues at coordinate 81,885,632 of NC_000006.12, forward strand.
AGGCAATGACACGGGTGGCTGGGGAAAAAGGCTGAGCAGTGTTCACAGGATGAATCATCCTATTCACTTGATTATTAAAGTCCTTCTCTGTTAAGGTCATCCTCTGGTTAGCATTCACATGGGATACAAATATCTTCAGTTTTTGACCACTCAGAGAGGTCCATCCACATCCCCCTTCCCCAAATTTCTTTGTCACCAATTTTCCAATCATGTTTCTTCCAAGTCCCTGACCAGCCAGTGAAACCATTGGCTACAGCTCATGAATTAGTATATAATCACACATCTGGCCATTTCTCTTTCCAAGCAAAGTCACTGCTCGAAGTTCTGCCCACTGGGAAGATTTCCCTTGGCCACTTGTTCTTCAGGAATGTCCTAGAAAGGGGCTGTAGTGCTGTAGCTGTCCACTTTCGGGTGGTGCCTGCATATCATGAATGGCCTTCTGTAAACCAGGCCCTAGTCTCCTCTTCCTCTGTCAACTGATCTTAGGAAACTCCCAATGAGGCCATCAGTGCAGGCTGGGGGAGAGAGGGCAGGGTGGCAGGAGTGGAGACCATGGACATTTGAGCCACTTCCTCATGTAACTTACTTGTGTCTTCAGGAGCTACTCAAACCCAATCAAGTATAAATAACTTCCATTTCATGATGGAAGGCTGCTGAAGTGTGCATGCCCCACTTTATGGCTAGATGGGTCAGAAAGCACCCAGTTCATGATAGGCGGTTCAGGTCACATGGTGACTTGATGAGTCATAGTCAAATGTTCAGTTTCTACCAAAACCCAGTAACAGGCCAAGAGCTGTCTCTCAAAAGCAGAGTAGTTATCTGTAGAAGATGGCAGAGCCTTGCTCCAAAATCCAAGAGGCCTTTGCAGTGACCTATGGGGGCGTGCCAAAGGCTCCAAACAATATCCCTATCTGCCACTGACATCTCAAGTCCCATTGGATCTGCTGGGTAATATGGTCCAAGTGGCAGAGCAGCTTGCATAGCAGCCAGAACCTGTGGCAGAGCCTTCTCTTGTTCTGGACCCCACTCAAAACTGACAGCCTTTCAGGTTACTCGATAAATGGGCTGGAATAACAAACCTAAATGAGGAATGTGTTGCCTCCAAAATCCAGATAGGCCCACTAGGCATTGTGCTTCTTTCTTGGTTGTAGGAGGGGCCAAATGCAGCAACTTATCCTTCACCTCAGAAAGAATATCTCAACCAGCCCCACAACTACCGGACCCCTAGAAATTGTACTGAGGTAGAAGGTCCATGAATTTTAGTTAATTTCCCATGTCATGACACTCAAAAGTCTCATCAATAAGTCAAGTGTGTTTGCTACTTCTTGCTCACTGGATCCAATCAGCATAATGTTATCAATTTAATAGACCGGTGTGATATACTGTGGAAGGGACAAACAATCAGGATCTCTGTGAATGAGATTATGATAAAAAGCTGGAGAGTTGATATACCCCTGAGGTAGGACAGTGAAGGTATATTGCTGGCCTTGCCAGCTGAAGGCAAATTGCTTCTGGTGGGCCTTATGGACAGGAGTGGAGAAAAAGGTATTTGCCAAATCAATGGCAAATGGCTACATACCAAGTGCCAGGAGATGTGTTAATATGTTTCAGCAATGAAACCACATCTGGTACAGCAGCTGCAATTGGAGTCACCATTTGGTTAAGTTTAAGATAATCCACTGTTATTCTCCAAGATCCATCTGTCTTCTGCATAGGCCAAATAGGAGAATTGAACAGGGATATAGTGAGAATCACCACCCCTGCGTCTTTCACGTCCTCGTTGGTTGCACTAATCTCCACAATCCCTCCAGGGATATGATACTGGTTTTGATTTACTATTTTTCTAGGTAGAGGCAGCCCTAATGGCTTCCATTTGGCCTTTCCCACCATAGTAGCCCTCACCCTAACAGTCAGGGATCCAATGTGGGGATTTCTAAGAATGCTATGCCAATTATGCATTCTGGTACTAGGGAAATGACCACAGGATGAGTTTAGGGACCCACAGGACCCACTGTAAGTTAGATCTGAGCTAAAACTCCATTAACTACCTGACCTCCATAAGGCCCTACTTTAACTGGATGTATTAGTCAATTTTCACGCTGCTGATAAAGACATACTGAGACTGGGTAATTGACAAAGAAAAAGAGGTTGAATAGGTTCATAGTACCACATAGCTGGGGAGGCCTCAAAATCATGGTGGAAGGCAGAAGGCTTGTTTTACATGGTGGCAGGCAAGAGAAAATGAGAACCAAGCGAAAGGGGTTTCCCTTTATAAAGCCATCAGATCTCGTCGGACTTATTCACTGTCAATAAATTCAGCCTAATCCAACTTTCTGTTCTTTCCACCATTATCCCACACCCTTAATATCCATTTCCATGTCTGTTCTCCAGATTTCTGCTTATATAAGTTAGAAAACTAAAATAGTTCTTTTGGAGTGTAGCACACCTCCTTGTGGGTCATACTCTGAACCTTACCTCTAAGGGCTTGCTGGGACTTGAGTCTAGTTATAGGTCTAGAAGCAAACAGGGGTATTGGGGGTGGGTCCTGAGGAGAATCAGCATTGTCTTGCCTGGCAACTGCCTCATGGGATGTCATCAATGTTGCCTCAGGCAGTGCATGGTTAATCTCCTCAGACAAAGGTGGAAATGCTAAGGGCAGCCTAGGCAGGGGAGGGGATGCTGCCACCACTGAGGGTGGGGAGGCTGCATCCTCTGGCAAAAAAAGGTCATCAGAGTTTACAAGCTCAGTATCCCCAGCTTCATCAGGGTCCTCCCACACATCCCCATTCCAAATTGCAGGGTTCCATTCTTTTCCAATCAGTGTCCTCACTTTAACAGTAGACACCTGGTGAGACTAAGTGTATCCCTTTCATTGCAGCTCAGCCACTCACATGATAAGAGCTTGTGTCTGATTTTCTGAAATTTCAGCTCTTTGTCTACAGGAGATTAGAGTCTCACTCAGGGCAATCTTTGAAGACTTGTGGCTTAGTATGTGTGTCTGGAGCAAGAAGTTAGGATCCCTGGGCTCATCTTTTTCTTCCATCACTTTGTCCAGCAAACTTAGGCACAACCAACCAACTTCATTATATTCCTTGGTTCTCCACATATGGTCAAATGTATTATGTATAGAGACACTAAACTCCTTGTCCCTCATGAGCAGTAAATCAGCAGTATCAGATGCATTTATTTTGCATAACTCTCTAAACAGTTCACACCAAGGACTCTCAGTGTTCTCCATACTATTAGAGATAGAGTCCTTAGCATTTTGGGGTCTAATCATATTAAGCAACCAACTCCAGAAACCCCAAAACCAACTAAAGAAATTCATCCTTAAAATTCTGCTCCTCTAGAACCACTCTCAGTACCATAATCTGTGTTAGGGTTCTCTAGAAGGACAGAAGTAACAGGAAAGATATATATATATGAAAGGGAGTTTATTAAGGAGAATTGACTCACATGATCACAAGGTAAAGTCCCATGACAGGCCGTCTGCAAGTTGAGGGGCAAGGAAGCCAGTAGTGGATGAGTCTGAGTCCCAAAACTTCAAAAGTAGAGAAGCCGACAGTGTAGCCTTCAGTATGTGGCTGAAGGCTTGAGAGGCCCTGGCAAAACCACTAGTGTAAATTCAAGAGGCCAAAAGCCAAATAACTTGGAGTTTAATGTTCAAGGGCAGGAAGCATCCAGCATGGGAAAAAGGTGAAGCCTAGAAGACTCAGCAAGTCTGCTAATTCCACCTTCTGCCTGTTTTTTCTAGCCACACTGGCAGCTGAGGGGATGGCGCCCACCCAGATTAAGGGTGGGTCTGCCTCTCCCAGTCCACTGACTCAAATGTTAATCTCCTCTAGCAACACCCTGGAAGACATACCCAAAAACAATACTTTGCATTCTTCAGTCCAATCAAGTTGACACTTAATATTAACCATCACACTGAGTTAAGGATTTTCAACTCTTTATTATCAGAGAGAGCTTGCCACAACAGGACTTCGGGTTCAGAAACATTCCTCTGGATTCCGTGTAGCAAAAGGTTTGCAAAAGAGTCAGATGGGAAACAGGGAGTGAGAAGTGGTTGAAAGAGAGATCACTAACCAAGGACAAATATCGGGGTTGAATTGATATGAGAAGTGCACATCCTAAGGACTGAAAGTTTTAAGTAGTGATAGTTGGAGAGACTAGTATGTTGTCAACAAAGAGGAACATGGATTTTGCTCTGCTCGGCAAGGGCCCAACTAATTTTAGGGAACCTGAATGTGCAATTGACTAAGTTAACAAATCCTATAAAACTATCCAGCAATGCAAAGTGACCTGGGAAGATTAAGGCCTTGAGCATGTCCTGGGGCTGGAGATTAGTTAGACAGAATGAACATTTACGAATCCTCATAAATAAATAATTATATTGGAGCTGCCCATCTTAAACTTCCTTCATCCAAAGATGAATTATGTAATAGCTTGACCTGGAATAAAGGTCAAAAGCTGATTTTAAGGGAAGAAGAGTGGCAGAGTAGAGCTAGACAGATCAGAGATCTAGGAAAGAAACAAAAGTAAACAAACATTTCAGAATACTGACCATCAGAGGTTGGTCACTGTTAGTCTTGAACACATAGAAGATCCTATAATATAAATTGAGATACCTAGAAATATCATAAAAATATGAAACATGATAATGCTGGAAGACTGTCTGTTTTGTTCACAGATCTATCTCTAGAGCAGTGGTGGTGCCCAGCAGATTTAAATAAATATCTGTTAAATTAATGATTGAATTTATTTGTAATATTTGACAGAAACATCTAGATGAAGGAACAAAATTACTGTAAAAAAAATCCAGAGGAAAAACTTATTTCTTTAGCTTTAATTTTCAAAAGTAATGTAAGGAACTTGCTTAGAAATGAAGGTCTGGTACAGGGAAAGGGTCCAAAAGGAAAAGACTTTTTGTAATAGTAATACACAGAATGTGAATAGCATTGCACAGCCCACAGTTTATCGACACATCTTCCCTGGTCTGTTACGTCAATGCACAGAACTGAGTATATTTAATTTGAAAGGCACAGAACAAACCAGAATATCTTCCTCTACAGCATAATGTGTGTCATACAGACTTTGGCTTTAATCCTTAGCTTTGTATTTGAGCATACGAGGCCTGTTAGGAGACATTTGACCACACACGGTCAAACAATAGCTTAACCGTTTCAATACTATCCAAATATTAGTATCAACATAATAGTAATCTGCATTTCTTTAACCCATTACATTTACAAATATTCTTCATTTCTGTTAACTCATTTGCTGGATGGAATAACTCACTCTATATAGGCAAGACAGAGATACTTCACAGATGAGTAACTGAATTGCAGGGAGCTGACAGGATTTACTGTGACCACCTGATTAGAGGCAGAGCTGGAACCAAAATTTAGTGTGCCCAACCCAAACCAGCATTCTTTCCAGTACCCCATACAGACACATCTCAAACCACAGTTGAGTCACATTTGAGAACATGGCTACAGCCCATGGTGCATAAGCTTTCAGTCTGGTGGTTTAAACGCCACTTGGCTTCAGTACAGAGCTTCAGCCTAATGACCTAGTGCCGAGTTTCAGAATGCATTGTGAAAATCTGGGTAAGAATCCTAAGACAAATGTTGCCCTCTTCCAGAACAGTAGGCACTGGCATCCCTCAGTGTGCATTTTGTTCAGGGAAAGTAATTGCTCTGAGGTCAAGACAGAGCATCTTAGCCATAGATTTCTACCAGCTTACTTTCATGGCACTGATTCTGGGTGAGATCACTGGGAGACACCAAGACACCAAGCAATTCAGCCTTTAGATGAACAACATAAAAAAAAAATGCAAGTAGCCACTCCAGAATCACTTTATAAGGGACTTTAAAGAATACTATGAAACAAAAATAAATCCATTGCTCCATCTTTTTGTTACGTATTTCAGAAAATGAATTTGATGTGGTTTTATGAAGGAAAGCACACTTTACCTGACATCAGAAAGTTTGCTTTTTTGTCCCTCTATGCCAGCTGTGAGACTTTGATCAAGCCACCTGCTTCTCCTGAGCTTCAGTTTTCTTATAAATTTTTTTTAAAAAAAGATCTTTTTCAATTCTATAATATCATCATTTGGGTATTTTAAATAGTACTGAGTTTCGATTGAGATATATTTTAAAACTTGAACCCTGAAAATATCTAAAACAAAAAATAAATTATAGAAACATTGAATCATGTTAATATCTGTCAAAACTGAAGGATAGTAGAAATATGTTTGGAGCTAACGAATTTTCATATATTTTTTTGTTTCCACTCTGAGGTTTCTTGAGTCCTTATTCATTTGCCCAAGAAAGCTTAATTTAGAATTGGCCTGACTCCGAGTCTTTAGGATTGGTTAGGATAGTCCTAAGTGCTACTTAAATGCCACCTTCTATTTCCTGGGCAAGAGTGCCCGGGCTGGCACAACCCCACAGCCCAGCAGGGCAGCAGTGGTTGTGGTAGGCGCTGCAGAGGGGTTGCTGTTTCAGCCCCTGAAATTAGTGCCTAGAGAGCTGGAAATTCCAGTAGTCTCTGATCAGAAGGTCCGGAACTGGAAATAACAGGAGTGAGAAGTTCATAAAAGAGAAGGCTACAATCCCAAGGGAAATTTGCACAAGAGCCCACCACTGCACACCACTTTCAGCAGAAAAGAATTCAACGCCACTCCTCCCTGGCTTTCTACCTTCAGACCTGTCTTCTCCTGGCTAATATTAGTATTAAATAACGTGGCACCTGTGTCTAGATCTACTCAGTGAGAACAACAAGGTCCTCACCCCACCCTGCCTGCTTCTCTTCAATCCTCCTATTTCCTCTTCCTTACCTTCTTTCTGTTTTTTGTCACCTATTCTTCTTTCTGACTGTAATTCCTCTACCCTAGCAACTTCTCACATGGTTTTTGAAATGTCAGGCAGGGCATAAACAACAAACAACATGGCCATACTGAATCTTTAGTGTCCACATTGCCAGAGTAGGGAATATGAATTTTTATAGCAGTTGTTAGTGTCCCACTCCCAAATAAGACTCCAGATACATCCTATACCTGAGCAGGTAGAGGAGCCAGGTAGAGAGGTTCAACCTTTTATAAGCCCCATGAGACTTCTCTCCAGGCTCCAACCTCTCATTGAATGAAAATTAAATGACTTTTAAAAGTATAATTTTCAAATTTAAAAAAGAGAATATATGACTCATGGTATCTAATACATGTCAGTACCAATAGTCAGTTTTTCAAGTACCTTTTCTTTTTGGAAGTCAGATAAATATAAATCTCTAAATTGATATTAAAAACTGACATACCACCAACTGTGTCTGGAAACTAGCAGCTAGTGATTCCTGATAATGAGGCCAGAAGCTGGTATCAATACGGCAATGTGGGAGACACTGCAAGTCTGATTGCTCAGCCATTTAACTGACGAATAAGAGGAAGACCTCAAGTTATCTACACCAAGATAAAGAGCTTGGGGAGAAGATTAACCAGAGTCAGTGCTTGAGAAAAGGAACATCAGTTAACTGAGCTTCTTAACTGTTTTGAGAATGTTGCTACTAAGCAAAAAACAGTGACAGGCACGGTAGATACATTCTTACCAGTCTTCAAGCAGTGCCTCTACCTTCATAAAGTAGGATAATCTATAATGATTTAAATGGTAATAAGAAACTAGGTAAATATTTTAGAGTCCCCAGTCATACATCTTATACTCCAGCCATATCAAATGTCTTACTTTCTTTAAACCAGCCTAGCCTATTTATGGCCACTAAGGGTTTGAATGCTGTTACCTTCCCTATCTGAAATGTCTTCTCCTCTCCAGGGTATGGAGCACTGTTACCCAGTCTTCAAAACCAGCTCAAAAAAAAATTTTTTTTTTCTAGAAGATATCCCTTAGCCAAGTTAGGAATTTTTTCATGGGGGAGGAGGTGTCTCACAAAATTGATTTCTTTCCTCTTAGAGAATTCATCACATTATATCATAACTAAGTGAGCACATGTCACCTCTCCCCATTCCCACCACTTACCTCCCCCCAGAACTTAAGTTTAACTGGGGCAGGAGCCGTGTCTTAGTTCTCTGTTTGTCCCTAGAATAGGTCTGAAAGGTAGTAAGCTCTCAATAGGTATTGAAGAATGAGTTGAGAACGCAGCTGAAGGCAGGTTAGTGATGGGATTGGAGACAGCAGAGGTCCTGTTGGTAAATTCACCAAAGTTCATAGAGCAGGAAGGCCTTAGGAAAGCTCTCATCTCTTCACAGCATATTAAGTGATACCTAAGATATAAGTAAGCTGTATGTTTGTGGCTGTGAAGTTTTGAAGACTATTGTATTCAGCATAATGGAAAGAACTTTCTATAATTTCTTAGAAAAACAAAGGCAAGGAAACAATTCCTGAACAAACTAACAAAAAGAAACAAGTTTACTGTGTGAAGTCTCAGATAAGAATGAATCTCCATCAGTGGATTCTGGGTGAATTTAAACTTCCAAGTTTCCAACATACAGGAATAAAATATTTAGAAGACAGAAAAAGTTATAACTGTAAAATGGAGTAGTGATAAGTACCTCACAAACATGAAAGAATTATAATCTCTATTTTCTGTCTTTTTAAAGAAAGTGTGCATATGCCTCTATCTTGTATAATTAAAATCTCTATTTTCTGTCTTTTTAAAGAAAGTGTGCATATGCCTCTACCTTGTATAATTAATGTAATGATATGAAAAGCTACCACTTCTAACTTCTCGTAGTTGACAAGATGAGGAGGCATCCAGAGGGCTGGAAAAAGCTCATGGTTACCTCACAGATTCTGGGAACAGAGCTCTCTAATCTGTATGACTTCACACACATTGGACTTGAGTCTGAAGAGAAGCCCAAGATAATTTCACAAGAGATGAAATTTCGAATTTTTTTCAGAAGGGAAAGTAAAACATCATCCATGTCTGGCAAGAATGCTGAGGCAGATACAGCATGTGTTTATGAACACGGGAATGATGACTTACGCATGTTTGGAGAAAGAAGAAGTATATTTATTTTTCTTTGCAATCATCTCTATGTATTTTTGAGGTACAGGAACACACATTTGAGAGCCCTGACACAGAAGGGCAGAAAAAAAAGGAAAAAAAGAAAAGAAAAAAGAAAGACAAGACAAGACATCAAAAGGAAAGCAAAACTATACCATGTTGTCCTTGGAGGTGTAAGATGAGAGAATCTGAATGTGAAGAGACCAGTGGACTGAGTTACCCACTGGGAGACATGGGCTTTGCACTCTGTCTGGTTTAGTCATTCTAACTAGTACTGAGGCAGACAGAACTGGAGAGGAAAGACGGCAGGCCTTATATTCATAAACCCACTCTGGGAAGACAGCTGCAAAGGCTGCTGGTTCATCAGAGGACACAGTAAGAGCAGGTTTGGCAGAAGTGGCATTTGTGCTGCTGACAGTTCTGCTGTGCTCTGTGCTTTGCAAGGCTCCGAGGGACGCAGGACAAAAGGGCATTGATGATCTCTTGGCATAGTGTGAATGACAGAAAGTTGCGTGTGGGGCCAACAGGCGGATAGAATGAATGGCATCATTTAGAGCCAGAAGTCAAGCAGAAGGGATAGGGCGGGAACATTTTCATTTCTGTGTTCCATCCACACAGTCCCTAGAATTGTTCCCAACACACTTGGGAACTCGGTCAATATTAATTAGGAAGAAGGCAGAAACATACTTAGAAGCATGAAGTATCATTGAAAAAGACTGAATGTAGGCAGCAAGAGATGGAAAAAAACTTGACAAGGTATACTTACTTTGAAAGTTGGGGTCAAATCCTTAAGCTTTCAACTCATTTGCAAAGCAGAAGCTGAGATTCTTGAATAAATTCTCTGTTTTAAAACCTTAAACAGACAGGATTGAGTCAGTGGCTTCAGCAAGTAACATATTTTCTTTGCTTGTTTGTTTTCTAAAGGAAGAAAAGATAAGGTCCCGAACTTCAGACATTGCTGAAATTCTGTTATTAGTGAATCAGGGGCTTGAAAGGCAAGAAGCTCATTAGTGGCTTCTGTGGAGAAGTCTGGGGCACTCCATGCTAGAAGGAAATGGAAAAGCTGCCAGTTAACAGCAGGAACATCTAAATCATCACACTTAGGAGGAGAACTGGAAAAACAAGACAGTATTTTACCCTCCACAGAAAAATAATAGGGAAAGAAAGCCTTCATTGAGTATATATACGAAATGTCTTAAGTCAGGCTGCTAAATAAACAGCTGCTGTTGATGAAGGCAAGAAGATAAACAGGCATTCTTAATGGCCAGAAGGTTAGAGAGCATCAGCTGTGGGGTAGAGGGCACTTGCCATTCCTGATCACCAAGTCAAACATACCTCAGGCAATACTGACTCAGAAACCAGCATCTGGTTGCCCCTCATTCTGTGGCAAATACTAGGTTCAGTCTATTACAATATCTCATAGCTTGGTGGCCTGGGTCATATCAACCAACCAACTAATATTTTTAAACATTGACCATATGCAAAATACTATGCTCATCACTGCCGGGAGTGTCACGGGGGGGGTGGGGTGGGCGTGGGGCGGGAAGGGGATCACTGATTCATCTTTCCTTTTTTTTTTTTTTTGAGATGGAGTCTCACTCTCTCACTCAGGCTGGAGTGCACTGGCATGATCTCAGCCTCACTGCAACCTCTGCCTCCTGGGTTCAAGCAATTCTCTGCCTCAGCCTCCCAAGTAGCTGGGATTACAGGAGCCTGCCACCACACGAGGCTAATTTTTGTATTTTTAGTAGAGACAGGGTTTCACCACCTTGGCCAGACTGGTCTTGAACTCCAAACCTCATGATCCACCTGCCTCAGCCTCCCAAAGTGCTGGGACCACAGGCGTGAGCCACTGCGCCTGGCCGCATCCTTCCTTTTAAAGCATGTCCCATGTACTTGCAGAAACAGGATCTAAACACAAAAAAGCATACAAGCATTGTGGTTCCCAGAATAGCATCGAATGGCCAAATGATAATAAATATTCCAGGGGTTGAAAGGAGGGCAAGATTGCCAGGATATGAGGTGTTTAATTGAACTGTTCAGAGACCAAAGTACATTTAGGCTGAAAGATTGTCAAGAAAGAAATGCAGTCCAAAGCTTTTCAAAAATGAGAAAATTGAAGGTACCTGAGAAATGTCCATGGTATTACAGTGACTAATAGTTCCTCAGAGGAACTTAGTATTTGAATCACAGTTGCACCATGTATTTCTGGAAAGTTATTTAACCTCTCTGCACTCAGCTCATGAATAAAAGAGGAATAATGATAATAATCCGCACAAACTATTGTGAGAATTGAATCCAATCATTAGCCAACCATGACGTTCTCTCCCTCAGATCCAGACTGAGCCTCAGACCCTTCTCAATACAGAGCCCCAGGCAGCCTCAGCCATTCCTAATTGAATAGAATTTCCAGTGAGATTCAACATACAAACAATATTTAAACAACAATAAATAAACATTGATTTTTCAATAAATCAAGGGGATTTTTACTGCTATTGATGACAAATTCTGTAGACAAATTAAAAGCCACTATTTTTTTAAGTTGTAATCTAACTCCTTTCAGGAACCTAAATTATTTCTTGGTTTGATTCACAGCTTCCAAGTCTCACTAGATCATCGCCATTAGTTGAAACCAATTACACAGGAGGTCTCCACCGTGCCTGACTGTTCTCATAGCGGCTGCTTCAAAATAAAATGTATATTTTCATTTTTAGGTATGACAGGCAGCAGTCTGGTTTAATATTATGAGGTGGCATGTCATGAGGTGGAAGCTGAGCTTGCTTGCCCCACTTCAGTATTTCTTCCAGACAAGGAGGCTGAGATCAATTATAGTCATATACACACCCCGCTGCTGTAGATGCTCCCCCCAACCATGTGGCTGTTTTTCATTTAATGGGCAAAGTAAATCTAAGAGCCACCAAATGTTAAATGTGAGAAGAGATCTTAGAAGTGATTTAGCTCACTCTCCCACCTAACATACAGTTAGTTCCCTGTCACTGAAGACCATGGGCTGAGGCAAGTCAGAAGTTCCCCAGCACCTTCATTCAGCAAGACCAAATTAAAGGCATATTAGTCACATGCAGAAAAGTTGAAGCAGCTGGAGCAGTGGCACCTGGGAAGGAAAGAGAACCCACCTATTCTGTAATCTTCCCTAGCAAGGCCATCAACTGCTTGCTTAAGTCAGTGCAATATTACATTTGTGTCCAATATTGTAGAACTTGGAGAGGCAGGGCTAAAGAAACCCTAATTCTGATAGATCAACAATATCCTACGGAAAAGGAAGGAGAAATGTAAAAACGGTTGAGACTAAACATCCCTGCCTTACATAGTTCAAAGGGCATGTTTGTGGTTTAGGAACAGCCAACTCCAGAAATGGGAAGTTGTTGGGATGAAAGCCAGCGTGGAGATGGCTCCCTCTAGACTGTTTAATGGGAAGATTATGTGGTGTGTCCAGCTTCATAATGGAGGGAATCTAAGGGGCTTGTCGATGAAGTGCTGATTGAAGTACTCACCTGCACACCATTATTTATCTCCTTTGATTTGCCAAAGTATAAATAATCAAAATGATACATAAATTTAATTGCTGGTGTTGTGTAGTTATTTTTGAGGAACAGCCACAAATCTGAGATCTGGTATTTAACAAACAACTCAGGCTACCTACTCAGACTAAACACATAGTGTGTTTTCCAGGCTGTAATTTTATAAAAACAAAATGTCTTTAGAGAGAGAACAAGCTAGTACTATTACTTTAAAAATCACTTTAGGAAAAGTTTCCTTACTAAACTAAAATAAAACATAGACAATGTAATCCATTTTTCTGCCTGGTCCTGATCCACCCTGTTATGCCTTGTTATTACCTTCATTTCATTGACATCCCACACAAATGTCTTCTCTCTGACAGGCTCAGGGAGCAGATAAAATCATCTCTCTTATGGTGGGGCTTTGTTTCTCTAAGAGCAGAAGTTTGTAGACATTTCAGTTCTGGACCTTTTCATACCCTTAAAAATTACTCAGACTCTACAGACCTTTTGTTATGTGTATTTTGTCTGTTGATGTTTACTGTGGTGAAAATTAAACATTTTTATAAAACTAATGTCACCAAAACAAGATTTAGTAAAAAGGGTGACATTATGTCATATGTTTGCACATCTCTTTATTGTCTGGATTAACAGAAGAGAACTGGGTTCTCATATCTACATCTGCATTTCATCTGTTAGGATGTGTTGTTCTAGTTGAAGTACACTATGTAAAGAACATCTAGCCTCACACAGATATGTAGAAAGAAAAGGGAAAACTATTCTAATAATCTTTTTAGAGAATTATAGATATTCATTCTACCCAAACTCAACAAGTAGTAATTTCTTAAAGATTAGTTGCAATGAGGCATCTGAAACATTACCAACAAACTTTTTGTACTCTATTACACTAAAATCCATTGGTCTATCTTGTATTTTTAAGTGAATCTTTTATCCATGTATGATTTTTATAAGATCATTTTATAAGGTCATTGACATTTGTAATTATACAATATCCAAAAATCACATAGATCTGTGAGGTCACAATCTCATAGAAAAGTCTTAAAGTATTAGGAAGCTTTCAAGCTTATGGTGGTGGACAGAAGTGTATTTTTTCTGTGAGTATTTGGTGGCAAAGACTACAACTGACTACTTGTATAATTTGGAGCCACTGCCTTGATTTGTGCTAAGGCAATGGGAGTTTCATTCACCATAGCTTTTGCCCTATTAGTGCAAATGTAACAAAGGGAAAAATGCAAATAATGTCTTAGTATTGTTATGAAAATAGTTTTAATCTCAAAGACAGACTGGAAACTTCTCAGGGACCCACAGGGGTCCAGGGAACATAGTTAGAGAATTACTGTGTTGGAATTTTTCAACAAATTTTGCAAGCCAAAATAATTAAGTATAAAAAGGAAGAATATCCAAATGGGTAAGAGCCATTAATTTTTTTTCATAAGTACTTTATTATAAAGTCAATAAAAATATCAAAATACAGGAATGCTATGTTCTCAAAATAGAGACCTGCTCCCTTTGACCCATAATTTTTGTCCATAATTCTTGATTACTTGCATTTCTCTGTGCCTCAGATCTTCCAACTGTAAAATGGAAATGATAAAAGCACCTTCACACATTTCTTTTTTTTTTTTCACAATTACAAACTCTTTATTGAGGACATCTGTGAATCATGAGTGTGAAGTTATTTATGATAGTTTTCTGTGATAAAAATATAACCGCACTTTTCCTTCTTATATATTCTGACATCAAAATGCCCTTTAATAGTTTCTTCCTGAAAGATTTTTTAAAATAAACTTAATACTGACAAGGCAAAATTTGAAATGAAATGTGAAGATCCTTAAAATTAACACCTGCTGCATTTTTATCTACAGAAAAAAGGACAAGGATAACATTTGTCCCTTGTACAATATGATTGACTAAATCAGAATGATGAAAGTTACGGCGAAAAAGGTTGTGAATTTATTATCCAGCTTAAGATTTTAATGACAAAATGACATAAAATATTACTTTTGATGTGCCTTGACATTTTCCTTTATTAGAAAATATTTTCAAATAGCTAAGTAACAGCACCATTAGCAAAAATATTGAATTTTGCAGAATATTACTCTCAGTGTCACCTGGCATGGGATGAGACATACTACTCAGTGTGAATTCCTAAGACTGAATGAGGGCTTTGAATTTGAATAAAGGTTCACAAACTTCACAAAAATGTGTCCTTCCTTCTGGCATGAACTTTGAGAAATACTTCTGCCAGTGTTTATACAGTTTTAGGAGGGCTTCGTGGTTTATGAACAGATTAGTCTATTTTCCCCCTAGTGCATGGCTCCCAATTCCACATGTGGAAATGTTTCTCTGAGAGCAGTAATGAGTGAAGCCTGTGCTTCAAGAGTTCCTGCAGTCAGGAATAATCAAAATCTAATAAAGGCAGTCGGTTTGAGAGACACTAGATTTCAAATGTGGTCTTATTTTAGCAAGCTAGAAAATAGGGAGAAAGACTTGGGTTCTTATACTATAAAAATGTTTGAAAATAAACCCTCCCCAACTCACTCACCTGAAAGCCAATAACACAGCTACATGAGTTTCAGGCTGTAACTGCCCTGTTAAAATGAAAGCTAGATATAGGATGAAAGAGGGGAGTGTGCAAAAAGTGACCACATCACCTTCTATGTTTCTGTTTCATACTTCTGAGCTGTCATTGGCATTGAAATGGAGCAAAACTGAGCAATGGAAAGAACCCCAGGGGCTGAGAAGTTGTATCCATGTGGCCAAAAAATGGTCATCATGAGCATGGATGATGACGGGTTATCTAAGGAGTTTATAGGTGTTGAGCCAGTAAAAGGACATGGGGTATAACTTGGGCAGAACAATGTAATGAAGAACTATGCATCATGGGTATCAAAGGTTAGAAAACGATGGTGGGAATGCATGTGTCTAAACACAGCCAATCAACCAAAAAGTCTTAGTACGCACTTACTATGTGCCTACTGCTGTGTTATACTCTGATCATTGGATGACAATGTTCATTTCAACAGTGTTCTATGCAGACCATGAGGCTAAGGAGGAGTCACCACAAGAGGCAACATTTCCTAAAAAGAAAGGGAGACCAGTGGGCAGGATGCCCTTGACTGTAGGAAAGCAAGAATATGAAGCTCTGCCATCCACCTTAGCAGTAGCAATAGCACATCTTCAGATATATACAGAAAGACAAGTGAGAAGGCGAAGGAGTAAATCGAAGAGTAGACAAAGAGATCAAAAGTAATCTCTCTGTAGAATACCCAGGCATCTTTTGCAACTTGCATCAGTACTTTAATGGATAATTCCCTTTCTTATTTAGTTTCTGCAGCCCCTTGAGCTCAACTTAATCCTTATATAAAGTGACAGCTGGAAGTAGTATTTCACTTTAAAACTTTCAGAACATTTCTTGCAGTCAAGTATTTGGTTTTGCGCCCATGTTTGTTTTTGCACCTCCTTGTGCTACACAGCAACCCTGCCTTCTGCAAGCCAAGGCCAGACAGAGCCTAGGAGGCAAGTTCCAAATGGCTGACAGTGCCAGATTCCAGATATAAGAAGGCATCTCTCCTCTCCTGTGTCTCTTTCTTTTCCTGATGACAAGGAGAGTGATTTCTCTGCAATGTGACATTTGAAATTATGCCTAGCTTTCACTGGAGATAAGCAAGCTGCCAGCCCTGGAAGAATTGTGAGGACACAGGATTCAAGAGCACAGAAAGTATTGGGAGGCTTATTGCTCACCCTCTTGTATAGTACTAGTAGAGCCAACCCCTCACAAATCACCTTTTCTTCATTTCCAGAACCTCTGGACATTACAGCGAGGCAAAAAAAGAAAAAAGAAAGAAAAGTTAGAAGCAAAAGACAACAGTTCAGGTTAGTTGACAGAATGAGAGAAGTGATTAGACTTCTCAGTAAAAAGAGTCAGAAAGAAAACCAAGGGCTTTTTAGATATAGGCTAAGTATATTAGATCTTCTCATAAATGTCAAAATTAAGGTGACACTAATATTTTTAAAAACATTTTGGAAGACTTTGTTAAGATTAAAATGTGAAGTTTAAATGATTAACTTTTCAAATATGTTGGCTTCTCTCCTGTCGAATTTACAAACTATTTAATAACTCTGCCTCCAACACTTTGTACTAATTTTAAACCTAGTAAGTTACAGTGAGAATTGTTAAAAATAGAATTCTGGGAAATCAAATGCTTTAATTCGTTAGCTCCTCATTCTTACCATCTCTGAGAAATTTAAGATGTCTTCTCTCTTTTGTTCTAACTACCCTCTGCAAGTATCATTTGGGTATCATCACCTTCTTAAATGTCTACAACGGTTCCCCAGATTCTTTAATTAAAAGTAAAAATCATGATCATGACTTTCTAGACCCATCAGCTGTGAATTCATTCATCAAACATTTATTGCATACCTAATGCATGTCAGACATTTGCTAGGTGTGGAAAATATAGAGATGAAAGATGGGCTTAGTGTTGAGCAACACACAGTTTTGGAGGAGAAACTGATCTATAAGTGGCCTTCTACCAATCAGTGTTATAAGTGCTATGGGACCATGGAGACAAGACCCTTAAAACTCAGTGCTGAAGAGTTTGGAAGGCTCTCTGAAAGAGGTGATGATTAGGTTGATTTTTAAGTAAAAAGTGGACATTAGCCAGGTGAAGGAAGTTTATGTCCAGGGGACAGAATGTACAAAGGTGTGGAGGTGAAGCAATTTACAAATAAAATGCTATTTCTATTAAATTACCAAGATCATTTTTCACATAACTAGAAAAAAACTATTCTAAATGCCATGTAGAACCAAAAGAGAGCCCAAATAGCCAAAGGAATCCTAAGCACAAAGAACAAAGTTGGAGACATCACATTACCTGACTTCAAACTATACTACAAGACTACAGTAACCAAAACAGCATGGTACTTGTGCAAAAACAAGTACAAAGACACATAGAACAATGGAACAAAATAGAGCCCAGAAGTAATGCTGCACACCTACAACCATCTGATACTTGATAAAGTCAACGAAAACAAGCAATAGGGAAAGGCCTCCCTATTCAATAAATTGTGCTGAGATAAATGGCTAGCCATATGCAGAAGATTGAAACTGAACCCTTTCCTTACACTATATACAAAAACCAACTGACGATGGATTAGAGACTTAAGTTAAAACCTAAAACTATAAAAACCCTGGAAGATAGCCTAGAAAATACCATTCTAGACATAGGACCTGGCAAAGATTTTATGAAGAAGATGCCAAAAACAATTGCAACAAAAACAAAAATCGACAAATAGAACCTAATTAAACTAAACAGCTTCTGCACAGCCAAAGAAACTATCAACAGAGTAAACAGACGACCTACAGAATGGGAGAAAATATTTGCAACTATGCATCTGACAAAGGTCTAAAATTTAGACTCTATAAGGAACTTAAATTATCAAGCAAAAAACAACCCCATTAAAAAGTGAGCAAAGGATACTTTTCAAAAGAAGACATACATGTGGCTAAAGACCATATGAAAAAAAAAAAGTTCCACATCGTTAATCATTAGGGAAATGCAAATCAAAATCTCAATGAGATACCATCTCACACCAGTCAGAATGGCTATTTCTAAAAAGTCAAAAAATAACAGATGCTGGTGTGGTTGTGGAGAAAAGGGAACACTTACGTGCTGCTAGTGAGAATGTAAATTAGTGCAGTCATTGTGGAAAGCAGTCTGGCTATTTCTCAAAGAACTTAAAACAAAATTACCATTCAACTCAACAATCCTATTGCTGAATATATACCCAAGAAAATATAAACTGTTCTACCATAAAGACATATGCTATATGTTCATCACAGCATTATCCACAATAGGAAAGATGTGTAATCAACCTAAATGCAAAGACATGGAATCAGTTATCAACGGTAAACTGAATAAAGAAAATGTGGTACTCATATACCATGGAATACCACACAGCCATAAAAAAGAACAAGATCGTGTTTTTTGCAACAACATGGGTGGAGCTGGAGGCCATTATCTTAAGTGAGCTAACACAGGAACAGAAAACCAAATACTGTATGTTCTCACTTATAAGTGGGAGCCAAACATTGAGTACACATGGGCATAAAGAAGGAAACGACAGACACCAGGGCCTGCGTGAGTGTGGAGGGAGGGAGAATCAAAAACTACCTATTTGGTACTGTGCTTATCGCCTGTGTGATGAAATGATTTGAACATCAAACCCCTGTGACACACAATTTACCTATATGACAAACCTGCACATGCGTACCTGAACTAAAATAAGAGTTAAGAAAAAAAAAAAACCCTGAAACAAGAGCAGCTTGGCTGGGGTGTAAGGCATGCATGGCAATAATGAGACCAGACTGGTATGTATGGGACAGCTTATTAAAAGCCCTACAAAGAGTTTGGATTTTAACTCAAATGTAATACATTTACATGAAAGGTTTTAAGAGGACAGAAACATGACAATTTCTGTATTATAGAAAGATTTTTCCAAAAGTCCCATGCAGAATGGATTGATATAGGAAGACCAATACAGAGGGTATTATAGGAAGCTGGAAAATCAACAATGAGTACTTGAATTCTATAGGGATAAAAGTGTGGAAAGAAAGATACGGGCAGGGTGGGGCGCAATGGCTCACGCCTGTAATCCCAACACCTTGAGAGGCCAAGGTGGGCAGATCATGAGGTCAGTAGATCGAGACCATCCTGGCTAAGATGGTGAAACCTCGTCTCTAATAAAAATACAAAAAATTAGCTGGACATGATGGTGCATGACTGCAGTCCCAGCTACTCAGGAGGCTGAAGCAGGAGAATCGCTTGAACACAGGAGGCAGCCTGGCCGACAGAGCAAGGCTCTATCCCAAAAAAAAAAAAAAAAAAAAGGAAGAAAGAAAGATATGGACATATGGGCAGATAGGATTTATAAACAGCATTGTAGTTTCTGATCACACACTGCTTTGGGGAGCTATCACTGAGGGAAAGGAGAAATCAAATAAGATTCCCAGTTAATGATTTTATTACTTTAAAGAATAATCAGGCCTGAGAACAGAGATAATCTTAATTGTGGACATGTTGCTTTTGAATGACCTTTGGCTTTATGATTCTATGTTATACATACAGCCTGTACTGGATTAGGAAGTACACACTTATTCATCAGCATGTTAGTCACACACATATTAGTTAAAAAACAGGGAGAGTAAATGAGGTTATTTGGATTTTATATGTAAAACACAAGATCAACAATCTAGAACGTGAAACCAAACAGTGATGTCATGGAAGCCAAGGGAAAAAGGAGTCTTAAGAACAAAGTGGTCAACAGTGTTAAATGCAGCAAAGGCACTCTGGAAGATAAAGCCAGAAACCATCATTGTGTATGGCAACTGCGACCTTTCCACAATAGTTTAATTAGCGTGGTAGGGACAGAAATTGGAGTGTAGGGAGTTGAGGAGTGAATGAAAGGTATGTAGAAAAATGTGACAACAACATTTGTATCATCCAGGATAGACTAAGTTAGGCTGAAGGAACAACTCTCAGATTGTAGTGGCTGACCACAACAAAGGCCTGTTTTTCATTGTGCTACATGTCCAATTCAGGTCATCAGAACTCTGCTTATGGTAGTCACACAGAGGCCCAGGCCAGTGAAGGCTCCATCTCAGCACACGCATCTGCAATTGCTGTAACAAGAAGAGAGAACTGCTGTACTTCGCCTTGGCAAAAAAAAAAAAAAAAAAAAAAAACCTTCTAGGCTTTCACCTGGAAGCACGACCTGCCATTTCACTCTTATTTCACTGGTCAAGACAAGTCACATGGCCACACAAGACAGAGAAGTACAATGCTACTGTGCATCCAGAAGGAAGAGAACTGGGATATTTGTACACAGTCCTCAGGAGTAGGTTAGAGCACTAGCTACAACAGGGATATAAGTTGGAGGAGAGATTTTTTGTTTGTCTGGTTTTTAAGATATGATAGACAATGACACTAGTAGAATACATTTCTCATCATGTTCCACAGCTTGCCCTTTGTGCTGCTGTTGTGCAATCCACCAGGTAAACATGTTTAATCCTCTATTTTGGAATATCCTTCCTCCTGTCCTGTATTGGGTACATCTTGCTCTACTTTCAAACTCTGTTTATGAATCACTTCACGCATGAAGCTGTCCCTTGACGAAGCCACTTGGCTACTTGTGTCCAATTATATTTAGATAAGTATATTTTCTCATGTTTCCGTTGTTCACTTGTATCTTTTTCATACATTTTGAAGTCCTTTTCCCTAACCTCCTAAAAGGCAAGAATGTCCCCATTTGTTTATTTTCTTTCCATGTGGTAACTGGCCATAGGTGTGTGTTCAATCCATGAGGTTGGCTAAACAATTGGTTTCTCCAAGACCAGAGAAGATCCTTCAGCATAGTTTATGGGGTGTTACTACCCCTGAGCACACAGAGTCATTTATACAATGGTTTGTGAAGAAAACTGCAGATTCTGGGTTTTTTTCCATGGCTGAAGAGGCAGGAAATTGAGCAGCAGTGGCAGCCTAACTCTTATGGAAACTCCACCCCATGAACTGGCACCATGGTAACTTTGCCTAGTCTGCTTTTTGGGACTAGCCCAAACCTGTCAAGTTCTCACTTTGAAAATTTGCAGATGCATCCACCGCATATTTATGCACTTGCTTTCATATGCAAAGAAGTGGCTACCGAGAAGAGACACCTCATCAAGAAAGCTTACAGCTGAGTTCTTTTGATGATGACAGATTTATTCAGATTCACCTTCATTTCTCCTTCTGGCCCTCCAGTACCATGGCTATGCATGTGCAGAGTACCTCTGGGTTCAGAGTTCAGCCTGGTCTGCAGGACATGTGTACTAACTGGCACCTAAGCATCAAAGCCATAACCCAGGCCTCATTAGCACCATCTGATCTTCTGAGCTAAACAACCACAGATATGCAAATTCAGGAAGACTTTGGAAATGAAACAGGTGCATATGCATTTTGGTAAGGATTTCCATTTCACTCAGAGCTAAAAATTTAGACTCAGCCATTAAATTTCGGGGCCTGGAGGAGTCACAAAAACCACCCACACACAAAATAAATAGGTCAATACATAACCCAGACAGACTAGAAGAGGCTTTTTGAAGAAAAGGGAAAATTTGTCAAGAAATGTGCTTAATGAGAGGATAAATTATGCAGCAAAGACAGTGTATGATTAGGGAAAAGCTCAGCCACAGCTATTTGGATGTGGCCTGAGGACAAGTATCTATTGTGATCCATTGAAGCTACTAAATAATCTTTTTACACAGGTGAGAAAATGCAATTTTTGGTGCTGCTAATTTTAATTCTTGATACAGGATAGCAGCAATACCGAAGAAGCCTTACAGCCAAATTGCAATCATAAATAACTTTCCTCTCAAGTAAGTTGGCTCCAATTGGCACTTATCAACTTACAGGTCAGCATGAATGTTTTTATAATAAACCATAAAAGGGGAAAATATAGTCTGCACTGGCAATCAGAAATTCCGCTTTCTCGTAGCAATGCGACTGAGTCTGACTTTAATATCAGCTCCTTGACAGGTTAGGTGGGGGCAGTTTCTTACCTTTGAAATGGTGTGTAAAATGTTTTAACAATGGACAACACATACTTCAGGGGTAGGTTGGCTGGACCACTGAGTGACTTCTAACACAATCACTGGTGCCTTCTTCCCATCCCCACCTCTACTCACTAAGCACGTATTTTTTTAATCCACTTTTCCCTGCTTCTATTATTCTCATTCTCTCCATTTTTCTTTCTCATTCTGTATGTTTTAGTCCTGCTATTGGCACTTAGAGCTCCAATACCCACTGCTAAGCTTTGTGGAAGGACTGAGAATGCAACTGTCTTACAGCTACAATGAAGATGCTGCTGAAATGAAAGCTTCATGAGGGCAGAATCATGGCTTCCTTGCACATAGTAAGCATTCAGTAAATACAGACATGCAGAGTTTAACATATTTTCAGTAGCTGAAACACATCTCTCCTTAGCTGTCATATGAAAATATTTATTAACATTGTCAAGGTACCATATCCCACATCCCACTTATATTCCTCAAACATCCTAACACAAGGAACAGAAATTTGCTCTGGACTATCAAGCTTTTAAATACTTCCAGCCAGTCTCTCAATCAGTGGCTCTATTTCAGTAAAATCAAGAGAATGGAAATGGAAATAGAACCAGGAAATAGTTTTGTATATCCCAAACTCATTTAGAGCCAGACTCCACAGCATTTTGAAATTCATGTTGTCACTGTTGTATTTCTAACATTTTCCACAGCAGCTAAAAATCTCATGCCATAAAAAAAGCAGACAGGGGATGACTACAATACAAAATCTGTAGGAAACTCTCAAGAATGTAAGCCTTTTATCAGAGAGGTACTGGTTTACAGCTCAGCAGACTTGTCGAAAGAGGGTTGTAACAGGAGAAAGCGGGAGATGTTCAGCACTTCTGGCCTATAAAAAGAGATGTTTTTCAATTTTGCTCTTCCACTGCCTGATGTCCTGATATCTTACTCCAAATTCCATTGACTGGCCACCAGCACAGACCAGTTAACAACTATTTACTAAACACTACCGTGGCTAATAAAGCCCTCCAAACCATTATTCAATCGGTTTGTTCCATGACATAGTTTGACTTTACAGAATAAAATATTAAAATCATCTGCTATAAACTCAGACTGTTATTTTAAATTTGAGATGATTTTTGCCAAAGCCAACAAGAATTTTGAGTAAATTATCCTCAAGGCAAGAAGCATGACACATTCCAAATTATCGTGAGGACAACCATCACTCTACAACCTTGCCTTTCTTTGAAAACAGAAGCACAAACTACTTTTATCCAGTAGGGTCTTTGCAAATATGCACTACTTCAACGATTTCAATCTAAGTAGAAGGAAGTAGAAAGTAAGAAGTACTTAGGAAGTAGAAAGAACTGTAATATAGTCTCATCCGATGTAACAGTCTCACTCCATTTACAAATAGGATGACAAAATATTTAAGCTTAATATTTCAACTTGATTTTGTGCCAATACTTTTCTGACTACTACATTTTAACACAAGTAGTCAAAGGTGCTTTTCCTACTTCCCATGTTAACCCAAGAATGCCTCTCCCTTAGGAAGAGAAGTTAATATTTTCCAAGGAAAGAGAGCCCAATAAATGATGTCATGATTACTTCACCCAATGCCAACATGTCCTGTTTATCTTCAACATTAGATAAACCTCTAAAATCTAGATGTGCAATGCTCATCTCATACCTTAGCGTATTTAGGAATCCCTAAATCCCAAGAACCAAAATTACAAAGCAAAAAGTAATCATTAGTACAATGATTAAGAAAAATAAATTTTATCTCCTTTCAGTCACCATAATTTGAAAAAAAAAAAACATTGAAAAGTAATGAAAAACTCAAATCCACACATAAAACATCACCTGAATCATTATAATTTTCATAAATAAACATAAAATATGTCCTAAACAATATAACTAAAAAATATATTTTTAGAAAACAGATAAATTGATGATTCCTTTTTGGCATTCACTCTGACAAATAATACGGAATAGCCACTTTCTATTTTTTAAAAAGTGGAGCTCTCTGGTTTTGGCAACTTGGAAACTCCCACCTTTTTCTCTCATGTCTTTGTTTATTCTTTTTGAAGATTAAACATTTAACATTTTCATTATTCAAAACACTTCTTTGTTATCACTTAATAAATAAAGTTAAATTGGCTTGAGAATTTTCAGAAAAAAATTAAATTGTATCTAAGTGGTATTATTTTTAATGAAAGGGAGAAAAATTTAAAACAACCTAAACCCTATTTGCTTGTTAAAAATAACCCCTTTGAATTTTTTAAATTCTAAAAAAATCATGACACCAAATTACTAATCAAAGTTTATCAACTGCCCAAATGTGGTACATGGAAACATGCTGGTCTGCCCTAGACAATCTTGTGGTTTCAAAATAATAAACAGCAGGAAATGAAAGAGATTGGAATTGCCTTTGACCACATTGAACACCAAGGAACTTTCATTCAAGTTAAGAGAAGGCACACGTGAGGTTGGTGAAAACATAGGAAGGAAATTAACAATAGTAGGTTTAATATGAGCTAGGAACAAACTGAAGTATCTCATTTAATCCCCGCAACAAACTTTAAAATGTGTATTATCCCCATGAAAGCAAAGAGGCAAGCAAATCATAAAGAAATAAAATAATTTGCTCAAGATCTACTAGCAAGGGATCAGTGGGGCCTGCAGGTATGTGCACTGTGAACTGTACTATGCAGCTTCACCATTGTAGTTCTACTTTTGTGTTTCAAGATCACACTGTATATTTTAGTCCACTCTGCAGACACTGTTGGCCCTGTTAGCAGTAGTGGCATGCTGCAGAAGAGCTGAGTGAGTTTATATCCAGATCCTGAGGCTCAGATTTGCATATGTGAGCAGTAAAGCCAGTGAGAGGCAAAATCGTGGAGTTGGCAGACACGATCTTTATTGCCTCCACCCTACTTTCCCCTGAGGCACCCTGATGTCTTGCAGATGCCTGGCACCTTCAGCTGGCCCAAGCCCTGAAATACAGCAGCACTTCTAGCTCATCTCCTCCTGCAGCACCGCAGATTGCCTTGAATTATAATTACCTGTGTGGCCTCCTCACCATGATTCTCTATTAGATTGTACAATCCTTAAGGACACAGAGTTTCCCATTTCTTTTTTTTTTTTTTTTTTGAGACCGACTTGCACTCTTGTCACCTAGGCTGGAGTGCAATAACATGATCTTGACTCATTGCAACCTCCGTCTCCTGGGTTCAAGCAATTCTTCTGCCTCAGCCTCCCAAGTAGCTGGGATTACAGGTATGCACCACCATGCCTGGCTAATTTTATATTTTTAGTAGAGACGGGGTTTCACCATGTTGGCCAGGCTGGTCTCGAACTCCTGACCTCAGGTGATCCACCCACCTTGGCCTCCCAAAGTGCTGGGATTACAGGCATGAGCCACTGCACCCGGCCCTATTTCCCTATTGTGCTTAGCTTAAAGTGGTTTCTCAGTGAATAGCTGTAGAATAAATTCATGAATGTGTGACTGGAACTCCCTCCCATCCCTAATTAAAATATTCATATCCTTTATTTTCACTCTCCAGTTCTCTGATCTTTGCTCCTTAAGGTGGTGAACAACTAATACATGCTGTTAACATAACAACAAGTCATTGACTGCTTGACTCTCTCAGGTCTTATGTATCAGTATCACTGTATGTATTCGTTTTTGTTTTGAAGACTAAATACTCAATATTTACAATATATCCACTGGCTACTTGTATCTTGGGAATTTGGACACAGGCCATTAGAGAGGGGAGTATCTCAACAAGACTGGATGTGGAGCGATAAAAGTGCCTAGGGGACAGAGCCAGTATGACAATGCCTAGAGTGGTCTGGCTAACAATAGCAAACAACAGCAGGCAGAAAGCAGAGTCCATGCCAATACCTCACACTTGACAGATGGCATCTCATTTCATCCTCACAACAACCTTTGAAGCAGGTTCCAATTTTATTGAAGGAAAAAAAGTTAGGCCCAGAAACATGTATTATGCCAAGACCAGACAGGGAGTAAGGGTAGAGAAAGGATTCAGTTTGGGCCTGCCAATAACTCTTTTACTATCCCTGAGTCCCTCAGTTCCTCAAAGTTATTGTCCAAGCAGCAGCTAGAGGACTGAAGACTTAATCTATTACAAGGAGGGTTTATCATGAAAACTAGGACTGTTAACCCTCTTAATGTGACTGGAGAAAGAAATCTTGGGATAGAAAAGAAATTACTCATTTGGGGCACAGTTTCCTAGCCTTGGCTAGGAAAGGCTGATAGCCCCACCTGATATCCCACCAAAAGTGCCACTTCTCTTGCCACAGATGCCCTTGCCCATGGTGACCATAAGGCTGTTTCTGAACTTGCATCAGCCATGTAAATAAAGGCCTGGATGGCTTCTGTGGCAAAACCTGGGTAAAGATCTCATTTGATAGGAAATGAATTTCATATCCCCACAAGATATTTTGATGTTTTCTAAGAGGCATAACATAAACATTCAAAACAATCTTGTAGTTGATTACATGGATACAGTGGAAAGAGCACAAGACCAAAAGACAGGAGATGGTTGTGAGAATTACATGAGATAATGTATATAAAGCACATAGTAGAGGTTTAAATGAATTATGGCTATTATTATTATGTTGGAGACCCCATATATTAAAAGAGATTGTTATTTAAAAAGAAATTTATGAATACCGACAACCAGTCTTAAGCTAAAATGGCCTCAGTTGGTTCCTGGTAATCAAAATGAAGTTGATTCTGAGAGGAATTCCACAAACTCTCTCTTGATTATCCTGTGAGCATGATTTGTGGAGTCAGGGTGGCTCATGGCTGTGTAAGCACCACACTGAAAGTTGTTATGTATCAGTCTAATAGTCAGTTACTAGTGCTTTGCCATGACCCTGCTCAATTTTTAGAAATGTATTCTTTCGTTTATGACTACAAAGAATATATATTCTTTCTTGAGAATTTGAAAAATCTTAAAAATTATAAGAAAAAATGAAAATCACCCCAAATTCCAACGATAACAATGGGTTTATATCCTTCCAGCCTGTCTCATTTTTTTTTCAATTTCAAAGTGCATGTGTATATATGTATATACAAATGCAGGCACTACCACAAATTGGTTTTGTATTATACACAAACATTTTTAACATGTCATTCACACCAAATATTTTATGGCTGCTCAATGTTCCTCTGAAACATGGTTGCATCGTATGAATTTATTATAATTTAACCAAATTTTACTTTTGTCATTAATATTTTATCATTTTAAATATCAGTGATTAGCATCATTGTACACGTTTGTGTATATTTCTAAAATAATTTTGTTTTTTATGATAAATTTGTGAATTTTCTGGAGAAAACAGAATGTGCATATAATCAT
Organism: Homo sapiens; assembly: GCF_000001405.40. Classification (NCBI taxonomy): domain Eukaryota; kingdom Metazoa; phylum Chordata; class Mammalia; order Primates; family Hominidae; genus Homo; species Homo sapiens. The sequence goes on from NC_000006.12 coordinate 81,913,174, forward strand.
GGCTTTTGATACATTATCCTTCTATGTATCCATTTTGCTTAGGAAACTGTTCATTTAACTCAAATCCACAAACTCCAGATATTATCAAAAAGAAGGCTACCACTGTGATAAGTTCAAAATGCTAACGATTCATTACTTTGATTTATGCTTCCTTTCTGACCTGTGAGTTTGAGTATTTTAAAATATTTATCGAACATTTGTTTTTCCTTGTTAAAGGGTTGTCTGTTCGTAAACTTTCCCCATAATTCAATTGGCCTTTATCTATAATTTCAAATTATTTGAAAGAGCTCCTAACAGATTAAGAGTGTGACTCTTTCGCCAGTACATATATTGTAAATATTTTCCCCAGTTGATCACTTTTTATTTTTTTAAATGCTTTGATTTTTGACATTATAAAGACATTTTTCATTTAGCCAAACTTATCCACCTTTTCAAAAGAAAAGAAACAGCAAGACCTGTATAAAACAGGTAACCTAAAATGGTGGCAGAAATAAAACAAATGTACTTTAATTATGACAGAAAATGTAAATTGTTTAAACATTTGTATTAGAAATAATAACTTCAAGTTGACTAAAAAAATTAAATCCAACTTTATGGAAGACAGCCATCAAAATACAATCTATTTAAGGTGAGAGGATAGTTAAAAAAATAAAGCATCAGTTAAGGGCAAATAACATTTGGAATACTGGAGTAAGAAATATCAGAATTCAAGACAAAAATAACAATAGAAGCAGTAAGAAGACCAAGAAACACACCGTGTATCAATTAATGAGAAAACAATCTACAGGAAATATATAATGGTTACAAAACCATGAGTTGAACAGTCAAGATCAAAATACATAAATCAAAAACTTAGAAATTCAAGGAGAACTCAGCAGAAACATAATGTTATTGGAATAACAGAATTTACCACTCAGTCGTTGATAATTCAAATAAGAAAACAAGAAACTAAAGATACAGATCTGAATAAGCTCATTAATAAGTGTAAATAGATAAATATAGCAAACTCTGTAGCAAAAAAAGTACATCTTTTTTTTTAAGCACTCATGTACAACTTACAAAAATATTATCCTACACACAAAGAAAACAAAACATCTAAAAAATAAGTTACACTGTATACAATGTGATCACAAAGCAATAACACTAGAAATTGTTAACAAAGTATAAACAAATAGAAGAAAATGGGTTGGAGTTTTTAAGTACAGTTATTCCTCAAAATTCACAGGATTTTGGTTTCAAGACCTCTCTCCCAATACCAAAACCTCTAATGCTCAAGTCTCTGATATAAAAAGGTATCATATTTGCATATAACCTATGCACATTCTTCTGTTTAAGTCATGTCTAGATTATGAAAAAAAAAACCTAATACAGTGTAAATGCCATGTAAATAGTTACACTATATTGTTTAGGGAATGATGACAAGGAAAAAAGTCTGTACATTTTCAGTACAGACACAATATTTTTTAAATATTTTAGATCTATGGTTGATTGACTCCATGGATGCAGAACCCACAGATATAGAAGGCTGACTGTACACACATTTCATCAACTCATATTAAATAAAAAATTAAAACTTTGTTTACAAATTAGATCCATATTATTGCCAGAGAAAAATCCAAGACTTTTTAATTATTAACAAGGTATGTTAGGCAAAAAGATAAAATTTTAACCTGAATTTGTGCCTCAAATGGCAATTTGCACAAGCATAGAAAGGAGGTTTTTCATGGCCACAGCTCAGTAAGAACCTACGTTGTAAAAAAGTAGGCCAAAAACCAACATAATCTTGTACTATGTTAATAGGCATTAAATGCTCAGATGAATGCCAGGCATGATCTCTAGACTACCATGTATGGTGCCTGATTCCACTCCTCTTGCAAATCTCATCTCGGGAATAGAAAACATCACATGGCTCCAGGTGGGGAGGAATAAGGAAATACTAAAAAGATTGGGCAGAGTAAAGCAATCTTACCTGTTTTCTTTTTTTTTCTTCCCCCCCCCCCTTCCCCCCACTGTCAGGGTCAGGACAGCATAAGACATAGTGGGATGGGACAAGGATGATAAGCATCTGATCCAAAAGCATAAAAAGATGACCAATGCTTTCTTCATCTCTTATTTTCATTTATCAAAGGGATGGCACTATTATGAGCTATGCATTTGGGGTTAGGAGATTATTTTTTTTTAGGAAGCATCATTGACTTTAGGCAGAGAAGACCAATAGGATGGAGCCCTGAGAGAGAATACAAGGAGGAACTGGCTACCTGCTGAAACCTCTTGAACCTGTCTTTCATAGGTGAAATGGTGTGCTCAAGTTTTCTTCTAACTAGTTTCTCACAGTAGAAAAGTTACGAAGGGATTCAGAGTAGAAGCATAATCGAAGAAGGAAGGAAGTTCATTTGGCTAAAATGAGTTCCTTGACAGTGCAGTAGGTAGCAGGATGGCAGACAAATGTAGACAATAAGAATACCCAGGTCACTGGTCAGGCCATGTCTAAGAACTGTATTCAGGGTCGGGTACTACATTTTAAGTAGAGAATGTGATAAATCAGAAAAGCGGGACAAGGAACGATAAAGGGTCTGAAAATCACATCCTACGAGGAAAGGTTGATGTCTAGCTTGCAAAAGAAGGTAAACCGAATTGGGAGCTTCATGTCTATAAGCATATAAGAGGCGTCCACATCTCTAGTCTATCAAATGGGTAAACAAGGAGGAAAATGGTGCCAATTATGGAGTATCCATATTTGCTCCAAATGAGGAACATTATAACAATTATAAAATGAAAGAGTTGACTTATGGAGCTATCGAGAACCCTTATCTGGATGTGTCTAAGCAGAGATTGGTAAAGATTGTCTTGTTTTTTATTCTTTAAAAATCCATGTAATTTTTTTTATTATACTTTAAGTTCTAGGGTACATGTGCACAACGTGCAGGTTTGTTACATATGTATACATGTGCCGTGTTGGTGTGCTGCACCTATTAACTTGTCATTTACATTAGGTATATCTCCTAATGCTATCCCTCCCCCCTCCCCAGGGGAACAGGAAGGGGAACATCAAACACCCCACAAAAGGCCCCGGTGTGTGATGTTCCCCTTCCTGTGTCCAAGTGTTCTCATTGTTCAATTCCCACCTATGAGTGAGAACATGCGGTGTTTGGTTTTTTGTCTTTGTGATAGTTTGCTGAGAATGATGGTTTCCAGCTTCATCCATGTCCCTACAAAGGACATGAACTCATCAATTTTTATGGCTGCATAGTATTCCATGGTGTATATGTGCCACATTTTCTTAATCCAGTCAATCATTGTTGGACATTTGGGTTGGTTCCAAGTCTTTGCTATTGTGAGTAGTGCCACAATAAACATACGTGTGCATGTGTCTTTATAGCAGCATGATTTATATTCCTTTGGGTATATACTCAGTAACGGGATGGCTGGGTCAAACAGTATTTCTAGTTCTAGATCCCTGAGGAATCGCAACACTGTCTTCCACAATGGTTGAACTAGTTTACAGTCCCACCAACAGTGTAAAAGTATTCCTATTTCTCCACATCCTCTCCAGCACCTGTTGTTTCCTGAGTTTTTAATGATCGCCATTCTAACTTGTGTGAGATGATATCTCATTGTGGTTTTGATTTGCATTTCTCTGATGGCCAGTGATGATGAGCATTTTTTCATATGTCTGTTGGCTGCATAAATGTCTTCTTTTAAGAAGTGTCTGTTCATATCCTTTGCCCACTTTTTGATGGGGTTGTTTTTTTCTTGTAAATTTGTTTGAGTTCTTTGTAGATTCTGGATATTAGCCCTTTGTCAGATGAGTAGATTGTAAAAATTTTCTCCCATTCTGTAGGTTGCCTGTTCACTCTGATGGTAGTTTATTTTGCTGTGTCAAAGCTCTTTAGTTTAATTAGATCCCATTTCTCAATTTTGGCTTTTGTTGCCATTGCTTTTGTTGTTTTAGATGTGAAGTCCTTGCCCATGCCTATGTCCTGAATGGTATTGCCTAGGTTTTCTTCTAGGGTTTTTATGGTTTTATAGATTAAACATAATTGAAGCTTTATATTAAAGAGTGAATTGGTGTCATTCTAATATAAACATGTTTATCTCATGTACATTGAAATGTTAGATAATTCATTCATTAACAATAAATTGAGTGAGTCAAAACTTCAAAAAAAATCCATGTAATTTCTCCTCTCTTTCATTTATTCATTCCTTTTACTGGATACCTACTTGGATCAAGCCTATACTAGGTGCTGAGGAGACCAAGAAGAATAAAACACAATCTGACAAGGTACTCTCATCCTCTGAAGAAGATTGGCACAATATAAAAAGGGTGATAGGAAGGGGAACCTACCCAAACTGACAAGGCTTGACTTCAGAAGTAATTCTAGGAGGATGGGTATAGAAAAAATGCACCAGGCCTCAGAATCAGAATCAGTCCACCTACCCTCCCTCCGTAATGTGGCAATGGCACAGGCAGTCCCTGAGGGGCTAAATCCCTGCTACAGGGAGAGTCCCCAGGTCCAGGAGAATATTTTTGAAAGTTTTCAGGCCTGGAATCTTAATCGAGGTCTTCTCTTGAGTCCTGGTAGTATCATCATATAAATAACCAACTTAGGCAATTAAATGCTAATAGCCTTATAAGAAGTTGAAACTGAAACATACTTCTGTAAATGTAATCTACATTTACTATACTAGATACTACACTAGATACTCATACAGTGTATACTCACGTAAGTGGGCTGACTACCATCCAATAACAGCATTGGCATGGGTGCAAATGGGAAAAACAAAGGCCAAATTGATGTTTTACTTTGGAGCAGGATAAGGGAAGTACTCTGACAGACTGTGCCAGCATAAGCCTCATAAAAACAACTGGGAATGTAGAAAAGAAAAGGAAAAAAGTGGACAGAGTGATAAAGAAAGATAATGTTAAGTACATATAACCAGCATCTACTTTGATTCAGTATACTACACTACAGGTTTTTCTCCATAACATTTTCTTGTCAAATATTATTCTCAGGGCAAGATAGTAAGATCAACAATGTGGGTAGTCAGAGTTAAGCCTCATACAGTGAGGACACTCCAATCCTCTGAGTTCTCACTCTCCCTCTTCTATCTCTACTCCCTCTGTCTATCTCTCTCTGTCTCCCTCCCTCTCCTCAGTAGGTAAGTAGATAGATAGATGGATAGATAGATAGATAGATAGATAGATAGATAGATAGACAGACAGACAGATAGATAGATAGATATTGTTCAGTTAGAGTTTGTGGCCTCAAACCTTTATATCACCCTTTGGTCACTATCAAAATGGAAGTTCCTTGGAAAAATAATACTATTCTATCAGACGTCGATACTCTCTTGGGCTGGGGGTACTAACAGGGTACCACTGCACTTCACAGCTTGACTTGAAGGGTGCTGACAAAATACGATGTGAATCTATATGAACTATTGAGCAGGGTCCTGGCCACATAGCAGGTTCTCAATGAAGGCCAGTTTCCTCCTTCCATAACTCTCCCTTTTGCTTCTCTTCTCAATAGGCTTAAAGAATCACATTGCTAGAGTCATAGTAATTCTCCAAGGAAGTGGCCCAGGCTTGGGGTGATGACAAGCACAAACTCCTTATATGATGCTGTTCTTTGCCATAACACATCCATTGTGCCAACACCCTTCTTCTTGTCACATGGTAGGTCTTCAAAAAATGGGAATGCCCCCCTCTTCTCCTTCCTTCAGAAGGAAATGACATTAGTTTCTCTTCCACTTAACTTCATTAAATCCAACTGAACATACATTTAGTGTCTTCTAAATACTACTTGTTATTTAGTCCTGTGATGAGCTCAGCTACCTGAGGTTGCAAAATGCTTAACTGTGGAGTTGTTGGACAACTAATAATTCTGAGAGACTCAAGCCAGGCTAAGTGGGGTTGGCAGGGGGTAGTGGGAGGGTCCTCATAGATTGGTCTTGCTGCACTCCTCACTGTGACCTCACTCTGTCCAGGAAGGACACTGTGAGCTATCCCTCACTCATAGGCATTGTAGGGTCCTGCACATGCTCAGAATATTCATTTGATTTATTACAATTCTAGATATTAATGAAACACAATATTACTGCCTTTGTAGCCTAGATTAACCCAGTTTGCTGAGGCCATGACTAAGTTTATCTGATATCAAGTATTTGGCAATGAGGACATTAAAAATTTAAGTACATCTTTTCCTGTAAGTACGGGGTGTGGCTAAAGCAATAATCCTGCTTTATTTTCAAATAACATAAACATGACTAGCATTTTGACAAATTAGCCTATCATTACAAAATTACCAGCTCAAGAAAAATTATTACAATTCAGGAACCCCTTCCACTGCTATAAACTACTCTCCCAGATATATTTAGATTTGTGCATCACCACACATCTCTCATTTTGTAATAATTTAAAACAATGATGGTGTGATTACAAGAGAGAGAAGCAAGACATATTTCATGATAGCCCAAGATTTTCAAAAACATAAAGATGGTGTACGCTAATTCAACCTTTGGAGAAGTTAAGAGGTGATAGGTACACAAGCAGATGGACTTGGTCCACAAGCAAGATCACAAGCTTCTCTCATGTCATTGAAGGTTTCCAGCCATTTATCCTTACAGAGCATTTTTCCAGGGAGGCAATACAACACAGATGCTGTATCCACAGAGCAACGTATCTGTCCTTGCGAGGGGAACATCATCTTAGTAATTCAAAGACTAACTCTAAATACCTAACATTTACTAAGTCTGTGCCATGTATGTGTTAATATACTGAGTGATTTACATGAATTATCATACATGAGATAGATAATATTATAATGTCTAATTAACAGATGAAGAAATTTAGGTTTAGAAAGTTACTGAAGCAATATTACCTGTAAAAGACAGAGCAGAAATTTGACCCTGGCTTCACTAAACCTAGAGCCACACTCTTATTTGCTGTGCTGGGCTTCCATGAACAGAAGAAACTCTTTCAAGTTGGAAACAGCCAGGGTCGCTATGATCCCCTGAACAACCAATTTCTCTTCTTGTGCTCTAGGCTGAATTGTTTGAATCAAGCAGAATGCAATATGCTCACACATACACACACATATTTTTCACATAGAAAGTCTTCATGAACATACACAGAAAGTAAAGATATTTACTAACAGTAACATCTTTGAAAAAAAATTCTACACCACCACTAGGACTTGACTTAAATGTGAATTACAAGGTAACTGCGATTTCTCATAATTTTAAAAATTCTGGTAATATGTTCTTCCTTCTCAGAAAATATCCCATACTGATGATGGAAAACATATTGTATGAGGTCCATTCTTTGAACATTGCTCTTTTTGTAGTACCCCTCACTTAAAATGCAAATATTACTGGAAGTGTAACTTAGTAAGTCATGAGCAACTTTATGTAAGTAGTTTTATTATAACCCTCAGTTCCCATGAGCCAAGAGGGCATTCAGGGTGCTTAAACACACAATGGACCTCAGCTAAAAAACAAACCAAAACAAAAAATCTGGTAGTCATCTAGGGCTTGTCTCAAAACTAGTGAGCAGGTTCACAGAATGACCAACACGTAAGAGAAGATGGTATGTCTTCTATTGTAGGGGAGAGCTAGAGATCTCTGTTTTATAACATAGCAGTAGCTTTCCTAATAACATTTTAATATCTAAGTTATGTCCAAATGTTATTTGGGCCTCTGGGCATTTTTGAAAACAACATTCTCAGATTCTATGCATAATGATTACCTCGCTTATAATAAAATACCGCAGGATATTTTCTAAAATTTCCTATTGAATAAAAAGGTGGACCTGGACTGCTGTTCCTGGGAAGATGGAGTAGATACACTCTTCCCTCTTCCTTTCACTAAGTACAACTAAAAACCATGGGTAGTCAATAGAAAACAAGCATAATAAGACTTTGAAACTCTGAAGAGTGGAAAGAAGGAGGAAGACTGGCTATGGAAATGAAGACCCAAAAAATAGCACAGTGGTGAGACCACTGGATTTTCTTTTTGTTTCACATATATCCCAGACTAGAAGCTGAAAATATCAACCACCATGAAATGCCAATCAATGGGTGCAGGAGGAAAAAAAAAAAGTTTGCTCTCTCTAGCCAGAGGACCAAAAGAGTTAGCTTAGAAAGAAAGAAAACTTTCTTACACAATGTCTGTTCTACTCCAGCCATTCATCAGAGAAAAAAAATCGTAGCACCACTCTACCTGTGCCAGAGAGGCCAAGTGAGAGCCTAGACTTCCACACTCCTGATGCCATACCAAGGCACCCGAATATCTCCACCAGGGTGGAGTCAGAGAGGGTTAAATATGAAGCTGGGCTTTCATCCCCCAAGCAGGTAATGAGCTCCCAAGCCCACACAGTCCATGGAGACCAAGCGTAAAGCCTGGACTGCCACTCCCACCTAGTAGTAATGAATTGGTCCTTTCTCCACTGGGATGGTGTCAGAGGAGGCATAAGAGGGGAGTCAGTCCTTTCACCATTGTCCAGTGCTAACAAGGCCACCAACACCATGGGGATTGGCAACTTCCATCTCCCTCTGGCAATAATGAGGACCCCAGTATCAATAGAGGATGAAAGGAAAGCCTGAACTTCTACTCTACCTGACGATAATGAAGCATGATCTCTCTGTTGGAGCAGTGTCTGATAAAAAAAAAAAAAAAAGAAAAAACAGCTAAAACAGAAGATTTATGCTGTAAGACTGAGAGTCTTATAATGGAATTCTGAAAATGTCCAGACTTCAATAAAAAAATCACTCACTCTACAAATAACCAAGAAGTTCTCAAATTAAAAAAGACAATCAGTAGACTCCACCACCAAGAAGACAGAGATGTTAGAATTTCCTGACAAAGATTTTAAAGTGGCTTTTATGAAAATACTCCAATAATCAATTACAAATGTGTTTCAAACAAATGATAAATTAGAAAGCCTAGGCAAAGAAATAGAAGAGATAAAGAAAAATCAAATGTAAAAGAAATAAAAAGAAATAACTGAAATAAAAATTTAAGCAGATGGACTTAAAAATCAGAATGGAGAGGACAGAGAAAATAAACAGAGAACCAGTGGATAGGAAGATAAAGCAATAGAAATTACCCACTATGAAATATAAAAAAAAAACTACACTGATAAAATAAACAGTCTCAGGAGCTTGTGGAACTACAACATAATATCTACATTTGTGTCACTGGAATTATGGAGGGAGAGGAGAAAGAAAGTGGTGCTGAAAAGAACTTGAAATAATAATGGCTGAAAAGTTCTCAATTCGACAAGAGGCATAAACCTACAAATTCACAAAGCTTAGCAAGCCATAAACAGAATAAAGCCAAAAAATTTACTCTAATACACGCAATAATTAAACTTTTGAAAACCAAAGATAAAGAAAAAATCTTGAAACAGTCTGAGAAAAACAACACTTTATCTATGGAGAAAATAATTAAAATGACAATGAATTTTTCATGAGAAACCACAGAGGCCAGCAAAGGTGGCACAACATATAAAAAGTGCTGAAAGAAAATCATCATCAATCTAGCATCCCATAACCAGCAAAAATATCTTTCAGGCATGAAGGGGAACTCAAGACATTTTCAGATTAAAAAAACCTGAGAGTTTGTTATCATCAGATCTACCATAAAATTATAGTTAAATGTTTGCCTAAACAGAAAGGAAACACTAAAAGAAAGAACCTTGGAACATAAATGAATGTAGAGAAAATATTAATAGTTAAGACAATTATATTATAAATGGGGGAGGATAAAGGGATTTAAAAGGAGGTAAGATTTCTATACTTCACCCGAACTGGTAAAATGACAGTATCAGTAGATTGTAATGTTATGAATATATATATATTATATATATATAAATATAATATATATATATATATTTAATATATATAATATATTAAATATATATATTTAATATAATATATATATAATATATATATATAATGAAATAGCTAGAGTTAAAAGAAGAGTTTTTTAAGTTATACCAAGAGATACATTCAAAAACACTATAAACAAATAAAAATAAAATTATAAAGAGTGCTCAAGTAACCCACAGAAAGGTAGGAAAAAGAAAACATAAATGAAAAACAGAACAAACGAAAAATAAAACCAAAATGACACAGTTAAGTTATAACATATCAATAATTATTTTAAATATAAATGTACTAGTTAAAGGATAAAAGAAACTGAACTTATAATTCAAAAATTTCCCCCCAAAATCTCTAGGCCCAGATGTTTTTACTGGAGAATTCTACCAAACTTATGTACAAGAATTAAAACCAATTTTACACAACCTCTTCTAGAAAATAGAAAATAAAGGAACACTTCCCAGTTCATGTTATGAGGTTAGTGTTATCTTGATACCAAAAACCATACAAAGATAATACGCAGTTTAAAAAAAGAGCAATATTGCTTATGAATATATGTGCAAAAATACTTTACAAAATATTAGCAAAAAAAGTCAGTAACATATAAAAAGAATTACATACTTTGACCAAGTGGCATTTATTCCAGGGATGAAAGTCTAGCTCAATATTTAAAAATCAATCACTGTAATCCATCATAAGAGGCTAAGAAAAAAACATTGCATAATTGTACCAACTTGACAAAAGTCCATACCCATTTATAATAAAAAGTCTCAGAAAAATTAGAATAGAGGGGAAGTTTCATCAGCTTCAGAGCATCTACAAAAAATCAATAGCTAATACTATACTTAATAGTAAAAGACTGAATGCTTTCCCCCTACTATCAAGAAAAGGATGTATACTCTCACTACGCTTATTTCAACATAACACTGGAAGTTCCAGTCAATGCAATAAGATAAGAAAAAGAAATAAAAGTCATACATGTGAAGAAGGAAGAAATAACACTGTCTTTATTTGAACATAACATCTTGATCTATATTGAAAATCTTAAGGAATTCACAAAAAGACTACAAGAACTAATAAGTGAGTCCAGTGAGGTCACAGGATACAAGGTAAACATATAAAAATCAATTGTATGTCCATATACTGGCAAAGGACATATAGACACCTAAATTAAAAGCACAATACCATTTACAATTGCTCAAAAAAAAGAAATAGGTATAAATCTAACAATACATGTACAGTATTGATATGCTGAAAACTAAACAACAATAATAAAAGAAATTAAAGAAGATTTCAATACATGGAGAAATATACCATGCTCATAGATCAGAAAACTGAACATAGTCAAGATGGCAATTCTCTCCAAAACTGATAGATGGTTAATATCATTCCTTTCAAAATTCCAGTAATATTTTTATAGATATGGACAAAAGAATTCTAGAATTTATGTGGAAAGGCATTGGCACTAACACAGCTAAAATAACTTTGAAAAATAAGACAAAGTGGGAGGAACCAGTCTACCTGATTTCAAGACTTAACAGCCACAGTAGTCAATCCTATTGTATTTGTGTAGGGCTAGACATACAGATCATTAAAACAGAACCTAGAAATAGACCTATACAAATATTTCTAGCTTCTATTTAATGAAGTTACAAAAACACTTCAAAAGAGGAAAGGTAGCCTTATTGATAAATGGTATCAGGCAATTGGGCATCCATAGACAACAAGAAGACAAGGAGTCAGCGAAGTGGAGAAGGAGGAGGTGGAAGGAGAAGAAGGAAGAGGAGGAGATCAACTTAGACTTAAGTCTGATACCTTAATAAAAATTAAATAAAATTGAATCACAGTCTTCACTATAAAGCATAAAACTATAAAATGTTTAGAAAAAAATTAGGAGAAAATTTTCAGGATCTACTTCTGAGCAAATAATTCTTAGACTTGAAACCAAAAGCACATAAAAGGAAATTGGTAAATTGAACTTCATCAAAATTACACATTTTTGCTTCACATAAGACTCTGTTAAGAGACTGAAAAGACATGCTACAGACTGGGAAAAAATAATTGCACATCATATATCTGACAAGGAACTAGTATCTAAAAGATACGTTAACTTAAAAAAAACTCTGAAAACCCAGCAACAAAAAATATCATTATAAGATGGGCAAAAGACACGAAAAGACATTTTATTGAGGAGGATATGTAGATGGCAGATAAGCACATGAAAAAATGTTCAATATCAATAACCAGTAGAGAAATACAAATAAAAACCACAATGAGCTATCACTGCACACCTATCAGAATGGCTTACATGAAAAAATAGTGACAACACCAAATGTTGGCAAGGATACAGAGAAACTGGACAGATCAGCTGTTGGGGATTTAAACTGCTATGGCTGCTCTACAAAACATTTTGGCAGTTTCTTTAAAAATTAAACATGCAATTACCATGTGGCCTAGAGATTGTACTCCTGGGCACATTTTTTACACCAGAGAAACAGAGTTATGTTCACACCAAAATCCTGTATCCAAATTTTTATAGTGGCTTTATTCATAATAGCCTAAACCTGGAAAAAACCCAAATACCCTTCAACAGGTGAATGATGAAACAAATTTCAGTGCATCTATACCATAGAATACTACTCAGCAATAAAAAACAAACAAGTATATTTTCCATGCAGAAAAATATGGATGAATCTCCAGTGAATTAACGCTGAGTGAAAAAGTCCAGTCAGAGAAAGTTACATATTGCATGGTTCCATTTTTGCAACATGCTTGAAATGACAAAATTATAGAAATGGAGAACAGATTAGTCTTTGCCAGGGGTTAAGGAGAAGAGGCGGCCAGGTAGGAAATGGCTGTGGCTATAACTGGCAACATAAGAGATCCTTGTAGTGATGGAAATGTTATATTTCTTGACTCTATCAATGTCAATAGCTTGGTTGTAAAATGTGCTCTAGTGCTGCAAAATATTAACATCGTGGGACACTGGGAAATGAATACATGCGATGTTTCTGAACTCTTTATTACTTCTTCTTCCTTTTTTTTTTTTTTTGTTTGTTTGTTTGATTTTTTCAGTAGAGATGGTGGAGGTGGAGGGTTCCAGGGTGATCTTGAACTCCTGGCTTCAAGGGATCCTCCCACCTCAGCCTCCCAAAGTGCTGAGCCACCGCGCCTGGCCTATTTCTTACCATTGCATGTGTATTTACAATTTTCTCAAAAGAAAAAGTTGAATTAAGAGATAATACTCAGAAGCCATCCAAAACAAAATAAATACAGGTTCTTAACAATATATACATGTTAAGTTGTATCTATATGTTATTTGACATCCTCTACCAGATGTTTGGAAACTGAGAAATTTGATCATGGAGATTAAATAATTTATATTATTTTTCTTTTTACAAAATACCTGGAACAGGGATGGCAAATAGATTAAATTTGATACATTATTTGATGGGAAAGGGTGCTATAAGGGAAGAGGAATGTCTGTTATGAGCCCTGTATTGGGGGATGTTGTGGCCTGTGTACCACCTAATTGCCATTCCTGCCTTGGAGTTTTAACCTAAAGCCTTGTCAGTAGGATCTCTGATAGCTTGGGAATTCCTGAGACTAGGACTTTCCAAAATAGCACCCATTTTAGTTTCACTCAAATGCTAGCATTTAAAAGCTGCTAAATCTCCTGGGTTGTCACTCTGGATATGCCATGCGAAATGGCTGGGCTACAAAGTTGGCTGTTTAGCTGATGTTCCACAATTATCATTTGCTGCCCCACAAACACATTATGCAGTTCATTGCTCAGGAAAATTTTCTCTTTGTTTGAGTTACAGGGATTAAACGTATTACCCCTTAATCCCTTTGATGCATCCAGGCCATTTTAAAATTGAATGTTTTTCTATTAACTCTCCTACTGGGAACCAATTCACTGACACTGTAGCAACAGAGCCAGGCAATCCTGATTAATTACAGAATTTTTGCCCTTCTGCTCCGTGAGTCTCTCTGAAATATCTAATAACAAAAGCACTTAAATAAATCTATGGGGTTAATCAATGTTTCATGTAATTTGTAATAAGAAACTTCAAAGCCTTTCAAATAAATAGTGAGAGAGAGATGAGAACTAGCAGATTAAAGGAACAAGTGTTTAAGAATTCGTATGTATTAAAGGCTCAAGCCATGTCAATTCTCAAACTAACCAAAAAACTAATTCATGTTAGAAAATCAGCACACACTTTGTTTGTTACAATTCTTGAAATGGAGAACATGAGTTTATAAATTAAATTATACATTCAATTCAGAGGCTGTAATGCTGCTATCAAATTTATGGCCTCCAATTTACAGAGATCAAGACATAATAAACAATCAGGGAGGGAGGCTCTCTGGTCATCAGATCTGCTTTAAGTAGATGGGTTGGACTGAACATTCTCCATATGGTAACCACAGGGATGAATGAGGGCTTCTATTTTTGTTACTGGTGACTGTGAAGAAAGGTATATCAGAAAGACCTGTCTGATGTAGAAAAATGAATATTATACTTCACTTTTTGTGCCACAGAAAATGGAAGAGATCAGTGCAGGTGAAGATTTAAGCATCTCAATTGTAGATTAGCACGTATTGAGAAATTAATCTGCCCACTGAATAATACAAGAAAAAATTGTGACCCCAGAAGAATTAGCATCACAGGAAGATCACAGAATGAAACACATTTTGATTCTGAAAAAAAAAAACTTGCGCAAACTTAAAATTCACAACCTATTTCAAGATATTTCTCATCGGCAACCTTATAACTATGTAGCATAAAATTTATTTTATACATCAACAAGGATCAGTTTCACTCATGATTATTTTTCATTAACTGATTTTCTTACACTCTAATATTGTATTTATTTCCTGAGGCCTATTATGTAGACTTATTCCAAAGAAGAACAACAGTGCTGAGGAGTTGTTCATAGTTGCTTAAGGACAAAGCACTGTGCTAAATATTGTGGAATTATTATATGGTGCCCCACACACAGAATCCCTGGAAATTAATTTAGACAGGCAAGAATTGGTTTGATTTTCATGTGTGCAATGAGACAAGCCTTTTTGAAATTTGAAAGATAAAATTCCTTTCAAAGATGCCACTTGTCAGCCTAATAAGAAAATCATCTGTACTTTTTCCTACATATTTTCCTGAGTATTAAACTTTTTAATCAAGGCCATGTGAGCATTGAAGTATTATAAAGCTCATTTGTTTTACTTAGGAAAGTCTATTCATCTGGGATATCACACACTATTCACAGTTTTTCCATTTTTATTTTCTAATTAATATTTTCTTCCTCTTTCTATATTTGCTGTTTACATTTTTGTAATTTGACACTAATCATTGCACCAGTATTGTGGGCTCCTATGTCTGCATACGTCATCATGCTGGAGGCTGGAAGAGATACACAGTTGTGAGTCCAAGTTTTGGCCTTCAAGGTGGCATGCGTTCCAGTCAAAGAAAAAGACCCACACACCAGACACAAAAGGGATCATGACCGGGGCCTTGCTGCTCAAAAGGTGTTTCTCAGACCAGCATGCTCCCTTGGAGTTTGTGAGAAATGCAGTCTAAGTCCTATTGAATCAGAAGACGCATGTTAACAAAATCCCCACACAGTTCATATTCCCAGTACAATATGAGGATTGGGCAACGGGCTTGGTGTGGAAGGGGAACTGAGTATGGAAATAAGAAGCCTAAAAATTCCACACAGTACCGCTGGCAGAACAATTTGGAGGACATGGTTCACAGTCATTTCCTAGGTATAGTTATATTTGGATTTTGAACCTTACCTGGTCTGAGGACAGTTGAGCAAAGGTACATGGATGGGGATCCATCTAAAATAAATAATTTAAAGGCTTGAAGAAATCTCTCAAATTAAAGGATGCTCATTTCTGTTTGTATTCTTGTACATCAGATTTTTGTAATACAGAATTCTCCTGACATCACTAACTCGTAAGTAAAAATAAGATCAGATTTGCTTTGATATTCAAGTTACATAGATTTCTAGATCCCATATGATCAGAGTAGCAACAAATGCAGTTATCCACCAATCCAACCTCCAACACCTTACTTCTTTAAAATTTTTTATTGTGGTAAAATACAGATTTTACCTATATTCAATGGCATTAAGTACCTTCATATTGTTTCCAATCATCACCACTGCCTATTTCAAGAACTTCATCATCACAAACAGAATCTCTCTTACCCATTAAACAATAATTCCCTATTCCGTTCTGCCCCTAGTTCCAGGTAACCACCACTCTACTTTCTGTCCTTATGAATTTGACTACTCTAGGTACCTTACATAAGTGGAATAATACAGTATTTGTTCTTTTGTGATAGTTCACATGGCATAATGTCCTTTTGGTTTGTTCATGCTATAGCATGTATCAGAATTTTATTCCTTTTTAAGGCCAAATAATATTCCATTGTATGTACATATGACATTTTTTAAACGTTTATTTTAGGTTCAGGTACATGTGAAGGTTTGTTATAGGTAAACTAGTGTCACAGGGGTTTGTTGTACAAATTATTTCATCAACCAGGTATTAAGCCCAGAACCACATAGTTATCTTTTCTGCTCCTCTCCTTCTTCCCACCCTCCACCCTAAAGTAAACCCCAGTGTTTGCTATTCCCTTCTTTGTGTTCATAAGTTCTCATCATTTACATACCACATTTTTATCCATTAATCTGCTGATGGACATTTGGGTTGTCTGTAGCTTTTGGCTGTTATGAATAGTGCTGCATAAAACCTTACCTTTTCATGTTACTGAGTGTAAAGCTATTGAGAGCTACCTCTGCATCGTTCTGAAGCTGAGCAATCTTGGCAGCTTTCACAGAAGCTGTCATCATGTGCATGATGGAGCTATTGGGGGCAGAATGCCCTATTTCACTTCATTTTTGCTGAAGTGCAGATTGACTGCCAAAACCAAGACAATCTAATCCAAGTTCTACTCACTAGTGTGTTGAAACCTTACCAAGACACAGAATTCCTGTGGGAAGCAGGACATACCCTCCCCCAGCAGTAAGCTTACACTCAAAATTAGCCCGGCTGCCAAGTGTACAGTGCTGAGTGTTAGCCATTGCCGGTCACTCAGAAGCAGCCACTTCCTCCAAAGCATGTGGTGGCACCCTAGAAGTGGGTAAGAGGAGATGCCAGTACCACTCTGAACATCCCAGAGCCAGTCGCCACTCTCACAACCCACATCCTGGGTGCATTCTACAAAGCTAGTATGGATCCATTTCCCTCCAGCTTTCCTGGACTATTGCTTGGTGACTAATTTCAGAGCAGCTCTTTAGTCTTTTCTTGCCATCTCACCTTAATAGAGGTTACTGCCAGTCCTTTGGATGTGTTTTTAAAACTGAAACACAAAGTGGAAGAACTGGGACCTGAAGAGTTTCACCGCACAAGCTCCTGTGTAGCAAGTACTTTTCCAGAATTTGTATCTTGTAATCTCCAATCTCTTTAGGGCACTGAGTTTCACAGAGGGGTATGGGAACTCTATCCATCCATAGAGCTGGATCCAGGCCTGGCTCAATTTAGTCTCATTATATGCTCTCCCTGAACTGGAGTATCAGCTTTACATGCAATACATCCAGGTGGTTCTTCTCAGACTAAAGGAATCTACCCAAAGGAGAATGATCAGCTAGCTCATCTTTGAGGCACCAGAAAGTACAGCTTATTTTAAAAGACTTTCCAGCCTATAAGAGGATTTAAATTTGATTTATTCTGAGTATTCTGTTACACATATGTGCACTTATGTTTCTGAGTACTCTGTTGTACATCTGTGCACTTACGGCCCTGATGGGACAAGACCAGTACAACTCTAATTAAATCAAAGAGTAGCCTCTGAAGGAAAAACTCACCCTGCGGGAAAGGAGAATCAGGCAAATAAACTTGACCCAACTAAACTTCAGGTATCTGAGGTTCACTCACTTCTTAGCGCTACATGGTGTCTATCTCTTAGGTCTGACATCACACACAAACAGCTAGGTGCTAGGGAGCAGAGGTGTTTTGAGAAAACCTAGAAGGACTCCCTTCACTCTGTAAAGCAGTGGAGCTTAGAAAATGCTCTGGTGATGCCTATGTGCCAGCCAGTGACACAAAAGTGGCTGTTGGAGGTGGTGATTACTCCATTTCTGTGAGGAAGATAGCACAGCTTTGGTACCTGGATGACTTAAGCACATTCAGGCCCAAACACACAGGCTGCAGTATCCAGAGGAAATGTGGGGGCAGAAGTAATGTGTCTGGCAGGGAAGTGGCACTGGTGTATCTTGGAGTGGTTTCAGCATCTGCATAGGTATGGATGTCCCAAAGAGATGCTGATGTCAACTGACAGAGGCCTTACATTTAGAAAAGGAAGCTTATGGTGCTCGCTTCGGCAGCACATATACTGGAAAAGGAAGCTTATGGAGGGACCGGAAGGAGGCTATTTCATCCAGCTTTGTTTGACATGACCTTTGCTTAAGGGCACCAGGGCAGGAAAGTAGAAAGTGACATATGCTATAGTGTGTCATATAGGATCTATGTCTAAGCCCTTGTGAGACACTCTGGGGGACTCCTAGGAAAACCTAAAGGGAGACCCTCAATGGGAGTGAGGTTAAATTCTAACTCACACTATCCAAAGGCTCCCATTACTTTTACCATGGATTTCCTTGGACTCAGAACACACACGATCCCTTAAAATAATACACATAAGAAAGCTGAACCTGGATCCCTTTCTTACACCTTACACAAAAATCAACTCAAGATGGATTAAAGACTTAAATGTAAGACCTAATACCATAAAAACCCTAGAAGAAAACCTAGGCAATACCATTCAGGACATAGGCATGGGCAAAGACTTCATGACTAAAACAACAAAAGCAATGGCAACAAAAGCCAAAATTGACAAATGGGATACAATTAAACTAAAGAGCTTCTGCACAGCAAAATAAACTATCATCAGAGTGAACAGGCAACCTACAGATTGGGAGAAAAATTTTGCAATTTATCCATCTGACAAAGGGCTAATATCCAGAATCTACAAAGAACTTAAACAAATTTACAAGAAAAAAAAACCCCAACAAAAACTGGGCAAAGGATATGAACAGACACTTCTCAAAAGAAGACATTTATGCAGGCAAAAAACATATGAAAAAAAGCTCATCATCACTGTCATTAGAGAAATGCAAATCAAAACCACAATGAGGTATCATCTCGTGCCAGTTAGAATGGCAATCATTAAAAAGCCAGGAAACAACAGATGCTGGAGAGGACATGGAGAAATAGGAACGCTTTTACACTGTTGGTGGGAGTGTAAATTAGTTCAATCATTGTGGAAGATAGTGTGGTGATTCTTCAAGGATCTAGAACTAGAAATACCATTTAACCCAGCAACCCCATTACTGCATATATACCCAAAGGATTAAAAATCATTCTACTATAAAAACACATGCACATGTATGTTTATTGCAGCCCTGTTCATGATAGCAAAGTCTTGGAACCAACCCAAATGCCTATCAATGATAGACTGGATAAAGAAAATGTGGCACATATACATCATGGAATACTACACAGCCATAAAAAATGATGAGTTCATGTCCTTTGCAGGGACATGGATGAAACTGGAAACCATCATTCTTAGCAAAGTAACACAAGAAGAGAAAACCAAACACAGCATGTTCTCACTCATAAGTGGGAGCTGAACAATGAGAACACATGGACACAGGGAAGGGAACATCACACACTGGGGCCTGTCAGGGGATGGGGGGCTAGGGGAGGGATAGCATTAGGAGAAATACCTAATGCAAATGATGAGTTGATGGGTGCAGCAAACCAACAAGGCACATGTATACTTAGGTAACAAACCTGCATATTGCACATATGTACCCCAGAGCTTAAAGTATAATTTAAAAATAATAATAATAATAAAAATACACATATATTCAAATTTAAGAATGCTTCTTTAGGATGAGCAAATGATTAGGTTTTCCCTTCTTACCTCATTTCCTAAATAGGACTTGTTTTTAACTATGCTGTTTGTTATGTTTTTAAGAGTGAGGAACATTGAACGATTCACTGCTTTGAAATCTTTACTATATCTCCCCATGATGTATAGTGGTAGGTCACAACTTCAAGGACAATGAGGTGGATGGACAGGTAACTATGTGTGAATGTGTGATATGATGGTTACAAGACCACAGAGAGTGGCTGGAGAGAGCACTGGCCCTGTCTAAAGGCATGCTGCTTCATTGAAAACAAAACAAAAACCAAAAACCCTTCACCACACAAAACATGTCCATGGGCCACATTAAGCCAAGAGGCTACCTGGATTGTCATTATATCATTGTTGTAACTCTCACCACATAGATAGTTTACCTCTAGCTCAGGCTGAGATCAACTCTGTCTTTCATGGTTGACATGGATGAAAACGAACGGAAGCATATCATAGTATCACTCCAATTATCCTTGGAGCTGGCCAAAAGAAGGGACCCTACTGCTTCATCTTTGTATTCTGTTTACCAGTTCAGTTTGCAAATAATCAGCATTGTGATCTCATGGGGAAACTATGTCAGATAAAAGAGAATGATAATACCAAACAACTATTGGGAGCTCATTTCTTGCCAGGCCCTGTACTAGGAATTTTCCTTATCCTGTTTCATTTACTCTTCCTAACTAACCTATTGCATAAGAACTATCATTATCGCAATTTTATGGATGAGAGAGCTGAACACAATAGGTGAAGCAGAAATTTGGTGACTGCAAAGTCTATGATTGTAACCAAAATATATATATTTATATAAAGCAAGTGTGAGTCAGTGGTTCAAGGATTGTGCAATAGGCTAGAAGGAAAGATATTGAATGTAGGTAATATTTAACAGGGAATTACTGTTTCCAACAATAGACCTTAGCAGCATTAGCAAGAGGAAGAGCAGTGGACCCAGGAGAGCTTGGAGAGGGGCTCAGTGGTGGGAGACTGAGGTTAGGGTTAGGGTTGAAGTGCAATCTGACAGAAGGGTGGGTGGAGACAGTGTTGAGTCTGAGCTTCTCCTCCCCCACAATTTCTCTTTCTTCATCCCCCCTCTACCCTTCATCTGTCCACTTACACAAATTCCAACTAAGAAGAGATAACCGAAACTTAGAAAAACACTGTATTTCATATATTTGAAGCATACGTGATTTCTCTCTACATCTCCCACCCTCCCCTTGGGTGTCTGGCCTCTGTTAAGTTAGGAAAACAGAAAAATGTAAACTTTAGTGATGTGGAGAAAAGGACAGACTCTTCCCCTTCATACCGCACCACAGTTGTATTCTAAGGTCTAGGTTAGGTGTGTTACGGATGTTTCTCTCTGAGGGAGGGGCCTGAAGAGATCAGAGACAATGAACTCCAACCCCTACAGAAGCCTTGAGAGGCAGAGCAAAGTGCTCGCTGTTCTGTCCCTTCTGGTCTCTGGACTCTGTTTAGGAGTCACTTCTAGTACTAATATTTCTGTCAATGAAGAGACTCTCCCCATACTTCCTGATGTCACCCTGTGATGGCTAATTGTTTGTTTGTTTGTTTGTTTTAAGATGGAGTCTGACTCTGTCTCCAGGCTGGAGTGCAGTGACATGATCTCGACTCATTGCAACCTCTGCCTCCCGGGTTCAAGCGATTCTCCTGCCTCAGTCTCACAAGTAGTTGGAACTACAGGTGCACACTACCATGAGCAGCTAATTTTTGTATTTTTAGTAGAAATGGGGTTTCACCATGTTGGTCAGGATGGTCTCGATATTTTGACTTTGTGATCTGCTCGCCTTGGCTTCCCAAAGTGCTGGGATTACAGGTGTGAGCCACTGCGCCCGGCCGTGATGGTTAATTTTATGTCGACTTGGCTAGACAATATACCCAGATATTTGCTCAAGCATTATTCTAGATGTTTCTATGAAGATATTCTTAGATGAGAGTAACTTTTAAATCAGTTGACTTTGAGTAAAACAGATTACACCTCATGATGTGAGTAGGTCTCATCTAGTCAGCTGAAGGCCTTTAAAACAAAAAGCCTGACCTCCTCAGAGGAAGAGGGAATACTGCCAGGAGACTGCTTTGGACTCAAATTGCAGCTCTTCCCTGGGTCTCCAGCCTGCCAAACTACCCTGCAGATTTTGGATTTGCCAACCTCAACAGTCACATGGGCTATTTCCCTAAAATAAATCTTTCTTTCTGTATATATACACATCCTATCAGTTCTGTTTTGTCGGAGAACTTTATTGAATCTACACCCTACTTCACCAATTCTAAGATGTATATTTTTTCACACTTCTCTAAAATCATAAGATATTTTAAATTGACATTGTTTCCAGTGAAATATGATTGTTCCCAGTATTTGACAGAGTATTCGCCATTCCCTCAACTAGATATTACTTTGGAAATGCAAACTAATAGTTTGCTATATTGAGCTGAGTGACTGTAGTGTAACCACCATCCATGATTTGTATAGCCATGCCATGACTTTTCTCCAAGGATTTCAAAGTTCTATGCAGTTTTAAATAATTATTTTCCATAAGCCTGTCATCTAATTGCCATCTGTAAGCTCTGAAAAAAATATTTTTCCAGGGGATGCAAAACATGAACACTATGAGGGAGACAGAGCTTCAAAGCAATGCTTTGAAAGGGAAGGATAGGAAAATGGAATGGAATATATTTGTCCTCAGTTAAGCCTCATTGTACTACTTAAGCCCCACTTTCCTTTCCATACAGGATTATAGCATTCTAACCACCAACTGTACCTTCTTTATTCTGTTGAAAGAGGCAGTTTGTTTTTCTACCTGGTATATTTTCAAAAGAACTGGATAATTGGCCAATACCATAACAGTTTTTTGATATATCACTGTCTTGCATAAAACTAAGACTCAAAGGTAACAGTACGTCTTAAGTATGTGTGTATGTCAGCATCTCAGTACTTAGTATGTGCACAAAGTAGACATGGATAGTTGTGAATACATGCATGTCACTGAATAACCAGACAACAATGTGAAATGCTGGCAAATGTCCAGGCTTTTTTTTTTTTCTTTTTTGAGACAGGGTCTTGTTCTGTAGCCCAGGTTAGAGTGCTCATTGCAGCTCAACCTCCCAGGCTCAAACAATACTCCTACCTTAGCTTCTCGAGTAGCTGAGATTACAAGTGTGTACTACCATGCCTGGCTAATTTTTAATTTTTTTCTAGAGACAGGGTCTTGCTATGCTGCCCAGGCTGGTCTCAAACTCCTGAGCTCAAGTGAGCCTCCCGCCTTGGCCTCCCAAAGTGCTGGGATTACAAGCATGAACTACTGTACTCAGCCAGATGTCCAGGCATTTAAGGAAGCCCTTCAAATCTACATACTCAAAATCATCAAATAAGTGACTATTTGCCCCCCTTTTATTTATTTATGTATTACATCTTCCCTTATATTCTAGGTGCATGTGTGTGTATGTGTGTGATTGAGTAAGTCAGAGACAGAGAGAAGTTGAGCGAATGAGAGACAGAGATTGTCTCTTCTGGGTTGTGAATATTTTGAAGGTGGCTTCATCAAAATACCATAGGTTTAGTGCCACCATTTTGAATACTGCTTCTGCCACATATAGGCAATGTGACTTTGGAATAATTACTTAACTTTTCTCATCTTCAGTTTTTGTACTTAGAAAATAAACATAATACCTGCGTTGAAGAGTTTAGTGAGGCTTAAAAATAATTTTTGAAAGAAACAGGCGAAATTTTAGATCTCATCCCATGTCTCTCTCCTGCTGTAGCCCTAGGCACAGCGCCTTGTACTTGGAAGGTACTGTCATGTTTTTTGAATGAATCGCCAAGTGTCTTGACAAAAAACACACACTATTTTTGGCTTTCTATAAAACATGCAATAAATTTTATGGCCTGACTCTTTTGAGTACAAAGTAAAGAACCATTCATGATATGATCCCGTTTTACCCCAAATGTTTAATATTTTCAACCAGAGTCATCAAATCCAATGTATTACTTATGTTCTAGCCTCACTGTCCTATATAAATATCATCTTCATTTAGATGAAAACGACAACCATAAAACAAACAATACTGCAGATATTTCAGTTAAACCATGGAACTTACTTCAAGTTTATGGTATTACTAGTTTGAATTTTTCACAGAAGAAACCAAGATAGTCATTTCTAGTTTTTAAGAGATAAAAAAAATCACAAAACAGACATCTTCATGTCAACATTATTTCCCCTTTTGTTACTTTCTTTCCTTTCTTTTTCCACTGTCTTCTCCCCTACCCACCATCTGTTTGTTTGGAAGATCAATGAATGAATCATCCAACAGGCGAACAAACTCTGGATGACACATTACTTTAAGCCACATCTGAAATGAATTGAAAGTTTAAAAGGCCACATAATAACATCGATCAGTATACATGCTTTTCTTGTTGAAAGATAATCAGATGCCAGAAGGGCCCTTTGTAACACACTGTCCCAGGGACTATCAATTCCAACATCCACACATATGTTCCCCCCATAAAGCACTGGCAGCCATTTTGTACTTATTGACTGTGCCTCTATAATTCTTCTTCAGATAAATGATTCACCAGATTGTAGTAGCCCTTAGTCAGAGAATCACAACTAACAGCTAAAAGCAAGTGTCAAAACCAAGCAAATGAGAGAGCGATAGTCTCTTCCCACTGTTCCGGGTGGCAATGGAAAGAGTAAATCCTAAATAGACTGGAAGCTGAGAACAGACAGCCGGAAAGAAGGTAGGACGATAAGAGGGAAGAAAGAAAGTGTTAGTGGATGGATTTAGGGCCAGATTAGTTCAAAAGCCTGAGTAAAATTTCAGCTCTAAGTTGTAGAAACTGAGTGGAAGCTGGAATCCAAACAAGTACTTCATTTATTCAGTGGAAATATTTAACCAATACTCTATGTCAGGACATGTTCTAGATACTGGGGATATGTTATTAATCAAAACAGAAATGTGTAAACTCCTAGAAAGTATATTCCAGTGGGGGATGATAACAACAAACATTTAATGTAATCAATCAATCAATTACTCATAAAGTATATTGAAAGAGAAAGAGAAGTGCTGTAGAAAAATTAAAAATCAGGGCAAGGAGAATTGCAAAGGCCAGAGTGGAAGCTTCCATGTAAATGCTGTGGTCTTAGCAAGAGGATTAAATATCAATAATTCACCAGAAAACGGCAGAGTCACAAAACTAAAAGGAAACCATTATGTAACATAACACAAAGAGAGCAATTTCATGACAGTATATAAAAGGACTACTCACATTTTTCATCTAATTTAAAGAAAATATTTACTATGCATGTAACACCAGAGAAGCTCTGAAAACATTTCAGAGATAGTTCCTTGTCCATATGCTTCTTTAATAAAACACCTTTCTGCTAAAGAACACAGTTATGTGGACTTCACTTACTGGCAAGGTCAAAGTCCTCTAAAAGCAGTTTCGTTTCATCACTGTCCATGTGACTGATACTATTATCTTTGTTTTACAGGTGGGGACATTAGAATGTTGATGACTAAGCACCATGAGTCAGTGGTAGGGTTTATGGAAAACGCATGTCCTAGGCAGCATGCAAATGACTTCATCTTATGTGGGTTTGGCCATGTAAGAAGTTAAATTATCTCAGCAATTTTGTGAACTTGGCTTTCTTCATAATTATCCTTCTTCCCGTCTGCTGTCCCAAAAGACCTGGTTACTGAAGAAAGCTCTGTGAGAGCTAAGGATGAGTGTAAATGCCATGAAAACACCATAAAAGTATTCTGTAGGTGCCATGCCACAGGGTTCTTCTAATGAAGGAATTCAGGAAAAGCTTAGGCACTGCCAAAGAGTTTAAGTTCTCAAGTATTTTTTTTTCCCCTCTTAGAAAAGTGCCTTTTTGGCTGGCATTTCATAGGAAAATGACAAAGACTTTACAGCAAGTCCCTTATCTCCTTTCCTTTTTTAAATCTTTAGAACATGGTTAATACTATGTATTTGTGGTTCAACTAGTAAACACTGATTACACTTGGCAAGTGACAGCAATAGCAGCAACCCCACAAAACTTAGGCAATAATGATGGTTTCTTTAAATTTGGAATTCAAGATAAAATTGGGAAATGCATCAAGAAGGGATAAAGCTCTTTAGGTTATCTTATCACAGAATTTGAAATTTGTGGCCAAGAGAATGAAGTTAAATGTTTATTTTATACTACTTGATCATTCTGAAAGTTTTCCAAGTTATTTCAGACTAAACTTAAAGCAGGATATTGTGTGAATCAACTCTTAAATATTAATGTGGCCCTGCCAAACTGGTTTCCTTAAAACCTCTTTCATTTGTGTTACCCTACCATTTTCTCATGTAACAGATGAAGATAAATGTGCAATGCTGTTAGCCCATTTTGCTACTTGGATTACTAGGTTCACACATAAACACATAGAGAGAGCACCTAATTATTCAGGGCAAACGCCACTTTTGCCCAAGGCAACTTACTTTGTCTACCTATTACTCTTTTAGTGATCATTTTCTTTCCTTTGAAAAGTATCAGAATTGAAATACCAGGAATTCCAAAACAAACCACTCCTCCCTGTGTCATCCTTGTCCCGCTGCTTCTGATCTTGGCCCTCAAACCTAGTCAACGGCCTTATCAGAACTGATCAAGCTGACTTAGATTGGAGTTATTTTGATGAGAGCTTGAGTGTGTAATCAGATGTATGGATTTTTGCCCTCTCCCAGAAAGAGGTCAGAAACATGTGGATGGAGCCCTAAGGGGTAGCCTGGTCTCGTTTGAAATAAAATAAATTGGCTTCACAGTGGCCACTCTGACCTCTGGCAGTCTAATTTCTCAGCTGGATTATAACTAGATGCCCTACATACAGCTATTCTCAAGAACTACACAAGCCTACGAAAGAGAGAGAAACTTTTAACTGGTGAGAATGCTGGAGCTACATCTGTCCAGGAAACTGGTAACACGGTGACATCAACTGGGCTCCAGAAGTTTTGAGAACTTCCATTTGGCTTTGAGAAACAATTCAAGGTGTTAATTCTGACTTATAAAGCTGTCTGTGTTTTGGATGCTGGTTACCTTAGAAATGGCTCTAAGGCCATTTCTCTTAGCTCTAAGGCTGAAGAGTTCCCAGATTTACACTTCAAACACCCAGAAGCAACACCCTTCCATAAACAGACGAGATGGCTAGAATTAAGGGCTGCTTCAATCTCACAGAATTCTACTTTGTAAATTACAAATTTTACCCCTTGGCTTCCTTTACTGATTAGAAATATGAATGTGGAGAAAGTACCAATGTGAAAATTTTACCATCAGCAGATTAATATCCTTGAGTGTTAAAACATTTAAAGTCCAATCTTAAAAGAGTATAATAACAAATTCCAGTGTATATTTAAATAATGTTCCTGTTTATAACCCTAGCTATACAACATATTTATTCCATGAGATCATATATTTAAACAATTATCTTCTTACTGGCAAGTACATATTCCCATGAGCAATGAGATTTTAATAAATTAGATGTCATCATCTGTAAATACCTTGTTTTAAAATATGCCTTTCATTTATACTAGGTTTTTAAAAGAATTTGGCAGATGTTTCCTTAACCTCTTCACAAGATTGACTTAACCTGCATACACTTGTACCATTTTTACTATACCCTAATTATTCAACCATTGTTTTATTTGTCCAGAAACATCTGAACATGCTTTGAATAATCCAGACAGTGAAGAGTTGAAACTGTCTGGGGATTTAGCATAAGCTTTCTCTGGAACTAGCAGCACCATCAATGCTCAGTGCACCTCCTTTTAATATTCTAGTGTTTTAGGATCATTAACATTCCTTTCAGCTGCAGGATGTCTTTATAATTCTTTTTTTCACAGAGGAAAAAAACAGAAGCAGAATCGATTAAGAGGCTTACCCAAGGCCATTCAACAGATTACTGATAAAGGTAGAATTGGTGCATTATATCTCGTTGAAGAAAGCTTTTCCTTTTTGCGCATTTCTCTACCAACTAAATTAACCCATATCCTATCAGCAGGTGATGTCAATCTCAGAACACAAACTGTTCTTGCTGTTCCTGTTAAAATATATGTATGGAACACATGTATGAGAACACCATATAAAGGAACAAGAAATCAGTAGAGTGAGAGCCAATTCAAGATTTAAGTACAAGAGAAAAGTCCATAACTGTTCAAAATCGGACAGTTACTGGCAGCCTCAAATACTCTTGAGCTGGTATCAAAAGCAGAGAACTGCTGCGCCAGAATGCTAGGACAGTTCCTCATTCCCTCATACAAGCACAAGTATAGTCACCAGCATAAAAAGTCAAGATTGTTAGCAATGCCTAACCACCTAATTGCCCAAGTAACCGTCTTTCTTTTACAGGCCTCATTGTCTTGAGCATGAAGGAAGTGGCAAACCAGTGGGACTGTAATCTATTATCTGTTACCACTAAGAGCAGGGATGCATTGTGACACCAAGTGGGAAAAAAAGGCCAGAGAGATAGACATGGAGGAGACTCATCTGAGTAAGGCTGTACTAGACATTGCCTTCATCTTTCCTTCAAAAGACTGACTTACAACTGTGGGCACACTGGGGAGGGGAGCCAGGAGGAGATAAGAAAAAGAAATCAACTTGATAGAAGAGCTTGAATAGGTTGGGCAAGGAGTGATTTTACATAGAGAGTAGTTTCCTGGTCCTTGCTCTGGTCTACATGCCTGTGAATCAATTACACACACACACACACACACACACACACACACACGCTCTCTCCCTCTCTCTCTCTATCATAAATTAATTACTCCTGCAGATTATTGAATGAAGCCCATGCACAATGTGGCAGAATATGTGATAAATCCACCTGCCAGGACCCTTGGATGGTGCGTATGGTGGGTTGGGCAACACTTATCAAAGGAACAGCCGTCTTGTTCTCACCAAAAAGCACGTGAATAAAAGCCAATGCAAAATGAGCTGCAATCGTAACATTGTTTTACTAAAGTTAATCTGGCTGCCAAGTATGGTCCAAACAGCTTTTTGTTTGCTTGTTTTAAGCCCTAGAGCTTTTGGCTGTTGGCTTTTATGATTGAGATATCAATTTTGAGAAAATCCTTTAATTGTTATGCTTTTTAAAACCTTAATGCCCAGATACCACTCTAAAGGTTTCCTTGCCTTCCTCTGTCTGATACTCTGGAAAATGTCAGCTCCACAGCTATTTCATGATCCAGTGCAAAGCTAACTAGAAGATCATAAAACGATATGTCCAGAAACGTTAAAACGTTAAAAAAGTAGCTTGCTCTTTTCTCATAAACTAGATTCTAGTGTAAACTTGTATGAAGTACAAGCTTAAAATTTAAAGCTTCACAATTTTAGAATGTGTCCATAAAAAATATAGGAGTAATGACAGTGAATAAAGTATGTTTTTATAAACTTTTGGTTCTGCAAAAAAATTTTTAAAAACATTCTGTAATGAAATGTTTTAAGAACCTAAATTAGAAAAGAGAAAGGTACTAAATATGAAGACTGGGTAAATTATTTGTCTATAAATTAGAAATTAAATATAGATAGATATTAAAAACCAAAATATTAGAATTAATTAGATCTAAGATGGTGTGCCAAGTAAATATATTCTTTTTTTAAAATTTTATTATTATTACACTTTAAGTTTTAGGGTACATATGCACAATGTGCAGGTTTGTTACATATGTATACATGTGCCATGTTGGTGTGCTGCACCCATTAACTCATCATTTAACATTAGGTATATCTCCTAATGCTATCCCTCCCCCTCCACCCACCCCACAACAGTCCCTGGAGTGTGATGTTCCCCTTCCTGTGTCCATGTGTTCTCATTGTTCAATTCCCACCTATGAGTGAGAACATGCGGTGTTTGGTTTTTTGTCCTTGTGATAGTTTGCTGAGAATGATGGTTTCCAGTTTCATCCATGTCCCTACAAAGGACATGAACTCATCATTTTTTATGGCTGCATAGTATTCCATGGTGTATATGTGCCACATTTTCTTAATCCTTAGACGCTAGAATATCCATAGATGGAGTTCAGGCAATTAGCATATCCTTTAAAATAGTATGAAAAATCGTGTATCTTTGTGAACATGCTTTCTGTTAGATTCTGAGATGGGTTCACAACATAAATAAGAAAGTTTTAAAGCCACTGACACAAAAGATATGTCTTACACAATTCAAACTTTCAGTATTCAGTAATGCTTTGTTCTTTTTGATGGTTTTTCTAACTTAAGGTTGTTATACTTACTCAACTAGTAAGGCATATCTCAAACTTTTGTAATATTTGGTGTATGCAATCATTGCAAAATGCAAATTTCTTTTCATCATTCCTTTTCTGTACAGAAAGAAAGGAAAGAAGTGCCTAATAGGATAAGGACTATGTTATAAGTAATAACAATAAAATTAAAATGTTAGTGAATTTATTTAAATATCAAAAGAAAAATGCATATATACTGCCCTATTTTATTATCCATAAATCAAAAAGCAGTTTTATTCTATTCATTATTTTTCAAAGAAAGGAAGAAAATTCCTCCTCTTCCCTTCATTTTAAAGGTATTCATAGGCACTATAAGTATCTTACAGAAGGTTATTTGGCAATATGCTTAATGATTTGGATACTGAACAGTTACTTTAAACTGTATAGACTTGCTTTACTTAAACAAGCAATTTTCCCTTTCAAGAAGGATCTCATCAAAAATTGAACAGTGCCTCTACTTTACTGTCTGGAAAAGATGAGCAAAGACCAGAATACTTTCATTTATCCAAAAGAATGTATTTTTCTTCTTCTCCAGACTCCTATTTATCGAAAGCTTCCTGACTATGGGGGATAAAAAGAGTTTCACAAAACTAATAGACAATCTAAAGTTCTCTATACAATTGCAAATAATTTATCAACACAAATAAGAATAAACATTCATTTCTTGTCAATATGCATCATGAGGATGAAAGGAAAGTGTGGTACTTTGACATTTTTTTCAAACTGTTAACTTAATATAAACATAATTCAAGAAATGTTTGGAAGAAGCAGTAGACTCCTGGTATTGAAGCCTTATCTTCATATATATTCTGCTCAAGTATCATCAAGTTTTGAAAGCTAACTACTGACTTGCCTAATTTATAAGATATTATCTCAAACTTTTGTAATATTTGGTTTGTGCACACATTATGTCCCAGTTAGCCATAATGAACTCCAAAATCAAATGAGAAAAGATATCACAGGAGGAAAGGAAAGGGCATTTAGACATTTTACTTTTTGATCAAGTTTTTAAAGGTTTTATTATTGGTTTTCTACTTAATATGGCCCTGTGCCAGGCATGGTGGCTCATGCCTGCAATCCCAGCACTTTGGGAGGCCAAGGCGGGTGGATCACTTGAGGTCAGGAGTTTGAAAGCAGCCTGGTCAACATGGCGAAACCCCATCTCTACTAAAAATACAAAATTTAGCCAGGCATGGTGGTGCATGCCTGTAATCCCAGCTACATGGGAGGCTGAGGCAGGAGAATCACTTGAACCCGAGAGGTGGAAGTTGCAGTAAGCCGAGATTGCGCCATTGCACTCCAGCCTGGGCAAAAGAGTGAGACTTTGTCTTAAAAAAACAAAAATATATGGCTCTGAATAACAACATTCAAACTCTTTTGCTTGATATTCAAAGTTTTTATAATTTTATCCCCAAAATTCCGTGTCTTTGTTTCCCAGAAAATTGTTCACCTTAGCAATATGCTTCAGGTTATGGGCTTTGGGAGCAGTGAAACCTGAATTCAAGCCCTAGTTCCATTGTCTACTAACCAACCTTGGCTACTTGGTTAATGTTTCACTTATGAAACATGCATTTTCTCATTTAATACTCCCAGCAACTTGACTGATTAGATTTCAGTGATGATCAAATGAGCTACTCTATATAAAGCTATGCACAGTGTCTGGCACAGAGTAACTCTCCAGTGACTATCAGTCATTGTTATTAAAATATGTCTACACTAACGCTCTGTCCCTGCCTAGTTCATGATTTTCTAAAATGTATTCCGTCTCAGCTCCATACTTTCTCAGATGTTGCCATGCATCCAAATGCCACTTATACATCAAGTCTCTCCAATATACCTCCTTATAAAGTCTTCTTTTAGGACTTTTGTAAGCTCCCATATCCTAATTACTGACTTCACATATCATTTGGTAGTTCTCTATTATCTATCTGTTATGTATCTATATTTTCCTAAACTATTACTTATACTATTTCTATATTTTGAATTTATGTTTAGTATCCCAAATGAAACAGTAATTTAAGGACAAGCATTATCTTACATCTTTTCCTATTTTCCCTAATACCTAGCAGAATGTGTTGCCCTTATGTGTGCTACATAGAGATGATTTAATTTTTTAAGCCTATAGAAGAAAGAGACTATTTAAAATTATCTAAAATCTATTTACTTCTACAAAACCCAGGCCTATAGCATTGAGCTGCACAATGGGGTTTAGAAGCGTGAGAAGTTGTTAGTTGTTATAGCCAGTGTTGTGCTGGAGTCAGATGGAACTACTGTATCTTGCAGGCATCAGTTGTGTATATTTTTCCTCCTACTCTGCATACAATGATGTCTCATTGGTAGCTTGAAATAGGCCATGGTGTACTTACAGCACGAGAATTGGCAAACACTACAAATCTGGGCTTTCTCTCTCTCTCTCTTTCTCTCTCTCCTTTCTTTCTTTTGTTTTCTTTTTTTGGAAAGCTGATTGTTATACATACATTTATCAGCATACCACAAAGATTGATTTAAAGCTATCCAAAGGATCTATGTAGATTTAATACTAAGAAAACTCATATATCTATGCTTCCCTACCAGAATCAGAGGGCATTCTATGCACATAGAAATAGCATATTCATATTATTAGTGGAGAGATTCTACATTTATTATTTAAACAGTAATTTTCTTTGCAAATGATGGAGATATTTGGCAGATAGTCCATGTATTTGTATAGCGAAGCTATGGCTTTATTTTTCAAGAGCACCTTCTAAAAGGTGAGCTCTTCAGAGGAATTTGCTGGGTTACAGACATGTATCAAGCCGGGACTGTATTAATGACTGTGCTGGGCTCAGAGTAGTCACTCAGAAAAAAAAAAAAATAATTCCATTCATCTCTTACTTTTAAAATCTAATGTTGCTCAAGATGAGTGGGAATTTAAAAGAAAGAGAATATGCTCCACACACTAAAACAATTACCAAAGCACAAGTATATTCTTAGCCTTGGAGATTGTAAATAGAGATTGCAGCAGCTATTTTTCTGTATGTGTCTCTTTTGTCATTTGTTCTGTAATTCAAACAAGTTTTTAAAAGATGCCATTGTCTGTGTTAGGTCAGCAGTATAATCCTGGAGAAACTTATATTTGGTTGTTGTTGTTGTTTTTTTTTTTAACCATGAGGTTGATTGGTGTTTTCCTTAAAGCACTTCCAATTCAGGCCGTGGCGTCAGCCCTGAGCCTCCCTGCACTGCATCCAGAAGCAGCATTCTTTAGGTTATTATGAAGAGAGAGGAGGACAGAGGAAGGCACATTAGTAAAATCTCAGTTTGCATGTGATACATGAAAGATTTCTTCTGAAGGCAGATATAAAACACCACCAAAGATTAAAACATCATGACACACCAAAATCACATACTGAAAGTCCAGTGATCCATCAAACACACTCAGGACAAGACTTTTTATTGTATGTGACATAGACATTTGTCTCCTATTTCAGGAAAAACAGAAATGTTCTCTTACCACAGAGGCACAACAATAAACCACCTTAACTGAGAAATTCAAAGGAGAGCTGGATCTCCATTATACAAATGGAACCGCCATAGGGTTCTAACTCCTTTGTAATGAACTAAACTTAATAATTGGATTTCCTCATTTTCACAACTTCCCTATTTTTTCCAGTTCAGGATTTTAGTTTTGGAAGCTCCCTGTGCTCCCTGACAGAGGCTGTGTGCCTCAGGCTCCCCACCTTCTGCTATTAAAGTGGAGACTAGCAGATACTGAAGACATGTTAGTATTTAGATGAAGGCCTCACCCAGATGTTAACAGGAGGCATTAAAGAATATTTTTGGACAGAAATTGTGCATCTCTGGAATAGATTTTGTGACAGGAACAAACATTTCAAGCATTGGCCTTTTGTGGGATCACTAGAACCTGCCCGCTCACATTCTAAATGAGGAGAGTATCCACTATGGGACGTCTAAATAGAGACCCAAGATTATGGTGCTTACTAGGGCAAAGCAGCAAGGAAAAACATCCAAACTAAAAAGGCAGTTTACTCTGTAAACAGTAATTTTAAGTTGACATTTGATTTCAGATAAGTTGAAACATCTGAGCCCGAATCCCATGCCAAATTAAAACATACATAAAAACCATCCTTTGGGGTTGTGAAGCTTTTAAAGATGGAGCAGTAATGTAAGTATACTCTTTACACAGAGCTATTCCTAATTGTGTCTCTTCTGTGTTCAAAACACTTCAGTTGTTCCCTGTTACATTGTAGGATGAAGTCCAATGCCTCAGTATGGCGTGCAAAGTCCTTAATGATCCCACGTCTCCTGCCTCATAGTTCACTCCTAGTCCCCTCCCTGGATGTTCTCTACACCACTAATACTGTATTTCCTTCAATTTTCTTGTTTCTAGTCCTTTTCATGAGCTGTTCTGTACCTGAAGCACTGGCTAATTCCTATATATCTTTGGTGTCTCAGCTTGGACCTTTCTCCTTTCCTTTGCTGACTCCTGAAGGTATGGTTAGATTCCCCTCAAATTTTCTCCATACCACAAGGTACTTCACTCATATGACACTTAAAACACTGTATTTTAAGAGCTTATGTCCTTGTCTACATCCACTAATAGATATTCAACTTCATAAAGGCAGAGGTTCTGATATTTTGTTGGTGCTGAATCCTCAGCATACCCTCTACATAGTAAGTTGTCAATAATCATTTGCCTACTAAGTGAATAAATTAAACTCCTGTAACTCTATTAAGATGAATGACCAGCCAGGTGTGATGGCTCATGCCTGTAATCCCAGCACTTTGGGAGGCCAAGGAGAGTGGATCGCCTAAGGTCAGGAGTTTGAGACCACCCTGGGCAACATGGTAAAACCCTGTGTTTACTAAAAATACAAAAAATTAGCAGGGCGTGATGGCAGGCACCTGTAATCCCAGCTACTCAGGAGGCTGAGGCAGGAGAATCGCTTGAATCCAGGAGGCAGAGATTGCAGTGAGCCAAGGTCACTCCATTGCACTCCAGCCTAAGCAACAAGAGCGAAACTCTGTCTCAAAAGGGAAAGGAAAGGAAAGGAAAAAGGAAAGGAAAAAAGAAACGAAAAAGGAAAGGAAAGGAAAGGAAAGGAAAGGAAAGGAAAGGAAAGGAAAGGAAAGGAAAGGAATCAATGACCACAAGTACCTAAGTGGTTAGTGTCATTGCAGGGAAATTCATGAGAGCAGAGAACTTGTCCTGTCTACCCTTGTATCCCCAGCATTACCATTGTATCTGACACACAGTAAGTAAATGCTCAACAAACATTCATTGAATAAAAAAATTGAAATACTGAGTAGCATTTAAATTACAATATATTGTCTTTGACATAGTGGTTAACACAATATTCCTATTAATAACTCTAATAAGAATATTAAGCATTTTCAGGTTTTTTTAAGTCATAATAGCTCAGGGGGGCAATTATTATTCTTATTATACCAACAATTACTACTGTCAACCTTAGTAACTTTGCCTATTACAGATCAATAATTTTTTTCTTCTCAAGGATTATCCTGAATAAATTCTATTGAGTAGTGTTTTCAGATTTGCATCTTTGAGTTTCAGTAATACCTAGTCTTCTTGAAATATGTTATTTTCCAACTACACAAATGTCCTCCCTGACTCCCTCAATAGAAACACAGTTGGATTTCTATATTTCTCAAAGAGAAAGACAAAAGAAACCAATAAATTCTTTGGAGCCACACATCCTCACCTAGGAAAAAATGAAAACAGCTAACTAGAAGGGTATTTGAGAAATGATCTGGCTCAGCAGCATGCTCAGGACTGAATGATTTATTCTTCCTTTAAAAGGAAGAGGATGGCTACAATCACAGTATTCAATTAGCCTGCTCCAAATACTTAAATATTTTTTCTTTAAAAATAGCACTAGTCTACACACATACATCACTCACAGAGTCATTACCTCTATACATTATGTAAACAATTTGCATAACTAATATAAATGATAAAACACTGTTACCTACAAATATAATCAAGGAGAACCAAGTTGAGCATTCATAGATTCATGATAATCACATTACATAAATACAAATAGTACTCCCACCACTGCCCACCCCTATATTCCTACCATTTCAGTGAAAATCTCCTTTTTGCAGTTCTAGGTGAAGAAAATATTGTATCAGACTGAATACTGTGCTATAAGTTTTGTTACTATGAAAATAAACCCCTATTTTAATAAAGAAAAAGAACAACAATAAAACTATATGGAGTCCAGTTCTGCTCTGGAGAAGAGCTTCAAAGTGATTCAAGGTTCAGTTTCCTATGTTAAGAAAAATGAGCAAATTATAAAGTTGGCAGCTTTTGTTTTTACATTTCCCATCTATCTTGCATAAGATTGTCCCAAACCCCTATAGCTCCTCACTTGGGCCTGACTTTTGAAACTTTATTTTTTCTGTTTGAATTCAGTAATCAGCAGACAAAGCCAGGAACATCAGAAGTGTCGAGTGGCTCAGATTTGAAAGAAACAATCCTTTTGTAGACAGAGTGATAGAGGAGCTGTATCTGGAGGCTCTCACGTGGCAGGACTTGAAGAATATGGCCTTCCATTCACAATCCAGCAGCAAGGAGAAGCAAGGTAAGAGAATGACAGCTGGACATCTTAAACAGGTGGTTAAAAAAAAAAAGCTTTAAGAAAAGAAGGGTGGGTGATTGTCTCAGTCCACCTGGGCTGCTGTAACAAAATACCATGAACTGGATAGCTTTTAAGCAACAGAAATTTACTTCTCACAGTCCTAGAGGTTGGAAAGTCCAAGATCAAGGCACTGGCAGATTCAATGTCTGGTGAGGACCCACTGTCTGGTTCATATATGGCACCTTCTAGCTGCATCCTCACATATTAGAAGAAACCAATAAACTCTTTGGAGCCTCTTTTATAAAAGAACTAATTCCATTCATAAAGTCAGAGCCCTTATGATCTAATCACCTTAGAAAGAGCCCTTCCTTCTACACTTGATTTTAGCCAAAAGGCTGAGAAGCAATGAGCCCTTCCTTCTAATACCATCAACCTAGCTACCAAGATGTTACAAACCTAACACTTCACGGGTAGGTTTCAACATGTGAATTTGGGGGAAACACAAGCATTCAGACAATAGCAGTGATACTGGCTATGCAAGTAAGTTACTTATCAGGTGATATGTCAGGAACCTGGACATACATTCAGACTCATGGATCCAGGAGAACAGTAAGAATGAGGCATAGTACCAGAAAGATTTACTAGAGTAGAACTTTGAAAACAACCATCAAAGTAGAAGTAGGTTATTAACCCATGCCTGGTACAATATTGCATGGCTGTTGACTCAATACCAAGACATCAATTGCTGGTCTACGGGGCTCATGAAGATCCTGGAAAAGTGTGTGCTGGACCATTAGGTAGGTTAAAAGACACCAGATTTGCAGAGAAGGGAGGATATATGCTGGATATTGACTTCTAGACCTTCCTCTAAGCTCTTGATATTCATCAGAATTTCCTACCCTGGCCTCAGGGCTTTCCTTCTACACAAATTAACCCTTGTGGTTTATATGATCTTAACTAAAGGATGCCCCTTAACAGGTTAAGGCTGTCCTTTTCCTTAGCTTCAGAATGCCCTCACCAGTCAAGGAGGAAGGAAATGCTCACCAAAATTAGCCCAGTGAACAGACGAAAATGTGAAAGCTGCTTGGCCTCTGCTTCTCACACTTTTGATCTCATACAGGATGTCAGCCAGATTAGAAAACTACACTCATGGGGAAAACATACTGCATTGATAAAAGGTAAAGAAAGGCTGACTAAATGTACTTAAGGCAGAAATAACCATAGCTGACCATGAGTCAGCTATGCATCACATCACTAAAAATAATCTATCCCACCAATTCCTTCTTTCTGTCATTTGCCATTATCCTTGATCAGATCATTAAAACCAAGCTGGTTTTTTAGAGCTCTTCCTTAGTCCATCCCACAGCAAGTGATATTCTCTGCTCCAATCTCATCTATATTCCAAGGTCACTGTGATTTTTCTCAGTCTTCTATCTTAGATATATTTCAATTTCATACATATTTAAACATCACCTGCCTGCCAAATTAAGTTCACATTTTTTATTCTGACCTAAACATTTTTCCAGCATTACCTTCTACTACCCAACCTGTATCAAAGGAAACTGTAAATTTTGATTGTTCCTGGTTTTCTGAATACATTTATCATTTTCTCACTTCTGGATATTTATCCTCACTGTTCCTTTATGGGCATGTCCTACCTTCACCTCTACCTGACAAAATTCTATCTATTCTTCTAAAATCTAGATGCTGCTTAAATGCCTAATATTCCCTAGTCCTTTCAACCACAGGGATTTCTCACCTCACTGATTTTCTGTAACTATCTCTCATGCTAACTGTACTCATTACGTTCGATGCTGGAGTAAGAATTTTCTGGGTCCACTGTCATAATATCTGCTGCTAGTGAACTTTTAATAAGTGTTTGTGGAATTTAAAAGAAGCAAGCATGATTCTTGTGGATGGATGCATAGATAGATAGATAGATAGATAGATAGATAGATACATACATACATACATACATAGATAGATAGATAGATAGACACACATGAGCTACACACAACTGTTTTAAAATAGAATATGGTATCTAATTAAGAAAATCAGAAACCAACAAAATTATAATGCCCACGAAGTACAGTCATGATGTAAAGTATGTTTCAGCTCTCTAAAGTTTGCTGTTAAATACCACCTTCCTAAAACCTCAGAATCTTTATGAAAACCATCATGTAGACAAAATGACCTAAAGAAAATTGAGATAATCATTGTCATATAAAATTCACATTTTGGCCAGGCGCAGTGGCTCACACCTTTAATCCCAGCATTTTGGGAGGCTGATCACCTGAGGTGATCAGGTGGGTGGATCACCTGAAGTCGGGAGTTCAAGACCACCCTGACCATCATGGGGAAACCCCATCTCTACTAAAAATATAAAATTAGCTAGGCGTGCTGGTGCATGCCTGTAATCCCAGCTACTTGAAAGGCTGAGGCAGGAGAATCGCTTGAACCCGGGAGGAGGAGCTTGTGGTGAGCCAAGATCACGCCATTGCACTCCAGCCTAGGCAACAAGAGAGAAACTCTATCTCAAAAAAAAAAGAAAAAAAAATCACATTTTGGCTATTCAGTCATTCTATTGAAGTTGAAGATAGCAGCTAGGGGCTTCTAGCTCTTTCAAATCATGCAGTTAATTCAGAGGGAAATCTTTAAGGCAAGATTTGCTTTCCTGATAGTGGTTTCAAAAATATTAATAACTTAGAATAAGTTGTTTATGAAAAAGATAAATTCAGAGAATGAGATTTGGATTCCAGTTCTAATACAAACCCTGGACATATACGCTTGAGTGAAACACCTTACGATTGCAATAACCCAACTCCAGATTATAAAATAAGGAAATATCCTGGTGCCTTACCTATTTCATTGTAAGGACTGAAACAAGTAAATCAAGGGAAAGCACCTTGTGAACTGTAGGAAAAGCACCAAAAGCTCTGCCGATAGTAATGTCAGTTCCTATTAGCTCTCCACTAACCTAGATCAAGCAGCTCTGTAGTTGAACCAGCTACCTTCCCACCCACCTCACATGCAGCGCTCCAGATAGATTCTGTGATTTTCTAGTTGACTATACTTGTAAGAACCTCAGATTCCTCCTGTCCACCAGTATGAGTCTTGTAATTTTTTCATTTTTTTAATTATACTTTAAGTTCTAGGGTACATGTGCACAACGTGCAGGTTTGTTACATATGTATACCTGTGCCATGTTGGTGTGCTGCACCCATTAACTCATCATTTACATTAGGTATATCTCCTAATGCTATCCCTTCCCCCTCCCCCCACTCCACCACGGGCCCCAGTGTGTGATGTTCCCCTTCCTGTGTCCAGGTATTCTCATCGTTCAATTCCCACCTATGAGTGAGAACATGCGGTGTTTGGTTTTTTGTCCTTGTGATAGTTTGCTGAGAATGATGGTTTCCATCTTCATCCATGTCCCTACAAAGGACATGAACTCATCCTTTTTATGGCTGCATAGTAGTCCATGGTGTATATGTGCCACGTTTTCTTAATCCAGTCTATCCTTGATGGACATTTGAGTTGGTTCCAAGTCTTTCCTATTGTGAATACTGCTGCAATAAACATACGTGTGCATGTGTCTTTATAGCAGCATGATTTATAATCCTTTGGGTATATACCCAGTAATGGGATGGCTGGGTCAAATGGTATTTCTAGTTCTAGATCCTTGAGGAATTGCCACACTGACTTCCACAATGGTTGAACTAGTTTACAGTCCCATCAACAGTATAAAAGTGTTCCTATTTCTCCACATCCTCTCCAGCATCTGTTGGTTCCTGACTTTTTAATGATCGCCCTTCTAACTGGTGTAAGATGGTATCTCATTGTGGTTTTGATTTGCATTTCTCTGATGGCCAGTGATGATGAGCTTTTTTTCATGTGTCTGTTGGCTGCATAAATGTCTTCTTTTGAGAAGTGTCTGTTCATATGCTTCACCCACTTGTTGATGGGGTTGTTTTTTTCTTGTAAATTTGTTTGAGTTCTTTGTAGATTCTAGATATTAGCCCTTTGTCAGATGAGTAAATTGCAAAAATTTTCCCCCATTCTGTAGTTTGCCTGTTCACTCTGATGGTAGTTTCTTTTGCTGTACAGAAGCTCTTTAGTTTTATTAGATCCCATTTGTCAATTGTGGCTTTTATTGCCATTGCTTTTGGTGTTTTAAACATGAAGTCCTTGCCCATGCCTATGTCCTGAATGGTAATGCCTAGGTTTTCCTCTAGGGTCTTTATGGTTTTAGGTCTAATATTTAAATCTTTAATCCATCTTGAATTAATTTTTGTATAAGGTGTAAGGAAGGGATCCAGTTTCAGCTTTCTACATATGGCTAGCCAGTTTTCCCAGCACCATTTATTAAATAGGGAATCCTTTCCCCATTGCTTGTTTTTCTCAGGTTTGTCAAAGATCAGATTGTTGTAGATGTGTGGTATTATTTCTGAGGGCTCTGTTCTGTTCCATTGGTCTATATCTCTGTTTTGGTACCAGTACCATGCTGTTTTGGTTACTGTCGCCTTGTAGTACAGTTTGAAGTTAGGTAGCGTGATTCCTCCAGCTTTGTTCTTTTGGCTTAGAATTGTCTTGGCAATACAGGCTCTTTTTTGGTTCCATATGAACTTTAAAGTAGTTTTTTCCAATTCTGTGAAGAAAGTCATTGGTAGCTTGATGGAGATGGCATTGAATCTATAAATTAACTTGGGCAGTATGGCCATTTTCACGATATTGATTCTTCCTACCCATGAGCATGGAATGTTCTTCCATTTGTTTGTATCCTCTTTTATTTCATTGAGCAGTGGTTTGTAGTTCTCCTTGAAGAGGTCCTTCATGTCCCTTATAAGTTGGATTCCTAGGTATTTTATTCTCTTTGAAGCAATTGTGAATGGGAGTTCACTCATGATTTGACAAACTCTCTGTTTGTCTGTTATTGGTGTATAGGAATTCTTGTGATTTTTGCACATTGACTTTGTATCCTGAGACTTTCCTGAAGTTGCTTATCAGCTTAAGGAGATTTTGGGCTGAGACGATGGGGTTTTCTAAATATACAATCATGTCATCTGCAAACAGGGACAATTTGATTTACTCTTTTCCTAATTGAATACCCTTTATTTCCTTCTCCTGCCTGATTGCCCTGGCCAGAACTTCCAACACTGTGTTGAATAGGAGTGGTGAGAGAGGGCATCCCTGTCTTGTGCCAGTTTTCAAAGGGAATACTTCCAGTTTTTGCCCATTCATTATGATATTGGCTGTGGGTTTGTCATAAATACCTCTTATTATTTTGAGATATGTCCCATCAATACCTAATTTATTGAGAGTTTTTAGCATGAAGGGCTGTTGAATTTTGTTGAAGGCCTTTTCTGCATCTATTGAGATAATCATGTGGTTCTTGTCCCTGGTTCTGTTTATATGCTGCATTACATTTATTGAGTTGGGTATGTTGAACCAGCCTTGCATCCCAGGGATGAAGCCCACTTGATCATGGTGGATAAGCTTTTTGACGTGCTGCTGGATTCAGTTTGCCAGTATTTTATTGAGGATTTTTGCATCAATGTTCATCAGGGATATTGGTCTAAAATTCTCTTTTTTTGTTGCATCTCTGCCAGGCTTTGGTATCAGGATGACGCTGGCCATAAAATGAGTTAGGGAGGTTTCCCTCTTTTTCTATTGAGTGGAATAGTTTCAGAAGGAATGGTACCAGCTCCTCCTTGTACCTCTGGTAGAATTCAGCTGTGAATCCATCTGGTCCTGGACTTTTTTTGGTTGGTAAGCTATTAATTATTGCCTCAATTTCAGAGCCTGTTATTGGTCTATTCAGGGATTCAACTTCTTCCTGGTTTAGTCTTGGGAGGGTGTATGTGTCGAGGAATTTATCCATTTCTTCTAGATTTTCTAGTTTATTTGTGTAGAGGTGTTTATAGTATTCTCTGATGGTAGTTTGTATTCCTGTGGGATCGGTGGTGATATCCCCTTTATCATTTTTTATTGCATCTATTTGATTCTTCTCTCTTTTCTTCTTTATTAGTCTTGCTAGCAGACTATCAATTTTCTTGAACTTTTCAAAAAACCAGCTCCTGGATCCATCAATTTTTTGAAGGGCTTTTTGTGTCTCTATCTCCTTCAGTTCTGCTCTGATCTTAGTTATTTCTTGCCTTCTGCTAGCTTTTGAATGTGTTTGCTCTTGCTTCTCTAGTTCTTTTGATTGTGATGTTAGGGTATCAATTTTAGATCTTTCCTGCTTTCTCTTGTGGGCATTCAGTGCTATAAATTTCCCTCTACACACTGCTTTGTGTCCCACAGATTCTGGTATGTTATGTCTTTGTTCTCATTGGTTTCAAAGAACGTCTTTACTTCTGCCTTCATTTCATTATGTACCCAGTAGTCATTCAGGAGCAGGTTGTTCAGTTTCTATGTAGGTGAATGGTTTTGAGTGAGTTTCTTAATCCTGAGTTCTAGTTTGATTGCATTGTGGTCTGAGAGACAGTTTGTTATAATTTCTGTTCTTTTACACTTGCTGAGGGGTGCTTTACTTCCAACTATGTGGTCAATTTTGGAATAAGTGTGATGTGGTGCTGAGAAGAATGTACATTCTGTTGATTTGGGGTGCAGAGTTCTGTAGATGTCTATTAGGTCCACTTGGTGCTGAGCTGAGTTCAATTCCTGGGTATCCTTGTTAACTTTCTGTCTCGTTGATCTGTCTAATGTTGACAGTGGGTTGTTAAAGTCTCCCATTATTATTGTGTGGGAGTCTACGTCTCTTTTTAGGTCTCTAAGGACTTGCTTTGTGAATCTGGGTGCTCCTGTATTGGGTGCATATATATTAAAGATAGTTAGCTCTTCTTGTTGAATTGATCCCTTTACCATTATGTAATGGCCTTCTTTGTCTCTTTTGATCTTTGTTGGTTTAAAGTCTGTTTTATCAGAGACTAGGATTGCAACCCTTGCCTTTTTTTGTTTTCCATTTGCTTGGTAGAACTTCCTTCATCCCTTTATTTTGAGGCTATGTGTGTCTCTGCATGTGAGATGGGTCTCCTGAATATAGCACACTGATGGGTCTTGACTCTTTATCCAATTTGCCAGTCTGTGTCTTTTAATTGGAGCATTTAGCCCATTTACATTTAAGATTAATATTGTTATGTGTGAATTTGATCCTGTCATTATGATGTTAGCTGGTTATTTTGCTCATTAGTTAATGTAGTTTCTTCCTTGCACTGATGGTCTTTACAATTTGGCATGATTTTGCAGTGGCTGGTACCGGTTTTTCCTTCCATGTTTAGTGCTTCCTTCAGTAGCTCTTGTAGGGTGGCCAGGTGGTGACAAAATCTCTCAGCATTTGCTTGTCTGTAAAGGATTTTATTTCTCCTTCACTTACGAAGCTTAGTTTGGCTGGATATGAAATTCTGGGTTGAAAATTCTTTTCTTTAAGAATGTTGAATATTGGCCCCCAGTGTCTTCTGGCTTGTAGAGTTTCTGCTGAGAGATCCTCTGTTAGTCTGATGGGCTTCCCTTTGTAGTTAACCCAACCTTTCTCTCTGTCTGCCCTTAACATTTTTTCCTTCATTTCAACTTTGGTGAATCTGACAATTATGTGGCTTGGAGTTGCTCTTCTCGAGGAGTATCTTTGTGGTGTTCTCTGTATTTCCTGAATTTGAATGTTGGCCTGCCTTGCTAGGTTGGGAAAGTTCTCCTGCATAATATCCTGCAGTGTTTTCCAACTTTGCTCGATTCTCCCTGTCACTTTCAGGTACACCAATCAGATGTAGATTTGGTCTTTTCACACAGTCCCATATTTCTTGGAGGCTTTGTTCATTTCTTTTTACTCTTTTTTCTCTAAACTTCTCTTCTCGCTTCATTTC
This sequence comes from Homo sapiens, assembly GCF_000001405.40. Classification (NCBI taxonomy): domain Eukaryota; kingdom Metazoa; phylum Chordata; class Mammalia; order Primates; family Hominidae; genus Homo; species Homo sapiens. The sequence continues at coordinate 81,957,774 of NC_000006.12, forward strand.
ATTCATTTGATCTTCAATCACTGATACCCTTTCTTCCAGTTGATCGAATCGGCTAATGAAGCTTGTGCACTTGTCAGGTAGTTCTCGTGCCATGGTTTTCAGCTTCATCAGGTCATTTAAGTACTTATCTACAGTGTTTATTCTAGTTAGCCATTAGTCTAATCTTTTTTCAAGGTTTTTAGCTTCTTTGCGATGGGCTCGAACTTCCTCCTTTAGTTCGGAGAAGTTTGATCGTCTAAAGCCTTCTTCTCTCAACTCATCAAAGTCATTCTCCATCCAGCTTTGTCCTGTTGCTGGTGAGGAGCTACATTCCTTTGGAGGAGGAGAGGCGCTCTGATTTTTAGAATTTTCAGCTTTTCTGCTCTGTTTTTTCCCCATCTTTGCGGTTTTATCTACCTTTGGTCTTTGATGATGGTGACATACAGATGGGGTTTTGGTGTGGATGTCCTTTCTGTTTGTTAGTTTTCCTTCTAACAGTCAGGACCCTCAGCTGCAGGTCTGTTGGAGTTTGCTGGAGGTCCACTCCAGACTTGTTTGCCTCGATATCAGCAGCATAGGCTGCAGTACAGCGAATATTGCTGAAAAGCAAATGTTGCTGCCTGATCGTTCCTCTGGAATCTTCATCTCAGAGGGGTACCCAGCTGTGTGAGGTGTCAGTCTGCCCCTACTAGGGGGTGCCTCCCAGTTAGGCTACTCGGGGGTCAGGGACCCACTTGAGGAGGCAGTCTGTCCATTCTCAGATCTCAAACTCCATGCTGGGAGAACTACTACTCTCTTCAAAGCTGTCAGACAGGGACATTTAAGTCTGCAGAGGTTTCTGCTGCCTTTTGTTCTGCTATGCCCTGCCCCCAGAGGTGGAGTCTACAGAGGCAGGCAGGCCTTCTTGAGCTGAGGTGGGCTCCACCCAGCATGAGCTTCCCAGCTGCTTTGTTTACCTACTCAAGCCTCAGCAATGGTGGGTGCCCCTCCCCCAGCCTTGCTGCCACCTTGCAGTTTGATCTCAGACTGCTGTGCTAGCAAAGAGCGAGGCTCTGTGGGCGTGGGACCCTCCGAGCCAGGCACGGGATATAATCTCCTGGTGTGCCATTTGCTAAGACGGTTGGAAAAGCACAGTATTAGGGTGGGAGTGACCCGATTTTCCAGGTGCTGTCGATCACCGCTTCCCTTGGCTAGGAAAGGGAATTCCCTGGCCCCTTGCACTTCCTGGGTGAGGTAATGCCTTGCCCTGCTTCGGCTCACGTTCGGTGGGCTGCACTGTCCTGCCCCCACTGTCCGACAAGCCCCAGTAAGATGAACCTGGTACCTCAGTTGGAAATGCAGAAATCACCCGTCTTTTGCGTCGCTCAAGCTGGGAGCTGGAGACTGGAGTTGTTCCTATTCGGCCATCTTGGAACCACTGCCCCAAGTCTTGTAATTTCTTCAGACACTTTAACCCCAATGAAACTTTCATTCCTAATCAACCCACTAGGATTTTTGCTGTCAGAATTCTTTTCACACTAATATTCTCGACCTCAAATACAGCAGTAGTTTACACCTTTATATACACCGATTTATTATAGTTTGCAGATTTGGGTAAAACTATATAGAAAATTTATTTTAAAAGGTTCACTAGGAGCAAGGTTTATACTTTCTGTGTATGAATAATACATTATCTACCTCTTTTATATCACTCAAAGTCCCTAGCTCAGGGCTAGCTGGCACACAGCTTCTTAAAAAGAATGAACTATGTTTTGTCTAACTTTCTTTCCCCAAGTTCTTGACTGAAGGACACCTTGACTGCCTCACCCTTGACATGTTATCTGTCATCAAGTCTCTACTTTCCCTTCAAAATAAAGTCTCAAATCTGCCCACTTCTTTCTATGTCATCTGCAGCACTTCAAAAGCTTCTTTACTGCAATTCCACTTCATCAATGGCTTTCAAAAACCCACTCTATTCACACAGACAGAAAGAATTCGTATTAAAAAATCCAATTATGCCCGCTGTCTTTTTAGAAGCCATAAATGGGTTTTCATTTTACTTTGAATAAAATCCCAATACCTGAGAGTGGCCTCCAAGGCCATGTATGATATGGCCCCCGCCAACTCTCTCATCTTAGCATAGGGCACTCTCCTTCCTCTTTCTAACCCAGCCACATGGGCCTCCTTTGAGCTTCACTCAGTGGTTATGGTCATTTGGCTCAAGGCCTTTGCCCTTCTTGGCCCCCTTCCTAAAAGGCTCTTCCTCAGCACTTTACATAATCATTTCCGTCTCTCCTTCCAGGTATAGAGCATCATGCTTGCTTTTCTCCCCCCAACTCTTCTTTAGACAGGAATGCTTAAGCAATTCTGTCACTGTGCACTTTATCTTACTGATAATGGGTTATTATGATTATTATTATTTGAGACAGAGTCTTCCAGGCTGGAGTGCAGTGGCACGATCTCGGCTCACTGCAACATTCGTCTCGCGGGTTCAAGGGATTCTCCTGCCTCAGCCTCCTGAGTAGCTGGGTTACAGGCACCCACCACCATGACCGGCTAATTGTACTTTTTAGTAGAGATGGGGTTTCACCATGTTGGCCAAGCTGGTCTCGAACTCCTGACCTCAGGTAATCCACTTGCCTTGGCCTCCCAAAGTGCTAGGACTGCAGGTGTGAGCCAACACACCCAGCTGATAATGAGTAATTATTAGTTATTTTCTGGTTTACTTCTAAATTATTTCTCATATCTCTAGATTATAATATCCATGAAGGTAGGGACCATGTATGTTTGTTGTTTTTGCTTTTATTTTCATCGTTGTGTACCCAGCATCTAGCACAATTACCTGCCACATAGAAAGCACTCTGAAATATTTGTCAAATAAGAATCTATGAAGTGAGACTTGAGTATTTAGTATATGCCAGGTGCAAGAAAGACAAAGTAAAATAATTCCAGGCCTCTACCCCTTAACTAATATTTCTTTCTAACTCCCTGTTCAGTGATATCATCTTAGCTTAAATTTGGCCATGGTAGACTATTCATACGAGGGAAATTACCAATTCTGCAAATCAGTGCTTCCCTCCCTGCATGACAGCCAGTTTACAAACAGATCATTTTAAATAGGAAAACTTATACATATATGTGCAAAATATTAAGGGAGCTTTCAATATACAGTGCTAGGAAAACTGGACATCCACAAGCCAAAGAATGAAGTTGGACCTCTAACTTACACCATATATAAAAATTAATTCAAAATGAATTAAAGACCTAAACGTAAAAGCTAAAACTATAAAACTTCTATAAGAAAACATGGGAACATCTTCATAATATGAGATCTATTAAAGATTTCTTATATATGACACCAAAAGCACAGTCAACAAAAGATAAATAGGCCAGTGCAGTGGCTCATGCCTGTAATTCCAGCACTTTGGGAGGCCGAGGCAGACAGATCATGAGGTCAGGAGTTTGAGACCAGCCTGACCAACATGGCAAAACCCCGTCTATACTAAAAATACAAAAACTATCTGGGTGTGGTGGTGCAGGCCTGTAAGCCCAGCTACTTGGGAGGCTGAGGCAAGAGAATTGCTTGAACCTGGAGGCGGAGGTTGCAGTGAGCCGAGACTGTACCACTGCACTCCAGCCTGGGCGACAGAGCAGGACTCTGTCTAAAAACATATATATATATATATATATATATATATGTAACCTATATAAAAATTAAAATTAAAAACTTTTGTGAATCAAAGGGTGTTACCAACCAAATAAGAAGTCAGCTCATGGAATGGGAGAAAAATATTTGCAAATCACATATATGACAAGGGGTTAATATCCAGAATGTATAAAGAATGCCTACAACTCAACAACAACAACAAAAAACCTAAATAAAACATGCGCAAAGGACTTAAACAGCCATTTCTCCAAAGAATACATTTTTCCAAATAGCCAATGAGCACATGAAAAGATGTTCAACATTGCTATTAATTAGGGAAGTACAAATCAACACTATGAGATGCCACTTCACATCCATTAGGATGGCTACTGTAAAAAAAAAAAAAAAAAGAGAGAGAGAAGAAGAAGAAAAGGAAAAGAAGGAGGAGGAGGAGGAAAGAATGAAATAAACTGTTGATGAAAATATAGAGAAATGAGAGCCCTTGTGCCCTGCTGGTAAGGATGTAAAATGGTGCAGCTGCTACGTAAAACAGTATGGTAGTTCTTCCAAAAATTAAGTATAGAATATGATCCAGCAGTTCCATTCCTGGGTATATACCCACAACAGTTGAAAACAGGAACTTGAACAGATACTTGCACACCAATGTTTGTACCAGCCTTATTCACAATAGCTAAAAGGTGGAAGCAAACCAAGTGTCCGTCAATGAATGATAGCATAAACAAAAAGTGACATACTCATACAAAGAAATATTGTTCAGCCTTAAAAATAAAGGAAATTCTGACACATGCTAAACACGGATGAACCTTCAAGACATGAAGCTAAGTGAAATAAGCCAGTCACAAAGGGACAATTAGTGGGACGATTCCAGTAATACAAGATACTTAGAGTAGTGAAATTCATAGAGACAGAGTAGAGTGGTGGTTGCCTGGGGCTAAAAGGAAGAACTATGGGGAGTTATTGTTTAATAGGGTATTGTTTAATGGAGTTTCAGTTTGGGAAGATGAAAAGAGTGCTGGAGATGGATGGCGGTGGTTGTTGCACAACAGTGTCAGTGACTTAATGGTTGTTGCACAACAGCAAGTGTACTTAATGCCACTCAATTTTACACTTAAAAATGGATAAAATTTAAATCGTATGTTATGTATATTTTACCACTATGAAAAAATTACCAAAAAAATGTTATAGGAGTATAAAAGAGCAAGCAATTGGATTGGGGAGATTCTTGTGAAGGAACTAAGGGCTTCACAGAAGAGGTGACATCTAAACAGAAAGAAGAGAAAAAGTATTTCTGGACAAAAGGAAGAGAATGTACCAAGGAAAGGGGCATGAGAGAGAGGGATCGGTTCAAGGAAGGGATGGCTGCTTGGTGAAGGCTAGTCACAGAGGTAAACATGAGGTGCAACTAACAAAAAATCCCAACAGTCTGATCAGAAAATGTCACATTACCTTCTACTGACTTGAAACCTGAAGAGCCCATATATGTTATGTTTGGTTATCCAACAGAGTATGTAATTACCCAAAATATCCATTTTCTCATTCCCCCAGATTTCAGATAGTTTATTCAATTTAACAATGAACTTAATGGTGAGACTTTTGACCAAAACTAGATAACCATATTTTAAAGGCTGTAGGCAAAAGAGATTCATCCTGTTTACATCAAGTATGAATCCAGATTTCAACATCCAAAGTCTAGAGCAAAAAGATTGGATGCCAGTGCACTCCACAGCCAACATATGCGGCCTAAGCCTGGGAAGAAGTCTTAATTCTCAGCTTAAGATACTTTCAATAATTACTAAACGTGTCACTACATTTTTTTCTCTGTAATATAAAAAATGGAAATGTTGTTTTTCAGTCTAAGGTTAATGCTTTATATTACATGATTAATTGTAAAGGCCCAATATAAAGTAGACAATATATCTCACTTTTTATTACATGTTATTGACTATAAAGAGTCAACCACAGTGAAGAGAAATAAACATCATAACATTCTGTCACTCTGAGCACAGTCATGTCAATATCATAAAAGTGTAAAACAGTGTTTCTAACACCAAAAACAATTGGGTATTGAGGCCTAGGAAAGCCTGCTTCAATTCATCTGAATGGATCAGGATGGTTTAAACGTCACTCAGAGACCTGACCTAAGGTCCAAAGGCACTCCCATGTTGAAACTTACCAGGATAGGGTCTCATACACCAGTGTTCCTGAATGAAGAAAGAGACGAATGATTTAAGGAGTGAATTTTAAACTAAAAGGAGCTTAAGAGAGTAGAGTTTCTTTTGTTTTACTGAAATAAATATGGGCTAAATACCTTCTGAGAAGGTAATATTCAGGCTGTGGAGTGAAAGTAAAGGCATTTCTTCTGGACAAGAGTTGTCAGATTTGATCATTTTTCTTCCTTCTTATGTCATCTCACTCTACCCTGCTTTGTTCTTTTATTCTCTCCTCCATTATAATCTGCATGAGAACCTCATTTAGTTAAAGATCCTCCACCCAATGCCTTAGGAGAATGGAGGTTGCTTCCGTCTTTTGGGTTTGGTTTTTCTCCTAAGTATGTTCTTAAAAACTATATTCTTTCTTCATATCAAAACCCATGCAGTTTCTTTCTAATTTTAGTTTCCCTCTGTGCATAGCAACCTACAATCAAAATTTTGGCATATAAACATATTATAGGGCTTTTCATTTTATGAGTGCTGCTGTTGAATTTGGGCATATAATATGGAAGGTTTCAGAACATTTTTTATACCAACCATTAATCTCCTCATCCTCTTTGCTCCCGTCACACTGTGGCTCCACCTCTATTACTGTATATACCAATTTCAATGTGTTCAGCATGATATCATATGCTCCATAAGGGTAAGGATAAATTTAATTTACTCTTTCATCCAACAAACATTTACGAAGTGGCAGCTGTGAACAAGCACAGGACTGCTGGTTGGCAATATAAAGAAAAATAAATAGAGTCCCTCTCCTCAAGGAGTTCACTTTAATTTCTATTCTTGTTACATGCACTATAAGTTTGTTGAATTAAACTAAAACACTAGATAATGCTTCATGTTGAAGATGCTGAGAGCCTTTGTCCTAGTTAAATAATCAAGTGTTTCTGTGATGCCCTCGCCATACAGCCTCACATACTTGTTTTCACTTGAGCCTCCAATCGCAAATATTACAGGAGTTGTGGTTGCAAAGATGGCAGAGGAAGGGAAGGGGACAAGCCCACCCAGGCTGAACTGAAGGTGAGGAAGAGCCCACAGCTTTCTTGCCCAGGTCTTTTCACATCTATGTCTGTGGTAAAGGGCCACCATGTCAACCTTGAGTGGCCCCACTTCATACCAAATTTTTCAATGTTATTAACCTAACAAAACTCAGAATCCAAAAGTGGCTAAAGCTGAACTCATAATTTGAACGTTTCACAAAGTTTATGCAAATTGTCAACTAAAATGCTGCTTTTATACAATGACCTATGAGCAGATATACCAGAGACAAAGATGGTATCTAGACAGAGGTGAAGAAATAGACTATCTGACAACGTGGAAAGACCGCTCTGGCCAATTGATGTCACAACAAATAATCTATGGATAAGGAGACTTAGAGTCCCAACAGGCCCCTTAAAGTTTATTTACATTGGTTATGTTACAGATTAAACCAAGTTTATTTTTTCATGAATTTCTATTTAAGAAGTGCTTTATAGAGATTAATAATTTTTATCATTTACTCAACAATTTTTGAGTGTCATTCTGTGCCACGCTCTATGTTGGGTACCGCAGACACAAAGGTGAATATGACATCCTCCCAAGAAACTCCCAACCCAGCGAAGGAACAAACAAATAAATATGTGGATGGGGACCAGATCTTCAATCTGCATTCAACTCACAATCTCTCTAGTCACACTAATCATCTATAGGAGAGTATTTGCTAACTTGAATGCTTAAGATTTTGAGAAGCAAAATTAGAAAAAATAGGAAGAAAGAAGAGATAGGAAAAGGTAATTAGATGAAAGGATGAAGAGGCTAAATTGGGCTACCTAAAGAGAAGGAATGAAGTAGTAAGTTACAAAACGAAGTCACTTGGCACTAAAGCTGAAGAGAGCAGTTTAGAAGCTGGTATATAAGCAACTCTGGAACATAAGAGTTTATGAAGTGAAGGGTAAGAAAGCAGAAGAGTGGAGAAAATACCAATAACAGTTGTTCTGAGACAGGAGTTGAACCCCTCTGTTGTTTTGTTGAGAGATAAAAGTAAAGTTAAAATATACCATAAAGTCACTTTTGGTCTGCCAGATCACGCTTCTTTGCGTGTGATTCTATATGGATACTGAGCCATGCGGGGCTCCAAGATTTAGGGTGTACGTTGGAAATGCAGGCTCTGTTAGTAGAGTGTATAAAGGTTACTCTGAGGTTCACAGTATAGAAATGCCAACATTATTTGGCTAAGTGAACTTTTCTCAAGCTGAAGGGTCCTAATTCACTATGTCAGTTTATCAGGATCTTCTAATGTCAGTGAAGGCTCCAGGAAGGATGTGTTACATGAACTGGTGAGCTGCGTGTTTGTTTTAAGTGGAAAGTATGTATTCAACCTTCCACTTAAAGATGGAAAAGGGATGGGAAAAAGATGGTAAAGGGATGAGAAAGAAGGAAGAGAGTGGAAATTCAACTGCTGAATAAGGTTGGATGAGTCAAGGAAGAACACAACATGGGGATGGGGCTATAAGGTGATAGCTGTCATGCTTAACTCTGCCATTAATACTGCGATCCTGGTGAAACCCAGTCAACCTCTCCCAAGATAGAATGCTCATAGTTTTATTTTCTATTCTGATGAAGACTAGGTGAGGTTTACATTATTACATTAAAAAAAGAGAGATGACTTACCTTTTACTATCCTCATAATGAATTTTATGTACATTATACCTGTCATATCAGGGTTATTGGTTTTTTTGTTTGGTTGGTTTTCTTCCTTTAGGGAAGTTACAGAAACTTGTTTTTCTTCTATTCCTTCCCTGGTGATACAATATACAATATTATGGGAGTGGAATATTCTAGACCAAAGGCAGATCTACATGAAATATTATGGCATGTGAAAGACATTGCAAGTTATTTCCTGGGGGTCTAACAAGAGATGAATAAACACTCCTGAACACTTATTATGGCCAGGCACTAGGATGAACCCTTTATTTATATCATTTCATAGTCTCAATAATAACCCTAAAGTTGATGCTATTACAAGGCTTATTTAATAAAACCAAAGAAGTTAAATAACTTGCCCAAGATCAAACAACTAGCAAACAACAGAGTCAGGATTCAAATAAGGAATTAAATTCCACAGCCCAGGTTCCTAAGTGCTTGGCTACACTGCCTCCTCATGAATGCTGTGCATCAAGATCTGACGTGCATCAAGATCTGAGCTATATCCCTTAGGTCTCTATTTCTCCAACTATAGCATATGAGTCAGAAATACATAAAGCCAGAGAATATATGTAGCCATTTGCCCAGTAAATCAATGGTACTGAAAGACCTATGAGGGAAAATTTTACTCAGATAGGTGAGAAGATGTTAAACAGTGAGAATTTTCAAACATAGGAAAAAGAAATAAAGATACACTGTAGATTAATATGCAAAACTTTATAAATTATAAAGGTAAATCATGAAATTTTGGAAAAATGCCACGGTTGTGGTCACCATTTTAGCTTATGATCTCTTTCCTCCAAGCTTACTCTTTTGTGTGTGTGTGTGCATTCACATATATTTTTTGAAATATTGCCTTAGGCACGAGAGCCATGGAGTGTTGCAACAGGGATGCATTGTGGCCAGGTTTACATTTTGGAAAGCTTCTAACAGGTGAGAGAGGAACACAAGGAAACAATCACACTTCCCTGGTAGAATGAACACTGATTTCACTTACAAGATAAGAGTGAGTTTGAGGAGCCTGGGGATCCTCCAAGTGGCATGACTATGAAGAAAACTGGAACTCAGAAGAGAGGTCTTCCACAAAAACCTTGTATCATATTTTATACTAACATCATTCAAAACTATGTTCCCACCTATTTCACAGAACAGTGTTTGGGGCAGAGTAGCTACCCCAAAACCATTTGTTGAATGAATGAAGTGGAAAATAGAGGGCATATACTAATAATGTAATTAAGAGAATCCATTAATGCTACACTGCAAAAAAAAATGTTCAGAATTAAAGGACCTTTTGTATCTTTATATGTGCATATGAATGTCAAACATTTTATAAGGTTCATAGGATATAGTGACGTTTATCCCTTCAAGAAAATGACTTTTAAAGAGGAGAAAGTTCCCACATAGTCCTGCTGCATTTAAAAGAAGCTTTAGATTTTAACATGCCGATCATTTGTTATTTCTATAATGTGGAGACTTTACTAAAGGTAAATGTTTATAAAGAGCTTTTAAATAAATCCTTCTGTCTTAGGAAATTATTGTCTCTTTACTAATCTGTGAGAAGATTTTTGGCTGCCACTGCCATGTACTTCTGCCAAAATTGTATATGTGTATATATATACACACACACATATATATGTAATTATTTTATATGTAGGATTTATATATGTGTGTGTATATATATATACTTGTATACATATATGTATGCATATATTGCAGTGTGTGTGTGTGTGTGTGTGTGTGTATATATATATCAGAATATGGTCTCTTTTCTTCCAATATGACCTCTGTAATATAACAAATTGTTTAAATGTTGATTTTGCCTCAGTAATTTCTCCCAGTGGCTTCATTAGTTTTTCCATGTTTTAAGAACTCTATAGCTACATTTCCTAAGAGACATTTATTTCTGTGTTTCCTAGTTATAGGTTTATAGATTACTAGGAGTTCTGGGTCACTGTGTTACTATAAGATTGAGTTCCAACTTTATGACTCATTTTCTAAAAATCAATTTTCTCAAGCCACTGTCCATTTAATTTCATTGGCCATGATTATTTTGAAATAAATGCATATATGCCTATAGATGATACTTTAGAAACTATTATTGGCTTAGGTTTTACATTGAGCTCCATTTTAATGTTCAAATTGTGTTTTATAGTATTTGCTTCCTTTAAATGTGTTTTTATTGAGAAAATAAAATTTTATTTTGCATTAAACTTACCATTAAAAAGATGAATGTCAGTATAGTATGACTAAACACTGCCACTATTAAATCTTAGAGGTCTTAGTTTGCCTTTGCTTCTTTAACTAGCTATGTGTGGTTGTAGAACATGAACTAGCCTGTCATGATTCCCATTCTAGGCAACGAAATTAGAAGTGTGCATTATGACAGTGTTCTGTGACTTCCTTCTCCTGACCCCAACTTCTAACCATCTTCCCATTCCCAGTACTTTCATTATGCTTCCTGGAGCCCTCAATCCCTAGCCTTGCCACTAAACTCACTCCACCTTCTTGCCTTAATTAAAGCTTTTCTCTATCTGAGGACACTGCTTCTCCAGCAGTCTCACCAAGTGAAGAATGTGGCTGTCAACAACCCTTGGTATCTCAGAATAAGGAAGCAGAGTTCAGATCGTCTTCACCTAGCAGTGCTTCAAACCAGTCCTCATCACCACCAATCCTCATGCAAAATCCTTCCATCCTTGAAGGTTCAAGTTATCCAGACATACCACATTCCACCCTCCCTTGTACCCAGAGTGTCTGCTGATTCCATGGACAATTTTCTCATGTTCACTAAACACTTCTGCACATAACTGTAGTCTTTCTCTCCATGCAACTTCCTACCATCATTCAGGATGACATCCTGTCCATGCAATACCCAAGTTTCATAATTCTTGACCTTCTCATCTTCAGTTACTTCTCCATTTTATTTCAGCCACCATAGCATCACTCCTCCACCTCTGAAAACCTAAGTTCAGCCATCTCATTCTCCGACCACAACTTCTTACCATTTCCTACCATATCCCTTACTCAGTGATTCCTCAATACACGTTCTTCAAATTCATTGAGTTCTCTAACCACCTGATAACTCTACTTTCTCCCTCTCTCCACCTTCCTGTATCCATTTCCTTTCCTATCCATCTAGGAATGTATAATTCATTACATCAATATTTTCTTGCCAATATTCTCATAACACTAGCCCACTGCCCTTCGAATTGCTATGGACTAGCAAAACCCCAATCCTGGACCAATCCACACATCTACGCTGTCTATATTCTAAGTCTGCAAAACCTGGCCAAAGAATATCATGAAAACACATCAATTTGAGTGGCAGGGCCAAGATAGACAACTAGAAGCAGCAGCATTCGGAGGCTCCCATAAAAAAAAAAAAAAACCACTTATAATAAGCATGTGAATCCTTCACCAGCAATCAAGGTATCCAGGCTCTCTCATCAAAATTGACTAGAAGGCTGGTGTGACCCACTGAGAGAGGGAAGTGCAGTGTGGTGCCACGGCCCACCTGAGAGCCACACAGGGAAGGGGAATCCCCTCCCCCCAGCCAAGGGAGGCAGTGCGTGAGCGCGCTACCCAGCGGGGGAAACTGCTTTTTCCACAGAACTGTGCAACCTTCGGATCGGAAGATCCCACTCGCGAACCCACGCCACCAGGCCTAGCGTCTCAACCCCGGAACACACAGATTCTTACAGCCTCACAGCTAGAATCTGTTTAAATCTACCGAACTCCCAGGGGGAGGGGCGACCAGCACAGGCTGCTGATGCCTGGCGTCTAAGCTGCTTGAGTTCCGTGGGGGAGGGGCAGCAGCCAGAACTGGGACTGGCAACTGTCTAACACGCTAAGCTCCCTGGTTAGGAGAAGGGTAGCACCCATTTCTGTAACTCCAGGCTGTGCTTTTCTCCTGCTGGAGCCAGGGAGGCTGGAGGGTTTGGACCCAAGACATGTATGTCCCCACAGCCCAAAAAAACCACACGGGCTGTGGCAGGCTGTGGCCAGAGTGCCTCTTCAGGCCTCTACCTGACTTATCCTTCCTCAGCGGGTGGGGCTTCCCTGCAGGATCTCCACTAAGTCCAACTAGAGGCTGAGGGACAGAATTCGAATCTCCCTGGGCCTGAGCCCCTAGGGGGAGGGGTGGCTGCAGTCTCTGCAGACCAGCAGACTTCGCTTCTCCTCCTGGTAGTTCTGACGAATCTGGGCAGCCCAGATGAGTGGGTTTCCCCCCAGTGAAACACACCCTCTCCACAATGGACAAAATGCTTCATTAAATGGGTCCTATCCTCATGCCACCGAACTGGGTGAGACCCTCCAACAGGGGTTGTCAGATACCCTATAAAGGAGTGATCCTACTGACATCAGGTTGGTGCACCTTGAGGTCAGAGGTTCCAGAAGAAGGAGGAGGCAACCATCTTTGCAGCTCTCCAGCCTCCTTGAGTGACATCTCCAGGCACAGGAGTGAATTAGATCAATAGGGCCTGAAGTGAATCCCCAGAAAACTGAAGCAGCCCTGCAGAAGAGGGTCCTGACTATTGAAAGAAAAACAAACAAGCAGAAAGGAACAACAACAGCATCATGAACAACAACAACAAAAAGGCCCCCACAAAAACCCCATCCAGGGGTCAGCGGCCTCAAAGACCGAAACTAGACAAACTCACGAAGATGAGAAAGAATCAATAAAAAAATGCTGCAAACCCAACAGGCCAAAGTGCCTCTTCTCCTCCAAATGATCGCAACATCTCTCCACCAAGGGCACAGAACTGGATGGAGGATCAGATGGACAAATTGACAGAAGTAGGCTTCAGAAGATGAGTAATAAAAAACTACAATGAGCTAAAGGAGCATGTTTTAACCCAATGCAAAGAAGATAAGAACCTTGATAAAAGGTTAGAGGAATTGCTAACTAGAATAACCAGTTTAGGGAGGAGCCTAAGTGACCTGATGGAGGTGAAAAACACAGCACGAGAACTTCGTGAAGCATAGGCACGCATCAACAGCCAAATCGACCAAGCAGGAGAAAGGATAGCAGAGTTTGATACAGACATAAATAGAGAAAAAAGAATGAAAAAGAATGAACAAAGACTCCAAGAAATATGGAACATCATAAAAAGACCAAACCTACAATTGATCAGAATACCAGAAGGAGACGAGGAGAATGGAAACAAGCTGGAAAATACACTTCAGGATATTATCCAGGAGAACTTCCTACAGATCAAGTACAAAGGGAAGCTCATCAGACTAACAGAGGACCTCTCAGGAGAAACTCTACAAGCCAGAAGAGATTCGGGGCCAATTTTCAACATTCTTAAAGAAAATAATTTCCAACCCAGATTTTCATATCCAGCCAAACTAAGCTTCATAAGCAAAGGAGAAATAAAATCCTTTCCAGACAAGCAAATGCTGAGGGATTTCTTTTTTTTTTTTTTTATACATTAAATTTTAGGGTACATGTGCACAACGTGCAGGTTTGTTACACAGGTATACATGTGCCATGTTGGTATGCTGCACCCATTAACTCATCATTCACATTAGGTATATCTCCTAATGCTATCCCTCCCACCTCCCCCGACTCCACAACAGGCCCCAGGGTGTAATTTTCCCCTTCCTGTGTCCAAGTGTTCTCATTGTTCAATTCCCACCTATGAGTGAGAACATGCAGTGTTTGGTTTTTTGTCCTTGCAAGTTTGCTGAGAATGATGGTTTCCAGCTTCATCCATGTCCCTACAAAGGACATGCTGAGGGATTTCATTACCACCAGGCCTACCCTGCAAGCGCTCCTGAAAGAAGCACTAAATATGAAAGGAAAAAACTGGTACCAGCCACTGCAAAAACACACCAAAATATAAAGACCAATGACACTATGAAGAAATTGCATCAACTGGTGTGCAAAAATAACCAAATAGCAGCATAATGACAGCATAATGACAGGATCAAATTCACACATAACAATGCTAACCTTAAATGTAAATGGGCTAAATGCCCAAATTAAAAGACACTGACTGGCAAATTGAATAAGGAGTTAAGACCCATCAGTGTGCTGTATTCAGGAGACCCATCTTACATGCAAAGACACACACAGGCTCAAAATAAAGGGATGGAGGGAAACTTACCAAGCAAATGGAAAGCAAAAAGTCTGATAAAACAGACTTTAAACCAAAAAAGATCAAAAAAGACAAGGGCATTACATAATGATAAAGGGAACAATTCAACAAGAAGAGCTAACTATTCTAAATATATATGCACCCAATATAGGAGCACCCAGATTCATAAAACAAGTTCTTAGAGACATATGAAGAGACTTAGCTCTCATACAATAATAATGGGAGACTTTAACACTCCACTGTCAGTATTAGACATATCAATGAGACAGGAAATTAACAAGGATATTCAGGACTTGAAGTCAGCTCAGGATCAAGTAGATCTAGTAGATGTCTACAGAACTCTCTACCCCCAAATCAACAGAATATACATTCTTCTTAGTGCCACATCACACTTATTCTAAAATCGACCACAGAATTGGAAGTAAAACACTCTTCAGCAAATGCAAAAGAACTGAAATCATAGCAAACAGTCTCTCAGACCACAGTGCAATCAAATTAGAATTCGAGATTAAAAAACTCACTCAAAACCTCACAATTTCATGGAAATTGAACAATCTGCTCCTGAATGACTCCTGGGTAAATAATGAAATTAAGGCAGAAATCAAGAAGTTCTTTGAAACCAATGAGAACAAAGAGACAATGTATCAGAATCACTGGGACACAGCTAAAGCAGTGTTAAGAGGGAAATTTATAGCACTAAATGCCCACATGAAGAAGCTAAAAAGATCTCAAATTGACACCCCAACATCACAATTAAAAGAGCTAGAGAGGCAAGAGCAAACTAATCCAAAAGCCAGCAGAAGACAAGAAACAAATAAGATCAGAGAAGAATCGAAGGAGATAGAGATATGAAAAACCCTCCAAAAAAATCAATGAATCCAGGAGCTTACTTTTTGAAAAAAATAACAAAATAGATAGACTGCTAGCTAGACTAATGAAGAGAGAGAAGAATCAAATAGACATTAAAAAATAATAAAGGGGATATCACCACTGAGCCCATAGAAATACAAACTACCATCAGAAAATACTATAAACACATCTATGCAAATAAACTAGAAAATCTAAAAGAAATGGATAAATTCCTGGATGCATACACCCTACCAAGACTAAACCAGGAAGAAGTTGAATCCCTGAATAGACCAATAACAAGCTCTGAAACTGAGACAATAATTAATAGCCTACCAACAAAAAAAGCCCAGGACCAGATGGATTCACAGCTGAATTCTACCAGAGGTACAAGGAGGAGCTGGTACCATTCCTTCTGAAACTATTCCAATCAGTAGAAAAAGAGGGAAACCTCCCTAACTCATTTTATGGCCAGCATCATCCTGATACCAAAAGCAGGAAGAGACACAACAACAACAAAAACACTTCAGGCCAATATCCCTGATGAACATCGGTGAGAAAATCCTCAATAAAATACTGGCAAACAAAATCCAGCAGAACATCAAAAAAACTCATCTACCACGATCAAGTTGGCTTCAACCCTGGGATGCAAGGCTGGCTCAACATATGCAAATCAATAAACATAATTCATCACATGGAACCAATTACAAAAACCACATGATTATCTCAACAGATGCAGAAAAGGCCTTTGATAAAATTTAACATCTCTTCATGTTAAAAACTCAATAAACTAGGTATTGATGGAACGTCTCTCAAAATAATAAGAGCTATTTATGACAAACCCACAGCCAATATCATACCGAATGGGCAAAAGCTGGAAGCATTCCCTTTGAAAATCAGTACAAGACAAGTATTTCCTCTCTCACCACTCCTATTCAACATAGTATTGGAAATTCTGGCCAGGGCAATCAGGCAAGAGAAATAAATAAATGGTATTCAAATAGGAAGAGAGGAAGTCAAGTTGTCTGTTTGCAGATAACGTGATTTTATATTTTGAAAACCCCACCATCTCAGCCAAAAAAAATTTCTTGAAATGATAAGTAACTTCAGCAAAGTCCCAGTATACAAAATCAATGTGCAAAAATCACAAGCATTTATTTACAATAACAACAGGCAAGCAGAGCACCAAATCATGAATGAACTCCCATTCACAATTGTTACAAAGAGAATAAAATACCTAGGAACACCACTAACAAGGGATGTGAAGGACCTCTTCATGGAGAACTACAAACCACTGCTCAAGGAAATAAGAGAGGACACAAACAAATGGAAAAGCATTCCATCCTCATGGATACGAAGAATCAATATCGTGAAAATGGCCGTACTGCCCAAAGTAATTTATAGATCCAATGCTATTCCCATTAAACTACCATAGACATTCTTAACAGAATTAGAAAAAACTATTTTAAATTTCATATGGAATCAAAGAAGACCACTTATAGCCAAGACAATCCTAAGCAAAAAGAACAAAGTTGGAGGCATCATGCTACCTGACTTCAAACTATACTACAAGGCTACAGTAACCAAAACAGCATGGTACTGGTACCGGTACCAAAACAGACATATAGACCAATGGAGCAGAACAGAGACCTCAGAAATAACACCACACATCTACAACCAACTGATCTTCAACAAACCTGACAAAAACAAGCAATGGGGAAAGGATCTCCTATTCAGTAAATGGTGCTAGGAAAACTGGCTAGCCATATGCAGAAAACTGAAACTGGACCCCTTCCTTACACCTTACACAAAAGTTAACTCAAGATGAATTAAAGGCTTAAATGTAAAACCCAAAACCATAAAAACCCTAGAAGAAAGCCTAGGCAATATCATCCAGGACATAGGCATGGGCAAAGACTTCATGACTAAATGCCAAATGCAATTGCAACAAAAGCCAAAATTGACAAATGGGACACAACTAAACTAAAGAGCATCTGCACAGAAAAAGAAACTATCATCAGAGCTAGCAGGCAACCTACTGAATGGGAGAAAATTTTTGCAATCTGTCCATCTGACAAAGGTCTAATTTCCAGAATTTACAAAGAACTTAAACATATTTACAAGAAAAAGCAAACAAACAACCCCATCGAAAAGTGGGCAACAGATATGAACAGACACTTCTAAAAAGAAGACATTTACGTGGCCAGCATACATATGAGAAAAAGCTCAACATCACTGATCATCAGAGAAATGTAAATCAAAACCACAATGAGATACCATCTCATGCCAGTCAGAATGGTGATTATTTTTAAAGTCAGGAAAAATACATGCTGGGGAGGCCATGGAGAAATAGGAATATTTTTATACTCCTGGTGGGAATGTAAATTAGTTCAACCATTGTGGAAGACAGTATGGTGATTCTTCAAGGATCTAGAACCAGAAATACCATTTGACCCAGAAATCCCATTACTGGGTATATACCCAAAGGAATATAAATCATTCTGCTATAAAGACACATGTACAGGTATATTTACTGCAGCACTATTTACAATAGCAAAGACATGGAACCAACCCAAATACCCATCAATGATAGACTAGATAAAGAAAATGTGGTACATATACACCATGGAATACTATACAACCATAAAAAGGAATGAGATCATGTCCTTTGCAGGGACATGGGTGAAGCTGGAATCCATCATCCTCAGCAAACTAACACAAGAACAGAAAACTAAACACCGCATGTTCTCACTCATAAGTGGGAGTTGAACAATGAGAATACATGGACACAGGGAAGGGAACATCACACACCAGGGCCTGTTGAGGGTTGGGAGGTGAGGGGAGGGAACTTACAGGATGGGTCTATAGGTGCAGTAAACCACCATGGCACATGTATACCTATGTAACAAACCTGTGCATTCTGCATGTGTATCCCATTATTTTTTAGAAGAAAAAAACGAAAGAAAAAACAACACGTCTGTTGGTGCCAAGACAAATTAATAACCTTTAATTCCAATGAGATCCACAGCATCTGGCAATCCTTTCATGATACTCCAATCAAGTCCCTCTCCCATTTTCCATAATGTATTTCAAACCTTCTGTGCTCTCCTAAAACCTCGTATCCCCCCATATCATCACTGTCATTCTTAGCTGATTACTTCCTCTACTTCCCAGAGAAAACAGAAGCCATCATTCAAGAAATCTTTGAGCTTCCTACACAAACCCATACATTTATTTGTGTTGTCTCTGTTCTTTCCATTTTTCCTCCTGCCTCAACAGAGGAGTGATATACTTTGGATGTTTGTTCCTGCCCAAATCTCATGTTTAATTGTAATTCCCAGTGCAGGAGATGGGGCCTGGTAGGAGGTATTTGTATCATGGGGGCAGATCCCTCATGGTGTGGTGCTGTCCAGATCAGGTTATTTAAACATATGAGGCACCTCCCCCCAGCTCTCTCAGTCTTGCTCCAGTTTTCACCATATTATGTGCCTGCTCCCGAGAACTTCGCGAAGCATATGCCTTCCACCATGATTGTAAGCTTCCTGAGGCCAGGAAGCTTATGCTGGTGTTACGCTTCCTGTACAACCTGCAGAACCATGACCCACTTAAATCTTTTTTCTTATAAATTACCCAGTCTCAGGTATGTCTTATGCTGGTGTTATGCTTCCTGTACAACCTGCAGAACCATGAGCCACTTAATCTTTTTTCTTATAAATTACCCAGTCTCAGGTATGTCTTTATAGCAATGCAAGAATGGCCTAATACAAAGAGTTATTTATTCTCCCATTTAAGGCTAACCTTCACTCAGATGCAGATTCCCATTCTTCTCATACCCTCAGGAACCTGCTCTGTACACTATCCCCTTTCTCTTATATTTTAATCAAGAAATGTGATCAACTAGTTTCTACCCACCAACACACAACATACTAAGCCTTCTACAATTAATTTTTTAAAAATTCATTCATCCCACATTCTCCTCCAATTTAACACTGCAGGATTCTTCTTCACCTTTCCTAATTTTATATTTGTCTGAAGAACTCTAGTTTCCTACAACAATAGCAATAGACTTAATCATGGGCATTATCTTACAGTACAGTCATGTATCACTTAAGGACAGTGATACATTTTGAGAAATTAATTGTTAAATGATTTCATCACTGTGTGAACATCATAGAGTGTACTTACACAAACCTAGATTGTATAGCCTACTACACACCTATGCTATCTGGCATAGCCTATTGCTCCTACAGTACAAACGTGTGCAGCATGTTACTGCACATGCTACTGAATACTGTAGGCAACTGTAACACACTGCTAAGTATTTGTGTAACTAAACGCATCTAAACACAGAAAAGGTACAGTAAAAATACAGTCTAAACAATTTTTAAATGGTATTCCTGTATAGGACACTTACTATGAATGGAAATTGCTGGACTGGAATTTTCTCTGGCTGAGTCAGTGAGTCAGTAGTAAGTGAATGTGAAGGCCAGGACATTACTATGAACTACTCTAGACTTTACAAACCCTGCACACTTCAGCTACATTAAATTTATTTTAAAATATTTCTTTCTTCAATAATAAATTAACTTTAGCTTACTGTAATATTTTTACTTGGTAAACTTTTAAATTTTTTCAACTTTTTGGTCCATTTGTAATAACACTTAGCTTAAAACACATTATACAGCTGTACAAAAATATTTCCTTTTTATATCCCTATTCTATAACTTTATTAACTTTTTTATTTTGCTTTTTAAACCTTTTTGTTAAAACCTAAGACAAAAACACACACATTAGCCTAAGCCTTCACAGTATCAGGATCATCAATATCACTGTCTTCCACCTCTACATCTTGTTTGGCTAGAAAGTCTTCAGAAGTAATAACATGCATGGGGTTGTTATCTATGATAATAATGCTTTCTTCTGGAATACCTCCTATTGGACTTGTTTGAAGCTGTTTTACTGTTAACTTTTTTCTTATAAGTAGAAGGAGCATCCTCTAAAATGATGATAAAAAATGAAAGTGTGGTGAATACATAAACAAATAACATAATTGTTTATTATGATTACCAAGTATTACGTATTGTACATAATCCTACGTGCTATACTTTCATATGAATGAGAGCACAGTAGATTTGTTTACACCAGCATCACCACAAACATGAGTAATGCATTGTACTATGACGTTACAATAGCTATGACATCACCAGGCAATAGACATTTTTCAGCTCCATTATAATCTTATGAGATGACTGTCCCATATGCACAATGTCTGACCAAAACATTGTTTTATATTATTACAGTCTCATCACCAAAAACAAACCTACCATGTGAAGATTAACATTTCTTTGCAACTCTTTTTGTCTTTAGAATATATTTAATTTAAAGTGTACAATCAGAGTACTGTGATCCAAGTTACTTGAATCCATTATTCTCATATATATAGTTGTATTATCACTTTGACAAAAAGATTCATTTATTTCTACTTGTATTAGTTTTTCTTCATTTTTAAAATTTCATTTTTTCATATTTACAAACTTTTACATGATACAAATATATATAAAGGTAAGCTCAAAAAAGTTATACTCTCAACCTATCAATCCTGTCCCACTTGCACCCAACCCTAATATATAATCATTTTTATTCAATTCTGGGACATTCTTCTTGAATTTCTTTTTTTGCAAAAACTACATACTCTTTTTCACTTATATTTCTTCACAATGCTACCATACCATATACACTTCTTATACTTTGCTCTTTCTACTGACAATATATCTTGGCTCAAGTCAATTTTATGTTATATTTACTGGCATATCAGTAATATTTACTGTTTCTTTCTCTTGGTATTTAGGAAGGTTTTGATCTTCTTCCAGTGGTTACCTCTTTCTAATATTGTTTGTAATGTCTTCAGTCCACTTTTGCCTTTCTGAGGCTTCTACTATTTGGTTTGTCAACTCTAATTGATATACTTGGACTGCACATATTACCTATAAAGCAATAAGTTTATTCTTTCCACCTTCTCCTCACTTTTCTCTGTGTTTCTGGGGAGTTGTCTTATTTCTACTTTGTCAGATTGTATAATGCTTATACACTCTTTCTCCACTATTTGTTTTAATGTTAGGACTACACTGAAATATATTCCATGTATACTATCAGTTCATTTGCCAGAGTTTTTCTAGTCTTCTGTTGGTTGGATAAAGCTTAACTTCTTGTTCTATTTGTGAATATACCACTCCTTCAGTTCTCACACTTTATCTTCAAAACTGTTTTTATATAGCATTGGTGGTTTAACACTAACTTGTCTAGATATAAAAGCTTTCACTCACACTTCCTGTTCTTGCTTTTAAAAACTCTTGTTTCAAAGTTGTTTTGCTTTGTATCTTGCTGTCAAGAACTCTGATTTAAACTTTATTTCTTTCTCTTGTAAATTATATTGTCTTTTTGTCTGGAACACCTGAGATTATTTTTTAATCATTAAAGTCTAAAAGTTCATTAGCACATATTTCTGAGTTGATCATTCTAAGTCACTTTTAGTCCCACATAGGTGGATTCAGGTTTTTAAATTTATAATAAAACAATAATTTTAAATAACATTTCTGTTATTCCACTGCTTTGTTTTTTTCTGATTTAAAGACTCCAATTGTATGTATGTGAGATCTTCTTTGCCTATCTTCTATAACTATCACTTGCTGATTGTTTCTTTTTCTTGTTATTTTCACTCTCTTGGCTATTTTAATTCTCTTCCTCAATTTCCCTTGTGATATTTGTCATTGATTCCTTTCTCTCTTGGTTACCCTGTAGCTTAGTTTTCATTCCTAAAATGATTTTATCCTTTTTTTTCCTATTTCTTTCTGGATTTAGCTTAATTCTCATATCCTTTCGCCCCTTTCTTCTGAATATTTGAGTTTCTATTGGGATGGGCTTCTTAACATATGAAAATAATATTATTTAATTCAGTTTTATTACTCTTCACGGATTTTTCTTAGAATTTTCATCAGTAGGAACATTTTGATTCTTATTTTCCATCTTCTTTATATAGTAACCTTTATGGTTGTTGTTTACAGTAAATATCTTGTATTTTCTGGATTAACAATAAGGAATAATTCTGTGTTGACAAATGTGAGACATTTGGTGGCTTACTAGTTTTTTAGTTCAAGAGCACCCTCTTCTGTTGATATAATAAAATGTAATTTTATTAAATGGCACCATTTTTTAAGAGAAGAATTGGTTTGACTTTATTTTATTTTATTTTATTTATTTATTTTTTTGAGATGGAGTTTTGCTCTTGTTGCCTAGGTTGGAGTGCAATGGCACAATCTTGGCTCACTGCAACCTCCACCTCCTGGGTTCAAGCGATTCTCCTGTCTCAGCCTCCTGAGTAGCTGGGATTACAGGCATGTGCCACCACGCCTGGCTAATTTTTGTATTTTTAGTATAGATGGGGTTTCTCCATATTGGCCAAGCTGGTCTCAAACTCCCAACCTCAGGTGATCCGCCTGCCTCAGCCTCCCAAACTGCTGGGATTACAGGTATGAGCCACCACGCCTGGTCAGTTTGACTTTTTATTAAGTAATCTTCTTTTGTTTATTTGGATCCTATTTTCCAATGATTTTTTTCTCTTATTTCCTTCACCACCAAGTCCTTTCAATTCCCCACAGATGGGACTCTTCCAAGATTTCCATCTTAGATCCCCTGCATTTTGAGCCACTTCCTTTTGAATTCCTGCAGCCAGCATTCTGACATACGAGATGATTTTTTTAATTCATTGTTTTATCACCGCTAAACACCCCGCCTTCCTTTTACCATGAAGTCTCCACTTGATTTCCATTTTGATGTGTGCTCCAGAGTTGTCTTTGCTGGTTAGTTTATTTCCCCTCTTTCATGTAAATGAAATTTTTGGTATCTTTTATCTCCTAGTTATGTGGTGGGCATGGGTCCATAGAGTTTTACTTGCTCTCCTTATCTGTATAGTTTTGGGAAGATGTTTGGTTTTTGGTTTAGGTAGCTATCATTTTTCTTAAGTTGTAATGTTTCACAGGGGTCTTTTCTAGAACTCCCTTTTCACTTTTCACAAATGCTGAGTGACCTCAACCACTTCTATTCCTTAAATTAAAGCTTATAGACTGATGACTAACAAACTTTATTTTGTTGCTGGGCTCCACAGCTTTTGCTAATAACAAACAAGGTATCTCAATAGGACATAGCACAGTTGCCCCCACTTCACATAAACAAAACTAAATTATGTTTTATTCTTCACCCTCTCTCATACCTGCTCCTCCTCCTGTGTCCCTCATCTTAGTAAATGGTGTCATATCACCCTCCCCAACATACTTTGTTATGGTTGCCTAAGACAGAAAGCTTTCTATCACTCTGGCCCCAGTCACTCTCTAAGTACTAAGTA
Source organism: Homo sapiens (assembly GCF_000001405.40). Taxonomy (NCBI): domain Eukaryota; kingdom Metazoa; phylum Chordata; class Mammalia; order Primates; family Hominidae; genus Homo; species Homo sapiens. The sequence continues at coordinate 81,981,639 of NC_000006.12, forward strand.
TTCTACCTCCAAAATATCTCAAAACTGTCTTCCACCCTTCTCCAAATTCAACAGTTTATGGCAGCATCACCTCTTGACTGGATTACTACAACAGCCTCCAGTTGAAATTCTTGCTTTCACTTTTGCCTCTTTCATGCCACAATCCACATAATTTTGATAAACATTTCATTTAATTATGTCATTCCCCTTCCAAATGTTACACTGCCTTCTTGATACAGTCTAACTCTGTTAGAATGATCTAAGTGACTATACATAACCTGATGACTGCTTACCTCTTTAGACTTCTCTTTCATCAATCTCTGCCCTCACCTCTTCCCTTCCACTATGAAACACACAGAAACAGAAACAGAACAGTCTCCAAAAATGGCCACAACAATATTTTTAGTTCCATATGCTGTTCCAGAAGCATGCCATTCCCCCTCAAGAAGTGAAATCTAGTTTCCTTCCCCCTGAACATGATCCAGCCTTAGTGACTCACCTCTAATGAATGAAATGCCATTATAGTGATGCTGTATAGCTTACAAATAAAATCAGTACACCTTCGGCCTGGTGCACCTCCTCTCTCTCTCTCTCTCTCTTTGCACATATATGTTATGCCTGGTTCATGGTAGGTATTCCATAAATTATATTTTCTATCATTCTCATGTTTCAGATTAAGAAACTGAGACAAGTTAGAAAGTTCAATAATTTTCCTAAGGTCACATGGCTAGCAAGTGGCAACGCTGAAATTCCATCTCAAGTCTGTTTGTCTGCTGAGCCCATGTACCAGTATGGCTTGATTCTCCACTCATCCTTGTCTTATTTTATTCTTTGGCGTTTATCCATTATATTCCTTGTTCTAGCAAATCATACTTTCAGATACTTTCAGAAAGCTTAATTGAAATTTAAGGATGTAATTGAGCAAAAGAAAATCACTTAATGAGAGATTAAAAATGAAATGTTATGTTCTTATAGAATGCCTTTTGGGAAAGCAGTAAACAATATTTTCATGTTATAATATTTAAACACGGATGTGATCTAACCAAAATTCTATTATTATGTTGAGGGGGGAGATAGGGCTAAGAGGAGTGAGAGGTGTTTCAGAAGGATAAGTCTTCATTTACTATGGAGGGAAGTCAACAGATAATGTCTAAAATTGATAAGCCAAAACAGCTATATAGCCATATTATGTAGAAAAAAAAAACAAGCATAGTTGAAATGCCTGTGGATAACAGGACTTGGAGGCTAGAAAAGAGGTGGAGTAAAAGACTAATATTTCCATTACAAACTTTTAAGAAATATTTGAGTTCATAAAAATGAATGTGTATTTGATTAAAAATAATTAAAATAGATTATTTACCCATCTGGAATTTATATTGTGAGTGGGGTGAGATAGAGATCCAAACATCACAGTTTTCCAACTGCCTGTCCAGTTATTATCTAGGCCAATTTTAATTACAGTACTTTCTTTCTTCTCGCATATTTGTAATTTGAAGGAACACCAATAAATATGAAAATGTGGTGTCATACACACACTCCGTTCTTTCTTTTTTTAAGGTCAATGTCATGCTCTTAGATAATTTATGCCTGAATTTCTTCAAGTCACACATGAAATGCTCAGAGAGGTCACAAACATCAGGTGAAATATGAGAACTGGATCTTTAGAGGACTTAGGTGATAAACATGCTGAGAACATTTGCTTCACATGAATGTTGCCTGTGCCCCCAGCTGCCCTCTACTTAATGTGAATTAAAAGTCTGACACACAAATGGCCAATGAGTACATGCAAAAGTATTCTATTAGATTGGTGCAAAAGTAATTTTGTTGGTAATGGAACAAATAATAGAAACAAAAAAGTAATTTTGTTTCTATTAGTTTGATGCAAAAGTACTTTTAATGGCAAAAACCTCAATTACTTTTGCACCAACCTAATACATCATTAGTCACTGGGGGAAAATGCAAATTAAACCCACATTGAGATACTAGTATACATCCACCAAAATGAATAAAATTTTAAAATACCTATAGAGCTAAATGTTGCTAAGGATTTGGAGAAACTGCAATTCTCATAAACCGATAGTGAGAAATTTTCCACCACACTGGAAAATTTGGGAGAAGTTTTTAATGAAGTTAAATGAACATCTGCTCATATAGCCAGTAATTCCACTTTTACGTATTAAGCAAAAATAAATGAAAATATACATTGGCAAAAAGATTTGAAGCATAATGTTTAAGTCACTTCATTCACAATAACCAAAAACTGGAAATAGCCCAGGTGTCTGTTAAAATAACAAGTAAACTGTGACACATTCATACAATAAACTACTCAGCAATAAAAAGAAAAAACTACTCATAAAATCAACACAGATAAATCTCAAAAACAGTTTGATAATTGAAATAGCTGTTATGTGCTAAATTGTGTTGCCAAAAGTTCATATGTTGAAGTCCTAACCCCCAGCACTTCAGAATATGTCCATGTTTGGTGGCGGGGCCTTTAGAGGTTATTAGGAAAAATAAGGTCTCATGGATAGGCCCTAATCCAATATGCTGGTGACATTAGAAGAAGAGATTAGGACATGGACAAAATATAAACAGAGGGGTGACCATCTCTGAGGTCACAGTGAGAAGGCTGCCATCTGCAAACCAAGAAGAGAGGCCTCAGAAGACACCAAACCTGCTGACACTTTGATCTCAAACTTCCAGCCTTCAGAAAAATCAGAAAATAAATTTCTGTTGTTTAAATCACTCAATCTATGGCATTTTGTTATGGCAGCCCTAGAAAACTAATACAGAAGCCTTACACAAAAGAGTACATACTGAATTATTCCAATTATATGAAGTTCTATAACAGGCAAACTATTCTAAGGTGAAAAAAATCAGAAAAGTAGTTACCTCTGAGGGGTGGGTAGGGGATTATTTGGGAAGGGGCATTCCAGGACATTTTGGAGTGGTGGTAAAAAAAAAAAGTTTGGGTTACACAAATATATACATTGATCAAAACTAATGAATGTCTACTTAAGATTTGTGCATTTCATTGTACATAAATGCTATATCAAAAGAGAAAAACTAGAAAAGTTATTGGACCCCACTTCTGACATTAGATGTTGTATGGTTCCCATTTCTTCTCTTTTCACTACAATCGCAAACCCAAGCACCAGCTGTGCTATTGATATTTTGCATTTTGCATTTGCATATCTGCTAAACTCAGCAAGGTGAAATTTGGTGGCTGAAATGCCTGGGCTGTGTTCATTAGCCAAGAGAGGTGAGTTGAAGAATGAAGCTGAATTGAGAGGTGACATTAACTTTTTATTCCCAGAAAAAAAAAAAACTCAATTGTAACACCAGCCAAAAGCATTTGATCTTCAGTTGAAATAAATTTAGTAGATCAAAAATCTCAGCATATAAATCTATAATATTCAGGGCCCTGAGTTGAACATTATTAAACTGAGAAGGGCTAATTCTCAGAATTATTTGAGGAGCAAGGAAATAGAAATTTGCAAGAGACCAGGTGATAGCAGCAGGACCTGTTCATGTAGTCTGGCTTCCTACAGTTACAACATGAGAAAGCCTCTGACTCTGGTTCAATGTTCAGACACATTTTGGGAAAAGGGGAAGAAAAACTCAAAGGTTCTATCTATGTCCTCCATCCTATAAGTTATCTAGCTTGTATTCTAGATGCTAATATTCTACTTTTTGAGAAATTCTACCCTTTGTGCCTTTCAAGGGATTCAGCATTAATTTCTCAAATTGCCTTAGGACATCTGCTACATAATCTCCTTGGCATTTAGATTCTTTTTGGCCCATGTATCAAGTTTCATTTGTTTCTGAGTGAGTTCAATCTTTTTTTACTTCACTAAGATTTCTTTTTTTTTAATATACTTTAAGTTTTAGGGTGCATGTGCAGTACGTCACCAAGATTTCTTATTTCACCTGAAGGAAATGGGTGGGAAGCCATGGCTCAGGATGACCCATGCAGCTATGGCTCCAAAAGTCTGATCGTAGAAGAGGAAAACAAACAGCAGTTCTGAATCTATGAGATTTTGGATGAGGCATTAAATATAGTATTTTTAGGTTTATTATGAGAGTCCTTCTCACAATACTCAGCTTTTTGAATAAACCTAAAAAAAGTACTAAGCTTTCAAAATATTTGAAGAAAAAATTGTCTAGCTTTCAACTTGACAGCACTTCTGAAGAAATCTCTTACTGCCTGAACTCCTCACTTTTCTCCTCTTTATTCTTTTGTAAATAAAAAGATGTTGCTTCGAATGGGCTAGAAGCTCAGCATGGTCCATAGAATGAAAGGTGCTAGAAATCGGTGAGATTATCCCAATCTCCATCTGGAAGAGTCCAACATTGACTGTGAAAACCAACACTTAGCTATAATTCAAAGACTTTATGAGGTCTCCTAAAAATGCAAATCCTATTCTTCTAGGTCCTATCTTTCTATATAGGATATTACAGAGAGGTGTATTCTGAATCTCTTTTACATCCTTCTAAGACTAATATTACATTTTTAAAAATCCTTAAATAAATGAATAAAATTCTTTAAAACCTTACAAAACTGACCAATACGTAGGATCTGAGTCAGGAAGCTGATGTGAATGATATTATGATTGCTCCCTGAAGTTTCTGATCACTATAATATTCTGTTCATTTTTACTTTGCTCACACCCTGGAGTGGAAATTTGTCTCCATTTGTGAACTTCAATGTGACAACATTTTAAGGACAACATGTTCTTCCATATATTTTTTTCAGTCAAGATTCTTTCTGGCTGGTCTTTACATTTCTGGTTGGTCATACTTCACAGAGACTTTTTTTTTCTTCAACTTTTATTTTAAGTCTGGGATACACGTGCAGGATGTGCAAGTTTGTTACATAGGTAAAAGTGTGCTATAGTGGTTTGCTGAACAGATCATCCCATCACCTACGTGTTAAGCCCAGCATCTATCAGCTGTTCTTCCTGATGCTCTCCCTCCCGCAACCCTACCTCTGATGGGCCCCAGTGTGTATTTTCCCCACTTCCATATGTTAATGTGTTCTCATCATTCAGCTCCCACTTATAAGTGAGAACATGCAGTGTTTGGTTTTCTGTTCCTGTGTCAGTTTACTGAGGAGCATGGCTTCTAAGTCTATCCATGTCCTTGCAAAGGGCATGATCTTGTTCCTTTTTATGGCTGCATAGTATTCCATGGTATATATGCACCACATTTTCTTTACCCAGTCTATCATTGATGGGCATTTAGGTTGATTCCATACCCTCGCTATTGTGAATAACGCTGCAATGAACATACATGTGCATATATCTTTATAATAGAATGGCTTATATTCTTCTGGGGATATACCCAGTAAAGAGACTTTCATCAAACACCACTCTCCCCAAGGATAGATCATAATCAATGCCTCAGCTAACTTCTTTCTAAATCCTCCTATTCCTTAGATTCTACTTAGTTCCCTTAATAAATATGAAATCTAAAGCCCCTTAACTCCCTTAATAAAATAACGGTACTATTATGCTTTATCTCAACCCATCCCAACTGAGCTTAGCAAGTGTCAGGAATAGTGACACAATCAATAACCCAACAACTGTGGAACTTTATAATCCAAATCCCCCACGAAAATAAATGGATATTATTTGACCCAAATTGTGTTTTAATCAAATCTTTCAGCGACTAAATATTGTTTCTCAGAATACAGCAATATGGAGAGTGATGTGATTTGGCTGTGCCTCCACCCAAATCTCATCTTGAATTCCCATGTGTTGTGGGAGGGACCCGATGGAGGGTAGTTGAATCATGGGGCAGGTCTTTCCTGTGCTGTTCTTGTGGTGGTGAATGAGTCTCACAGGATTCAATGATGTATAAGGGGGAGTTTTCCTGCACAAGATCTCTTATCTTGTCTGTCGCCATGTGAGACATGCCTTTCACCTTCCACCATGATTGTGAAACCTCCCCAGCTTCTGAAAGTCCATTAAATGTCTTTCTTTTGTAAATTGCCCAGTCTCAGGTATGTCTTTATCAGCAGCGTGAAAATGAACTAATACAGAAAGTAAATGAAAATATTTAAATCTCTGAAGTATTCATGAAAACAATTTTGCCATTTCCAAACGGTCAGGCCCCTTTAAAATCCAAGCTAACAGAAAAAATAATAATTTAATACACATCAAAGTTCAGCCAACATCACAAAGGGAGTCTTCAAACTCTTGAATTGATATAAGAAGATCATATTTCTTTGGTACTTTTCCAGTTTCCAGAAGACAGTAGTATGATGAGTCTTAATTTCTATATATTGATTGACAAGATACACTTTTGTGTGTGAAATCAGTGTAATAAATAACCGAACATTATATCCTCCAAATATTCATTAGGCAATAGCACAATGCTGGTAGGTAATATACTTTATCTTGGACTGTTCATCCAAGTTTAAATCTAAATTTATTAGATTATTCTGCACATATTCTTTCCAGGTCTTTCTCTGCAAAGTGGATAAAAAATGGAGCACAGTTTCTTAAGCTAATTCATCTTCATAACTTCACCATATTAAATGCAATCTCTGTGATAAATTGAAATGTAATTTCACATACATTTTTAAGGGGTTAATATTATTAAATGTGTAAACTCAGTTCACCGCAATATCTTCACCTGGAAATACTAAAATGTGAAATGATTTCCTAAAACTTAATATGAACTTCATTGACACTGCTGGAAATGTGTTGCCACATACTTATTAGAGCAAGCAATATTATAGGCCTAAGCCGACTAGGGTGGAATGACAATTTCTACTACTATGACTTGAGATTAATAATGATGAAAATAATTGACAACTTTTTATTCAAAATCATCTGTGGGAAAAACAAATTCTTTTAAATATATATATAAGATAGAAAATAGGCTGAAACCAATCTTGACCATATCTCTTCTGGGAGAATAAAGTTGGCTCTCCTATGTCTTGATTTGACAATACGTGTAGACAAAAACACAGTCTCCTTTTTTCCCTTGAGCAAACTCCCCCAAAGCTATCAAATTCATTTTAACTTAAATCACTCAATGACTCATAAAGTTCATATCTGTTTCAAAAAGATAGCTCTGAAAAGAAGGCTCAATAACAAGTGACAACAATCAGTAAAAATATTTTGGCAAATTGTTGCCCATGGTAAGACTTTTTTAAAGAAATGATAAAAACATACATATCCATTGAAAACTAGACAATCTTTGGGATATCTCACCTGAGTGTCAGTGTAACAAACATGCCAAGCACCAAGAAAGTCCAAACAGAAAACTTTCCACATACTCAGTTGTTATTTGCTGGATTATAAAACTATATGGCTTATGTATAAATAAATATATAACAGTAGAAATCCCCTCATTATTTCAAGTATTCCAAAGACTACTAGGAGAATTATGATAATCTGGTGATCTTAAGCACTAAAAAAAAATGTTGGGTAATTCGAGTAAACAAAAGTATTAAGGAGATCGCTAGCATTTTGATTGCTTCACAGTATAGAATGAGTACTTCATATTTTGTAGATTCCAAAAAACCTCAGAGTTGAGACAGAAAAATCTACGACTGTAATATGTGATCAATTTTATAAAAATAAAAATATCCCCAAGAAAAGATATTTTGTTATAGATTTATTTAGCATCTGACCAATATGTGTAAGTATTCCCAACCCAGTTTAAGCAACTAATCCTAAAAGAGATTGTTAAGTATAACTTCCTGCCTGACAAAAAAAAAAAAAGCAAACTCCTTTATCTTCTCAAATTTAAGAACAGTCAATCTGTGAAATTTACTCTAAAATCCTATAACTTTAATTTCATCACCTAACATACATTAAAACATATAAAGTAGAAAACATATATAAGATAAAATCTAAGATTGATAGTTAACCTATTGCTTTCGTATATGAGAAATTTTTACTAAGTACAAAGACAATGGAGCTCATTTCAGAAACAAGCGTTTGTACACCCATGTTTTACTTCATTAAACAGAATGAACCTGCCAACCAGGAAGTAGGCAAAAAAAGGACACCAAAACACACCATTACCTATCCCCCAACTCAGAAGAGCGCATTCTCCATCAACCTGAACAATGAGGAGGGCTTGCTTATCAATATTCTGCCAAATTTCTGAACCAACCAAAATAAAATTCCCATCCATCTTCATTCAATATCTACAAAACTACTGAAAAATTATGATGTGCATCAGAGAACTATACTGCAAAACAGAAGTTTCCATCTCATGCCTACAGAACCTCATTAGATAACTGAATTTGGCTTAGGCATTTTGCATATCATGTTGTCCTATAGCTAGAGATCTGAAAATCTACAGCTCCGAAGTGGACAGTAAGTAGCACACACAGTCTGTTTTGTCCAAAAAGAGAGAGAGAGAGATCTTGAAGCCCAAATAGAGGCAATGTCATCCTCCCAATTCCTAAAAGAATAAATAAGCTTTGGAAACTGGTATGATAAAATCCAGAACAAAATTTTAGAAAATGTCTTGGATTCCTCAATAAAATAAAAGAAGACATGGTCTATATGATAAAGTAACATAAAGTAATAAGGAGTGAACAAACATATTTAAACATAACAGAGTGAGATTTAAAAAATAACAGGTTTGAGCTTGAAAACTATGATGCAGTAAATAAAAAGTAGAGGTAGAAAAAAAAACAGTATTCACAGTTTAAATCCAGTAATTGATGAGGAAAACAGAGTTGAGAAGCTATGTCAGAGTGCAGAGGATAAGAGTAGATATTAACAGATTGAGTCACTATAAAAGGAAAAAAATATGTCCATCATAAAAAATCTAGACATTCACAAGAAATATACAAGAATAGGAAGAAAAAAGAAGTTTGAAACAAAGCAGTAACCAGAAGTACAATGAAAAAGTCTTCCCAAACTAAGACAAAATATTGTGTGAATATGCATTCATTTATTACATACAAGTACAAATAATTACTTGGGTACCATTATACAAAATACACTGAGAATAAATTTTTTAAAGGGATATCTTTACCCTGCGAGTAATTAGGAAACACAGACAGATAATCACATGACTAAACATAAAATTACAACCAGGACAAGAGAGTAGGTGGTGATATGAGAGCATGTGACGGGGATGTGAGCTAATCAGGAGGTCAGAAAAGGTTTCCCTGAGGAAATTATGTTTCATATAAGGTTTGAGAGACAGTGGAAATTAACCAGGGAATAGGTGAGTCCCAGGTAGAGAGAATAGCATATGCAAAGACCTATAGTCAAAGTGAGCATAGCATGGTTGAGGAACGGTAGGTTGAGGTATGGCTGAGGAACAGAAGGCCCATGAAACAAGAAGGCTAGAGTCAAGAGGAACATGGATGAGATGACAACTGGGGAGACATGCAAGGGCTAGATTATCCAGCGCACTGTAGGTCAACGACTTCAACCATTTTTTTTTTAACACCATGACCTAAAGTCAGAAATACTTTCTATATCATAGCCCAGTACACAAACCCGTATGTACATATACAGAAATCAATTTGCTAGATCATGAGAGCATTTAAAAAAATGAAAGAACAGAATAAAATGGAACATACCAGAGTGCTTTTCTTATTGTAAAAGTAGGTAGCAGTTCATGAAATCTTTTGTTTAGGTTTATTTATATTTTACATGTATATTCCATCTGTATAATGATTTATTTAATGCTTTCATGATCTCACAAATTGATTTTATGACACATCAATAGATCCCCACCTGCAGTTTAAAAAATTCTATAGTAAATCTATGTTAGAGATTTCACTCTTTATCTAAAAGCCATCAAATTTATTTAAGCAGATATATGATGTGAACAGATTTGAATTTGGAGACAAAACAATCTTTATGACTACAATGTGTAGATTTGTAAAGAAGCAAGTCTAAGGCTCTTATAGTGAGACTCCTGGTAAGAGATATCAGTGGTTTGACCTTGGATGGGAACAGGAGATTAAGAAAGTGAACATCAATTCCAGAGTTGATGGAGGTAAAGAATCAACAGGACATTCTGATAAGATAAATATGGACACAATTTTCAAAGATAACTCTTAGATTGAGAGGGGCTTAGTATAAATTATTAAAAAGAAACCGAAGAGTGACAAAATATTGGACTTACAAGAATAAACAAACCATCTAACAAGCAGTCCTCCAGAAAACACGTTACTAACAGAGAAATCAAAACTGGGCTGGCTTCAGACTCTTCTTTTGCAATGTGAAATGCCAAGAGGTAACGAAAAAAGCAACCACAGAATTTTGAAGGAAAAAAGGTGGTGAACTAAAATGTTATGCTAAGCCAACTTGTCATTCACGCATGAAGGAAATAGAAAGTTATTATAAAGTGCAGGCATATTCACAAAAACATATCCACAATCTTGAAAAAAATTACTTGACATTGTTCTACCAAGGGATAAATCCAAATTTAAAATCTAAGAATGAGAAGGTCATGATTTAAAAAAAGATTAATAATTGATACTGAAACTGAAACCAATTAATAATTGAGTTTGTGATTATTAAGATAAAACTTAATACAAAGTAGAAAAAACTGAAAAAACATACGTAATATTAAAAATTTAAAATTATAAGAATCAGAATAAAACACAAATTATATTAAAAGGGAAGATGATTAAAGCATGCTAAATATCTCACATAAAACAGGGAAATAAAGATTCAAAAGATCCAACTGCACTAGATTTTGATTATTAAAAAGAACCTTTGAAGAATATTTTTGAATAAATGTAAGTGTAGCTACAAGCTGAATGTGAAACACAATGTAAATCTTCAAAATCACTGTATTTTAAAATTTACAATATAAAAATAGTTTAGAAATAGTTCTTTTAGAGACCGCAAAAAAGTTAAGGAGTGTGTAAAAAAGCAAAAAAGGGAACAATAAAACAAAATAGCAAAAACAAAACTCTTACAAGACAAATTAAACATATCACTTATAAACTTTAAGACCTCATTTTGAAGACAAAGAATACTTAGACAGTGAAAAACTTCTTACAAAGCTAATATAGAATGAAAAGTATTAAAAATTACTTTTTAAAAATGATTTAGGGCCAGTTTACCAGTAACCTCTTTCTTGTATCAAATTATAAAGATCAAGTAATTCTCATTTCATACTATTACTCGACTGTAATAAAAAATGAAAAGCCATTCAATAAATTTTCTGAAACCAACACAATTCTTGTGACACAGTTTAATGTAAACATTTTTTAAAGTTTTAAGATTTGTCACTTGAGAAATACTCATGTAAAAATGAGAATAAAAACAAAAATAGAAACTTCAGATATATGGCCAAATTTACTTATAAAAATAGTCTTCAAGGTTTTATTTGAACTCAAAATGTCAGAAAATCAAGACAGAACCTAAGGAAAATTGGAAGAAAAAAATTGGAGAAGTTATTAAATATAATCAAGTAATCAATTACTAAAATAATTGAATAAATTTGAACATAATAGAAATGGATTGTAAAATTTTCAGTTATTTTTAAAAAAGATTTACACTTTGATAAACTTAGCAGAAGAGAAAAAACACAAACATTATTAATGAGAAAGCATATATAATCAAGAAACATGGGATTATTTAAAAGTATGAAAGAATATCATATGCAAATATTCCATACAAAATGTTATAGATATTTTAAAATATAAAATTATAAATATTGTGTGTAATGGACAGTTTGTGAGAAAATATAAATAATCAAGATGGACTCAAAAGAAGTGAAATATCTTAACAGGCCCATAGCTATGGACATTATGTTTTAATTTGAAGAATTGCCTTCAAAGAATGCTATAGAATCCAACAGTTTTATAAGCAAGATCCTTCAACTGTCAAGGAACAGATATTTCTTACGATCTATAAGCCATTTTGGAGTACTAAAACATTTGGAATGCTATTTTTAATACATTTAGTGAAGCAAAGCCATTCCCAATATCAAAATTTCACAAAATTAAAAGGACAAAGATGTAAAGAGAAAGCTATACACAATTTTGGTTAGAAACGCTAGGACTGGGCAGGAGTCCTAAGAAATAGAGTGTAACAGAACATTAGCAAATAACATTTCACATCAGTGGGAAAGGGTGATTTGTTAAAAATGGTGCTGAGATTCAGGTTCATTTTGAAATAAAATAATTTAGATGTATTCACATATACCAAGTTAAATAATCCAAATGAATAAAATTTAAGTGTAAGAGGTGAAAGTATAAAAGAACTAGAAGAAAATTTAGAAACACATTCATACCACTTTGGAGTGGGGAAGACATTTCAAACTATAGCAAAGAAGAAAACGTAAAGGGAAAAGTCTTCCTAGTAAGACTTGGGACTTTATCATTTCGGTCATATTTTTTTCTCTTCACTACTTAAAATTACATTCTTCTGCCTGGGAATATTATATTTTTCTTGTTAAAAATCATAACTTGCCTAAGTCTAGGTTTTAGTAGGCATAATCATTGCCTAGCTAAATTTCAGCTTTTCAAAGTTGAAAAATGAACCAGACGAGGAAGACTTTATGGAAAAAAAGCAGAAACAAAATTACAATGGAAAAGATTGACTAAATAAAAATGAAAGTTTCTAATACCAAAGATTAAATTAAAAGGCAAATCATAAACTATGAATGTATTTGCAACAAATATCACAGCGATAATATCCTTAATAAAATAAAACACAAATTTCCCAACAACTGAGAGTTCAATGAATTATAAATTATTTGCATAAAGAATTATTAACCATTAAAATAGTTTTCATGAGGAAATGGGCATGATTTTTTATTAAATGGAAGACTAATACAAAATCATATATCCATATAGATATATAGACATAGATATATCTCAATTCCAAATGCTTATATGCACTATATGTTCTCATTCATAATATACATCTGTATACCATATGTAAATTTATATTCATATGTTTAGACACATGCATTTATTCATTGTGGCAACAAAGCAAATATTAGTTTGCTAATATTTCGACAAAGTGATGTTGAAATTATAAATGCATTTCTTTTTATTTTATCTTTATAGATTTATCTACTTGAATTACTTTCATAATACAAAAGTATATAAACAGTTTTTTTAAAAAAAGCAATTCACTATCTGGCAACTACTCTCTCCCATGCTCCAGTGGAAGTATCTTCCCTGGGGTTCAATTTAATGTTACACCTTCAAACTTTATAGAGGGCAACATAAAAGGTACTTTGTTCAACATTTTACCTGGGTATTGCGTGATTTTGTGCTTAAAACACTGACTGCTGTGTTCCTCCAAACCACCTATGTAAGAAACTGCATGACAGATTCCTCCTAGAGCTTGGTTCCTGTGATTATTTTAACCAACAATAAAATTATATCCAAACTATTTCAGCTTTGCCTGAGCTACCAGGAAACACAAAGAGGCAAACTCAATGTCCTGTTATAAAAAAGGTTTTATTTTAACAGTCTAAAAACATGTCCTCTCTCTGTCCCTTACAGATGCTTGCTGCTCTACTCTTCTTTCTAATCCTACTTGTAACTTTTACATTAATATAGTTTTATATGGCACATCAAACCCCTTTAGGAAAAGGTGAATGTAAATTGTAAATAAAACATGACTTGGTCATTCTAAGAGGGGTAACAGAAAATGTTTCATCTGCTTTAAGTCATGTTGATGCATTACAGCATCATCTTAACTCTACTCACCTGAAAAATTTCCACATCTAAGCTCTAAAAACCTTTAAAAAGGTGGCAAATTGGAGAATAGCATAAAGCCATTAGATTCATGTAGTCTTTGTTTTTGTAGTGAGCTTATTAGTGATGGCCTTTTGGTTTAAACACTGCCTTTAAGCCTTCGATCCTGGATGCCACCAGGTAATTCATGTTTAAAGAGTCCAAAAAGAAGTATGCACAGTAAAATCATTATCTCCACAATTAATACTTCCACATTACATCAAATAAATATTGTAAAGCATTTGCCACGTGCTGAGACTTGCTGGGCAGTGGGAATAAATGGAGACTACCAAAAGCACTGGACCTGCCATGAAAGAGCACAGTATTCCTCTTCTCTCTGATCTGGCACAGGGCATGATCTTTGTTGATTTTGTTCTTCCATGTCTTACTCTCTGAACCATGATGATGACTAAATTCTGAATCTAATAGGAATCAGATTTCAGATAATTCCCTAAAGCAGTCTGCCAACATTGCAGTAAGAGCAATTAAAGGAATCAGGAAAGTAGAATGCTGCTTTCATTTCATTAGGAGGGTAATATTAATCTAATCTTTGGACAAAGTGAAAAACAACATTGGATAATTACTTTTCAGTTGAAAGATTTCACACTTAAATTTTTTAAATTCCCCCCAGTTGAATAGTTTATATCCACTACTTTCATTCCTCTCTATGCTCCCATCTCTTAAAGTAATCTGGTTTGGCTCCTCCTTCTTCACTGAACCTTCCCAAGAACCACAAATCTGCATTGTTGCTATCCTCAAAGGCCCTTTTTCTGTTTCTGTTTTGCCCTCTTTCTCCTTGCATTCCTTGTAGTTTTTAACATGTTTCATCTTGAAGTAATGCTATCAACCTCTGGGATGAGGCAGCATTTCCTGAAGCTATTCCTTCTTGTTGGTCACTTTGATGACTGCTTTTGTCAATCCTTCCCCACCTCCCCAAACACAGGCTTTTCACAAGGTTGGAACCTTTGCCCCCTCTCTCAAATATTCATACTACTTCTTCTGGAAAACTCATTGACTATTAATACTTCAATTATCATTTCTATATGTATGCCACCCAAATCTTTAGCTATCAAAGATGCAGGCCCACATCTCCAAAGACGAAGTGGTTGGTTCGCATAGACATCCCACCATTGCTTTTAACTCAATATATTTAAAATAAAATTTCTCATCTCCCCTAAACACACACTCACTCGATGACTATTTTGGTTCATAGGCCTCTCAAGCACCCAGACCTCATACCTCTGAGTCATCTCTGAAAACTGTTACTCAAACCATCAGGTTTAACTCAAATACTCATTTGAATTAGTTAGCTTGTTTTTTTGAGTGCTAAGTCTTGATTTTCTCATCTGTAAAATGGGGTTAAAGTAGAGGTCAGATGAGAAGGTCAGATCACAGGTGTGACTGTAATCAAGAACTTAGACTGCCGCATTCATACTGGATGCCATGTGCATATTAAATTGTTTCACTCAGGCCAGTACATGACATATAATACATACTCAATAAATATTTGCTGATCAAAAGAACGAATGAATAACTGATTGAGTTAATGTGACCTTTCCTTCTTTTGAATTCCTATTGCATTTACTGTCTGCTATATCATCCATTTGACTCAGATTATATACTACTCAGTCTCCTGTTAACATTTTAACTATATTTGACCTGACTTCTTGGATAGGCATTCAGATTCTTCAGATTAGACACCTAACTTACCCTTCCTTGTGTTTCTTACAGGGCCCAGCAAAGTCCTTAGACATAGCAGGCATGCACTACTATTTGACTTTATATCTCATTTATAAGTCTTAAATGTATATCAGCTAATTTTTTCCAGTAAAGGAAAGTGGTACACATTATTTTGCAAGCACATATTCTTGAGGCTTTTTAAATTTGTGACTCATACCTTGGTTCAGAAACTAACACTAAACAGTGATTTTAGTGGCATGATGAAAGAGGGTTTAGTCAGGCCTCCTCACTTTTCAGATTTGCTTCAGTTCAGCCATAAAATTCCTTCCCAGCTGTATACCAATAGCCAGGGGCATTTTTACCCCGATATAAAATGTAATCAAGCTGCTTCTAGCTATGTTAAAGTAATCTATATACTGTGGAATTACAACTACGCAGCATGCCAGAAATAAGAGAATTTTTTAAAATGTCTTACTTCACGATGGCATTTCTACACTCAAGCAAACAACTTTCCTGTCTTTCTTCCTCCTCTCTTAAAAAAAAAAACTTGCTCCTCAAGGGGAAAAAAAACAGTACCCACACACTGGCCAGCAGAGTAATTATGATGAAAGGGGAAATATGTACGTGTCAAACAGCACAGCACAGCTTGGGTTATCTGGTCTCTATGAAGAGAACTTTTCAGTTAAATGTGAGTGGGTGAAATTGCTGTGTCACCCACAAAAGTATTTTCATTACCAATTTCCTGGCAGACTTTTACTCACAGCTCTATCTTTATTACTCTGAATACTGGCACATTAAATATCCTAAGATCTAATAAAATAGAAATGAATGAATGATGGGCACTTCCCAGTCACATATGAGCCCAACAGGGTTTTGCATCTCATAAGTTACAAGTAACTCCCATGGGCCAGGCACATCAGAGACAGATTAGTATAATGGGCCTAAAGACTCAGTACATTTACCAGCTTGAGTGACTCTTTAATTTCTGTTTCTGAAATAAACTTCTCCTAGGTGTGGTTTTGACAGTTTGTGCTCCCTCAAACTCTCCTAATATAGAACTTTTAATATAGAGTGCTAATGGGGCAACCATGAAAAGTATGGATTCCTATATAATAGCCCTTTATTAGTTTTCTAGGTCAGCTTTAACGAAGTACCACAAACCGAGTGGCTCAAACAACAGAAATTTATTGTTTCACAGTTCTGGAGGCCTGAAACCTGAGATTAGGGTGTCAGCAGGATGTTCACCCCAAAGGCATCAACCTTAGAAGGATGGTTCCAGGTCTGTCTCCTAGCTTCTGGGAGTTCCTTGGATTTGGGGAGCCTAACTCCAATTTACACATGACATTCTTTCTGTGCGCATGTATCTCCATGTCCAAACTTCTCTTTGTTATAAAGATGCAATCTTCACCATAACTTGATCATCTACAAAGACCCTGTTTCCAAATAAGGTCAAATTTACAGGTACTGGGAGTTAGGACTTCAATATTTTTAGAGGGGACAGAATTCAAACCATAAGAATCCCCATTCAGTCAGTGTGGTTAATCCCAATACATGAGGGAGAGCAACAAAAGTCAACCTTAGCAACACAGATAAACAAGCAACATTGGTATTTGAAGCCACAGAAATGATAATGCCTTCCACTCTTCTGAATCATAATTCACATTTAGGTTAGATCAAATTTTGTTTTTTTTTCCTAAAAAGTAAGCAAAACTGTCTAAAATGAAGGAACGATGACTCCTAAATAATCATACAAACTAACTTTTCCCATATGAATCACCATGAGAATAAAAACTGGAGCATTATCAGCTATACATGAAGATAAATGGACATCTTATAATAATAATAAGAACAACGAAGGCTGGGCACGGTGGCTCATACCTGTAATCCCAGCACTTTGAGAGGCCAAGGCGGGCAGATCACCTGAGGTCAGGAGTTCAAGACCAGTCTGGCTAACATGGTGAAACCCTGTTTCTACTAAAAATACAAAAAATTAGCCAGGTGTGGTGGCACGCACCTGTAATCCCAGCTACTCGGGAAGGCTGAGGCAGTAGAATCACTTGAACCCAGGAGGTGGGGGTTGCAGTGAGCCGAGATTGTGCTCTTGCACTCCAGTTTCGGCAACAAGAGTGAAACTCCATCTCAAAAAAAAATTAATTAATTAAATAAAATAACAACAATGAAAACAGGGAGGGATGTCAGCAAGATGATGGATTAGGAGATTCTAGATGTCATGCCCCGCCAAAACACCAATTTTGGTAACTACCCATGGATGAGTATATCTTTGTGGGAATCACAGAGTCTAACTGATATTTCAGCACTCCAGGGGAACACAAAATCCAAGAGTGGACGCACTGAAAAGGCTAGACATAAATCCTATTAATCAGCTTTCACATTCCACCAAGAGGTTTGCCCGCAGAATGACTCACCTGAGGACCATCATAATCAGCTGACACATGCCTCCAGGACCCCACATGCCCTCCCCATGGACAGTACCCTGTGCATAGCCCACATAAAATCCCATTCATAGCACACATATCTCAACAGAAGGTGTGGATCTTAGCAGACAGCTCAACCCTGCTGATTTGAATAACCTTGAACATTGCCCTAGGAAAAATAAATGGGAGCCTCATAGCACCAGACCTGGTGTTGCAGAATCCAGAGACAGCACACAACCCCTAAAATTTCTCCTCTTATAGAGAACAAGAAGAGTAAAATTGATACATCCAGAAAAAGTCTGAGAGACTCCCAGAATCTCTAGCTGGGCTTGCTGGTGAAGGTCTTTCTCTCTTGAAGCCAGTCAGTAAAGAGTAGAGAAGACGATTACTTCTTCAAATGCAACAAGAGTAACACAAGTCTACAAGGAGCACAAAGAATCAAGGAAATATAGCAGCACCAAAGTAACAAAATAAAGCTCCAGTGGACTAACCCCAAAGAAAGGGAGATTTATAAATTCCATGATAAGTAAATCAAAATAGCCATCCTAAAGCTCAGTGAACTATGAGAGAGTGCAGAACACTAGACAAAATCAGGAAAACAATACATGAAAAGAAAATCGGAAGTTCAATAGAGACAGAGAAACCACAAAAAAAGAGCCAAACAAATTCTGGAGCCAAAGAATACAATGTCTAAAGTGAAAAAAAGAATAGAGAGCTTCAATAGAAGAATCAGTCAAGTAGAAGAAAGAACCAGCAAACACTAAGACAGATCATTTGAAATTACCCAGTCAGAGGAACAAAGATAATAACAATAATAATGAAAAGAGTGAAGAAAGCATATAGGACTTATGGGACACTGTCAAGCAGACCAATAAGCATATCATGGAAATCTCAGAAGGATCAGAGAAAAAGAAAAAGGCTAGAAGGTTATTTAAAGAAATGATGATGACCGGGTGTGGTGGTGCACACCTGTAATCCCAGCACTTTGAGAGGCTGAGCAGGGTGGATCACCTGAGGCCAGGAGTTCAAGACCAGCCTGACCAACATGGTGAAACCCTGTCTGTATTAAATACAAAAAATTACCCAGGCATGGTGGTGCATGCCTGTAATCCCAGCTACTCAGGAGGCTGAGACAGGAGAATCACTTGAACCTGGGAGGCAGAGGTTGCAATGAGCCAGGATCACATAATTGCACTCCAGCCTGGGCAACAACAATGAAACTTCATCTCAAAAAAAAAAAGAAAGAAAGAAAGAAAGAAAGAAATGATGACACAAAACTTCCCAGATCTGGAGCAGGAAATGAACATGTGGCTACATGAAACCCAAAGAACTCCAAATAGGTTGAGCATAAAGAGATCTTCATTGAGTCACATCTTAATCAAATTGTCAAAAATCAAAGTCAGAGAATTTTGAAATCAGCAAGAGAAAAGCTGCTCATCTCATCACTTACAAAGGAAGCTGCATAACATTATCAGAACATTTCTCAGGAGAAACCTTGCAGGCAGGAGAGAATGGAATGATATATTCAAAGTGTCAAAGGAAAACAATCACCAACCAAGTATATTGCATCCAGCAAGCTGTTATTCACTGGTCAAAGTAAATATAGAGTAAATTCACAGTACAATAATACTGTAATGATGGTGCAGAAATCATTTTTAGTCTAGTGTTAAGGTTAAAAAGACAGAAGTTTTAAAAAATATAGCTTCAATAACTTGTTAATGATTACATATTATAAAAAGATGTCAGTAGTGAAATCAATAACATAAAATGGGGTGAATAAAAGTTTAGAGTTTTCATATGTAATTAAAATTAAGTTGTTATAAGTTTAAAATACTGTTATAAGATGTTTTATGTAAGACTCATGATCATCACAAAGAAAAAATCTGTATTAGATGCACAAAAGATAAAGGAATAAAAGCATACCACTACAAAAAAATCAGGCTAGAACCTCCTGATTCAAATAACAAAGAAAGACAGCAAGAGAGAAAGGAACAAAGGAGCTACAACACAGTAAGAAAACTATTAGACGCCAGAAAAGTGGCTCTAAATAAAAGAAAACAATTAGCAAAATGACAATAGTAAGTCCTTACCTATCAATGACCACTTTAAATCAGTTTAAATTTATTACATTTTCCAACCAAAAAACAAAGACTAGCTGAATGGATTTAAAATAAAACAAAAACAAGATCCATCTAGATGTTGCCTATAAGAGACATATTTTAGTTTTAAGGATATACTTAGGCTTAAAGTGAAGACATTAAAAAGATATTTCATGTAAATGCTAACCAAAAGAGAGCAAGAGTAGCTATATTTATATCAAAGACACTTTAAGTGAAAAACTGTCACAAGAGACAAAGAATGTGATATAATTATAAAAGGATCAATTCCTCAAGAAGATATAACAAGTATAAACGCAGTGGATCCTCTGTATGCACAGCTTTCACATCCACCAGTTCCACAAATTAAAAATACAGTTAGGGTTACAATGGTTACATCTGTACCAAACATGTAAGAACTTTTTTTTCTTGTAGTTATTCCCTAAACAATACAGCATAACAACTACTTGGGTCACATATATATGTATTCGATATCACAAGTAATCTAGAGATGATTTAAAGTATATAGGAGTATATGTATAGGTTATATGCAAATACTATGCCATTTTATATGAGACTTGAGCATCTGTAAATGGGGTGATGGAATCAATTTCCAAGGATACCAAGGAATGACTGTATATATGCATTCAACATTAGAGCACTTAAATATATGAAACAAACACTAACAGAACTAAAGGGAGGAATATACAGCTTTACAATAATAGTAGGTAAATTCAATACCTCACTTTTAACTATGGATAGATTACCCATTTAGAAAACCAGTACAGAAACAGTGAACTTGAACAACACTATAGAAAAATAGACCTAACAGACATAAACAGATCATTCTATCCAATAGCATTACAATACATATTCTTCTCAAAGGCACAAGGAATATTCTCCAGTATGGATCACATGTTAAGCCACAAAACAAATCTTAACAAATTTCAGTAGACTGAAATTATATCAAGTATATTTTCTAACAATAACAGTATGAAACTAAAAATCAATAAGAGGAAAATTGGAAATCTTATAAATATGCAAAATTAACAAATACACTCCTAAAGAACGAATGAGTGTAAGAAGAAATCAAAGGGGAAATCAAAAAATATCTTGAGACAAACAAAATTGGAAATATAACGTACAAAACTTACAGGGTGCTGAGGAAAAAAAGCTCAAAGAATAAAGTTTGGTGCTATAAGGTCTACATCAAGAAAAAATAAAAATCGCAAATAAACAACCTAACTGTATACCTCAAATGAACTAGATTTTTTTATTTTTTTTTTTGAGATAGAGTCTTGCTCTGTTGCCCAGGCTGGAGTGCAGTGGTGCAATTTCGGCTCACTGCAAGCTCTGCCTCCCGGGTCTGAGCAATTATCTTGCCTCAGCCTCCGGAGTAGCTGGGACTTCAGGCACCCACCATCACGCTCAGCGAATTTTTTGTATTTTTAGTAGAGACAGGGTTTCACCATGTTAGCTAGGATGGTCTCGATCTCCAGACCTTGTGATCCACCTGCCTCAGCCTCTCAAAGTGCTGGGATTACAGATGTGAGCCACCGTGCCTGGCCAAAAGAACTGGATTTTAAAGAAGCAAATGAAGCACAAAATTAGCAGAAGAGAGGAAATAATGTTAGGAGTGAAATAAATGAAATAGAAACTAGACAAACAATTGGAAACTTCAACAAAAATAAGAATTTTTTTTTAGATAAACAGAATTGACAAACCTTTAGCTAGAGTAAGAAAAAAAGAGAGGAAACCCAAGTAAAAATATAAATTAAAGGGAAAGCATTTTAATTTATACCACATAAAGAACCATAAAATTCTACTGTTAAAAAATTATATTCCAACAAACTGGATATAAATACACTGAACCGACAGCACATTAAAATAATCATATGAAATAATCAAGTAGGATTTATCTCTGGGATGCAAAGATAGTTCAACAGACACAATAAACATGAAGACATTAACAGAATGAAAGAAAAAATAATATGTTTATGTCAATAGATTCAGAAAAAAAAGCATTTTGTAAAATTCAACACCATTTTATGATTTTAAAAAACCTCTCAAGAAATTAGGTAGGAAGGAATGCACCTCAACATTATAATAAAGACCATATGTGACAAGCCCACAGCTAACATCGTACTTATTAGTGGAAAACTAAAAGCTTTTTCTCTAAGGTCAGGAAAAAGAAGTGTATGTGCACACTCACACTTCTATTCAACATAATCCTGGAAGTCCTAGCCAGAGCAAATAGGAAAGTAAAAGCAATAAAAACCATTCAAATCAGAAAGGAAGAAGTTAAATTGTCTCTGTTTGCTCATGACATAATCTTACATATAGAAAATCCTAATGTCTACACACACACACACACACACAAACTGTTAGAAATGATTAATGAATTCAGTAAAGTTGCAGGATACAAAATCAACATATGAAAATCAGTTGTGTTTTTATACACCAATAACAAACTATCTGAAAAAGAAATTACAAAAACAATGCCATTTGTAATAGCATTAAAACAACACAACATTTATGCATAAATTTAACAAGGAGATGAGAAATCTATACTCTGAAAACCACAAAATATTTTTTCACACTCTTTAGACACTACAGAGTGAAAACTATAAAACATTGATGTGGCCGGCGCAGTTGCTCATGCCTGTAATCCCAGCACTTTGGGAGGCCGAGGCGGGGGGGTTCACCTGAGATCAGGAGTTCGAGACCAGCCTGACCAACATGGAGAAACACCGTCTCTACTAAAAAATACAAAATTAGCCGGGTGTGGTGGTGCATGCCTGTAATCCCAGCTACTCGAGAGGCTGAAGAAGGAGAGAATCACTTGAACCCAGGAGGCGGAGGTTGCGGTGAGCTGAGTGCGCACCATTGCACTCCAGCCTGGGCAACAAGAGTGAAACTGCGTCTCAAAAAAAAAAAAAAAAAAAATTGATGCAAGCAATTAAAATAGACACAAATAAACCGAATGATATCCCATGTTCATAAACTGGAAGAGTCAATATTGTTAAAATGTTTATACTACCCATGGAAAACTACAGATTCAATGCCAGAGGCACTTTCTTTTTTTTTTGTTTCTTCTTTTTTTTTTTTGAAACAGAGTCTCGCTCTGTCGCCCAGGCTGGAGTGCGGTGGGGCGATCTCGGCTCACAGCGAGCTCCGCCTCCTGGGTTCACACCATTCTTCTGCCTCAGCCTCCGGAGTAGCTGGGACTACAGGCGCCCACCACCACGCTCGGCTAATTTTTTTGTATTTTTAGTAGAGACGGGGTTTCACCATGTTTGCCAGGATGGTCTCCATCTCCTGACCTCGTGATCCGCCCACCTCGGCCTCCCAAAGTGCTGGGATTACAGGCGTGAGCCACCGCGCCCGGCCTCCAGTGGCACTTTCACAGAAATAGAAAAAATAATTCTAAAATTTGTATGGACTCACAAAGAACCCTGAATACCCAAAGCCACCTTGAGAAAGAACAAAACTGAAAGTATTACACTTCCTCATTTCAAATTATTTTACAGAAGAAGGAAAACAGGAATCTTCCAGAATCGTTAAGGACACTCCAGATCCCAGGAAGGAGAATGCTGGCAAACAGCCCCCATGATGGTGTCTGACTGATAAACATGAGTGAAGCCCAGTCTGCGAAAGAAGCAGAGACATCCTCTGTGACTCTTCTTTACACTGGGGATCTGTGTAACCCAAACCTTGAGCAACCCAAACCTAGAGAGTGCGCTTTGTTTCTCCCAAACCCTGGCGCTAACTCGGGAAAAGGCCAGCTACTCGAGACACTGGGAAAGACACCGGGAAAAGGTACAGAAATTTTCCCACACCTGGACCTAGAACTGGACACCATTTTTAATTCAGGTGAATACAAAGTCAGCCATTCTTTGGACATTTGCTGGCATGCTCACACAGGCATTTTAGACTCAGATTGGAGCACCTGCTCTCCTCCATTCCATTGCAAGACTGGAACAGGAGAACTGCTATAGCTGTAGCTTCTGCTGAAGAGTGAGACTTAAGCCAGAGCCATCTTGGCCACCTAGAACTGGTCTGCATGTGCCATTGTTGGGGCCTTAGGCTGTTTCCCTAAGATCATGGTGTGGCACAGCCCTCTCCACTCCACACCCAAGCATATCTCCAGGCATCTGGAGCACCCACTTGTCTGGTTCAGCAGCTTGATTCACCCTATCCTTCCTGGACATAGATCATGGTGCAGCGAAGCTTTTTCTGCTCCGTTCCCAGGCAGATCTCCAGGCATTCCAAGCACCTGCTTGCCTGGATCAGCTGCCAGAGCTACCCTATGCAGAGTGCCAGACCTCCTATGCAGAGATCTTGGTGCAGGGGAACCCTCCTTGATCCATGCCAGGCAGATCTCCAGGCATCTGAAGTACCCATTATCTTGGATTAGGAGTTTAGACCCCTCCCCCACCATACACACACACACACACACACACACACACACACACACACGAGACACATCCCCATGCAGAGAACTTGGGGCTGAGTAGGCTTCCCAGCTCTGTGCCAAGGTATATTTCTGCGTGCCTGGTGTTACCCACTGGATTCTCACACAGCACAGGTGCTTGTGCCTGCCATCAGGGGACCTGCCCAATTCAGTCCCACCAATTGTTGCCCCCACTGCCTCCGGGCTGAGCAGAGAACTCACACCACTGTGCATTCCATGAACCAGCCCATTGCCTCAGGTAACAAAGAGCTTCTGCCAGTAAACAAGGATCAAGTATATACCCAGCCATGTTGGCCACAGCCAGCTCTTACCTATAAGTGCCATCTGCTGGCTCGTTGGTCAAACTGCACAGCCCAATATAAAATCTGCCAAAAACAGTGCATAAGACTATAGAAGTAAAGCCAAAAGACCCTATTCAGCATTCTCTACAGTTGCATCCCCTGGTGAGGTAGAGGGGAAGAAGGAAACAGAAAGGAAAAACATATATATTACAGGGAAAGAAAGAAAAAGAAAAAATCCCTCCTGCACAAAAATAATTACAAAAATTAGAAGTGCCGGTGTCTCCAGATGAGAAGGAATCAGTGCAAAAATTCTGGCACCATGAAAAATCTGAATGTAGTAACACCACCAAAAAAATCACACTAGCTCTCCAGCAATGGTCACCAACAAAATGGAAACTCGGAAATGACAGATAAAGCATTTAAAGCATGGATTGCAAGGAAGCTCAACAAGCTCCAAGGTAAGATTGAAAATCAACACAAAGAAACTTCTAAAGCAATCTAAGAAATGAAGGAAAAGATAAACATCATGGAACGAAATCAATCAGAGCTTCTGGAATTTAAAAACTCACTTAAGGAATTTCAACGTACAATTGAAAGCTTTATCAATAGCCTGGATCAAGCAGAAGAAAGAATTTCAGAGCTTGAAGACTAGTCTCTTTAGCTAACCCAGACAAAAATCAAGAAAAAAGAATTTTTTTAATGAACAAAGTCTTCAAAAAAATATGGAATTATGTAAATTGACTAAACCTACAAATTATTGGCATTCCTGAGAAAGAATGAAAAGAGAAGGATAAAAACCTGAAAAACATATTTAAGGGAATAATTCAAAAAAATCCCTAATCTTGCTAGACAGGTAGACATCTAGATACAAGAAATCCAAAGAACACTTGTGAGATACTATTCAAAATAAACATCACCAAGGCATATAGTCACCAAACTGTCCAAGGTCAACACTAAACAAAAACTCTTAAAGGTTGCTAGAGAAAAAGGTCAGATGACATACAAAGGGAAGCCCATCAGGCTAACAGCAGAAATCTTACAAGCAAGGAAAGATGGGGGGCCTGTTTGCAGCATTCTTAAAGACAAGAAATTTCAGCCAAGAATTTCATGTCCCACCAAACTAAGCTTCATAAGCAAAGGAGAAATGAAACTTTTTCAGACAAGCAAGCACTAAGGGAATTCATTACCACTAGACAAAACATATGATCATCTCAATAGGTGTGGAAAGAGCTTTCAAGAAAATCCAACATCCCTTCATGATTAAAAAAAAATGAAAAACCTCAAGAAATGATGTTCCTCAAGAAGGAATATACCTCAAAATAATAAGAACCCTCTCTGACAAACACAGAGCCAAAATCACACTGAATGGGTAAGAACTGGAAGCACTTCCCTTGAGAACTGGAGCAAGAAAAGAATGCCTACTCTTATCACTGCTAACATTGTACTAGAAGTGCTAGCCAGAGCAATCAGGCAAGAGAAATAAATAAAAGACATCCAAATAGGAAAAGAAGAAGTCAAACTATCTGTCTTTGCAAATATGATTCTACACCTAGAAACCCCCTAAAAGCGCCGCCGCAAAAAGGCTCCTAGAACTGAAAAATCACTTTGGTAAAGTTTCAGAATACAAAATCAATGTACAAAAATCACTAGCATTTCTATGCACCAATACATTTAAGCTGAAAGCCAAATCAAGAATGCAATCTCATTTACAATGGCCATGCAAAAAAAAATAATAATTTAGGAATACATCTAACAAGAAGATGAAAGATCTCTAAAAGAAGAACTACAAAACACTGCTAAAAGAAATCATAGATGACAGAAACAAATGAAAATCTTTCCATACTCATAGTTTGGAAGAATCAATATTGTTAAAATAGCCATACTACCCAAACCAATCTACTGATTCAATGCTATTCCTATCAAACTACCAACATCATTTTTCACAGAACTAGAAAAAAATTCTAAAATTTATATGGAACCAAAAAAGAGCCCAAAACAGCCAAAGCAATTCTAAACAAAAAGAACAAAGCCAGAGGCATCATACTAACCAATTTCAAACTATACTATAAAGCTACGGTAACCAAGCAGCATGGTACTAGTACAAAAACAGACACATAGACCAATGGAACAGATAGAGAATCCAGAAATAATGCTGCATACCTACAGCTATCTTACCTTTGACAAAGCTGACAAAAATAAGCAATGAGGAAAGGACTCTCTATTCAAAAAAATGGTGCTGGGATAACCGACTAGTCATATGCAGAAGAATGAAACTGGACCCCTACCTTTCACCACATACAAAAATTAACTCAAGATGGGTTAAATATTTAAATGTAAGAGCTCAAAGTATAAGAATCCTAGAAAAAAACAGAGGAAACACCATTCTGGACATTGGTCTAGGAAAAGAATTTGTGACCAAGTCCTCAAAAAAAACGTATAAGTGGGACCTAATTAAACTAAAGAGCTTATGCACAGTAAAAGAAACTATCAACAGAGTAAATAGACAAGCTAGATAGAATGGGAGAAAATACTTGCAAACTACACATCAGACAAAGGTCTAATATCCAGAATCTATGAGGAACTTAGACAATTGCATAAACGAAAAACAATCCCATTTAAAAATGGGCAAAAGACATGAAGAGGCACTTCCTCAAAGAAGAGATACAAGTGGCCAAAAAACATATTTAAAAATGCTTGGCATCACAAATCATCAGAGAAATGCAAATCAAACCCACAATGAGATACCATCTCACACCAGTCAGAATGACTATTATTAAAAAGTCGAAAACAACAGGTAGTGGCCAGACTGTGGAGAAAGAGAACACTTTTACACTGTTGGTGAGAATGTAAATTAGTTCAGCCACTATGAAAAGCAGTTTGGTGATTTCTCAAAGAACTTAGAACAGAACTACCACTTGACCTAGCAATCCCATTACTGGGTATATACCCAAAAGAAAATAAATCATTCTACCAAAAGACACATGCACTTACATGTTCATTGCAGCACTATTCAAAATAGTAAAGACATAGAATTAACAAAGGTTCCCATTAAAGGTGTACTGGGTAAAGAGATTGTGGTACATATACACCATGGAATACTATGTAACCACAAAAAAGAATGAAATCATATCCTTTGCAGCAACATGGATATAGCTGAAGGCCATTATCTTAAGCAAATTAACACAGGAACAGAAAACCAAATACCACATGTTCTCACTTATAAGTGGTAGCTAAACATCAAGTACTCATGAACACAGATTCCAACAATAGAAACTGGGGACTTCTAGAGGGAGGAGAAAGAGAGTGGGGCAAAGGTTGCAAAATGAGTATTGGGTACCATGCTTTGTAACTGGGTTGGATATTATTCATGCCCCAAAACTCAGCATCGTGCAATATACCCAGGTAAAGAAAAATCTGCACATGTACCCAATGAATCTAAAGTAAAAGTTGAAAAAAAAAGTTACAAAGCTATGATAATCAAAACAGTATAGTGGTTGCATAAACAAAAACATAAACTAGTGAAACAGAATAGAAAGCCCAGAAGTAAACCCATCCATTTGCAACTAATTTTTTTAAATTTTACTTCAAGTTCTGGGATACATGTGCAGAATGTGCAGGTTTGTTGCATAGGTATACATGTGCCATGATGGTTTGCTGTACCTATCAACCCGTCATCTAGGTTTTAAGCCCCGCATGCATTAGGTGTTTGTCCTAATGCTCTCCCTCCCCTTACCCACCACCCCCTGACAGGACCAAGTGTGTAATGCTCCTCTCCCTGGGTCCATGTGTTCTCATTGTTCAACTCCCACTTATGAGTGAGAACATGTGGTATTTGGTTTTCTATTCCTGTGTTAGTTTGCTGAGAATGATGGCTTCCAGCTTCATCCATGTTCCTGCAAAGGACATGAACTCATTCTTTTTTATGGCTGCATAGTATTCCATGGTATATATGTGCCACATTTTCTTTATCCAGTCTATCATTGATGGGCATTTGGGTTGGTTCCAAGTCTTTGCTATTGTAAATAGTGCTACAATAAACATACATATGCATGTGTCTTTATAGTAGAATGATTTACTTTCCTCTAGTATATACCCAGTAATGGGATTGCTGCATCAAATGGTATTTCTGGTTCCAGATCCTTGAGGAATTGCCACACTGTCTTCCACAAGGATTGAACTAATTTACATTCCCACCAACAGCGTAAAAGTGTTCCTGTTTCTCCACAGCCTCACATCTATTGTTTCCTGACTTTTTAGTAATTGCCATTCTAATTGGCATGAGGTGGTATCTCATTGTGGTTTTGATCTGCATTTCTCTAATGACCAGTGATGATGAGCTTTTGTTCATGTTTGTTGGCTGCATGAATATCTTCTTTTGAAAAGTGTCTGTTCATATCCTTCACCCACTTCTTGATGGTTTTTTTTTTTTTCTTGTAAATTTGTTTAAGCTCCTTGTAGATTCTGGAAATTAGACCTTTGTCGGATGGGTAGATCACAAAAATTTTCTCCCATTCTGTAGGCTCTGATGATAGTTTATTTTGCTGTGCAAAAGCTCTTTAGCTTAATTAGATCTCATTAGTCAATTCTGGCTTTTGTTGCAATTTCTTTTGGTGTTTTAGTCTTGAAGTCTTTGCCCATCATTTGCAACTAATTTTTGACAAGGGCACCAGAAATCCACAAGATTGAAAGATAACCTTTTGAATAAATATTGAATAGAAATCTGTGTATCTACATGTAAAACAAACAAACTCTTACCTTACACCAAGCACCCACATCAACTCAAAATAAAGACTTAGAGAAGAAGATATAGAGGAAAAGCTCCTCGAAGTTAATTTTAGCAAAAAATGCACAGACAACAAAAGCAAAAATAAACCAGTAGTATTACATCAAACTAAAAAGCTTCTGGATAGCAAAAGAAATGATCAACAAAATGAAAAGGCAACTTATGGAGTGGGAGCAAATATTTGCAAACCATATATCTGATAAGGGATTAATATCTAAAATAATACGGAATTCATACAGCTGAAAAGAAAAACATTAATAAATATGACTACAAAATAGGCAAAGAACTTGAAAAGAAATTTCTCAAAAAAAGACATCCAAATGGCCAAGAAGTACATATAAATGTGCTCAACATCACTAATCATCAGACAAATGCAAACTGAAATCTCTAGGTATCATCTCACACCTACTAGGATGGCTGTTATAAAAATAAAGAAGTAAATAAATAAAAGGTAAGTATTGCCAAAGATGTGGAGAAAAGGGAACCCTGTACTGTTGATGGGAATGTAAATGCATAAAGCCATTATGGAAAACAGTATGGAAGTTCCTTAAAAAATTAAAAATAGAACTAATATATGATCCAGCAATCCCACTTCTGGGTATATATCCAAAACAGTTGAAATAGGATCTTGAAGAGACAAACATCTGCATTCCCATGTTCATTGCAGCATTATTCACAATAACCAAGATATGGAAGCAACCTAATTGTCCATCAATGGATGAATGAATGAAAAAGTCATGGTAGATACATACAATGGAGTACTATTCAGCCTCAAAAATAAGGAAATCCTACCATTTGCACAACACGGATGAACCCGAAGACATTATATTAAATGGAATAAGCCAGACTCAGAAAGATAAACACTGCATGATTTCACTTACATGTGGAATCTAAAATAGTCAAACTCACAGTAGCAGAGAGTAGAATGGTAGTTGTCAGTGAATAGGGAGAGGAAGAAATGGGAAAAGAACAATTAAAAGGTACAAAGTTTCAGTTGTGTAAGATAAGTTCTGGAGATCTATACATCATTGCACCCATCACTAACAATACTGCATTACATACTTAAAATTCCTAAGAGAGTAGATCATATGTTAAGGGTTCTTATAGAAAGACAATAACAACAACAACAAAGAGGGCAGGAGGACACTTTGGGAGGTGATGGATGTGTTTATGGCTTTGATGGTGGTGCTGGTTTTATGGATGTATACTTATCCCCAAACTCGTCAAGATGCATATATTAAATGTATACAGCTATTTATATGTCAATTACACCTAAATAAGTTGGTCTTTTTAAAAAAGAAATTAAGTAAACAGAAAAGATGCAGTCTCTACTTGATAAAATTGCCACATACTATGTTTTATGGGAAAGGGGAAAAAAGCCCTTTAAGTTGACAGAATGCATACCAAGGTAATACAGGAAAACATTTGAAAAATAGGATTTTCATAATGTTTTACAAAAGGAGAGTTAACACTGAAAATTGTGCAAGCTCTCTTCTTTTGAAATATGAGGTAGAACAATTTTTCTTTTCATTTGAATAGTCTCTAGGACTATTTAACACCATATCATGTTTTCAAACAGCTATTCAGGCAATTGAGGCCTCTACAGAAGTAATTCAGGTTAAATGAGGTCATAAGTGTGGAGCCCTGTTCCAATAGGATTAGTGTCCTTATAAGAGACACCAAGGAGCTCTCTCCCTCTTCACAAGCTCACAAAGAGGTTCTGTGAGTACACAGCCAGAAAGCAGCCACTAAGAGAAGAGGCCTCAGGATAAAACCTACTTTGCCAACATCTTGATCCTGGGCTCCTGAGACTCTCAAAACGTTAGGAATAAAATCTGTTGTTTAAGCCACCCAGGCTGTGGTATTTTGTTATGATAGTTTTAGCAGACCAAAACAGGGCTGTTCACATCTCCACTTACCCATTCATAGTTTCTCTCCAAGGTTGTATTTCCTAGATAACTAGATAAAGAGGATTCCATCACCACACTGGTTCTAATTCTAAATGTTTATCCTACAAATATGATCTTATTTTTATAATCTTATAAAGTTATAGACCCATTATCTGTAAGAAAACTATATACATGTTGCAGAAAAAGGATCAAATACCAAAGAGTCATTTCAGCAAGTAACTAACCTGCCATGTAATCCAACTTTGCCAGCATATGAGAAAGCAGGTTTAATTTGGGAGTAGAGGAATAGAGCCACTAGGAAGGACTGGATCAGGGCCTCTACCAGACACTGTGAAGAATCTTTGTGTGAATTGAAAAAGGCAATCCTTCCTTGAGTTAAAAAAAAAAAGGATAATTTATTATTATACAACCAGACCCAGGGTACATGGTCATTCTGGTGTGGGGAAAATAGGAATGTAGGCAGCCACCCCACTTGGCATCATTAGGTAATCCCAGCCAACAGGGATGATGAGTGGTTATCTCATGTCATTATTTCTCTTGGTCAAAATTAGTCTCATTTTGGGTTCATCATATTGAATGATGATTCTAAAAGGCTCTGTGGAAAGAGAATCTCCTCTACTGCTCATGGAGAATACTATTCATCCTTTCTAGTTACTCCATGCCAAATCAATTCTGGTTCAAGACCAAAGCTAATATTAGAAGAAAAAAAGTTTTCAAGTGTTTGTTTATTTTAAAAGAACAAAATCTACTCTAGGGAATAGTGGAAAGTGTAATCCTTCTTCCCACAGGGGTGTGGTAGGGGGTGTTATGTGAGGCCAGGCCTAAGAGAAAAGACAAGGAAAGGTTGTTTTTTTTCCCTCATTTTCAGACTAGCCATCTGTGACTTAAAAATAAAAAGAAGGAAAGAAAAAGTCTTGGAGAATCTTGGCTTCCCCTTTGCCAATATATTTGAGAGTTCACTTTCTGTTCAGAATGTGAAAGGGACATAATTATTTCCACATCTGACTAATATGCACTTATTTGTGAAGGGCCATAATCCCGTAACCCATCTGGATCAGGGTCTTGGTTGTATTGAAAGTCAAAAAATGAGGGCTGTTTTCATCCTGGCTCCTCTTCTGACTGAGTCACCATGTCCTTGGGCAAGTTATTTCCTCTCTGTGTACCCGCTTTTAAAAACAGAGAGATAATAGTGTTCCTGACCTCCTTACCTCACTGGGATGTTGTCAGCATTAACAAGCAATAGACTCATATTTTTAGAGTAGACAGAAAGAAAATTGCTTAAATTTTAAAATATTATTTTTTTCTTCCCATAGATCTATTTTGTTCATCTTAAAGTTCCAAAATGGATCACAGGGGACAAATCTTTGGAGTCTTTCCAGTTTTCTTAAGAAAAATATGAAGACCAATGACATTAATTTATTTTGGGGGAGTTTTTACAGACAGTAAGTTACCAAACAAATAAAAATCATGGGATGAACTATTAAGAAAAAATAATCACAGTGTAGTAAAAATAGCACTGAATTGAGAGTTGAGAAAAAAAATCTCGGTTCTAGGTTTTGATTACTAACTTATTTAAGTCAAGTTATACTTCTCTAAGCCTCAGTTTACAGATTCAAAAAATGAGAGCCTATGATAATAATAGTTATCAGGTCTAGGGTACTGAATTTAACAAGATTCAAATAATATATGTAAATACTCGTTACAATTATAAAACACTGTGCAAATACTAGATTTTGTTGCTACTGTGAGCATACCAGCCCATCTCTGTGGTTACCACAGCATCACCTCATTGCTTCAAGGACAGTGGTTACACCAATTTACTTGGACATGAAAAGAGTGTCCAGCATGTTCCACATAATTAGAGCTCCTACCCAGCCATTTTTCACTTTGACGGGGAAAAAAAGGAAGGGAAGGGCTGTGTTCCATGTTTAGGACACCCTTTGATTCAGATATAAAATGAGAGCTTTGAGGCTGAGGTGATGGGTCTGTGCTGACTCAGGAAATGAACTGTCTTCTTCCAAGGAGCCTTAAGTTCTACCCATTTCAGGGTGTGTCAGCAGAGACACAGAAAGTCAATATTCCATACAGTAAGGTTTGAAGCACTGCTGATCTACTCAAGGACTGAAGGAAAGGACGGTGGAAGAAGGCTTCCAATATTTTCCAACATTGGATGGCAAGAAAGCAGCTTTGCTAGATGACAGCTACAGTCCCCTCCAACCCTGCAGCTCAATCAGTCTATGAATCAGCAAACCATAAAAATAATTAAGGAAGTACACATAGTCTCCTTGACTCCTTTGTCCTTTTTTTGGTGACACAGCCATTCTGAGTCAGTTCAGAAATAACCTGGGTTTTCAGTTTACCAGAGTCTGTCAACCTTTCTCGGCCACTCCAAGCCATCCTTATAATACTTTGTTCTTTACAGACCACCCCTCTCAATTCTGCCCTTAATGATCTTCTTATATCATTGTATATTTTTCTATCAGGATCTGCCTTAACAACCAGATTGTAAAGTCTTTGGGTGCACAAAGGCATCACACTTCTGGCTTTTCATGGCACTTTGTAATCTTAATTCTCTGAGGTTCATACTTGTTGATGAAATCAATCATTCCAGGGTCACTCTTTGTGTGTTTTTGCCTTTGTTTCACTGGTCCTTGAACATCATGCCCCACGTCACAGCATTTCCTTCTGATGCTTTGTTCTGAATTTCCATTCCTGTTTACGCTGCCACTCCAGAAAACTTAAGTACCATCCAAAGACCATGTTCACAAATGTCTAATGGGAAGTGAGCCATGAGATGCTAGCCATAGTGGGTCTATGTGCTATAAAAAAACTTAAAAAGTACTCAGTGTAGGAAAAATTTCACAACAACCATTCCATGGTGAAAAATAAATATTGGCAATAGGCATGAGAGGGAAATAAGAAAAAGAGAGACTCATTTCTCAAAACTGAATGGCAAGTGACAACTGTGCATTACTTTGACTATGCAGTGATTCCAAGAGCAAATGTGGAAGAAAGAACTTCTAGAAGTTTAAATTCTACTCTCATATTTTTGCCCTACCTATTTCTACACTTGATTTACACTCTGCAGAATAGAGAAGATCACTGAGTTCAAAGAACATTCAGTAGTAGGCAGGATTGTGGGTGAAAAGGAAGAGTGGAAAAGAAGGAAAGAGCAGAAACTCTGACCTATTCAGAATACTATGTTCATCTTCCTTTGCACCTACACTGGGAAAATGGTTGTTGAAACACTGAAAGAAGGCAACAATTTCAACACATTGAATGGAATATAGTGGATTAATAGTTCAGTTTTATGTTCCAGTTATTGAGTCAAGAATATTGATGCCCAGGGCTAATGATTACTTTACGGTGAGTACATGGTAAACTGATGGCCCTATGTGTTCACAACTCCCTGTATCCATACCCTTTGCAATATGCCTTTGCATATCCGTCCTTTGCTAGTTGAGGTCTATTTTCATGCTTCTTATGCCTGGGCTCGCTTTTGTGACTTGCTTTGGCCAACAGAATGCAATATGATGGGGTACAATCAAGAAACCTTGCATGCTTTACCTCTCTCTTGTCTCAGAACCCAATTTCTAGCATGAAAATAAGCCTAGGCTAGCCTGCTGGATGAGAAGAAATACACAGTCCCATCCTCCATATCACCCAAACTGATAGCCAGCCATGTGAGTGACACTATTCTATATCAGCCTGTTTCTAACTGACCCAACAGCAGACATAAGATGCATCGTTGAGCTCAGCAGAACTAAGCAAAGATCAGATAAGCAGAACCCAAAACTATCTAGCTAGCCAACAGTCTCATCAGGAATAATAACTGCAACAAAAGATAATTGATACAGAGTCATTCAATCAATAGTTTGGCCAGACACTTTGCCTACTAAGAGAGGCATGTACATAAATCTGGAGATAGCCAGGAGCCTGAGCCAGTAGTTTTCAGAGTTTATACTCCTACCAGGGCTGTTTGGAATCCAGAATAAGTAGTTCCAAAAATAAATTTAAAGCTCCAGAGAACATTTTTAATAATAATGATCTTAGAAGCTAACATACGTGAAATGGTTACTACAAAGCCATAATCTCCTCTAATTTCATCAAATATAAGCTATTATTATCCTATTTTATGGATGAGAAACTGAAAGTAAGAGAAGTTAAGTTGGTAACTAGAGCTGAGATGGAAACCTTGTTGAGTCTGATGCCTAACCCCAGGTTATAAACACTGCACAATAGTGTGTCACTGGAGATGTGGCAGTATTTTCACAGCTGGCAACCAAGGACCAATCTTGGAGGCAACTCTCCTATCTACAGTAGAAATGGTATTTGGGGTAACTATCTAGGCTTATTCAAAGGAACAGGAGGAAAGGGGGCAGCTGGAGAGAAGGTAGTTGCTTAACACCTGACAGATGTTATTACAGCAATAAACAAGCCCAGCAAATCCTCCTTCCCTCTTTAGAACATTTGTCTCCATGGTGAAATAATGCAAAACTGGGCAAGAATCAGTCATAACCTGGGAGAAGGGAGGGCTCAGGGTCACAGAGGCTTAGCAGAGTCCTCTTTGCTGACTCTGACTCATCAATCCCTGAGGAGTTAAGCACTTGCTTAACAGCTCTCCCAGTCATTTCAATAGGCAACAGGAGAAGGGGACAGAGCAAGCAGGAATCTCATGCCATTGTAAAGTTTTTAGATTTGATTTGGGATTTCTCAGTCTCCCCTGTGAGCATTGCAAAATATTTCTGCCCATTCTGGGTATGATTAATCTATCCAATCCACATGAAAATTACCATATTGAGTGCTCCAAAAATATTCTGTGTTGAAGAATCAGTTTATAAGTTAATTCCATTGTATAGAATTAATAATAATTAATTCTACTCTCAAAGGCAACCCTATGATGTAGGTATTAGTATTTTCATTTTAACAGATGAAGAATTTAAAGTTTGGAGAGCGGATAAGCAACTTGCCAAAAATCACAAAGCTGGGCCCCCAGTCAAATCTAGTTTGGCAACCGCCAGAACCCATGCTTTCAACCATTCGCTACTGTCTCTTATGACTACCATGGTAATAGAAATTTTATT
This sequence comes from Homo sapiens, assembly GCF_000001405.40. Taxonomy (NCBI): domain Eukaryota; kingdom Metazoa; phylum Chordata; class Mammalia; order Primates; family Hominidae; genus Homo; species Homo sapiens. Next base: position 82,018,060 of record NC_000006.12, read on the forward strand.
TTTAGTATACTAGTAATTTTCTGGAGGTCAGGGACAAGAATAAGATTCAGCTTGAACTCTTGCCTATATTCTCTTTAGAACTTGGAAATGGCACTGAAGATAGAATTCCAAAGATGTCAGCACCTTGACAGGTAAGTCCTGAGCATCTTGAGACTTCATTATCTTCCAAATTATCACATTTCCAGATTCCTTACAGCTAATTTCAACTCTGCCAAAACTGAACAGCAAAACCATCAGACTTTTCTTTAGGTATTTATAGTTTTTTGTTTTTGTTTTTTAATGCACCCAAGACATAGCTCCTAGTTCCTGAATCAACTATGCCAGTGTTTCTCTGAGCCACGCTAAAGGTCTGAGATATGTTCTTACCCAACTAATCTGTTCTCATTTGGGACACAGAAAAAAAGCACATTCCAGGAATAAGGTTGGGTGCATTCAAGTGAAGGATACAAGTCAGGGGCATCCAAGAGACTCAGCACGTTCTGTGGTTATTTTCTTAAACTTACTTGTGTGATGGTGAGTTTTTGTGTGTCGAATGCCTGAGTTACAGGTGGGCAATATGAATGCCAGATCTCTACAAAACTCATCATTTTCTTATCATTTCCTTCTTCTTACCCCTTAACACTTGCAGACAGCGCATGTTTGAAGTTCAAGTTTCCAGCCATCACAAGTGTCATTGCATACGACTATAGCAAAGTGGAGAAGGAATTCATCAAAGTCCTCCAATACAGCCCTCCCCCACGCATGGAGTCTAACGCACTCTTTTAAGGATAAATCTAACTTCTGTTCAAATAGTTCTAATACAGGCAACTCATGAGCTTGCAGGATGAATGATTAATTAATTAATTATTTGAGTGGTTCAATTTACTAGTACAACAGACAGATATTAAAACTTTCTTTATCTGTCAAGCATTGCCCAGTGACGGAGTTAGATGATAAAACATCCTACTCTCAAGAAACTGACAGTCCAACATAAGAAACACAATCAGCCTCCCTTTAGCATGTCACCCCTCTTTCACGGTTCTCTTTTAAGGTGCCACAGAGTAAATTCAGTCCTTTCTCTACTTAACACCCTCAGCTATCTGTTAGGTATCATCTCATGTTTACAATCCTGGATCTTTCAAACTATAACATGGCTTAAGGTTTTGTCCTTCAATGGCTACTAGGATTATCCTAGTAGTTCTCCTCTAGCTCTACCCTAGGTCAATCGCCCTTCTAAAATCAGGAGCCAACTATTGAATTAAACATTTAAGGATGCCGGAAGACCATGGTCTTCCCATATCAATGGCTTCCAAATCAGATTTAAAGCCAAAATTTCAGTTTTAAATACTTATCTCTGGAAATAAATGATTCCTATGAAATGCCCCTAAAACAAACACAATGTGAAGTTCCTATCAGTCAAAGATATTTTTCACAATGAGCTGTAAGTTTTCTACTTTTGACAGAGAAGAACAGGAGAATAGTTTCTAACCAAAGAAAAATAGGAAAGAAAGTCCACTAGTGCTGGAAAATATTTACCTAGGTATTGACTTCATTGATGTAGCATCAATGTTGACCATGCTAAAGACTATGAAAAGAATGCAGGGTTTGTTATTACTATATTTCTAGATATTAATGACCAACATTTAGTCTTTCGTGACTTCTATCAACTGCTTTCTACTTCTTAAATTTTTTTGCGCCTATGATTGCCCCTTCTCTACCAGCTTCATTGGCTTTTTATTCTGTTTAGATATTTTAAATGTTAGCATTCTCTAGTATCTGACTTTCATTTCCATGTTAAGTTTCAAGCCTCTTCATGAGCTTCCCATTGCTTCCATCAGTCTAAAAGCTGGCAACTGTACCCCTCAATCTGTATCTCCAGCCTGGACCTCTCTCCTGGGATCCACAAGTATATTGCCAATTTCCTAACCCACTGTATTGCCTTTGAGCACATCAAATCAATTATTCTCTTTTCCAAATATGTTTCTCCTTCCATATTCATAATCTCTGTTCATTTTGTCACCGTCCACCTTATTAACAAGCTAGCAAATCCTGTCTATTCTACCTCAGGACTATTCCCTGATTGCAGCCTTTCCTTTATAGCTGCAGGTATCACAACTAGAAAATAGCTTATTTTTCTGTTCTTGTTTCTCTCCTGTTTATTCCATCTTCCACATTGCTCCCATAATTATGCTCCTAAAATAAATGAATGAATTGGTATAATCTGAACATACCAATCTCCTTCCTGTAACTGTTTGTGGTGCCTGTCACCTTTACAGAAAATAGTCTAAAATTATTATATAACAAAAATCTCCTTCACTATCTGTCTCCAACTGTACATCTTCTACATAAACCCACTCCCAGACCATTCTCTGCACCTCAGTACACCCACTCTATACACATACAAACTCTGCTTCAGCCACCATGAACTTCTTACTTGATCTTTTTCTTAAACATAACCTATAATGATTTTGTCTTTGACTGTGCTGGTCTGTTTTCCTGAATGCCTATCTCTTTTTCAAGCTGACAAGCTCATATTTGTCCTTCAAAATCCAACCCAAATCTTTTCTCTTCTGGGAGACAATTTCTGACTCATCCAGACAGTAATAAATTTCCTCCTATGCATTGGTGAATTATCAAAAATATTATTGTGCATCAGACACCAGACATGCTAGACACTATGCTGGATAACGGATATACCATGTTTAGTTAGGAAGATAGAAAAGTCCCTACTTTATGGGATGTACAATCTGGTGGGCAAGATGGGGCAATATAAGTAATTCAAGTACACTGACCATTATAAAAGAAGCTATGTTTTACAGAGATCTGTAGTCTAGTCAATGCTGTTCAATAGAATTTTCTATATCTGTAAAGTGTTCTATATGATAGCCACTAGCTACATGTGGCTATTGAATAGTTGAAATATGGCTAATGCAACTGAGGAACTAAATTTTTCATTTAATTTAATTTAAAAGCCCTGATGTGACCACTATGCAATCTATGCATATAACACAATTGCATATGTACCTTATACATTTGTGCCAATTTTAAAAAATAAATAAAAATAAAATGGGCAAAAAAAGATTTAAATAGCCAGCTAGTGTCATTTATATAGGATAGTGAAGTTCTAGATGTTAAAGAATTATCTGAAGAATGAGATCACTTGGATTTGAAGGATGAACATATCTGAAGGGCAAGTGAGGAGGGGAAAAGAATATTAGAAGAGAGCATTCTGAAGGTCCAGATTTACAAGTTCACTCTTCTCTGCTAATCCTACACCTCTTTCTGCTCTTGTGAACTTCAGTAGTACCTGGGACACAGTAAGCATTCAACATACAGTCATTATTATTATGTAATTAAGTTTTTCTGGTTTATAGACTTCTCCATAAGCTTTATTAAATAATTTGCATATGTGTGTACCTTCAGCCCCCATCAATTTCATAAAAATGGAAACTGTCAAAGTATTTTCTATTCTGACAGTTTCCCAAAGAGTGCTATGCAGGAAGATTCACTCTCCACCTGAAACATTCTGCATTTTAAGAAATACAAATTAGTGAGGACATAAGCAGCCAAGTGATGATTATCCCAGCACACTGTGAGTCTGAACCTTGCAGTTCCAAGGTCAGTGCATAGAGTCAATCGTATACATTTTGAGGATCCTGGGTTAGTGTTTAAATTAAGTCATATGCTGCCCACCCTCCTCAGTCCTAGAGTTATCTACACTAACTTTCTAGTGAGAATTTTGTCTCTTCCTGAAGTATAATCCCACCTCAAACCCAGCTTCGCATTGCTATCAATGGAAAGGCATTGCCATCCCATTTTAGAATATAGTTTTATCTGATTGCAATATGGTTTTATATGCAACATGTAAAAGGTATGGGCAGAAGAAATGCTATTTTGGAATGCATGCTTATCAACACATAACAAGTGTGCAATAAAAATTGCAAAGAGCTGTTTTTAACATAATATGGCAAATCCCTGAGAGTATCTGGAAGAGTCAATAGTGCACGTGGTTTGGCAATCTGAGCAGCTGACTCTGCAACCTCACCTCCAAACATAAAGAGGGCTTCAGGTTATTTTTAAATATAAACTGATATCTGTATTCATTCAGATATCTGTATAATATATGAGGAACTATGGATTTATGGAGAGAAATTGGATGCATCAAACTGAGAAAGGGAACGGTCAATGAACTGAAAGTTCACCAAAAAGATGGAATCAGCAAATGACCAACAAAGCCAAAGCAAGTTCCTTCTCGCTGCCAAGTCTGATGCTACCCATTTTTGATTGAGAGACTTCTCCCAAATTTTGATCCAATGTTCAAGGCTCAGTTCAAATCCCACTTGCTCTACAGGTCTATGATGACCTGTTACTGCTGAAATCCTAGAGTATTTGTCTTTACTTCTCAGTTTGGAACATCACTATATATTCTTTTATGTTATTTGCTAAGATTTCACGTGCTTGGGTCTTATCTCCTCAGCCAGAATATGTTTCACAGGGTGAAACAGCTGTCAACCATCGTGAATTCCAGTGTCCCAGCATAGAGCAGGGCACTTCATGGAACCCCTGATAAATATCTTCCGATCTATTCAATAACATGCTACAGGACAGACCATTGCCAAACAGACAGAGGAAGAAAAGCAAGGGAAAAGGAGAGCAGGGTGCAGGGACTGTGCCCTCATGAAAGCAGCTAAGATTTCCTGAAATGACTCATAGAACAGGAATGCCAACACTGATGAGTAGAAGTGGCTACATGTCTTAGACAGTTGAACTCTGATATTCTCTTAGTATTAGCTGACTCCTGGATTACTTCCTCTAACAGTGTATAAGGGGCAAATTTTTTGTTAAGAAACTTCCATCCTAGGTGTTAAGAAAAAGTCCACATGAAAGGATTTCCCCCTCCAGAGCACTGTAAGAATTACTAATCAAATGAATCACCTGACCTATGGTCCCGGAATGTTAAAACTGGAAGGAGTGTCACATATCATCTGATCTCTGTTCCAGAAACTGAGGCCCAAAGACATGAAATGACTTGTTCAAAGCAATGTAACTGGTTAGTAGCAGAGCTGTGTCTAGAACACAGGCTTCCTGGTTTCTAAGGCCCATGATCTTTCCATATCCATTTCATGAGAAGTAGCAGAATTCCACTGGCTTAGTTGGTGAAACTGCCAATGACTAGTCTCTATTCCTCCTCATTTGATTTCCTCTTCTCATCAGACTGGACCT